>NC_000016.10:77005682-77630682 GCF_000001405.40 Homo sapiens
TCCTTTTAAGATATTTCTAAGATAAATCACCTACCATGAAAGTAAATGAAAATCCACAGTTCTTCATTGAAAGTTTATGAAGCTTGGGGGCCAAGTTAGGACACTGAATCTGCTAACTTGTAGTTCACTCGTTGCCACAGAAAATATTTTTAAAAACAATGTGTAAATGTAACAATAACGTATTTCGTCGTATTAGCAGTATTAAGACTTACCAATTTACTGACTACTCCATATTCTGTAGCACAAACCCAAATCACTCTCTAGAGATTCCAAACCAACTTGGCTACAGGCACCCACAATGCAGACTCAGTACAATAGCATGCTCTCGTAGCCTGCAAGTCTTTCCCGCTCTTCCTGTTTTCTGCCTTGGTGTAGGATACCTCCATCCACTAGAATGGCCAACCCAGAAATCTGGGAGTCGCAGTGGTCTCTTCCCTCTGCCCTGTCATAGATGATCAATCATGATGCCCTCAAAATTTGGCCTTGTAAAAGATCTTGAGATCTGTTCAGTTGTATGCCAGAAAAACCTTGCTCTGTGAATAACTGTTTCTCACGTCACTTGGAAAATGACCTGAAGCATTAGAAGAAATGTTGACAAGTCTAAATTTTGGGGAGCAACAAATCTAGTGAGCTCAGGAACAGGACCAAGAAGTCTCTTCCACATAGAATCTAAGAGACTCAGCCTCATGCTGTAAGTCTAGATGTTGATCTTTGCTTGCCATTCAATGATTTCCAGGGAAACATTAGACAATTTTATTATAAAATGCTTCTTTTCTGCCTAATTGTGCCTTCTGTTCTCATAAAAAATAAACATCTTGACTTAATTAGCTTTTTTAAAAAATGTAAATATTAGTTGACATTTTCTTCCATAGTATATCTCTGCAGGATTCAAAAAATGTCATGACTTTTTATCTTTGAGTTTATTTTTCTCTTCCCCTAACTCCATGAGATTCAACAACTGAAAGGTTACTATAACTTCAAACCCCCACAGTACCCTTATAGTTGCTACTCCACAAAGTATACCCACTACCTTGACGTCTAACATTAAGAATTATGTTTGCGGCTGGGCATGATGGCTCACACCTGTAATCCCAGCACTTTGGGAAGCCAAGCTTGGTGGATCACAAGGTCAGGAGTTCAAGACCAGACTGGCCAAGATGGTGAAACCCCGTCTCTACTGAAAATACAAAAATTAGCCAAGTGTGGTGGCAGGCATCTGTAATCCCAGCTACTCGGGAGGCTGAGGCAGGAAATTGCTTGAACCCGGGCGGTGGAGATTGCAGTGAGCGGAGATCGGGCCACTGCATTCCAGCCTGGGTCATAGAGCGAGACTCTGTCTCAAAAAAAAAAAAAAAAAATAGAATTAGGTTTGCCTGTTTTGGGACTTGATATAAAGGAGAACATACAATTATGTACTCTTTTTTATCTGACTTCTCTCACTCATCATAATGTATGTGAAGTTGATCAGCATTGTGTTGTAGAAATGCTTTGTTCTTTTTCATTATTGTATGATGTTCCATTAAATAAATTTACCACAATTTATCCCTTGTAGTGTTGATACACATTTGAGTTGTTTTCAGTTTGGGGCTATCAGAAATAATGCTTCTAAGAACATTTGTATCCATGTCTTTTGGTGAAGAGATATATACACACCTGAAGAAAAAGGGCTGGACTGTAGGATATGCAATTATTTAACTTTAAGGGCTATTGACAGTTTTCAAAGAGATTATACTGATTGACATTCCTCTCAGCAGTGTATGAGAATTCCAGTTGCTCCATTTCCTTACCAACATTTGAATGTTTTTAGTATGATTTTTATTAGTATGATTTTTATTTTAGCCATTCTGGTAGGCATATAGATTATATAATGTTATGCTTTTATTATTTTTATATTTATTGTTTTATCAATGAATAAAAGACATTGAACATATTTTCACATTTATTGATCATTTGAATGTCTTTTTATAAAGGGTCTGTGCACTTTTAAAGATTCTTCTTTTTTTTACTGTTTTGTAGGAATTCTTTACACAGTTTAGGTATAGGTCCTTTGGCAGATAAATGCATTGCAAATGACTTCTTCCACGCTGTATTTTGCCTTTTCATTTTCTCAATGATGTTTACTGGTGGACAGAACTTCTTAATGTAGTTCAGTTTATCAACTTTTTCATTTAAAGCTAGTGCTTTTTGTGTCCAATTATAGAAAATTTTTGCCTACCCCAAGGTCATGAAAATATTTTCCTATGCTTTCTTCTATAAGCTTTATTGTGATATCTTTCAAAAAGGCCACATGTTAGCTGTAGGTTTAGTTGTGAGGAAGACATTTTAATAATAACAAGCACTAATACATGCTAGAACTTTAATCATTATATGAAAAGTCATGAAGCAGAGACAAAGGCAAATATTCTTTCTCTTGCTTTACTTTCTTGCAAAAATAAGAAGAAAAGCAGCCTAGGAAAAAGAAAAATTTTTAAAAAGCTTCACCTTGAAGGTATTCAAGTGGTGTGTTTCCGAAGTCCTTGTCGATGTTTCTACCCCGTGGAAAACCTCTGGAGATCTCCATGTATTGATTCTCTGGGGGCTCAGACATCTTCCTCTTGGGGGTGCTGATGGATGTTTCTGGGAAGCTTCTAATCAATTAAGTGCCAAAGGTGAAAAAAAGATAAGGCCATTAATGACTATGATATCAAGGTCTATGCTGGAGAAAAAATACCCTAAGTGAGCAATAAGATTTTCTAGAAATTTCTGAGACATTCAGACTTCTTTAAAGAGTACAAAGACTTTTAAAGGTGAACCAGTTACAATATAATCAGAGCATCCTGGTGCCCCTGCTTTTTTTTTTTTTTTTTTTTGCAACATTGATATTTTAAACAAAGAAAAAATACAAGACCCTGTGAGTTACTTGGGTTACTGAAAAGCAGACAATGAAATAAACTATGGAGAATTTTTTTTTTTTGAGACCGAGTTTTACTCTTGTTGCCCAGGCTGGAGTGCAATGGCACCATCTTGGCTCACCACAACCTCCCTTACTGGGTTCAAGCAATTCTCCTGCCTCAGCCTCCCTAGCAGCTGGGATGACAGGCATGCACCACCATGCCCAGCTAATTTTGTATTTTTGGTACAGATGGGGTTTCTCAACTATGGAGAATTTCACAACTGAGAGCAGGAAAAACTGTGGGAAGAGTCCTTGGCATGTCAGAATTCCTATAGAACTTCATTCAGCAATATGCTGAGGGTTTTTTTTTTCTTACAAATGTGGTTTGCCATGATTTTGCAGTTGGTTCCTTTCAGATAAGAATGATCCTTAGAATTCTCTTTCTTGCTATCCCATTTCAAAAAATGTTTATTTCCATGCTCTGAAAATTGGTAATGTGGCTAAATTCCTCATCTTTTTGTGTTTGTAAGAAATGGAATTAGACTATTATAAAGTGGGAAGGGGAATTATTTGCCAGCAGTAACATGAGTAAATTTAGTCAACTTTTGATTGATGACAGTGTCTTGCCTGGTGAAGAGGGAAAGAGAGAAATTCACATAGCTGGACCCTGACATGCACTGCAGGTGCCCAACTACATAATGCCAGCTAATCATAGGTGGTGAGGGAAAATAACTGTTGTCAGACAGTCCTAATAAAGACACTAAATCAAACATATTTTAGTATCAAGGTGATGATGATGAAAGGGAAAGAGTCTCCCAGATATGTGGAAAGTGATTAGTTATACAATAAAGGTAAAACTATGCCTGATAAACCATCAGACATAAGTTCTCTAAAACCTGCAGCACTAACAGGAGGGGAAAAATAGGCTAAGTAAATCATCAAAACATAAACAGACCGTCATTTTATGGTTCTTTAGTCTGCAGGCTTTCAACTTCTCTGTTAAACATTTTGCTCAGCTGGAAAAAACTCAGTAGCAAGACCAGCCATGGTCCTCATTCCTACCGGTGATGTTATCTCAAGAATGCACTACACCAAGCGCATTGGAGCCTGCCCAGCTCTGCACCGTGCCTGATAGCAGCCATCAAAGGGGCAGTCCTCAAATGCCACCATCACAGGACAATCCCCACCTGTTTGCTTTGTCCTTCCCTATGCCTCTTTAAAATTCGCACAATAGTGGTTCATGCTCCGAGGATTGTTATCTGAGTGAAGGCAGGCTGCCTGAATTTGAAACTGAGTGTCTTGAATAAAAACCTTGTGGTTTTGTTATGAATAAAAAGCTTGTGGTACTAACTTGAAGCAGAGAGAAGAACCCAGAAGCCAAGGCAAGATGGTCTGTATGGTTTTGAGCCTCTATATCAATGTTAAACATATTCTGTAGAGGTGCCCTTTGGTAAGGCATGACTCTAAAGAAATAATTCTGACTTCCAAAGGCAAGGTTAAAGTGGCCTTTAGTTTTCAGATTTTCAGAATTCCAGAGACAAATTATGATTATAAAACTGTTAGAATAATACATGTAAAGACAGAAGAGTTTCATGTTGTTAGTATATGTATTCGCATGTTTGGGACACTGTCTCTTCCTCTCACAATAAGTTGAACCACTTAACAATGGCAAGTTCTCTATAAATATGTCTTACTTCCCTAATGAACCTAGTTAATTACCATAATTCAGAACAAATCTCTATTCTTCTTTCTCCATGATCCAGAAGCAATCTTCAAATGTCTCTTTCCTCCCTTGACTACCACCCTTAGGAAACTGTCCCCCACCTCCAATTCCGGTTTAGAGGTGCCTTCTCTCAGCTCACAGGACCCCCAAGGGCTCTAGCACTGAACCTCCTGCACTGTCGTTAGAGGTTTGTCTCCCCCACTGAATTTCACAAAGCCTGGAAGGGTGCCCCCCTGGATTTTGTTTTAATCTTCAGTACCTACTATCACATGACTTATTTACCAATAGCCAGGTGTGGTGGCGGGCGCCTATAGTCCCAGCTACTTGGGAGGCTGAGGCAGGAAAATGGCGTGAACCCAGGAGGCGGAGCTTGTAGTTAGCCTTGATGGCGCCACTCCAGCCTGTGCAACAGAGCGAGACTCCGTCTCAAAAAAAAATAGAAATGTCACCAAAATTTTGCTCTAACTGGTGTAAGGGTTAATTTTGTGTGTCAGCTTGGCTAGGCTATGGTGCACTGTTGTTTGTTCAATCACTAGTGTAGATACGGTGCTGAAGGTATTTTTTAGATGTAATTAATATTTAAATCAGTAGGTTTTGAGTAAAGCAGATTACTCTCCATAAAGTGGGTGGGATTTGTCCAGTCAGTTGAAGGTCTGAAGTGCAAATACTGAGGTTTCCTGAAGAAGAAGGAATCTTCCTTAGGGCTGCAACGTAGAAACCCTACCTGAGTTTCCAGCCCGCAGGGTTACAGATTTCAAACTTGCCAGCTCCTACAATCACATGGCCCAATTCCTTAAAAATCTTTCTCTCTCAATATATATGCAATATATAATAAAATATATAATAGATGCTTTATATGTTATACAATATAATATGTATCCTATAGGAAATATAATTTAATATACAATACATATTATACTATGTATCACATAGGTATACCAATATACCTATAAGTTCTATTTATCTGGAGAACCCTGACTAATAAATACAGCTAGTAATTCACCATTTCAGATTCAGGCTTGACCCCTTTTCCAATAACCAGACATATGTATCCCACCACATACATCTGATGCCTCATAACACCTCAAACTGAAAACATCCCAAACGGAACTCCTGTCCTCCCTCCTCCAAGACTTCCCATGTCAGGAACAACATTGCTACATCTCCAGTCATGCCACCCTGAAATGGGGGAGCTCTCTGATACATTCGCCCATTTATCCCCGTGTCTGACCCACTCTGAGTCTGCCATTTTGCCTCCTAAATACTTCTTGAATCCATTTGGTTTTCTTCACGGTCATCAAAACTTTCCTGATCGAAACTATTGTCAGCTCTTGTGATCTCCTGGAGTGGCCTACCTCATCTATACTTTCTTCCTCCAATCAGTTCTCCATGCCCAGCCAGAGTGAGCTTTTCCTGAATGGTGGCCTAAGCAAGCCAAGCTCATGCTTGTCTTAGAACAAAGACAAAATGGGCCGGGCATGGTGGCTCATGCCTGTAATCCCAGCACTTTGGGAGGCAAAGAGGGCAGATCGCTTGAGGTCAGAAGTTTGAAACCAGCCTGGCCAACGTGGTAGAACCCCATCTCTACTAAGACCACAAAAATTAGCTCGGTGTGGTGGCTCATACCCGTATTCCCAGCACTTTGGGAGACTGAAGCGGGTGGATCACTTGAGGTCAGGAGGTCAAGAATAGCCTGTCCAACATGGTGAAACCCCATGTTTCTAAAACTATTAAAAATACAAAACTAGCCAGGCATGGTGACAGGCACCTCTAATCCCAGCTACTCGGGAGGCTGAGGCATGAGAAACGCTTGAACCTGGGAAACAGAGGCTGCAGTGAGCCAAGATCATGCCGTGGCACTCCAGCCTGGGAGAAAGAGTAAGACTCTACCTCAAAAAACAAAACAAAACAAAAAAACAAAAACGGACAAAAATCAAATGATCATCATGGTCTTTTTGGACAGACAGACTGGCATGGTCTGTCTCCTGTCCACCTTCACAAACCTCGACTTGACCTATGTTCTCCTCCCTCCCTGTCACATTCTGTTACTCCTTGGACACACTGTATACCCTTGGCCACCAGTACATCAGTTTTTTTTGTTATAAAACCTAACAACTCCCTTTCCTCACCCTCCGCCTTATTAGTAGATTCTGTCTTGAATAGCACATCCTCAGATCCTTCTGCTATGTTCCCCATGTCCCTTTTCTTCATAGCACTTATCAGATCTGTAATTTTAAAGTCATTCATTAAATTATTTAATCATTATATTTCTCCTTCTTCCCATTGCATTGTAAACCCGCAAAGGCAAGGGTAGGATATGCTTTTCCTTAGCATTGTAGCCTTAGGATACAATGATATTAGTAAGACTGGGGTTATCACTCCTCTTTGGTAGATTTTCTTAGAAAAGCTCAGAATGGCTAAATTTAGTAGCCATGGCAGAACTTGGATATGAGTACTGGCCTCTTCTTTCTAAATGACAGTGTTGCGGCTTTTTCATCCCTGTTGTTTGGTGAGTGAGTGGGAGTGTTATAGCTGTATTACTCCCACGGCCAGCCAGCGAGCTCTGGGTCCTTGTTCCATGACCAAGAAGAATAAGGCACGCGGACTCTGGAGAGTGAGTACAACAGACTTGGATTTATTATGCAACAGAAAATCTCTAAGCATGGAGAGGGGACCCGAAAGAGGGTTACCAGCTCTGGGGCAAAGTTTTGGGTTTTTATGGACTGGGAAGTGGGAAGAGTGTGCTGACTGGTCTGCAGGTGGTCTTGGAGAAAGCACCACTTAGAAAGAGATATTACAGTGAAAAGAACCAACTGGGGGCTGAAATGAAGGTTTGGCCCAGAACCAATCAGGGGCTGAAGTGATGATGCACCCTATGTAATGAAGATTCAGCTCACAGCTAAACATAGAAAGGTAGGCATATGTAAAATAAGTGAGAAGTAAGAGATAAAGGCATGTACCAAGTAGAGAGAAATGTGTCCAAAAAAGGAGTGGCATTTGTTCATCTGGGTTTACAGAATAGGTGTTTCCATTCAAAGACATGGGCTTGCTCTTATCTGGGTTACCAAAGACCCACCCTAACTCCCTGCCTGACTGGTTTCTTCCTTCCTCCTCTCTCAAAAGGGTGTTCACTCTCTTGTGCTTTCCTGCTTTCCCATTTTTATATGTGATGTAGCAGTTATCACTTTCAAAAACACCACACTTACTCTTATGTCAGATCCAACAGTTGTTCATCTTGCCTGTGGATAATCTTTAATCAATCGAAGAAACATATTAAATCCAACCATTCATATACATACCCCAACTCAACTTTTTCCAAGTACCCAAAACAATGTTTCTCCATAAGTACTTCATAATGCATGTAAAGCTCTTTTCCTCTGATACCGTTCTACGAGAAGAGGCTGCAGAGTACAGTCACTGATATATAGGTATTTTTTTTAATCTAGTTGGTTTTCCTATTCTTTAGCTTCAATTCCAAATAAGTTACAAGATAAAGATTTAAAACTCTAAATAAATACTCAGATTCACTTTTGTGTCTTCGGACTGTTTGATCACAAGGGAACAGGACACTGCCTTTGGAAAAAAAGTGAATAACCTCATAAAATGCAGCAGCTCAGAAGGCAGCCTGGACTGGTGAGCTCAGCTTCTGCTTACTCTGGGATAGTTTTACAGTGCCAGATGGAGCCGGCCTGTTTGTTCATCCCCACAGGCCCACACTTGAAGTTACTAGAGAAGAATTAATTACTATATTTTTGTGGTTGTTGTCCATTTAGAACAACTATTTCTGTTGGTTTCATAAAACCAGGACAACATGACATCCTCATTGGTGAGATAAGGGTCATTTATCAATGTTGGGAATGGGCTTTTTAACTCCAGCTCTTATCCCTGAATGGCCCTTGTGTCAATTCATGATTTGGGCCATCTGTCTTCCTGACCACATAAGAGTAGAACCCCCCCAAGCTCTATTTCCATACATCCCTAAAGCTCCATTTCAGTAGTCTTCTTCATTCATGTTGTTGCTCACTACCTTCAAAATAGTCTCCAATTTTTCAGTTTTGTGCCTTTCCCTAGCACAAGTAACCTCTGTTTGTAGCCATTTTTCTATTCCCTGGAAGGTTCCTTGCTCTTCTGCTACCAAGATGATGCAAAATATTATTCTACATATATTTGAGTTACTCAGCCAGAGCAGTATCTAATACTCATCCAAAATAATTTCTTGACTAAGTGCAAAATTTTAAAGCCCCAAACATTAAAATAGATTTGCTAAAAATTTTATGAACCTAAAAACATCCTCATTCCCACCAGTCAGATGAGTCCTTTGTTCTCAGCCAGGCCATGATTCATCTAACTGAAAGGAAATCAGGGGCACAGGATGTTCAAGCCTCAAACCTTCAGGCTCTATTCTACTTCTTATCCGTTCAGTGACCCATCAAGCAAATTAACACAGCCGTATTTTTAAAGCATGCTCCAACAATAATTACTTTAAAACATGAGAGGTGTCTTATATAGGTACTATGAGGAAGACCAGGTCATATGTGGACTGTCTCCTTGGCCATGGACAAGGCAAGGGTGAGAATCACAAATCAAAAACCACAAGTTTCACAAAGAAACATCAGAGTAAATAAATCTAGGGCATGGCGGTACAGGATGGGTGGGTTCCAGTGCAGCATGCATGGACCAGTCACTGAACCCAAGTCTGTTTCTGTTTTTATTTTTTTTTTTAAGAACCGTGCTGAGTCATTGGTATGGTCTTAACGTTTGTGTCCCCCCAAAATTCATATTTTGAAACTAAATTCCCTGTGCAATACTATTAAGAGGTGGAGTGTTTAGGAGGCAATTAGGATGTGAGGGCTCTGCTCTCATGAATGAGATTAATGCCTTTATACAGAGGCCCTCGTGACCCCTTCTACCATGTAAAGACAAAGTAAGAATGTACCATCTATGAAGCAGAGAGCAAGCTCCTAAAAGACATGGAATCTACTGGCACCTTGATTTTTGAAATCTCCAGTTTTCAGAACTGTGAGCAATAAAATTCTGTTGCTTATAGATAACTCAGCCTAAAGTATTTTGTTATAGCAGCCCGAACAGAATAAGATACCCATTGAGTCTATTAGACTGCCTCGAAGTAGTATAACTGAGTTCATATATTTTATCATCTCCCTCTTTTTCTGTTGATTCTGCTCAGTTTTCCAAGAGAGGGTAGCTCTGTTTTCTCCTCCTGGTGCCTGATTACTTGGTTCTATTTCTCGCCATTTATGTAACTTTAGGAAAATTAATGAATTGCACTAAGCTTCTTTCTGAGAAGTGGAGATTACAACTTGCTCATGAGATGGTTCCTAGAATTAAATGAGTTTATATGTGAAAAACACTCAACACAAGTAGTGAAGTGAGCACCAACAAATGATTCCTATTATTTTGATACTGTAATTATTAGCACCTATTATTATCCAAATGTACAAATATGTTAGACAGGGAAGAGGAGAAGAAAATGAGGAGAAGGAAAAATGGAGGAATCTAAGGGGAGAAGGAGAAAGACCAAGGAAGAAACACTAACCAGGGAAGGAAGCAGAGAGAGATTCAAAAAGAGAGAAAGAAAGGAACACTTTGGAGTGGTGTTCTCATTGATACCTCACTCTTACCAAAATTCCTCCAATTCTCCTCATTGTTCTCATTGATACCTCATTCTTATCAAAATTCCTCCAATTCTCCTCATTGTTCTTATTTGATACTTCATTCTTATCAAAATTTCTCCAATTCTGGCCCAGGCCACCAGCACCAGAATTTTCTGGACAAAAGAGTCCACTCATTTTAAAGATGCAGATTCCTGAGTGCACTCCAGACTTGGCCAAAAATCACTGGGTATTGAAAGCAGGGGATCTACATGTTCACCACACCCACTAGTCAAAACGTATGTCCAGGCAAGTCTGAAATATACCACAAAACTCTGTGCCATGATTCTTTTCAGAAGGTGCAGAGAGTAGATGGAAATCGAAATATCCCTGCAAGTTTCCACACTCCCGCTTCCAAAGGCAAATAACTACTCCATGTCCTAGACAAATGGGTAACCCACAATTTGTTCTGATATCTGATTGAAACCCCAAATCCTGGACTTTTGACTTTGATAAAGATGACACTCTAGGGGGAGAAATAGAGAAGCCATTAACTGGAGGACATTAAGGCCATGGTAACATCTCTGCTTCATATATGCAGCGGCAGTGCCCTTGTGAAGGAGCTGGGCCAAGAAGAAATAATTAAAAGGATTAGGTTGAGAAGGAAGACAAAGAGGCTAAGACATTTTTCAGAGGAACTGTGAGTTTCTTTGCGTGGAAAGGCATACTTACAGCCAAAATGAAATACACTGTTAATTGACTTAAAAGAAATAATCAAACCTTGCAGTTTAGTTTTAAAGGAAAAAGGCTCTATAAATTTGGTGAAATTGTTTTATACCAAATCAGTTTTAAATAACTTTTAAATATAATCTCTTCACTCCCATAAGAATATTCACTTACTGTTTTATCTTAATGTAAATTCTATGCAATCTGGTTTTATACACACACCCCCACACACACAGAGTACAGTTTGTTTTTTTTTTAATACAGTGGTGAGTTTAAAATAGTCATGGTTTTAAAGGTAAGATAAAATATGCAATCACAAAAAAAAATTTGGTTGTTTTTACCAAATCAAATGGAAATATCATGTCTTATTAAACCAAAAATGAGCATCCTTCACACTACAGCAATATCAACAGTACTCCGTCAGGAAAATTTCCAAGCTCACTTTATCACTCAAAACTGATCAGACATCAGTTCTCCTAACTGCTTTTTTTTCTCTGGCTTGTCCTTTACTTTACTTTCAACTTGGTAATTATCATCTTTGAAACAATGAAGTCTAAAAAGACAGTCAAATCTATTGAGAGGTTCCTTTATGGTTTTCATCTTTAGCAACATTCTTAGAAAGGTCTTTCCCACCCCTCAAATGCAGAGCCAATGCTCTTCAATTTCAGAATCTTCTAGTTCTGCTTTCTTTCCTTTATTTCATGCTGCATTCCACAAAAGCTCCCTTTGAGACAGTTTTTCATTCCATACGAATCTAGAAACACGGCTGCTTTGGAGAATATTGCTAACTCCATGTCTGCCTCTGCTTTTTTAGCAGGTCTTGGAAGGGTAGTCATGTTACAGCAAATAGATAGTCACCCTGTCATTCAGCAGGTGCTTATGGAGCAGCTACTCTCTAGAAAACACTGAGGCAGGAGAAAGGGGGCAGGGAAGGAAAAACAGACTCAGTCTCTATACTTTGGATGCAAAAGTTACAAATAAGAAGTAAAACAAATAGGCATGATATATTTTAATACATCTTTTGTGGATTGAATTGTGTCCTCCCAAAAGATACATCTAAATCTTAACCCTAGTACCTGTGAGTGTAATCTTATTTGAAAATAGGGTCTTTGCAGATGTAATCAGGTTGAAATTAGGTCATATTGGATAAGGGGGTGGGGGGTTCCAAAATCCAATGACCGCTGTCTTTATAAGAGAAAGGAGAGAGAGATTTGGACACAGGGTTACAAAGGAGACACACAGAGAGAAGATGACCATGGGAAGATAGAGGCAGAGTTGGAGTGATACTGCCACAAGCCAGGGAATGCCAGGAGCCATGAGAAGCCGTAAATGGCAAGGGGGATTCTCCCCTAGAGCCTTCAGAGGGAGCATGGCCCTGCAGATACCTTGATTTCAAACTTCTGGCCTTCAGAACTGTGAGAGAACAGATTTCTGTTGTTTCGAGCCACCAAGTTTGTGTTACTTGGCTATGGCAGCCCCAAGAAACCCATATGGCCTTCCTTGCTCTCCTTTGACAATCTGCCAGGTATTTTAAATTTTTCTAAGGATGTATTTGAATGCTCCAGGCTGAGCCACTAAGAATTGAGGACTTTCATATCAAGATGGCAAGGCATATTTATACTGTATAACCCTCACTGCTCTAGACTCTTAAAGAAAGATTGAACATAAAAATGGAAAGTCACGAAAAGACATAGGTAATCTAAAATACGAAATAGTTGGCTGTCTGAATTACAAATGGAACAAAACTCCAAAATGATGACAGGTATTAAGACCCCAGCTTGCTGGTCTCCAGTGGTGGCTTCTGACCTCCAGAACAATGAGATAATAAATTTGTGTTGTGTGCACCACGATGTTTGTGGTATTTGTTACAACAGCATTTGGTTAGGAATATATCCAGCACTTAAGCAAAGGAGGCATAACACAACTGCCCTTGAACTCCAACTGGGACTGGGGTTCATGGTGCCAAGGAGGCAGAGACACAGGACATAGGTACAATCTGAGCACAGCTGCTTCCAGGCTCTGAAGATGAATTTGCCATGAGCCCCACAGCTTCTGAAGCAGTAACTCCCCATGGCTACCAGCATACCCAGACTTAGAAAGGCAGCCTGGAAGGGCCCAGATAGGTCAACTGCAAAATCCACGGACACAGAGTGAAAGGCACAGAAGAGAGAAAGAGAGAGAAAATTGCCAAAACATAAAAGAAATACCTACACAAAATATACATCCAAACCCAAATTCTAAAACCACATGAAGACATTTAATGCTAAGAAGAGAGCCTACACATCCAGTACTCTAAATAGGAATTCCCTCCTGGTGACATTCACATTTTTAGAACTGTCGGACAAAAACTTTAAAATGAGTATATTGAAATAGCTCAAAGTGCTTAAAGAAGTAGCTCAAAGTGCTGAAAGCTTTTTCTAAAGGATACTAAAGCACAACCAATCAAGAATAAGATAACATAGTTATTATGAAATATGCTATATATATAAGATTAAACTCAAGTAGGGTCAAAGTTCAAAAGTAACTCTCAAGAAGGAACCTCGTGTGAAACAGCAGTGTGGCACAGAAAGATAAAAATTCTTAGCATAAATCAATCCCTACGATGAATATGTATGCATGTTTGCATGTGTGTATTCTCTAGTTTTAATTCTGCAGGAGCAAATAGGGTCTGAGATTGGTTTTCCTGATAACAAACATCTTCCTTACATCAGAATATGTTGTTTACTCCAGAGAAGACTTTGGATGTGGAAAGTCATGACAGATTCTAAATTTGAAGTTCCAATCCTAACATATGACAAAGGAAAGCCTGGAATTTTGAAAGTTAGAAGACAAGAAAAGGCTCCTGTTTCCCTGCCTTCTGCCGTTTATCCCTTCCGTGAACCAGTGAGCCTGTAGTATCCTGACGATGACCAAAAGGGAAGTATGAGAGGGTCACAAGTGAAGAAACAAAAGACCAAAATTGATAGAGAACCCAAAGGTTAAAAAAAAAAAATAGCATGCTGAAAATAGTATCCGGCCACACTAGCAGTATGAATAGAGAGAATCATTCATTTAAAAGATTTATTTTTTTTTCTAGACAGCCAATTATGTCATGGCTTCTCTGGAGAACCCAATAAACAAATTATCTTGAAGAGAATTTCACCTGTTGGGTTCTGCAGCTTAATAAGGCTGCAGTGCCATCAGCACAGAGTCCTAACGCGCCTCACAGGAGAATGTCTTGGACACACTCCTATAAATTAATTTTCTAATTCTGGCTCTGCCACCAGCTAATTTGGTTTCTCTGGATTAATGATGCCACACCTAAAAATGCTGGGATTAGACTAGATGTTCCCTGGCATCTCTTACATCTCTCACATTTTTTAGTTCTCTAATTTTTATTCTGTTTCAAAATGAAATTAAAATATTCTACGTCCACAAAGTCATCTTATGTGTGATTTATAACAGTGTGCATTGGGGAAAAAAAAGGCTATAGCAGAATTCTCAGAATAAGTTGCAGTTAAAATAAGGCATTATTAATGTCCTTAGTACACCATACAATATATCCTCAGACAAGATAAGAAAGTATAAGTTTTCAATTGTTATTAATTACTGCATACTACGCACCTGCAAGAAATGTTCAAAAACTGCAGAAATAGATACTACTTATTATGAGCTACATCAAGGAATAGGAAAGCAAGTTTTAGTTTGGGTAAGTTTTAAATATTTTTCCGTCATTTCTCCTTAATCAATATAAATTGAAAACAGATTCATCTAATCTACTTCAAGAACTTAGTAATGGATTTGGAAGGCCAATTCCAGGTCTCCCAGGCATTGAGCAAAAAATAATGCGTAAATGCTCTTCTGTCAATGAAGCTGAGGTATATAATAAAACTGTGACTCACTAAAAAAACTGAAAGCATCCCCAACTCTAAGTGTATGTGGACTCCAGAGAGCACCTGTCTCTGCGCACATGGAATACAGGAGAAAAATCAGAAAAGTTCTTCATCGTTTCAGGAAAGTGAGAAGCAAAAAATCAGGGATAACTAAGAGCAAAATAGGTTAGTGTTGGTACGCAAACTGTTGTCTTAAAGTTAAATGCAGTGTAATTACTGACTGAATAACGGGCATATGGATTTTCTTACATCTAGTATTAAAATCACACAGCTTTGCATAAAATTCATTAAAATTACATTCATAGCCCAAAATGTTTCTAGTTATTTATTGTTCCATAAAAAATTACTCCTCTCAAAGTGGCTTAAAACAATAATAATAATTTATGTTACTCAAGAATCTGGAATTGACTAGATTTATCTAGAAAGTTCTGGCTCAGTTTCTCTACGTGGCCATAGGTGCAAAGCAGATGGTGGTTGGGGCTGGGTTCTCTTGAAGGCTTATTCACTCACACATCTGGTACCTGGGCTGGGAAGGCTTAGACAGTTGGGGACTAGAATGACTGGGCCCCTATGGGCATCCCTCTCTGTCTTCGAGAGGTCAGTCTGAGTCATCAATCCATATAGCAACCTCAGAGCAGCCTGATTTTAGATGGCGGCTAAAGGCTCCCAGAGTGAGTGTCACGAGATAAACCATTACAGGCAGCACGGCCTTTCCTAACTCAGTCTTAAGAGTCATACAGCATCACTTCTGTCATTCCTTTTGTGGTGGTCATCACAAAAGGCCACCCAAGTTCAAGAGAACAGATTCCCCCTCCTCGTAAAGATGTGGCAAAGCTCTCAAGAGCAAATGGGGGAAAAAAAAAACTGCAGCTGATTATAAAAAAATACAATCTCCTAAAAGCTGGTTGGGATGAGACCCCCAATGATTTTAAGATATCATTTCCAGTTTATTGGGAGAAAACAAAGACTTTGGCATTTTATTAGTTTTCTTTTGCTGCCATGAGGAATTAGCTCAAAAATTTATTTTTTTGCACTTCTACAGTTTATAAGTCCAGTATGCAATATGGTCTCGCCAGGCTAAAATCAAAGTGTCATCAGGGCTGCTCTCTTTTCTGAAAACTCTAAAGGAGACTCAGGGATCCTATTCATTCAGATTTTTGTCAGAACTTAGTTCTTTGTGACTGTAGGACTGAGGTCCCCACTTTGTTGCTCATCGCTAGCTGAGGTCCATTTGTAGATTCTAAGGTCCCCTGAATTCCTTGGCTCATGGCTTCTTCCTCCATCTTCAAAACCAGCAATGGTGAGTGACAATCACTCTCACACCTCATCTCTCCTGCGTTTCTTCCATCGCATTTCCCCAACTGATCCTTGATGGAGAAAATTCTCTGCTTTTCATGGCTCATGTGATTAGATTGAGCCCATCTTGAAAATCCTGAGTAACCTATGTGTCTCGAGCTCTTAACCTGAATCACATGTGTAGAGTTCTTTTTCTCTTGTAAGTTAACATATGCTGTGGATTAGGACTTGAGCATGTCAGGGAGCCATAATTCTGCCTACCAAAGACATAATTTGTTTGATTAAAGAGAGCCCATGACAATGGAATTAAAGAAATTGATATTAAAACTAGATGGTTCTGGGGACTCCATGAAGTGACTCCACATTCATTAAGCACATCTGTTTAAACAAGTGATTTGACTTCCCACACATGGTCAGAAACATAAGATTACAAAGTGCATTGCCCTTAGGTTCATGAGTATTTTCTCAGTGGAAAGACCTTCTCGCTAAAATTTAATTGACTTTATTGTGTATGCAAGTGCAATAAAGGTTACTTGGTTTCCAAGACCAAATAACACAGCAGTTACAAATTAGAAGTGGCAAATACCAATCAACAATGACAAGTGTCATCTGACAACAAAGGAGAAATTTCAAGAAATATATTACACAAAAATGCAGTATCTATCACACATACAAACACAGTTAGTAGTCAAAAGTCATTTGTGGGCAGGCACTGTTATACCAGTGATTATCACTACATGTCATTGAGAAATGACTAAGTTATATTCAAAATATTCTTTTTATGAGTTTATAACATATTATAGAAAAACTTTACATCATTGAGGAAAGACAAACTTAGGGCCAGGCATGGCGGGTCACTCTGTAGTCCCAGCACTTTGGGAGGCCAAGGCAGGTCGATCACATAAGGTCAGAAGTTCAAAACCAGCCTGGCCAGCATGGCAAAACCCCATCTCTACTAACAATACAAAAATTAGCCAAGTGTGGTGGCGGACGCCTGTAATCCCAGCTACTTGGGAGGCTGAGGCAGGAGAATCACGTGAACCCAGGAGGCGGAGGTTGCAGTGAGCCGAGATCACACCATCACACTCTAGTCTGGGTGATAGAACGAGACCCTGTCTCAAAAAAAAAGCCTAACTTGAAGAAAAATAAAAGTGGGTGTATATGCAGTGTAGTGGACATGTTGGCAAATTAGGCTACTCCCTCCATTCCTGCTGGGAAGGAAATTGACCATGAGCACCCCCATTGGGACATTTGTGTTTGCACCATGGGATGTGTGATTAGGCTGAGCAGGTTGTCATGAGTTCTCGGGGCAGACATGTAGGCACTGAGAGAAGATGAAGCAATTCTTCAAGAGAAGCCAAGATTTCAGGCTCAGGCCTGAGTCCTAAATAGCTTTGAAGGTCCAACCCCACTCCCTCCAGAGAACCCCCGGGGAATTTCAGTCCTGGAGTCCCCTAGTGTCCTTCCAGTCATTTTCCTTTATTTATTTATTTTGGCCCAACTCAGTTGCAGTGAATTTCTCTTCCTTGTGACCAAACAATTCATCACTGAGACAAATGGGCAAAATCCCAGTCATTTGAAAAACAATCCAGTTATCAAAAAGGATCAATTCTCTAACAGCTCTAGATGGCTATCAAGTTTTGCAGTTTGTGTGGTTTACTGAAGTGCTTTTTGTTCAATATGTGCATTTCAAGAAACACTCCAAGCTTTGATTAAGAGAATATGGTTTCCCACCTCAATAACTAACTTTTCATAAAACAGATGTCTGTAATTTTATTTTAAATATGACCCAATAGTGGAATTTGATCTGAAGGAGTTGAAATAGAGTGTTTTTAAAATAACCTGTTTATGATTGGTTTTAATATATCTCAACACACACCTTTTTGAAATTGAGAAATTAAATCATCCTAGGAACTACAGATTTCAAAGAAAGCCCCTACCTTTTACTTTAAACCAAAAAAAATCTATATTTTTAGAAAAAAATAAATCATATTAGCATTGTAGATAACAGGATTTATTCCTGGAAAATCTTATTAGTAAGGTTAGAATTTCAGGATTTTGAAGTGCAGTGATTTTTATCAGTTAGTGTCAAGCCAGGAATATGAAGGTCACCTCAGGTAATTCAATAGAGGGAAATTAACATGGAGCACGAGTAATGATCATGTTGGAAGATGTGAACAGGCAAATGAGGAAGAGGGGCAAGCCAGAGATTCACAACAGCAGTTGGGACTGCACTACCTACGGCACAGAGACCTAAAGAGACCAAGAAGGAGGTCAGCGCTGCCAGGTGGGAACTAGAATCATAAAGGAGATATAGCTACAGCTAAAGGTGCCATATGAAGTGAAGAGAAATGGGGATGGATATGATTTGGCCATGTCCCCACCCAAATCTCATCTTGAATTGTAGCTCCCATAATCCCCGCATGTCATGGGAGGGACCTGGTGGGAGGTAATTGAATCATGCATGGGGGCGGGTTTTCCCGTGCTGTTCTCGTGATAGTGAGTAAGTCTCACAAGAGCTGATTGTTTTATAAAGGGCAGTTCCCCTGCACACACTCTCTTGCCTGCCGCCATGTAAGACATGCCTTTGCTCCTCTTTTGCCTTCCACCATGATTGTGAGGCTTCCCCAGCCATGTGGACCTGTGAGTCTGTTAAACCTCTTTTTCTTTATAAATTACCCAGTCTCAGGTATTTCTTCATAGCAGTATGAAAATGGACTAATACAGGGACATAACTTTTTTTTTTCCATTGACTGCCCTTAGTTGATAGCTGGTTGGCAAGGGAGCCTAGGCAAGGTAATTTGCAGGAGTCAAATCTCTGTAAACTGAGCAGATCACAGAAGAGATGGAAAAGGTTCTAAGGACAAACAGGCCACAATGATTGTGCAGATTTTTACACCTTAAAAATCCATTCTAATATGTGGAGTGACAGAGGTAACTGCTTCCAGCACAGAATAGTATTCCAGCTAAAAATCACATAACTACCCCCTATTAAAAGAAAAACTTCAGCCAAACTAAAGTTAAAGGAGTTTAAATGAGGAATGAATGATTCACGAATCAGATAGTCCCAGAATGACAGCAGATTCAGAGACTCCTGGGATGCCTCGTGGTCAGAACAAATTTATAGACAAAGACAGGGAATGACACACAGAAATCAGAAGTGAGGGGCAGAAACAGCTGGATTGGTTACAGGTTGGCATTTGCCTTATTTGAACACACTTTGAACACTCAGCAGTGTATGAGTGGTTGAAGTATGGCTGCTGAGATTGGCCAAGACTTAGCTATTGTTATAGGCACGTACTCCTAAATTAGGTTTTCAATTTTATCTGCCTGTTAAGTTAGGTTATGGTTTGTCCACAAATATTCAAATACAGAAGTACAGAGTCCTTCTCAGGCTATATTTAATTCGCTTTAACTCCCCAAAAGATCATACTATGACATATGAATGCCTACACCACAATACACAACATGATCTGGAAGTCAAAGAAATCAGCAAAGATTGTAACTTTTTGCCCTCTGGCATACAGATACAAAGCCAGGAATATTAACCTGCCCTGTGAGCAAATATTATTGTCATGATTATTATATTATTGTCAATAATCATTATATATATTAAGAATTATAACTGATATCAATGAAAATATGGTATAAGACATTGTGTTTACCTTCCAAAAACCCCTCCACCCACTTTTATTGCTTTGCAGCTTTATGATTTTGGTGGGAATGACCCCAGCCCTATCTAGAAGGTTGAGTAATGATGTGTCTACATTCAGGGAAATTCCATCAATCTTACAAGAGTATTTCAAACATAGCAACCCAGGCATAAGCTAATCAGCATAGGACATTTCATTGGCTATAGAACTTGTGCAGGAATGGTCCATTCAAATTTTATTCAATAATTGTGAAAATAAAATTCCATTTCTCTAAAAGATAAATGAATGAGCAATCATGATTCTTAAATTCCTTCTTGTAATCCTGGCATGGAACTCAGCATGGAAACAGTCTAACATCCTCTTGGTACACAGGGGTCAAAAACAACCAGATCACAGAAAAATGAATATAGAGCCTTGATCAAGTCATGCCTGAATTCCATTACTTTCAAATACTTCAGCTATATAAGTCAATACATCTCCTAGATTATTTAAACCAATTACAGCGTTTTTTGTTCTGGTTTTTGTTGTTTTTATTTATTTGTTTTTATATTAGTAACTACACACAAAATACTAGGGACATTGCTACTTACTGTGCATGGGCTGTCTCACTGATTTCTGCCAAGAGTCCATCCAGGGAAGTAGATTTTATCACTGCCTCCACTTTTATATTCAAGGAAAGTAAGGAATGCAACTTTCCCAAATTCCTACAGTTTGGAGAGAGAGAGTTTGAATTCACGCCATCAGACTTCAGACCTTATACTTTTAACTGTAGCATCACAGATTTCCCATACCTGCTTTGCTGCGCCAAAACATTTCTGTATTTGGTAACTCTACTCTGAGAGAGATTTTTTAAAACAAATTATTTTATAAAGCCCCAAACAGAAAACGGAGGAGCAGGTTAGAGAATGATCAGATGTACACAATCAAACCAAGTTAAACTAAAGATATAGTCAAATGTAGCAACCTTTACCAAAACAACTCATTCAGGGACATTAGGTATACATGAAACATTTTGATCACACAGGTTAAAATGTCAGCTCTTAAGCAATACTTTTTTTAATTTTTTTCTTTTTTTGGAAACAGTCTGACTCTGTCACCCAGGCTGGAGTGCAGTGGAGAATCACTGCTCACTGCAACGTCTGCCTCCTGGGCTTCCAGTAACCCTCCTACCTCAGGCTCCTGAGTAACTGGGACTACAGGCAAGTGCCAGTATGCCCAGCTAAGTTTTTGTGTTTTTAGGAGAGACCTGGGTGCAGCAATCCACCAACCTCAATCTCTCAAAAGTGCTGTGATTACAGGCTTGAGCCACTGTACCCAGACAGCAATATTCTTTTTAAAAGGTAAATAAAAGTGGTATTCACCAGGGATGCCCATTTTGTTTTCAGGACTGGGGGAAGTGTTGATTTTAACTAAAAATAATGTGATTATAAAATTTAGAGTTCTCTAAGAGTGTGATTCCCTTAGCTTATAATGATGGCTTTGAAAACAGATTTTAGGATTATACTTTAAAGTTACTCCTATGTAAAAGTTTTTGAGCAAAAAATACCATACATATTACTTATATATACACACAGGAATATATACACATACTCACATAATTCTATATATGCATACGTAAGTATATATTACATAAAACTCGTGTATTCTATAGAAAATAATTATGTGATCATATATGATGTGTTACATATGAATTATAACGATGCTTGATATGTACATATATATAAAACTTTGTTCTTATCTGCTAGATATATGTGAATTTCATTTTTAAAGCGTTTAAGTTCAGGGGTACAAGTGCATGTTTGTTACCTATGGCACATAGGTAAACTTGTGTTGTGGGGGTTTGTTGTATAGGTAATTTCATCAACCAGGTATTAAACCTAGTACCCATTAGTTATTTTTCTTGACCCCCTCCCTCCTCCCACCCTCCACCCTCTGAAAGGCTCCAGTGTGTGTTGTTGCCTTCTATGTCCATGTGTTCTCATCATTTAGCTCCCACTTATATGTGAGAACATGTGGTATTTGGTTTTCTCTTCCTGTGTCAGTTTGTTAAGGATAATGGCCTCCATCTCCATCCATGTGCCTGTAAAGGACATGATCTTGATCTTTTCTATGGCTGCATAGTATTCCATGGTGTATGTATACTACCTTTTCTTTATCCAGTCTATCATTGTTGGGCATTTAGGTTGAGTCCACGTCTTTGATATATATGAATTCTATTTAATTGTAGTATTCTTTCTCACTATCAAATAAATATAATCTCTACTCACTTAAGTCTTACACTCTGTCTCCAACAAAATCGCCTGCAGTTGTCCATGGCAGATATAACCTTTTATAAAAACTAAGTACAAGAGAATTGAACTACATGGGCTAGATTTGTGCACATTCCCAAAATACCACAACCCTCTTTCCTTTTTTTTTTTTTTTTGTTTTCTTTTGAGACAGAGTCTCACTCTGTCACTCAGGCTGGAATGCAGTGGTGTGATCTCGGCTCACTGCAATCAGGTGCAAGCGATTCTGGTGCCTTAACCTCCCAAGTAGCTGAGATTACAGGCGCGCACCAGCACACCTGACTAATTTTCTGTATTTTAGTAGAGGCGGGGTTTCACCATGTTGCCCAAGCTGGTCTCAAACTCCTGAGCTCAGGCAATCCGCCTGCCTCAGCCTCCCAAAGTGCTAAGATTACAGGCGTGAGCCACCTTGCCAAGCCCCCCAACCCTCTTTCCTGATCAATTCCTTAGGGACCCCTGAGGATTCAGAACATGCTGTGGCAGTGATCCGTTTCATCATCACTCTGGCACCCTATCACCTGGCACACATATTCTTCCTGCTGCTAGGAATGGATGAATGCACTGGAGAAAGCCAGCTCCTTGGTGACTCCCTATAAACAAATGTGTATTTTCCCTTGGAAAACATCCCTGTCTGAGGAACCAGTTAGCAGCTATTCTTGGCTGAATTTATTTTTTCTTTTGCCCTGTTGTGGGCATTTTGACTTCATTGTGTGTCCATTTTCCCTAAATAGAAAACACAAGGTCTATGCTGAATGTTTCAAAAAGAAACATTCTACAAAAATAAACTTCTACAAAAATGGTAGAAGTTTCTGGTTTGGTCTTGATAAGCCTAGTTCTAAAAATAAGAAGTGAGGACAGTAGGTTTTATATTGGTCTTTCTTCTGTTTAAAGAAGCAGCAACATTCTAAACTCACTAAGCCCACTAAGTACTATATAAGCAAGTGCTACCAAAATGAGGCCATTTCTGCCCACAGGGATTTGGATGTGTCAAAGTCCTATTTCCCACCACTGGTCAGTACCAGGACAGAAATAGCATCCTGAGAGTGAGTTGTGTCATCCTTTGAATTGAAAGAGGCTTGAAGGCCCTGCCCTAAGGCATTCGCTTCATGGGTAAACGTCCTGTTTAGCAAACATGTCAGTAGGACAAAAGTGAATCTTCAAATAAATTGGATACAAGATAGACAAGTTTTGCTGAGATTTTCTGGGGAAAGGGTCAAGAAAGGCCCGGAACATGTAATTATCAAAAGAATAAGACAGCTCAGGTTCCAAATGGAGGCTGGTGTCTGAGCAGGAGCTAGGGCCTTGAAGTCAAGCAGATCTCTTTTGACACCTGGGTTTGCTACCGGCATGAAGCCCTGCAACATTAAACAAATCTTTGAACAGTTCTTGCTATGCTTTGGTGTTCTCAGTTTGAAGATGGGATCGATGCCTATCCCAAAGTGTTATTGTGATAGGCTGAGGAGCTGACATAAAGCTCTTGGTTCTTCTAAATTCTCATTCAGTGGTGCTGGTCAATATTAAACCCCTCCTCCAGACACACATCGTCACTTAAGATATCTCCCAACCTGCAAGCACAGAGCTTGTATACACAAGGCCAAAGGTACAAAGCACTACTTTCTTAATCTTTTCCTGTGATTGGCAAAACTCTAAAAATGGCGCCCAAGATTTCACACCCTAATCCCTGGAAGCCATAAATATGAAACGATGTCACTCTCATCATTATTCCCATGTAACGCAGCCAAGCGCTTGTGTCATGCCATATGGTACAGTTGACTATGAAACAGGGAGGTAACCTGGGGGTATCACACGGGTCCTTTTAAGCAAACAGCTTTCCCAGCTGTTGAAGAAGGAAAAGTTGGAGAAATTTAAAGTGAGAAGGAAAAGTTGGAGAGATTTTAACATACTGTTGCTGTTCAGAAGACAATCCACAAGAGGATAAATGTCATGGTCTGAAGTTGCTGAAAGACCTCCCCACCAGCCACTGGCAGCCATGGAGTGAGGAGTGGGACCTCAGTTCTACACCTGCAAGGAACTGGATTCTGCTGACACCTAGAGCCAGCATGTGTCTAAGTCCCTTTGTGTGGCTGTAACAGAATAGCCCAGACTGGGTAATTTATAAAGAACAGACAGTTCTGAAGGCTGGGAAGCCCTATATCAAGATGCCGGCACCTGCTGAGGGCCTTTCTGCTATATACTCTCATGAAAGAAGGGCAAGAGAAAGCCAGCTACCTTCCCAAAGCCCTTTGCAAGGACACCTGATCCCATTCACAAAGGAGGCGCCCTCATAGTCTACCCACCTCTTAAAGTCCCCACCTCTTAATACTATCACATTGGCAACAGCTGGATTTTGGAGAGGACACATTCAAACCATAGAGGCTTGGAAGTAGATTCTTCCTCTGAGCATCCAGGGAGAAATGCAGCCCTGCTGACACCTTGATTGCATCGTTTTGAGACTGAAGCAGAGATCCCAGCTGAGCCATGCCTGTCTTCTGGAACAGTGAGATAAGACATCTGTGTAGCTTTAAACCGCTATATTTTTAAGGAATATGTTATATAGCAATAGAAAACTGCTACACTGAGATAGCAAGAGAGTCAGAGAGAGAGAAAGAGAGAGAGAGAGAATGGGCAAATGAAGCAAAAGCAATCAACAATTGGTGAACCTGGGAAAAGGATATAAAAGCCTTCTTTGTGTTATTATTCTTGCAACTTTTCTGTAAATTTGAAATTACAGCAAAATAAAAAGTTGCACATAATTAAAGCACAGGATAAAATAAAGCCCTTTGGCATCTGTGTAACTGCTAGTATATAATGCAAACTCATAAACCCTCCTTTAAAGTGTGCAGGAGATGGGTGTCTGCCATGAGTGATCCTCAGAGAGAAGATAAGTATTCAGTGACTCTGATAACAAATTCTCTGGTCTATTCCAGATGGTATGAGGTCAAAAGAAGGCTTCTCTTTTTAATTTTGGTATTAATATCTCTTTTAAAAAAGATCTCTGCCTGAATCTAATTATAGGAGGTTCATGACTCCTATCATGGCTATTATAGGGCCATTAATCCAAGGATACAGCACTGTGCTAATGCTGAATATTGGTGTATTAAGAAATGCATGATCATTCCCTTGAGAATGTCTAAAACCACATCCGTGTGATGAAGAGATCATTTGCACACATAAAGCAACATTTAAGACACCAGGTTGTTGAGTTTACAATGCAAAGCCTCAAAAATTAGTGTAGGCTTGATAATGTTAATAACTAATTCATCCATCAGTGGTGTTCTGTGGTCCTTCTAAATAAAGTAAAACAAACATGGATAAGCAGAATCTGTTTGATGTTGATTTCTCTGCTTTGCCCTTACTAGAAAATACATTTGAGAGAGCCTAGAAATAAGTCAAACGTTGCTCAAGTTATGTTTTAAAATATCCTCTAGGTCTGTTTTCTGTATTTCCTCTGTCAGTTCTCTCTCAGTTCTACATTTTTCATTAAGCTTCTTGGATTAACTTTCATCCCCGTACCTTCTGTCAATAGTACTCTAAGATATTTTGACATTGATTATCAACATCAGTTTCAGTTTGATGCCATCTTTTGTGCACTGTGGGACTTCGGCATGCCTTTTCTTTCTTTGCTTTTCCCCCCCACTTAGCTCATTTGAATTCCTATATCTCCTGACAGGTGGGCACATCATAATACTACAAAGCAGTTTCAAGCACAAGAAAAACAGACTTTATTTGAGCTCCACCACTCTTCTGTCCATGGAAAACCATCTTCTTTGCTTATAATAACTTACCAGTGGCCAAAGGACTAAAACCACGGACTCATTGAACTGTTATCAGATCTCTTCAGGGCAGCATGAGCTAGGGAGGGAAAACCTCAGCCTTCCTCTCAAGACAGTGCTTTCCATTTTTGGACAATGATAATGGTTTGTTAGAAAACACTTATCTGTGTGGATATGAATCTGCACCTCTATAACTTCTAATCATCATTCATTGTTTCTACGTTTATTCAATTATTATTCCTTTTGGGTTGGGTTAAAATAATTCCTTTTTCGAATTGACAGTTCTTCTAAGATGTGAAGATATCCTCTTCCCTTCCAGGCCCCAGCTCCTCTCTTTTCCAGCTAAAGTATACCAGAATTTTCCCAAGGCTTACCTGTGAGCATCTCACACTTGGTTGTCCTCCTCTGGACCAGCCCATTTAGTAAGCATCACTCTGTGTGTGCAGATATGTAGATATACATGTATATACATATATACAGTAGCCTAATGTTATAGAGTATAATAAAATTCTTGAAAATGAGACAGAGTTATCATTGACTTACCAATTATTATCTTGTCCTGGATAGGATTCAGGCATCTGCATCCTCTATCTTTATAAAAATCAGCCAAACACACACTTCAGTCTTTTTTTATTTTGAGACAGGGTCTCACTCTGTCACCCAGGCTGGAGTGCGGTGGTGTGATCATGGCTCACTGCAGCCTTGACCTCCTGGGCTCAAGCCATCCCTCTGCCTCAGCCTCCCAAGTAGCTGGCACCACAGGCACATGCGGTCACACTAGGCTAAGAGTGTGTGTGTGTGTGTATTTTTGTAGAGATAAAGTTTCACAGTGTTTCCTAGGCTGGGCCTGGGGCTTGAACTCCTGGGCTCAAAGGACCCTCCCACCTTGGCCTCCCAAAGTGCTGGAATTACAGCAGTGAGCCACCACGCCCACCCTCAGTCTTTATATTATGCTAATGGAGGATGGTGTGTTTGCAGGTTGGGAGGTGCTGTCATATTTTAATTAAGTGTTATTCTGTCTCTATAAACATTCAAATGCCAGTAGAGAATAATTCAAATTTTAACTGAAGTAACTGATAGTCTGTAATTACCAATTTTATAGTTGCCAAGTTTTTTTCAGACACTTATATGAAACCATTGCTTCATTGTAGCAAGGGCGCACTCCTACAGAACATTTTATTTAGCTGTCAATCCATTCATATGGGAATGTAAGTACACTTAGTTTTATTTGTTCTCTTAAAGAAACAACCATCTTAAAAATAAAATGAGCATACTAGCTTTCAAGAATGCAGCTATTTAATAGGTAGCCTCTGTCACAGACAAAATAAATGGTACCTAATTCATAAAAAGTTAAAATTTAGTCACATTCTGGGCAAATTAGCAGGTTGAAATATTGGTGGTATTCTCATAATAGCTAGACTGCAATTCTGAGAAAACTATGCTGTTTTATTGTAACTAGCAGGCCTAGAAGTCTTGTAGGCTTTCAAATCTCTGGGCATAATTTTCTGTGGTCCTACGACCTAAAGCAAAGTAAATTGCAGGATTAAAATTTGCAAAGACTGAGTGACAGTACTGCCCTAAATTCACAAAATTTTCACACACAGAACGTTGTAATTTTCACATTAGACATCTAGTCTTGTTTCTATACCTATGAGTAACTTATTTAAACCCATTCAAACTGTTTTATTTAGCATAATGATGCTATGTTAATGTTTAATTCTCTTTTATATGAAATTTGAGTGAGCAAAGAAAAATATCACATTGGTCCAGAAACCTTTTAATATTTTTGTCGTCTTAAGGTAAAGAGCTATAATTCTGGTTATCTCTAGGTAAAATGCAGCAGTGATATTCACAACACAGAATTGAAGCTTTTAACTGAGTATGACCTGCACTTAGATTTTGGAAAAATTAACAATTTTGCTTTGGATGCCATTATCCTTCCTCACTTGCTGAACAAGAATGTTCCTATCCTTTGCAAAATAAGACCTAGGATTTCCCTTGAATCTGTATTTAAATTTGTGATATGATAATAATATAAAAATAAATGTGCCTACCAAATACAAATGTTCTTAACCTACTACAAAATTAAAATTACCATTATAGCTATTTCTGCTTATAAACTCCATTCGTTTTCAGAGGTTGCTGCTTTCTCCCTAATGGCTCCTTGAAATTATGACCAGCTGTTCTTGTTACTTAAATGTTTGATAGGAAAACACCTGGAAATAAATGACTTCCACAGGGAGCTATGTTGCGCCATTTGCCAAAGAAAAGGTGGGGGGGAGCATAAATGACTAAAAATGAACAACTTTGCTACTCTATTTTTATGAAAATAGCATCTTAAGGTACAGATTTCATATATGTAGGAAATCTTAAGTTTTATAAAAATTTGACTAAGAATGCTGTCTTCAGATTTACTATTTTTATGTTAATCTAATATAAATACTATAGTTGACTTCATCTGTTTTATATTTTTATCCTTAGAGCTAAAAGTACATATGGCTAATGAATTAAAACTATAATATTTAATATATACTTGCAAAACAATATATTGTAGAACCGTAAAATTTTCTGCTTTGAACTTATGCTGAACCCCTTGCCCCCGATACCAAGATGCTAACCCATATCTTCTACCTTCCTTCTTGGAATCAACAATTCCAAAACGGAACATAAATGGCACAGACAGGCCAGATTGCAAAGACAAACCGTTCTGTAATATGTGTGCCTATGATTTTATGGCTTGTTCCAAGTGTGGTATTGAGATCCAGTATGAAACCAGTATGCCATTATTTCACTCTTGTAAATACATGTGCATGCATGGATGCACACACATGCACAGACACACATTATAGAATTATAGAATGTGTATACACATTCTATAACCTGTAGAAAATGTCAAGAAGTAGACATAGTAAACTACTAGCGGTAATTTCTTCTGGGGTTAGAACTAGAATTGGGCAGAAGCAGAAATTGCAATTTTGCTCTACTTGATTTTCAATGTTTTACATTTAAAAGAACCAAAAAAGAAAAACAACAAAGTAACTGACTTTGCTACTGATAGCCTTATAATGAATGTTTTGCTTGTGAGTATAATCTTCTCACCATACCTAGGCCTAAGTTTCCATGGCCGGTACCATGTACTTTCTCATGCATCATTGCTTAAGTTCCTTGTGACAGCTCTCTACAGGTGTTAGCATAAATATTCTTGTTTTTATTTTACGGACTAGTACAATGGTCTTTAAACAAAGTTTATCAATAGAGTTGAACCATTTCATATGGAGATGCAGAGTGAGAACCTGCAAAGTTTGTCTTTCTGTGCCTGGCTTATTTCACGTAATGTAATATCTCCAGTTCCATCCATGTTGTGTTGCAAATGTCAATCTCATTCTTTTTTATGGCTGAGTAGTACTCCACTATGTATATGTACCACCTTTTCTTTATCCATTCATCTGTTGATGAACACTGAGGTTTCTTCCAAATCTGAGCTATCATGAACAGTGCCGCAACACACATGGGAGTGCAGATATCTCTTTGATGTACTGATTTCTTTTCTTTTGGATATATACCCATGTACTAGTTCATTCTCACGCTGCTATAAAGAACTGCCCAAGACTGGGTAATTTATAAGGGAAAGAGGTTTGATTTACTGCTGTATCCCATAGGTTTTTGTATGTTATGTTTCCATTATCATTTCTTTTAAGAAATGTTTTAATTTCTTAATTTCTTCACTGACTCACTGGTTATTAAGGAGTGTATTGTTTAATTTCCATGTATTCATGTAGTTTTCAAGATTCCTCTCGTTATTAATTTTTAGTTTTAGTCCATTGCAGTCAAAAAAGATGCTTGATATTATCTTAATTTTTTTGAAAGTTTTAAGACTTGTTCTGTGACCTATCACATAGTCTATCCTTGAGAATGATCCATGTGCCAAGGAAAAGAATGTGCATTTTGCAGCCATAGGATGAAATGTTCTGTAGATATCTTTTAGATCCATTTGGTCTACAGTGCAGATTAAGTCTAATGTTGCTTTATTTTGTTTGTTGATTTTCTGTATGGAAGATCTGTCCAGTGCTGAAAGTGGGGTGTTGAAGTCTCCAGCTATTGTATTGGAGCCTCTCACATTAGCTCTAATAATAGCTGCTTTTTATATACCTGGGTGCTCCAGTGTTGGGTCATATATATTTAAAATTGTTATATTTTCTGCTGAAATGATTCCTTTATCATTATACAGTGACCTTCTATATCACTTCTTACAGTTTTTTTCTTGAAATCTATTTTGTCTGATGTAAATATAGCAACTCCTGATCTTTTTTTTGTTTCCATTAGCATGGAATATCTTTTTCCATTCCTTTATTTTCAGTCTATGTGTGCATTTATAGGTGAAGTGTGTTTGTTTTAGGCAACAGATCAATGGTTCTTGTGTTTTCATCCATTCGGCCAGTTGATGTCTTTTGGTTGGAGCATTCAGTCCATTTATATTTAATGTTATTATTGATAAGTAAGGACTTACTCCTGCCATTTTGTTATTTTTTTTCTGGTTCTTTTGTGGTCTTCTTTTCCTTTTTGCTTTCTTTCCTGTCTTCCTTTAGCACAGGTGATTTTTTTTTCTGGTGATACAATTTAGTTTTTTGCTTTTTATTTTTTGTGTATCTGTTGTATACTTTTGGTTTGAGTTTGCCATGAGGCTTACAAGTACTATCTTTAACCATTATTTAAACTTGATAATAACTTAACACTGTTTGCACAAACAAACAAGCAAAAAGAAAACTAATAAAAACTCTATACCTTAACTTCATCACCCCACTTTTTAACTTTTTGTTGTTTTTATTTATGTCTTACTGTACTGTCTATATCTTGAAAAGTTGCTGTAGTTATTATTTATGATTGGTTCATCATTTAATCTTTCAACATAAGAGTAGTTTTCATAACACAGTTACAGTGTTATAATATTCTGTTTTTCTGTGTACTTACCATTACCAGTGAGTTTTCTATCTTCAGGTGATTACTTATTGCTCAGTAACATCCTTTTCTTTCTGATTGAAGGACTTTAGCATTTCTTGCAGGACAGGTGTGGTGTTGATGAGATCCCTCAGCTTTTGTTTGAGAAAGTCTTTATTTCTCCTGCATATTTGAAGGATTATTTCACCAGATATACTATTTGAGGGTAAAAGTTTTATTCCTTCAGCACTTTAAATATGCCATGACACTCTTTCCTGGCCTGTAAGGTTTCCAGTGGAATGTCTGCTGCCAGATACATTGGAGCTTTATTGCATGTTACTGGTTTCGTTTCTCTTGCTGCTTTTAGGATCCTTTCTTTATGCTTGATATTTGGGGTTTGATTATTAAATCCCTTGAGGTAGTCTTCTTTGGGTAACATTTGCTTGGTGTTCTATAATCTTCTTGTACTTGGATATTGATATTCCTCTAGGTTTAGGAAGTTCTCTGTTACTATCCCTTTGAATAAACTTTCTGCCCCTGTCTCTTTCTCTACCTCCTGTTTAAGGCCAATAAGTCTTAAATTTGCCCTTTTGAGGCTATTTTCTAGATTCTATAGATATGCTTCATTGTTTTTTATTCTTTTGTCTCCTCTGACTGTGTATTTTCAAGTAGCCTGCGTGCAAGGTCACTAATTCTTCTGCTTGATCAATTGTGCTATTAAAAGACTCTCATGCATTCTTAGTATGCTAATTGCATTTTTCAGCTCCAACATTTCTGCTTGACTCTTTTTATTATTTCAATCTCTTTGTTAAATTTATCTGATAGAATTCTGAATCCCTTCTATGTGTTTTCTTGAATTTCTTTGAGTTTCCTCAACACGACAATTTTGAATTGTCTGTTTGAAAGATCACATCTCTCTGTTTCTCCAGGATTAGTCCCTGGTGGCTTACTTAGTTTATTTGGTGAGGTCTGTTTTCCTAGATGGCATTGATGCTGTTAGATGTTCTTTGGTGTCTGGGCACTGAAGAGTTAGGTATTGATTGTAGTCTTCACTGCCTAGGCTTGTTTCTACCCATCCTTCTTGGGAAGGCTTTCTAGATATTTGAAAGGGTGTGGTGGTCTAAGCTGTGTCTGCTTTAGGGGGCACCCCAAGCACCGTAACACTGTGGTTCTTGCCAACTCATAGAGGTACCACCTTGATGGTCTTGGACAAGTTCCGGAAAATTCTCTGGATTACAGGCAGAGACTCTTGTTTTCTTTCCTTACTTTCTCTTAAACAAACAGTATCTCTCTCTGTTCTGAACCACCTAAAGCTGGGTGTGGAGTCACACTGGCACCCCTGTGGACACCACCACTGTGACTGCACTGGGTCAGACCTGAAACCAGCACAGCCCTGGGTTTCACTTAAGGCCTCCTGTAACTACTACCTGGCTACTGTCTGTTTGCTCAAGGCCCTCAGGCTCTACAGTCAGCAGGTAGCAAAACCAGTCAGCCTTGTGTTCTTCTCTTCAGGGTGATGAGTTCCCCTAGGCCCCATTTGGATCAAGAGGTACCATCTGGGAGTCAGGGACTAGAGTGAAAACCTTAAAAGTCTGCTTGGTATTCTGTTGTACTGAGGCTGAGCTGACACTCTAACCACAAGACACAGTCCTTCCCCTTCTTCCCTCCCCCTTCCAAAGGCAGAAGAGCCTCACCCCCTTAGCCACCACCACCACAGGCCACGAGGAGTACTGCCAGACTACTGCTGGTATTTTCTTAAATCTCAAGGACTCTTAAGTCAGCTTGTGGTGAATGCTCCCTGGCCTGAGACTCACCCTTCAGAGCAGTGGGCTCCCCTCTGGCCCAGGGCAGGTCCGGCAATGACATCCAAGAGTCATATTCTACAACTGGGGACCCAAAGAGCTTGCCTGATGCTCTACCCCCTTGTGGTTGTGCTCGTATCTAAGGTGCAAACAACATCCCCTTTACTTTTCCTCTGCTTTTTTTAAGCAGACGGAGCTTTGTCCCCTAGCCACCGCAGCTGGGAATGTGTTGAGTCTCACCAGCAAGTCTCAGAGGCTCACTCAATGTCCTTGACATAGTACCTAGTTATCACTGCTGGTTATTCCTGGTTCAAGGGCTCTTCAGTTAGCAGGTGATGAATGCTGACAGAACAGAACTGGGTCCTTTCCTTCAAGGCAGCTGTTTCCCTTCTGGCCCAGGGTGTGTCTAGAAATATCATCTGTGAGCTAGGGCCTGGAATGAGGGCCTCAGGATTCTGCCCAATGCCCTATCCTGCTGTGGCTGAGCTGATGTCCAAGATGCAAGACAAAGTCCTCCCCACTATTGTTTCTCCTCTCCTCTTCTCAAGCAGAAGAAAGGGGTCTATTTTTGAGCTGTGAACTGTGCAACCTGGGATTTGGGGACGGGTGATGCCAGCATTCCCTTGGCTGCCCCAGCTGGTGTCTCCATATGTCTCATGCCCCCACAGTCCATTGTCTCTGGGCCGATTTCAACACTAGGACTCTCCTAAGAGTTTCAGACCTTGTGGCCTAGACTGTCTTTCAAGTTTACTTGGAGACTCAGAGCAATTTACCCCCTTGGTGGTGAGGTTTATGAAAACTCAAGTTCAGACCGCTGGGTTCTGCAATTCCCCTCTGGCTAAAGGTTTTCCCCTCTGGCTAGAGGTTCTGCAATTCCCCTCTGGCTCTGGTTTATATGCTCCCTCCATGGGTGGCTGACTTTGGTCTGGTTTTCGTTTCTGCTCAAACAGGATAGCACTGAGTTCAATGCCTCACAGCTGCTGTGCTCTCCCTCCCCTGGCACCCAGAGATACTCTCCACACCATGCCAATGCTGCTGCTGGGAGTATAGGAGGGAGAGGGGTGGCATCAATGATTCAGGAGTGTTTTTGCTATCTTTTCAGGGATATGAAGTTAAAACCAGGTACTATGAGGGCCCACCTGATTTTTTGTTCTTATGAAGGTGTATTTTTCTCTGTAGAGAGTTGTTACCTTGGTACCCTTGCAGCAGAGATGATGGGTGGAGCCTTCTATTCTGCCATCTTGCTCTGCGTCATTGAGTTGTGGTATTTCCAGTTGCTTTTTCTAAATCCTGTCTCTAAAACAAAGCAACCAACCTTACTGGAAACATTTTGTTCAGAAAAGGCTCAATGAGCACTAAAAATGTACCAGGAAACAAAAGGAAGTCAGCATGTATTTCGAAAATCTTTCTGGAGAAGACTCATAGACTAAACATGAATAAACCCAGACAATTATTTCTAGAGTCTAACACTGACCAAATAACGTTTTACAGCCTTGGTGTATTTTGAAGAGGGAGTCATTACTGCCAACACGAGTATTTTCATAAATTTCAGTAATTTTTTATTATTATTATTTGCTTCTTAACTTCTAATTTCAGGTTAGGAATGTATTTAAATTTGTTTATTTTTTTTTTTGGACTTTTCCTTTCAAGCTGGGCATCCCTTGCTATGCCCTTCAATGTGGGGAGAGGCTTTCAATCAAAGATTTATCTTTACTGCGTAATTACTCATCATGCAATTGTGTTGTCTGTGACTATTCTGAAATATTCATAGTACGTTAATTGTTGTACCTGGATAACAGATCTCAGCAGCAGCATATTCTGATTAGGGTATCGCTCAAGTTTATTATATACCAACTATATCTTCAGCACCAACTAGCATTCTGCCCTGTGGCACAGGTACAAAGTGCCCTAAAAGTCCCTGGTTTCAGAAAAACAAAGTGAGCAGTAACACAGAAATTCAGTAATTATTTGTAATGTAGAAGGAGGCAAAGGACATAACAAAATAATAAAATACTGCATATCAAAGACATTCCTCTTTGGCGTGTGGAAAAATGCAAGTGAAAAAACAATTTATTTTGTGCTCCCTACCTCCTATATACCTGGCAGTGTGAGAGGAGTATGAGATACAAAAATATACATTTCAATAAAACATCATCCTAGTCATCAAGGAATGCATTGCCAAACTGGGGCCAAAAGCCTAAAAAGAGGGCATTTCAATAAAGGAAGGTCTATGTTCTGAAAGGAATAACAGGATACTTTGTTAAGTGAATGGTGGTCAGAAAACCCCTTCCTGGAGAAGACGTTTCCTGAACCAAAGCTGTAAGGCCGAGTAGACAAATGGCATTGGTGAATTAAGGTTATGTCCTAAATAAGCACGTTTTCCCCCAGGAAAATTCTAGACACTTTTGTTCCTAGCATCAGGTTAAGAATGCTATTTCTTCAGAGTCAATAATAAATGAGTACTTTTTTTAAAAAATTCAAGTTGATGTATGAAAACGTTATCTTACTTGGAGTTTTAATATGCAAATACAGAACTTTTAACATTAGTGGTGACATTGCCTTAGGAGAGTCTGAAGAAAAACTAAGGCTGCAATCATAAGGCAAGCAGATTATAACCCTGTGGAGGCTGGCAACCAAGGAGCAAGAGATCTGAGAATGTTCTTTCTAAATCCAACATCTTACACAAGTCTTGTGGCTTAAAGTTATCTAGTGAAGATTAGCAAAGTGGATCCAATAATGAGCTTTTGTTAAAAAATGGAAGATTTTAGTTGCAAGCTACATTTCAAAAAGAGCACGTTTTACATACTAGAACTTTTAAAAAGTTTATTTCAGGTTGAAGAATTATATTTTCATAGTATTCTAGCATAATCATGCTACTTAAGGAATGAGATTTTTAACAAAGCCATATTCAATAGCGCTGTACTGCTTCATAATCATGGTAGTGATAAATATCGTTTCACAGATGGGATTTGAATATTGTTTGTTCAACTGATTATCATTTTAATATTCCTGAAATTCTTTCATTATATGACATGCACAAAAACCAGACTTTATCAATGTAATCAACTCTAATATCACTAGGTTAATGTTTATTGATTATTTTAATTTTCCTTTTAAAAGTTTTTCGTTTCATTTTGATATTGCAAAATAACTAAAGGATATTGCCAGAGTTGCTAATGAATATAGAAACTTAGTATATGATAAAGGCTTCATGTCAAAGCAGTAGAGAAATTTAAAAGAAAAAGATTAATTCTTTTCTAAAAATAGTATGAGATCATTGCTTAGTAGTGTAGAGAAAGATAAAATGAAAGCGTACAAATAGTAGAAGAATGCATGGATGCATTCCTCTATAAGCTAGGAATAGAAAAAGCTTTTCTTAAATATGACCCAAAATCTAGGAACAATTTGCTGAAAGAAAAATAAAAGTGCTGACATTAAAAAATCACGTAAAAATGCCAGAGCAAATGAAACGACAAATGAAAAACCGGGAAAATATTTGTGACTTATATTAGACCAAAGGGTCAATGTACCTAGTATATGAAGAGCATCCAAAAATAGAGAACATTGTAAGATAAGAATGGAGAAGAGGCATGCACGAAGAGTTCACTGGAAAACTAATACAAATGGCCCTTAAAAATAAAGATGCTCAGTCTTACTCAAAAATAAGATAAATGCACATTAAAAATACTTTGTAATATTATTTATCACCTATCATCACCTTTCCATCACCTGTTGGTGGGGGAGAGGGTTTGACCACTCACTTGGTTGACAAGATTTGAAGAAACATTGCTGGTAGGAATCAAAATGTTAATGAAATGAAAATATTAATAGGATGAAAAATAGCATAACACGTATACAAGAAAATCTAGCAAGACATAACAGAACTGCATGAACATTAATTTTGTGTTTGACCTTAGTAGTGGGATAAAATTACCTTTTTATTAAATGCTGCTATGTTCCTGGTTAATAAAGTATAAAAGCTAATCTGAAGGGATCAAACTGCTTTCAAGTAACTTAATCCCTACAAGTCAAAAGCAAAGTGAAACAGACAAACCTAACTACCAAAGTGATTGCTTGACAACCCAGAAAGTATTTATTTCAAGTGAATTTAAAACACAGCAATCTGACTAGTGGCATAAGTCCTTAGGATAAAAGCAAAATTAAGAAATCTTAGATTGTTTTGAGTAATATGAGTTGTAATAATATTGATATGGTTAATCTGAAACTATGATATATACACACAAGCACACCTAGACATACACATAGTTGAATAAAGGAAGCGAGGGATAATATTAATACTTTATTGTAAATATATATACATAATCAAAGAAGTTAAAATGTATAATTCTACATTTAAATTCAAAATATCAGTATGAACATATTTTTTCCCCTCTGGAAAAAACAAAAACATATTCCTAACTACATCCATTGAAAAAGCCTAGAAATAATTACCCAGACCAGGAACAGTGAGCCCCTAGCACCCAGATTTTTTAATGTAAATATCATTTCTCACTAAAGTGAACCAAGACATTTGGAATAAGTAGCTGATTCAGGTGAGTCTGGAGCATTTTACATGAGAAATCACATGTGTTAACAAAGATGGGACACTTTGGCATCAGAAAGAATAACCTGCAATGCATGAAAACATACACAAAATGTTAAATCTAAAAATTTATAATTTAAAAACCCAATTGTTACTTTTGGAGAAGGCTAAGGAATCAGCTTATTATTCTGAAAAGCAGTAAGCCAAGGGGAAGTACATAACAATTATTATGCCTTGACTTGGTTTCCTCAATGTAATCGAACCGCTGATTAGATAAATAAATATATATGTGATTCCAGTTGTTAAGACAGAAGTTATAATGAACAATTATTGTTTTTCCACTTGATAAAACTATTGGTTCTAGGGACTGTTCAGTGATAACTAATATGTTACATAAAAAATGGAGAAGTTTATAATGGATGGATCAAGCTGACATCACTAGAATTTACTCATTAAATATCATGAAAGAGGAAGCCAGACATTAATTGTCCCTTGATGTGTTACAATAGAAGGTGCCATGATGCCACCTATAGGATGCTCTTGCCAAAACATTGGCCCTAAATCTCATCAAGCCTTTAGATGTAACCACAGTTTATATAACACACCAAGGAGAGCGGGACATGCCAACTAAAACCATGATATTGCAATCCTCAATACTCAGAATGTGGAATATTCCACAAGACCAACAATCTTGACTCCTCAACAAATAAATTACAGAAAAATAATAAATACGGAAACCTATTGATTAATACATCCTTAAAGACATAGCCAAATTCAGTGGGTTGATCTTACTTGAATTTTGATTTAAAACATATTATATATGCATATAATGATAGCTGGGTGTATAGTTATGGTCAAAATGATAAGTCATAGATTTCAGACATTATAGATGTTGCAGAAAAGAAGACACAGTCCCTGGCCCCAAGGAACTTAAAATCCATTATAAATGGGAGTGAAAAGAGTCTGAGAGTGAAGCTTTTTCTATTAACCGAGTTAATCTTCCATTGCATTCTCCACCACAGCACTTTATAAATCTTCTCTAGAACTGTGCTGTCCCTAATGTTATCTACTAGCCACATGTGGGTGTTAAGCCATTCAGTGGAGCTAGTGTGTCTGAGAAAACACATTTTTTATTTTTATTTAAATTCAAAAATCAGTGCTCATTTAAGTTATTGGAAATATTTTAAATGTAATTGGAACAGCATGAGTTTGCAAATCTACTTTTCAACGGCAAATTTTATGAAATCTTAATACAGCTCATGTATTTCTAAGGAAGATTTAGTGTTCAAATTAAGATGTGCCATAATTATGAAATAGACACCTGATTTTGAAGGTTTGGTATATGATAAATTTTGTGAAATAGCTCATTCTTATTTTTATATTGATTACATATTTAAATGATAATTTTTATATACAAATTAAGTACAAGTATTACTAAATTCATTTCTTTTTTACTGTATTAATGTTGCTATCAGCAACTTTAAATGTGTGATTTATAATTTTAAATGATAAATGCATAACTTATCATTTTAGATTATAAAATTTTAAATTTGGATCTTTTCTTTTTTCCAGTATTTATTGAGTGTTTACTATATGTCAAGTTCTATTTAAAGATGAAGAGACTACAGTTTCTGCCCTCAAGGAGCTTAAAGTCTAGTGGGTGAGGGAGACATTTAATTAAACATTACCACTTATTCTGATAAATGCTAGAGCAGCACTGTCCAACAGAAACATAATGCACAACACATTATAATTTTAAAATCTGAGTTATCATATAAGACTCAAATGGTGCAGTATCTTCTTTCCAAAGATGCTGCAGGTGTCCCGGACCACACTGCTGCTTCTCCAATAGCACCCTCTGCCAAGCACACTGACTTGGCCAGAAGTCCTGGGTATACACCCCACCCATGCTGCCCTTTTTGTGCTGAGTTTTCTCTTCTCTTCTTGACTTAGAAGAAATGTTCTTGGGGGATAGGATCTGGCTTCAAATGAATCTTGATAATATTATGCCTCCAAGATTTAGGTATATTTCCTGCTCTGCAGCGTAATTTAGTCGGTCTTGAGTGATGCAAATTATCCATCTATCATCTATATACCTATCTATCTATGTTTGTATCTATCTGCATAGCTTCTCTGTTCCTACCATAAGTTATACTCATCTTTCTCTCTGCCTTAGTTCATGCTGCTTCCCTTACCTAAAAGCCATTTTCTCAGCTTTACTCTAATCCACTGTTTTATAAGAGTGTGTTGTAGGACTGTTGTTCTCCCTTTTCCCTGAACTCCCAGCTAGCTTCTGTGGAAATTGTGACATACTTTTCTGCAACTAACCACTTAATTTATTTTCTTTTAAAAAATAATAATAGTAATTGTATATTTATTTCTTCAGACCCCTCTTTTGAGACCTTTTGCCTCTCTGTGCCTTCATGAAGTCTAATCGATGCCCTCTATCAGAGCTTTGCAGAGTGCTGGAGCAGCATCAATCCTTTTGAACAGAGGTTTGGCTGCCATCGCGCAGGGCCAGGACTCAGGCCAGGAAAGTGAGGTGCTTAGGCTGCGCACTTCACAGCATCACAGGGTTGTTCAAGTGCTGATGTTGAGCCACAAATAGTCTAATATTACTGAAAACTTAGGGATAAGGATGTGGAATAGTGAGAGGTCAGACTGGACAGGCAGGTGAGGGCCTGATCATGGACAGCCTTCTATGTCCTGGAATGCAATCAGACTCTATCCTCAAAGCAAAGTGGAGCCAAGTGCAGTGTGGATCAGGAGAGAAACGTGATTTCAGATGGGCATGTTAGAATGACTGACTTCATATCAGCCTAGAGAATCAGCTGGAAAGAGCAAGAAACCAAAGACAGAAAAGAGTTTAGACTGTGTCATCCATGGTGGTAGCAGTAAAAATAGAAGAGAAGATTATTCAAGATATCAATGATGAAGACTTGAGAGGATGAGGAAGGAATCAAGGCAAGGAGATCAAGAAGACCCCCCATTTCTACTTGGCCTCCTGGGATAATGAAAATCCCATCCACCAAGATGGGTCTTTCACAAGGCTGCTGAGGTTACAGCTACGTCTGGAAGACCTAAAAACTATGGGCGTGAAAATGAGGTGGATGGCAATAGAAATGAAGAGAATAGTTCTTAGGTTCAAAATAATGAGGAAAAAATCCCTTTTCTGGTGATTTTGATAGATGGCCAGATTTGGGAACCATGAAAAACCTAATAACTTGTCTACTTTGTACAACACACTTAAAAATTCCATCACTCAGAATACTTCCCTGAGAACCAAAAGTTGACAAGAGGCTCTCACAGGTCCCACCAAACGATCACCCTGTGTGCCACTGCCTGCCTGCTGCTAAGTCGTTTCCCAGTTGGCAGCTATCAAGGCAGTCATAAGAATGAGTTCCATAAAACTCAGCTGAGAACTATGAAACTGGAGGTGAGGGCTTTTAGGAAGCAAGGGAGAAACAGCAGCACTTGGACAAACTGCGGGGATAGAAGAACTTTTGGAGATGAATACAATTCCCTGTGAAGAAGAGCTCATACAATTAGTCATGTTAAATTGCCAAGGTACATTATCAGCATGAGCCACAGCTGCCCCATCTCAGCGCCAGGGAATGTTATTTTCACTCTTACAGTTACAGCAAGACTCTAATTACTGAAAGTGCCGATGTCACCTTAATTATAGTTTTATTTAATGATCACATTGGGCACTGCCGTATGATGTGGGATTTTTTAAAATAAAATATGGCAGAGAAGTGGAGGAGGAGAAATTAGCTCTCAATGTATTATCATTCAGCTCATTGGGGGCACACACTTAAGTTATAGCACAAAGAACTCCCATTCACAGAGAATGTTGTTGTAATTTAGCATTTGTTGTTTAAGAGATAAGAAAATAGCACATTTTTTAAATGCAAGCTCATGCTTTTCCAGCCAGTCATTATTGGAAATAATTATCATTCATACCTGTATTTCTCAGGATAGAAACCTGTTAGAAACACAACCGAATTAGAAAGTTCTTACATGTGCTGACAATTTGCAAAATTTTTGAATGCCCATTGAATAACTGAACCAGGCAGACTCCAAGAACTTGCAATGTAATCATAGGAATAAGTGACAAAGACATACATTAACCGCATGTAAACAGCTGGGCACTAAACAATCGCAGAAATGGTGTGAGTGACTAGCATGATTCTAGGCAGATGTGGTTAATGAAAATCATAAAAGGCTCAATATGGAATCCACCTTAAAGTGTATCTCTTTCAAGTCCTTCATTCTATTGGCAACAAGAGTGAGAAACACAGAAGTTAGGGCACAATAAATTAGTGACAGACCTGACATTGTAATCCAGGGACTCTGGGTGTCAGGGTTGGGAGGGTCCAATCTGAAGCAGTCATCAGAAGAAGAAAATGGAAGGAGAGAGAGAGAGAGAGAGAGAGAGAGAGAGTGTGTGTGTGTGTGTGTGTGTGTGCGCGCGCGTGTGCGCGCGCGTGCCTATTTGTATGTGACAGAGGTGGCAAATACAGGGATGTCCATATGCAGATACTATCTCCAACACGCCCAGGGACAGAGGCTAGCAAGTGAACATGGCATGATTTGTTACATAAATAGAGAACAACACAAAGGATGGGAGAAAACCTAGGGAACTGGATAATGGGAGAAATGGTGAACAATATACGAACAACTACATTCCTGAATTTCAAGAGATAATTGGAAGCCATTTCAAAATTACAAAGAAAAAGTGCTTTGCATGATCAAAACTTATCTTGTTGATAAATCTTGCTCCTGCAAGTAGGACAGATTAAAGGTGGAAAAATCTGCAGTCGTGAGAAAGCCAGAAATAGGACTGTTGCTGTGAACTGGACATATGGTTGGGAAACAGGAATCCCATAAGGATTTTCATGAAAAAATAAATGAGCAACTCTGAAGATTTTACTCAATACACAAGGATGAAGGAATTTTTTTTTAATCTCAGAACACAAGTTGGTAACTCAAATAAAATACTGGTGGTATAAATTTGGATTTTAGAAAGTTCTTACATGTGCTGACAATTTGCAAAATTTTTGAATGCCTATTGAATAATTGAACCAAGCAGACTCAGTACTTTCTTTTAGTTGGCAGTGAGTCTCCCAGGTAAGGATATAACATCAAGAGAGCAAAATATCCAATTATAACATTAATTGGTCAGGGCCAGACACAGAGAGATTGCCATATTTTGAATATAACAATTATCTTCAAATGCTTGAATTCCTAAACCTATTAAAAATATCGAATATCAAAGCTTAACTTGGTCAATTTTTTTGAAAGACTATTTTGGTCAAAATATAGTTTATTTTATACCCATAGTTTTTAAAAATTGGAAAGTAATAACAGCCTTTCCTACACTACTCTGATACTGTGGAATCATCCTCAAGATTATCAGAAATTGCCTGTAGCTCCATGAGGCTAATGTTGCTCTTTATGGGACATAAAGCTGCTTTAGCATCAGGTTTATTGCAGAAGGCAGCTTGAAGAGACATATTTGCCCTGCTTAAGCCTTTAAAAACTTACAAAAATAGCAAGTGCATCTCATCTGGCTCTATTGAAATAACATCCCTGAAAAGAAAAAGCATTTCAACAAGCCTGAAAAACAAATGCCTCCCCAGAGATCAGGCTGCTCTTTGTAGAGAAGACTTTTTGTCAAAGCTCTTGGGGAGTTTTATGTAGAACCAGATGGGGCAAATTTTTCCTTTTATTGCCTTCACCTCTAATTGATGGGTATCCAGAGAAAGCCTGATTCATAAAGTGCGGGAGACCATCTTCATCTACACTCTTTAAGTTCTTTGGAAGAGGTTTATTTTCAGGAAGTCTAGTCCATTGACAAGAGTACAATCAATGCAATTAAAATGAACAAATCGCTTTGCAAATCACCACCTCTAGTTTCCACGAGCCTCCTCTTAAAATCCATGAATGCTTTTATGGCCTTCTACTTTTCTCTATGGAATTCAAATTGCTAAACATTCATGAAAGTGTAGATAAGTTGGAGATAAATCCAACCTTTAAGATCAATGCATGAAACTACTCTTAAAATCCAATCTTTGTCCCCAGTTCTTACCTTTGGGAGTAAACTATTTCAAATTATTACTGGACAGGATTGCCTCATTTGTGCTTCCCTTTATCTCTGTTGTTTAAGTCAACCCTCAAGGAAGTATCAATAATTATCAAAGAAACCTCCAAGTTAACATAGAAATACACACAGACACACACACATACACACATACACACACACACATATATATGTGGCAAATGCTGTCTGCCCCTAGCACATGACCTCTTTTTTTAAATCTAAGAACACAAGTTGGTAACTCAAAATGCTAGTGGTATAAATTTGGATTTTAGAATAAGAAAATAAACTCTAAATTTAACTTTCTTTTAGATGGTAGTGGATGTCCCAGGTAAGAATATAATATAAAGACCACAGCACATGGCAAAATTGTCCTATTGACTCTGCAGCCCCTACGTGGAAGACCAATTGAAAGTTCTGTGAAAGAAGGATGAAAAGGAATTTCAGGATAAATGTCTCATCCCCATTGTCCCTGGGTTGGATAATTCTGAGATCTGTCACTGAATCTCAGTGTTTCTGCACAGGCTCAGCTTCTATACCCTAGTGGCAAGCCACTTCATAAACACTGCCTTTATTGGCTTCCTGCATGTCCCTGCCTCTCTTCCCCTTATCCCCGTCAATGCTCCCTGGAATTACCTTCCAAATAAACTACTTGGATTTAAGGTCTGCTTTGGGCAAACTAAAGTTGTTACAATGTTTGTCCATGGAAGCCTGGGTAGGGAAGAAACAGATCAGGGAATACAGATGCTGCTCCACCCCTAATCGCTCCTCTGATAACGGCATCCTGAATAGGCAAAAAGCAATCCAGCATGTTATAGGGCATTAGTACATGTGCTCTCCTAAGAACTTTCTCCCTTATCTGCAAAGACAGTTCTGATGGACATAGCGGGATGCTATGACATGAATTTCCTTTATCCCTTCCTTCCATTTTTTTGTCCAGCTGTCACAAGTAACCAAAAGCAGGCCATAAGTGTTCTCAAGCACATCAAAGCCACGTGTTGTGCATGGTAATAGAAAATGTTTTTTTGGAAACACAGTATAAACTTCAGGTTTGGTCCTCAGATTATTCATATCTTCCTGGAACCTGCCTTATTTCACTTTCATAGAAACTCATCTGTAAATAAGAGAATTGGAAATTTGAGAACTTGGCCTGGCATGGAGGCTCATGCCTATAATCCCAACACTTTGGGAGGCCAAGATAGGCAGATTGCTGGAGCCCAGGAGTTTGAGATGAGCCTGGGCAACATGGCAAAATTCCATCTCTACAAAAAATACAAAAATTAGCCAGACATGGTGGCACATGCCTGTAGTCCCAGCTACTCAGGGGGCTGAGGTGGGAGAATGGCTTGAGCCCAGGCAGCGGAGGTTGCAGTGAGCCAAGATCATGCCACTGCACTCCAGCCCGGGCAACAGAGACCCTGTCTCAGAAAAAGAAAAAAAAAGGAAATTTGAAAATTTACATTAGTTGCCATTTTATATTTGTATAAATCAAGCGAAATTTCTGTAAAGTCTAGGCTGATACCCTTTACAGGTATTGAGGCAAACATTTTCAAAATCTATGTACGTTACCAGAAGTTAACATGAAATAGGAAATCTCTTCAAACCAAAGTCTTCCTTAGACAGGTACATTTTTTTTAGCATTTTTCGCCATCACTGTCTGGAGATTTACCATTTATCAAGAAAACTAGACTGCCCATAGTTGCTCATGGATAGAATGGACAGTGGGGTAATTTCATCCTAATGCCTGATGAGGTTCTTGCCCCTCATCAACAGGCTTGGTAGCTCCCAGCTATGACTTCCTTCTTCCAGTGCTTTTCCCCTCTGGCTGAACTTCAAAATCAAAGTGAAATTTATCTGCTTAATGTAATACCTGCTTTGCCCAATTCATTTATCAATGTTTGGCTGATTTCTTTCCAAGAGGCAGATACTTGGGCATAAATATTTTCTATTCTATATGTAATATGTAGCCCTGGGTAACTTTCATCAGGGATGGCATTAAGCTCTGCAAAATGATGGACTGTTTTCCTTCACATTACCTTCCTCCAGGTAAACTACTCTGTAGATTAGTAACTGGTTTTTCTTGATTTATTTTTGAAGGTTACTCCATATTCCTTTACACAATACTTTTCTATGAATTATGCATGCTACTAAAGTCCAACACCCAGCAAAGGCAGTAGACTATAATTTCTTCTCTTGTAATTTACATCATACCACCATAAATGACTTAAGTTTCTAAATTTTTCATTCAGAACATACAGCTTGATACTCAAGTGGGAGGTTTTCAGGCCATCCAATAATACTTCAGTTGAGTACCATTAATTTTATTTTGAATTTGATATTTCTATGTTTTAATTATAAACCTTATCTACATACTGAAACATAAATATATAGAACCTACATTGACCCCCAAATATAAAACATCTGAAATATGGGCATTTCCTGTTTCTTTTCTGAGGCAATAAGGTGAGTTGAGAATCAACAGAAGAGACATGAATGGAAAAAAAAGATAATATCTCTAGGGTTTAAGTTATTTTTATCTTTAATTATCACAAATTACCCTGGATTGTTTCTCAAGCCTACATAAATATCACTTTTTTGGCTTTTATTCTTTTTAATGAGGTTCAGAATTTTCTAATTTTAGTACAATGAACACATACTATTCTCACATAGCAAATGTTAAGGAAAGTCTTTAAAAGTAAAATACGTTTAAGAACAACAGCAACAACTTCCTAAGAAAAGCTTTAATTCAGGCTTCAATTCTACCTCTCATCCCATTTCTCTTTCCTTATGATTTTTGAACATTGATAGGAATAATTGTTGAAAGGACACAAAGGCATAAGAATGATACAATGGACTTACGGGACTTGGGGGGAAGAGTGGGAGGAGGGTAGGGGATAAAAGACAACAAATATGGTGTAGTGTATACTGCTCGGGTGATGGGTGCACCAGGTTCTCACAAATCTCCACTAAAGAACTTGGTCATGTAACCAGTACCACCTGTACCCCAATAACTTATGGGAAAAAAAATTTTTTAAAGGATCAGAATATAAAAGTTCTGGAAGATAAGTTTTTTTTTGTTTTGTTTTGTGTTTTTTAAGAAATAAAATAGTATGGGATAGAGAGCACCTCAAGAGTTCACAGGAGACCATCTCTTTTACTGATGTGCAGGACAGGCCTAGCCAGTGAGTTAGGTGTGAGTTCAGATCCCAAACAAGACACCAAGGTAACTTACAGGGGGAATGTTGGGAGGATTCAAGGAAGAAATCAGAGTGGCTAGAATGTTTATTTAGAGAACAACAGAAATTATCTGACAAACTGGGTAAACCACTTGGCATTTTTTGTCTTTTTCCCTTTTATTGCTTCAATGAACCATGTTTTAGCCTGTACTTGTTATTCTCCATGTTCCTCCATGTACTGTCCATGGAACTTTCTCCTTTAGTTTTAAAAATCATGGCTGGGCACGGTGGCTCATGCCTGTAATCTCAGCACTTTGGGAGGCCGAGGCAAGCAGATCACGAGGTCAGGAAATTGAGACCATCCTGGCTAACATGGTGAAACCCCGTCTCTACTAAAAAATACAAAAAATTAGCCAGGTGTGGTGGCAGGTGCCTGTAGTCCTAGCTACTCGGGAGGCTGAGGCAGGAGAATGGCACGAATCCAGGAGGCAGAGCTTGCGGTGAGCCGAGATCGTGCCACTGCACTCCAGCCTGGGTGACAGAGTGAGACTCTGTCTCAAAAAATTAAAATTAAAATTAAAAAAAAATAAAATTGCGGAAGTTTGGGTTGGTTTTAGTTTTGCTGGTTTTTTACGCCTCTTGAAGAGAGAGGTTTACCAAGAGCACTGCATTCTCCAATAAAGCAAATGGGCTGGGCTCAGTGGCTCACACAGATAATCCCAGCCCTTTGGGAGGCTGTGGCAGGAGGATCACTTGAGCCCAGAAGTTCAAGACCAGCCTGGACACCATATTGAAACCTTGTTTCTACAAAAAATATAAAATTAACCGGGGGTGGTGGCGCATGCCTGTAGTCCCAGCTGACATGTGTAGTCCCAGCTGACATGCAAGGATTGCTTGAGCCTGGGCGTTCAAGGCTGCAGTGAGCTATACTCTTACCACTGCACTCCAGCCTGAGTGATAGAGCAAGACTCTCTCCCTTGTACAGTAAAATAAAATAAATAAAAATAATAATAAAACAAGGGAAGATGACAGTTCAATGTACATTCAGTCTTTAGTAATTGCTAAAATATCTTTGCATCTATTTATAAAAAGAGATAAATCTTTCCATAATTCATCAGAGAGTAGTGGGTTTTAGTAACTGTAGTATAACGTGTAACTCATTTGCTCCGTGAAGCACTAACTTCCATACAAGTAATTTTTTGTATGTGTGTTGTGTATGTTTATGTGTGTTGGGAGAAAGTCTAGACTCCTTACCCACAAAAAGAAAGTGAATTCCAGAAAAGGTTTAACTTATCTAGGAAGAGAAGAAAACTAATGCAAATCTTGCTATTAACTTAATGCATCACGAAAATGACTTCACCTAAGTGTTTTGTGCCATATTTTCTAGCATCTGTAGTATGATTATAATAATAACCTTCTTAGAGAAGAAAATCTTTTTTTCCAAAAATTACACTGCCCTCAATCACGAATATTGCTTCAAAATTCATATTTACATTCTGTTTTATAAGGTTATTTTTCTAAATACTTTTTCAACCCAAATGTCATGCAAATGTTTTGAAATCATCACAATGAAAAGCACAATGTTCAAGTCTGTAAGAAGGCAACATTCCATTGTAGATGTTCCTTTATTACTTTTTCTTTTCCATGCTTACATTCATAAATTTTTAAAGTACGCACAGTATCTCCTAAAGAAACATATTTAAATGACGTTTGATTTAGCAATATATTTGAGTGGAATACATGCATTTTTTTTACTCACTTATAGGAAGACAAAGATATGGCTTTGTGGAAAAAGACTAATTTCGTCTAAATTCTACATAAATTATGCATTTCCAATAAATCAAAATTTTCTCCATTTTTTTTCATTTTTGTTGAAAACATTCCACTTTTTACAATACATTTTTGTATTATTACAATGAAAGGGTTTGAACTACAATTACAAAGTTGCACAAGAATATGGTCATTTAAGAGCTTGATTAATTTTTGTTTTTTAAATTGTAATTGTTTTTTGTCTTAGAGGACTTCATAATTAATTTTCAATTTAAGTGATATTCTTTGGAGGCATCACCCACAGATTACAAAATGTTATTTCTCTATTTTATAGCCATTAAGGAAATATTTGGAATTTTGAATGAGTGTCTACAAAGAGAAAAGTTGTGAATCACTACTGACCCTCAGGAAATGAATGAGGCTAGTTGTAGAAAGCTTCATGCAGATAGAAATTATAAATCACTTTCTTATTTTCCAGGTTATAGAAATGCTCTTTAAGACCAACTGGAGATGTCAGTATGACTCATGTATATTTTACAGAAGTCAATTTGATATAGAAACCAAATTGACATAGAATTCAATTATACACTCACACATACAGACACACACAAGTGTGTGTGGGTGTGTATCTTTTATTACTTACAAAAAGCTATTTATTAAAGTTTACTTTCATAAAAAGACAAAGTCCGGTTCCTTTGTCACCACAGACAGTGTTTTCAAATGAATCCTATCGTTTTAGCAGACTGTATGATGTTTTCATAACATCGTAGTTAAAGATGCAGGCTTTGGTACAGCCATATGATGGATACCACCCAGAAATAGAAGAGGAGGGGATGCTTGATTTAGGCAACAACATGGATGGTTCTTAAATGCACTTTTCTAAATGAAAGACACCAAATTCAAAAGGCTGTACACTGTATGTCACACTTCATGTGACATTATGGGAAAGGTAAACATACCAAGATCTGTGGTTCCCAAGGGCTGGTTGCCTCTCAAGGGAGCAGGAGCTGTCTAAAAAGTGGCCACACAAGGGAATTTTTAGGGTGATAGAACTGTTCTATGTGGTACTTTGATGCATATTTGATGCATTTTTTACACCACAAGGATAAACTTAACCACGTGCAAACTTTTATTACAGTTTTTGATAGCTTTACTGAGGCATAACTGACATAAAAAGACCTGTACACTTTTCACCATATACAAACATTAACTCAAGATAGATTAAAGAAGAAAACCTAGGAAACACCATTCTGAACATCAGCCTTTGGAAAGAATTTATGACTAAGTCATCAAAAGCAATGGCAACAAAACCAAAAATTGACAAGTGGGACTTAATTAAACTAAAGAGCTTCTGCACAGCAAAAGAAACTATAAACAGAGTAAACAGACAACATACAGAACGGGAGAAAATATTCACAAACTACATATACAACAAAGTTCTTATTTCCAGAATCTATAAGGAACTTTAACAATTGAACAAGCAATAAATAAAGAACTCCTTTAAAAACTGAACAAAAGACATAAATGGACACTTCTCAAAAAAAGACTTATGAGCAGCCAACACACATATGAAAAAATGCTCCACATCACTAACCATTAGAGAAATGCAAATCAAAACCACAATGAGATACCATCTCACACTAGTCAGAATAGCTATTATTAAAAAGTCAAAAAACAACAGATGCTGGCACAGCTGTAGAGAAAAGGGAACACTTATTCACTGTGTGTAGGAATACAAATTAGTTCAACCACTATGGAAAGCGGTTTGAACATCTCTCAATAAAGTTAAAACAGACCTAACATTTGACCCAGCAATCCCATTACTGGGTATATATCCAAAAGAAAATAAATTGTTCTACCAAAAGAACACATGCACTCATATGTTCATCACAGCACGATTCATAATAGCGAAGACATGGAATCAACCTAGGTGCCCATCAACTGTGGATTGGATAGAGGAAATGTGGTACCTATACACCATGGAATACTATGCAGCTATAAAAAAGAAGAAAATCATGCCCTCTGCAGCAACGTGAATGCCTTTGGAGGCCATTATCTTAAGCAAATTAACGCAGGATCAGAAAACCAGATACTGCAAGTTCTCATTTATAAGTGGGAGCTAAATATTGGTTACTCACGGGCATAAAGATGGTAACAATAAACACTGGGGACCAATGCAGGGGAGAGAAGAAGGAGGACAGGGGTTGAAAACTACCTATTGGGTACAAAGCTCAGTACCTGGGTGACCGGATCAGTTGTACTCCAAACCTCAGCATCACACAGTATACCCAGGTAAAAAACCTGCACATGTACCTCCTGAATCTAAAATAAACATTGAAATTATTAAAAATAACCTTGAGGACAGATATTCTTTTGCTCTACTTACCTCTGTAGGCAACCTAATGTTTTTGTAAAGAAAATACTTGATGCTTATGTAGAATAAATGAATAAATAAAAGATGTGAAGTACTAAAATTACTTAGCCCTTTAATGAAAATAACGATATGTGAATTTGAGAAATAAACGATTCTTTAAATCTGAGAATTCACTTAAGCCAAAATAATAGCTACAATCATTTATAGGTAATTCATTTATAATTCAACATAAAATTTTCTTTTTTTAACTTTTAAGTTCAGGGGTACATGTGCAAGTTTGCTATATGGGTAAACTCATGTAATGGGGGTTCAGTGTAAAGATTATTTTGTCTCCCAAGTATTAAACCTAGTACTCATTAGTTATTTTTCCTGATCAGCTCCCTCATCCCACCTTCCACCCTCCAGTAGGCCCCAGTGTCTGTTGTTCCTTTCTTAGTGTCCATGTGTTCTCATCATTTAGCTCCCACTTATAAGTGAGAACATGTAGTATTTGGTTTTCTGTTCCTGCATAATTGCTAAGGATAGTAGCCTCCAGCTCCATTCATGTTCCTGCAAAGGACATGATCTTGTTCTTTTTTATGGCTGCATAGTATTCCATGGCTTATATGTACCACATTTTCTTTATCCAGTCTACCATTTACAGGCATTTAGGTTGATTCCATATTTTTGCTTTTGTGAATAGTGCTGCAGTGAACATATGTATGCATGTGTCTTTATGATAGAACAATCTGTATTCCTTTGGGTATATACATAGTAACCTGATTGCTGGGTTGAATGGCAGTTCTGTTTTTAGGTCTCTGAGGAATCACCACACTGCTTTCCACAATGGTTGAACTAATTTACACTCCCACCAACCATATATAAGCATTCCTTTTTCTCCCCAAATAAAGTTTTCTCATGTGTAGTTTTATCCTCATAAATAGAGTAGCCATGTGTCTTGGTTTATCCTTGCTCTTCCAGCATACTCGTTGATCTTATCTGGTTTGGCCAACATCTGGCCTGGATTTTCCATATTTTAATCAAGTATTACCTTAATACTTGCACTAACATAAGCTAAGCTGGATTTGGTAGATCAGTATTGTCTTTTGAGCTTCTTCCAGAACCTACAAAGGAAGTGTCTGAGTCACAGGTGCAGGGAAACAGAGTGCTTATTGAAACGTGGTTAAACCCACAAGACAACTAACTGGCTGGGACCTCTCTCTCTTTTCCAAGCACTTTACAGACACCAGTTAATTAACACCTCCCTTTCAAGGACTGCATGCAGGGCACTCAAAGATAAAATTAAGGCTCTGTGACAGGAGCAGGTAGGGACAGCAACCCCATGGACTCTTGGACAGTGGTGGGAGGAGGGCACAACGCTCTGCCCCCGCGGGTCACTTGGTGTACCTGATTGCTGTCTGTGTTGGGAGGAGCTCAAAGCAGCTGGGCTGCCAGGCAGGGGAACAGAGGGGAACATGAGAATGACAGGTTAGGAAATTACAAGTTAGGTATGTGAAATAGGTGTGACAAGACATAAAAGCAAAAGCTTGAATCCTCTTGCTTCCGAGGTTTTATCATTTATTGCGTGTGCAAATGTCTTTTGTTACTTGGGTATTTTAATGGTTTTTTTTTGTTATGAAATAAATCTTTGACACCAGTGAGCTTAAAAATACACATTTAATTTTTAAAACCAAGAAGTTTGATGATGCATGTGTACAGTGTCTAGATTTCATCAACCACAGGAAAACCAAGAGATGCAAACTTGCTAAGAAGTATCTATTACAAAGTCAGTTGTTATTTAGAGAAGACAGTGGCCCAAAGTCACAACCCTCATTCAGTTGCAGAAAGTGCTGAATGTTTCATTTAGATCAAGTAACCGTTTTACTAAATTAATTTTGCTTAGTTTTGATTCCAAATTTTTTGCATACACATAAAAAGTGAAGCGTTTGCTGTTAATGTTAGCTCTATTTGCCAAATAATAATAATAGAAGTAGTACAGTAGCAATGGTAGCAACAACCCCTTAAATTGAAATGATGCCATTTTATATCAGGGCTATCACATATTTTCAATGCAAAATTACTTGTTACTATATTTCAGTAAATATTCTATTTTTCCATCCAGTTATTGAAATGAAATTTAAGCTTGGAGAAGTTTATTCAGGTAGAAGCTATCTGTCATTGTTGCAAATAGTTATAAATTCATTAAAATTCATTTTTAAGAAAACATTTTGATTTTGTAGCAATAATGCAGTCAGAAATTTTAGTGGAGCATAGCATTTTGGTAAAAGCCACATTCTTAATAAATTAAGCAATGTTAAGATGAGAAATGTACTTAAATTTGGCCATGTGGTACATATCATTTATCCATGGCAACCTAACAAGCTGAAGCTTTAGCAGTTTTGGAAATTTTCAAGAACTTGCAATTATCGATGCAAATTTTACAAAGAGAATAATCACCTTCACAAAATAAAAGACCCAAAATTATTGACAGATGAGAGCTAAAATGGTGTATGAGATTTAGTTCTGTACTTCTATAATCGTGTTTGAGAATATTGCAAGTTCCTATTTATAACTGGATAAATTTTATATTCTGTGCTGGAACTATATTGAGAAAGCCTATAATTTGGTGAACTATGTGAGTTTGACAAAATATTCAAAATAATCACAAGTAGAAACAACTTGTTGACAAGTTTTGTCTGTAAACATATTTGACCAACAAACAACAGTACTTTATATAAGGGCAAAAAGCCAGTGCCTATGAAAATATTTGGGCTGAAATATTTATATGCTTCAATTGTGAAACAAATAAACTTGAGGATATTTCCCATTTAGCATGATTAGCTCTGATTTTACCTGGTGATCAGGCATGTAAATATTTTGAAATGTTTTCCTAAGATTTCAAAATATTGTGGTTTATGTAAAAGAGGCATTTGAGCAATTAAATACAATTTTGAAGCAAAATGCAGGCACTTTTCTTTTTAAAAAGTGAAAATAATTTTTAGAAACGAGAATTTAGGAAATAACGATACACATCATTAAGGAGATAGGTAAGGCACTGACAGAAATACATGAATACAAACCAAGAAACATCCTACTTAGCCTTTTTCTAAATTTTCAAATAACCAACAAACAGGATTTTTGTTTAATGTGCATGAATTAAACAATGTGTTATTCTTAGTTTTATAGATACTGTTTTAAGAAAATAGTTTCAACATAAACTATATTATAGATCCAATATAATGACCTAATAGTATTATTGACTGATAAACTATAGGTCATTATATTGGCCTAATTTGAGATGTTTAACTATTTTAAATTTTTACTTCAAAGAGTTTTATCTAAAAAGTTTGGATGATAAATTACTAGAAGAATAAAAACCCTGTGAGGTAACTGTACAACAGATATTGTTTATGTGTGTGATTTGCTTAAAGTCACACAGCCACAACATGAAAGGTCTGGGACTGGAGCCAAGTCCTTGGAGAAGGATTGAGTGAGAATCTACAAACTAAAGGGCAGCATTCCAAGTTCAAGAAACATATGCATTGTTCTCAACATGCTTCCTCTAGTTAGAATACAAAATAAAGGAAAGAGGGGAAAAAACAAATAACACAGAAGTCTTTGAGAGGTCCAAAATACTAAATTTTAAATTAAGGAAGCAATGATATATAAAATAACATAGTGCGGACCAAAAAAGACATAGAGGAAGGCTACTGTTTGGAAGAATTCTGAACCACGTTTTGGAAAGGGAGGAGAGAGGGGTCCATACCAGAGATCTGGGCTGGAGCACATTGGCTTGGTGGGTGACTGTGTAGATGGATAAATCAGAATCAGCACAATGCCTATACGAACTGGAGGGTTTCTAATGGCCAGAAGATAGGAGCTTTAAGTGTTGAGTTTGAGATTCGTAAACAGAATGCTAGATTTTAAAGGTTACATTAGAAATGCTGGATAAAATGGAACTACTACAACCTGTATAAACAGAAAAAAAAGATGTAATGCAATTTGCTATACTTAAATATAATTTACTATATAAATTATATTTGGCGGTCATTTATTCGTTAATGCATTCAACAAACATCTACCAGATGTGTACAATGTACCAGGAACTGCTCTGTGCAGTGAGGAGAGAACAATAAATGAGACAAAGATCCTGTCCTCATGGAAGACTAGTAGAGAAAACAAATGATAATTTATATAAATCATAGATTACAATACAATATAGAAGGACAAGGAAGAAACACAAAGCATGGATGGCATGGGGATTACAGCAATGGAGTGCAACTTTAGATGAGACGGCCAGGGAATAAAGCTTGTGCTTACATAGTTATTATTCTATATATTAAAACATTTAATCCTCACAAAAATAGTATGTGATAGGTGTGCAAGTTTAGTCATTTATCCAAGGCTACATGACTAGAAAGTGGTGCCATTATTTAAAATTTAGACCATGTGGCTTGAGTCCAAGTTCCTAATCATCATGTTAATACTTTTCTATGACTTTGAGGTAGTGACTTTGAGCTAAGACCTGAGTTAAGCAAGAGAGTCAGCCATGTGATTATCTGGAGGAAGATTGCTTCAGAGGGAACAAAGGGTGCAAAAACCCTGATCAAGAGTATGCTTGACATGTGCAAGAAACACCAAAATTGTGTGATGTGGCTGAAACTGAGTTAGTTAAGTAGGAAATTGAGAGGAAAACACGGTCATATTATTAGCACATTGTGGTCCACTGAAGGGAGAATAGATGGTAGCTGTCTAAGTGTGGAAGCAGAAAGATGTCACCATCTATATGACAGGTGGTGCTGGCTTGGATTAAGGTATTGATGATTGTGATGTTCTTTTTGACATGTCAGTTTGGCTACTGTCTCCAGTTACTCAAACACAAATCTAGGTGTTACTGTGAAGGTGTTTTGTAGATGTGGTTAAAGTTCATAATCTGTTGAATTTGAGTAACACTGAGTTTTCTAGATAATCTGGGTGGCCTTATCTAATCAGTTGAAGAGTCTGAAGACCAGAGATGAGGCTTCCTGAAGAAGAAAAAAATATCACCATGGAGAGCAGTTTCAGTTCTTCCTAATGGTCTGCCCTACAGATTTGCAACTTGCCAGTTCAGTCCCCACAATCACATAAAGCAATTCTTTGCAATAAACCCTTTAAAGAATGTTTCCTGTTATGTGGTAAAGGGGTAGACACTGGTAATATTCTCAGGATATATCAAAAGTGGTATTAAATATTGGATGTGAATGAGAATGGGAGAAAGAAGTGCTTACTTTGTCAACAATACTACATTTTAATTGTTCCCCCATTGATGTCAGAAAACAATGGAGAATTCAGTTTGATAAGAAGAGTAGAAAGTACTTCACAGTCAGCGTTTGTTGTGGAGTAAATCTAGTTATCTTTTGTGAGTGCCCATATGATACATATGTGTGTATGTATATATAAAATACTATATCTGTATATAATATAGATTTATATAATATACATATATAGAGAAAATGCTATATGGATATATAGTATATATATACTATATATATTATATATGTTTATATAAAAACACACAAAACTATTTTCATTTTACACTGTATGCCAAATATGAACAGATTATTTCTGGGTAGTTTTGTGGGTTCATTCCATTAAATCGTTAAATATTTATTAAGTGCCTTTATTGTCCAGACATGAAATGCTAAGGGCAAACAGGAGTGAATCTGATGGGTTTTTAAAAATTTTTTTTTATTATACTTTAAGTTCTGGGATACATATGCAAAACGTGTAGGTTTTTTACATAGGTATACGCATGACATGGTGGTTTGCTGCACCTATCAACTCATCGTGCTTTTCAGGTTTTCTATAATGAGTTTTAAATTACTTTTTAAACACGCAAAATTCCTTTTAAGGATGGTGTAATCTCAAAGTTATTTCAAAAGAATATTAAATGTATTCTCTCTAGCAGTGGGAGTTCAGAAAGGAAAAACAAAACAAAATAAAAAACAAAAAAAACCACATGCAGCACCTCATTCTGTCCAAAATAAGACTAAATCATCCTGAGTCTGCTTTCATGACACCAGGTATGATTTTTTTTTTCTGTTCTAAGTACTCAACAAGTAATATTCAAACTTCCCATCATGTTGAATCCTGCTGCTATTTGAATACAGTCTCTTGATTACATCCCTTTTTACAATAGCCTTTAGAGGGCCGTGGACAGATTTCCACTGGCCACAAGTCTTCCTAAAAGTGCTCTCCAGCAGGATTTGCCTTTGTGGAAGCTGCCTTATTTGTGCAAGAGAAAGTGATGGTGTGTTTGACTCAATCACTCATTATACTACCTTCTGTATCCTGGCTGAAAGGGGAAATACAACACATGTGTTCTACGTTGGCTCTTCCAACATGGATCCCTTCCATGTCCTCAATTTCTGTCTCTATAAAAGGATAATAATAACCATCCTGCTCCTTTCTCTAAATAAAATACACTAGCAGTTATTAAGTGGGTTTAGAAATGCAAACATGCCATTCTGATAGGAAAATGCAGGATGAATAGTGTGGATAGCAACTATGAGGACATCTCCTCAAACGCATTTTCTTTTGGGGCCATTGCCTTCATATCATACAAAAAGAAGGATAATACCTGGACCGATTTCACATACTATTACAAAAAGCATCTAAAATGTTATTTTTAGCTACCGGAAAATTATCCTCCAAAACATGTCAGCTTAGCACTCATCAATAGTAATTTGAAATACACAGGATGTCAGGGTGAACTATGTACTTCCGTCCTTACAGATAAAATATACTACATGAGTTCAAAAGCGTTTATTCAAATGCCTCTCCTGAGAGGTTAACAGGGCTGCTGCTGCTAGAACATTCGGTGCACTGGATGCAGAAAACCCAAGGAGCCTGTGGCTCTGCTGGAAGATTAAGGACTCTCCGCTCCCTGTGTCACTGCCAGCTCCCAGCGTCCTCATCAATCTCTCCAGCAGGCTGTGCAGGCATTGCTTTCTTGTCGCAGTTTTATAAACAGGAGGAAGTGAGCTATTGTTGCTACATACACTCATGCCTGACCATAAAAAGATAAATACTTTAACTCTTAAGCTTCAGAGAGTAGAAATCTGGCTAAACACTAAGAAATAAGAAAATTAGTTCACTAGGCATCCACAGAAGTGAGTTTACAGAAAACATTGAATGAATGGTGACGTCACACAGATATCCAAGAGATACTGCAAAGAACAGCACAAAGATTGTTCATCGATATGCATTATTTATTGTTCAAGATCAGTTGTCGATTCCAATTATGTTTTATTTCTGTTGTTTCCCATTTGTGTATGAGGTTCATGTCAGACTTAATCATTCCTCTCCCTGCGGTCTCATGGCAGGTTGTTTGTAGCTCACTCTGTCTTGTGTTGTCAGCAGAGTCTATCAGCTATTCTCAATCTGTTCTCCTCCCTAACTGCAATATACACCTACAGGACAATATCCCACATAAGAAACCCCCACGGGTAGACCCAGGGTAGTACACTGTGCACACTTCAAAAGCACACTGATGTAGAGATAACCTTGAATCCACTCTGATTTTGGTATGTTTGACCTGGCTGATGATCAGTGGGTCAGCTTCACAATAACCACAGTGGCTTCCATAACTAACACGTGGTGGCCAGAGGCATCTGTGTTCAGCTGCTATTATCCCTGTTGGAGGTGTGCCATCCAGAGCCAAAGTCAGGCATTCCCATGCTAGAAGGAAAAAATCCAACTCCTTATTGTTCTCTCTGCATTGTTCTTACTTAAAGGAAGCCTGCCCCAGGGTTTGGTAAATACCATTCAGGCTATCCCTATGTCTGAAATCTCTGAAAACATGCAGAAGGGGAAGAAGAGGGAAATAAAAGACTCGTATCCATGAATGGAAATACCTTGGGGGAGGAGCAAGAAACCGTGTGTTTGCTAAGTGTGGGAGAGGTCACTGTCCCAGGTAGCCCCATGCTGTTTCCTGTCATCTTGGGATTCTCGCAAGTCCTACCCTGACCAGCCAGGGAACTGCGGGACCTGCCTGTGAGCAGACCTGAGCTGTGCAAAGAAGCACTGTTATGTGAGCATGTTCACACCAGCGGGTGTGCCCTTTAGATGGAAATGACCTCAGAGAATCCCTCCCACCTCTGGCGTTGGCCAAGCAGAGTCATCTTCTCGAGGGTACTCTGGGGAGACTACAGTACTTAATGGGAAATACCATTTAGAGGTCTGTGGACATCCTGACAAAGACAATTGAGATAAGTTTTTTCCCAGTAATTTGGGATTCAAAAGAAAGCTGAGTTGGCAAAGCACCCTGCAGCTCTGACTGTGCCGTGTGGAGCACAGGATCAGTGATCTCCGCTGAAGAGTAAACTGACTACACGAGGCCCGGAGTCCTACTGTCTTTCTGTGCTCTCAGGCCCTCCCTGGGGAGCCTAAGGAAGGAAGACTGCAGGGTGCCTCAGGCTGTCTCCAGGCCCCCTCACAGTTCCTCCAGGTACTGGGCCCTCAGCGTCTGCCTGTCTGTGACACCCACACCCATGTTTCGCCCCTGACCAGCCAGGCCCAGAACCCACCTGTCCTGAGAAAGGCAAAAAATACTCTTGCACCAAGAAACATCCATTCTCCTTAACTAATAGATCAAGAATTAGAAAATAAACACTATCGAGGGCCTATCAGAGGGTAGAGGGTAAGGAGGAGGAAGAGGATCAGGAAGAATAACTAGTGAGGACTAGGCTTAATACCCAGGTGATAAAATAACCTGTACAACAAACCCCTAGGACACAAGTTTCCATATGTAATAACCTGCACATATACCCCTGAACTTCAAAGTTAAAAAAGGAAATATCAATAGACACTTTCATGGCCCCAACATTTGTGTAGGGCAGATGGATTTTCAATCCTAACTTAGTCACTTTCTGACTTAATCGTCTTTGCAGCTACTTCACCTCTCTAGACCTCAAGCACTGCCTTATCTGCAAAATGGGTACAATAATAGTATCCGCCTCATGGGGTTTAGTGTTAATTTTTTTAAAATCATGCTAAGTGCTGAGCACACAGCCTGGCACTGTGCTGGAGAAAAGTTAATTTTTATTATGAAACAATGGTCAATTCTGCAGCACTAGGTTAGATATTGGGCATAATATTTACCATATTGGTACCAAACAGTATAAAATTTGACTCCAGAGACCTCTCATTTGTACTGTGACAGTAACTTAATTTGGCAAGAGCCATGCAGTCTCTGAAAGAGAAGCTTATGCTACTGCAAAAACTAATCAGGCCTCCAAGAAAGAAATGCCATCCCAGGCCAAGAGGACACAGCAGAGTTGGCACAAAGCAACTTAGCTGATGAGAGCCTGGGAGGGTGGGGAGTGGCCTCAGGAAAATCGTGAGCAAGGGGAGGCACTGCTGTGTTTGGTGGGTCAACCGGCCAGAAAGCTGGCAAAGCCAAAGGCCTCCACTTCAGAGAGCAAAAGAGGAAAACAAGTGTTTGTCCTTATATAAAGATTCTTTGCTTGGTCAAACTTTTGTCAGGCTCTTGAAGCTCCTGCTAGGCCTATCTGTGCAATTCTTTATAAAATTCAGTTTTAGCAGAGAATCCTGCTAATTCATTTTAGCAAGAACTCCCTACCTGTGATATCACATCACCCTCAATATCTGACCAGGTTTCTCATCCTCCTCTGTCCTCCAGGGAATGTCTGCTCACCCTGGCCTGTCTTCAGCAAAAGTTGTTAGGAAGATTTAGCCAAAATCCTTCTTATCCTTGATGTTTCTTTTTAGTAGTTTTCTATCCACTGAACCCCACCCTGTCGCTTGGCTATAACTTCCCATTTGCCCATTGCAGTGGGTCCTATACCTATCACAATGGTCTTGAATAAAGTCCACTTTACCATGTTTTTAAAATATTATTAAGTAATTTTTTTATTGTCATCCCCTATGGGAGGGAGAGATCCTGGGGCAGGAAGAGCATGGAAAAAAATGCATGCATTTTCCTTGCAGAAAAAAAAAAAAGTAAAACCAGTGCAAAGTGAGTTATACCCTAGGTCTAGGCTGTTCAGAGGCAGGAACCCACTCAGCCCATTTTCTTCTGGATAACCACCACTAGGAGACTGTGGCCAAGAGCTTCCCAGAATTTGAGTGAAGACTAGACAGCTTACCTTTGTTTTTTTTCTTTTTCTTTTAATTTCCAACTTTTAAGTTCCAGGGTACCTGTGCAGGACGTGCAGGTTGTTACATAGGTAAACGTGCGCCATGGTGGTTTGCTGCACAGATCGTTCCATCACCTGGAGCTGGAAGCCATTATCCTCAGCAAGCTAATGCAGGAACCAAAAACCAAATACCATGTATTCTCACTTATGAGTATGGGAGCTGAATGATGAGAACACATGGACCATGGACACATGCAGGGGAACACCACACCATGGACCCTGTCAGAGGGTAGGGGTGGGGGTAGGAGGAGGAAGAGCATCTGGAAGAATAGCTAATAAACAGCTTGCCTTTCTTTGCTGCCCTGTTGCTAGAATAAAAGGCAGTTTTAAAAGAGTGGCTGATCAGGAAGTTGCTGACTGACTAGAGAAGTCAGCAGGTTCTCACAGCCAGGGACTGGTGAAGGGAAGGAGGAGGAGAATTAACAGCTTTAGGAGCCTAGTATGTGCCAGGTACAGAGCTAGACTCTATAGCCACATCATCTGATATAATCCCTACAACATCACCTCAAGGTAATCACTGTTACTATTCCCATTTTACAAATAAGGAAACAGGTCAGTTACACCTCTTAGACAAGGAACTGAAATTTAAACACAGGCCTGTGTGATGCCAAAGTTTATACGATAAAGTCCTGATGGCCCTAACAGTTTGGTGGAATAAAAGCACATGATCTTGGGACGCCACCAGACCATAAATCACGTAGGAAATCAGAAGGGCTCATGGGCCAGACACTGGGCTTCCTGTGTATAACCATTTATGCTTTACAGAGACACTGCAAGAGGTTCCCATTATCACCTTGTATTAATCTGTTCTCGCATTGCTATAAAAAGAACTACGTGAGACTGGGTCATTTATTTTTAAAAAAAGGTTTAATTGGCTCACAGTTCCGACTGTACAGGAAGCATGGCTGGAGGTCTCAGGAAACTTACAATCATGCGAGAAGGCGAAGAGGAAGCCAGCAAGGAGCAGGAGCTCCTTGGTGGAGCAAGAGGCTCCACCTCTTGGCAGGTGCAAGAGGAAGATAGAAGCAAGAGATGCTACACACTTCTAAACAACCAGATATCGTGAGAATGCACTCATTTTGAAAACAGCAAGGCAGAAATCCACCCCCATGAGCCAATCACTTCCCAGCAGGTCCCGCCTCCAACATTGGGGATTACAATTCAACACCAGTTGTGGGTGGAGACCACAAATCCAAACCATGTCCTACCTCTGCTTCAATGTTAATAGAAACTGAGGCACACAGAGATTTAGCAACATTCTCAATATCACAAGGGTTGAAACCCAGGGTATATGGTACAGTCTATGCCCCTAAGTGCTATGCTATGTTGCAACTCAAACACTAAATTATCTTCCATATTGTCTACTTCCTGAATAGAGAAAATGCAATGATGAACATTAGAAACATTTCAAACAAGGAGTGGAATATTTGTAGTTTAACTCTAAAGTTCTCTTAACCTTAAACCATCTATTCCTGTCTTCTAATGGAGGCATTTGGTTTCCATTGTAAATGTTTACCACCTATATACACTGTTCAGAAGGCAAGTGAGTCTGACTTTTTACAACCTACAAATAATGTGGATGGACATTTTGCAGACTTGAGTCTAGAATAGCAATTTTCTGTGGGTGGAATCATAAAAATAGAAAGCTCTACCTCAGACACAAATGAATGAAAGATTGTAGTATGCCCCTCCCTCGCTTAAAATCCAATGGTTGTAACATACAATAAAGCCAGCATGTGAAAGCTGTGGGGAAAACATGGGTTATTAAATAAATGGCTTTCAGAAACCTGGAGAGCCATTTCAGGAAAAAAAAAATAAATTGCATCCATACCTCAAATAATACAACAGAATAAATTCCAAGTGCATCAAAGATTTAGGAAACGTGTAAAAAACATTTTTAAATTATGGACTAACTGTGTCCTCTTCAGCTAAACACTGACCATCACGTCCTTCTCTCCAGTGGGTCATCTTTAAAAGCTTGGGAAACTTAGCTATGGCCTCATGACACACTGAGGCAGGTTTTCCCACAGGTTTTGTGTGAAGCAAGTTATACTTATTTGTAAAATTTTCAACTTGTATTAGCTTAAAAAATGAATATCTGATTGCAGCTGTATTCTATTCTATATTTTAGAACAAAAACCTGGCTCAGGAAACACCAGGTCTTATTACAACAATACTGCTTAATGATACCTTTTCCTGTGCATGATATTTGAGGCACAAAGTGTGAGAAGAGAATTTAAACATGTCCCTTGTGTGTACTAGAGAACAACCCCAACCCACACACAGTCTATGAAAGGGAAAATTAATGAGCTTATGTGGTTATTTTTAAGCCTTCCTTCCTTTCTTCTTTGTAGTCTTTCTCCTATTTTTAATTTTTTTAAAAGTGTAATAATGGATAAGAGCGGAAAAACATTTTTAAAAAGTTTGAGGACTTAAATTTGGCCATATATCCCAAACTAAATTAATCTGTGAATGTAGCAAGGGATTGATGGATGGGCTCAGTTTTTCTTAACAAAGAATAACAACATAAACCATAACAAAAACTCCATATGCCTTTCCCTGTTACAGGTAGATAATGTTTCTAAAAATAGCATCAGTTAGCCATAAGACCAGAGACTCCTGGAGCAAAGGGCAACTGTCATTTTCTATTAATGTTGGCAGGTGGAGTTGAGGCACCATGATCCATAAGAGATGATGTGAATGAACAGTCCTGTAAATGTGAGAGGAGCCCTGCCCCACTCCTTCCCAGAAGCAGCCGGCTACCTGAGTGCTTCCTGAGATGTCTGTCTGCTTGTCACGAAGAGGAAGTCAGAACATCCTTACTCTAAATAACATTGCAATTTTGCAGATAGGTGTGAGATACGATTTCTAGCATTTTCCAAATTCTTCTGCCTGGAAAACAAAGCCTGTTTGCAACTATTTGGACGTATTTAAGAGTAATTTTTCCACTTGGGTTTGTTTGTTAATTTGGAATATTTCTGACAAATAGCGTTCTGTGTGATGATGGACATGTCCTGTATCTGTGCTGTGCAACACAATCACCGCTAGACATGTAGCCATTGAGCACTTGAATTGTGTGTTCTGTAACTGAGGAATTTCATGTTTAATTGTATATAGTCTTAAGTACTTTATTAATAGACCCATAGTTGTTGCTCTAGGTAAGGTGGAATAAGCATGTATATCCCTGTTCTCCCAGTATATGTAGCTATAAAATCCAGACAGAAAGAAGCTATTCAAGGACTCTGAAAAGTAACTAGAAATAATTTGCAAGAGAACAGCATTCGAATTATCAAACCATTGGTACATTTACTGTTTTTTATCTCCAGTATTCCTCAGCAATGACAGAAGTGAGCACTGGGACAGAGAGAGAGTTCCAGGAGAAATCCTCTAGTCTAGCATGAAGAGTGAGAAAAGGGTCTCGCAATGCTTGAGTGTGGGGAGAGAAATACCCTGACTTTTATTTCTGTTTTCCTGTGCCCAGCCTGCAGTGGCCCAAGAGCTTTTCTCTCTGATCAGAGAGCAATGGCACCAACAGGTAGGGGTAATCATCCATTAAACTTTGTCCTCTTGCTGGCTGGTGCTGGACTTGAGCACAGCTGCAGAAAGTGAGCAGCAGAGTGAGGAAACAAAACTTCCATCTTTCTGTTCAGAAGACTAAAAAGAGGATCTCGAGAAAATGATAAAGTAATGGCATGAATGTGGAGAGGAAGGAATGCACGAAATCTACATAACAAAGTTGTTTATAAACTCCTAGGCTCCACTCTGAGCTGCACTTGCATGAACCTGACATACACAGATTCTGAGAACTAAACTATAGGATAGACCACTGCCCATGTCCCAGATTGGCTAGTGATGGGGACCACATAGGGAATATTCAAATAGCACTGCAAAGGCATTGCCATCAAAGCCCAAATCCACAGAAAGTTAGTCAAAACTTGTGGCCTGAGCAAAATTGGGTGGATTGCCTGCTAAAACAAAATTATCAGTATTGTCTATAGGATATAAACAAGAGCCAGTATCTAATAACATAACATTAAAAATGTTGAAGATACAATTCGAAATCACTCACCAGGAAACTTGGAATTTATGTGGAAAAAGGTAATTTAAAAAAAGACAATGCCAAGATGACACAGGTATTGAAATTTTCTAAAAAAGACTTTAAAGCAGCTATTATAAAAATCCTTCAGAAATAAGAGGAAACACTCTTCTAATGAACAGAATTAGAAAATACAAAGGAGAATCAAATTGAAATTTTTAAACTGAAACACGATAACTGAAATTAAAAACTCACTGGATGGGCTCAATAGGCAAACAAAAATGACAAAGAAGAGTCAGTGAGCTTCACCATAGTTCAGCAAAAATTGTCCAGTTAAAACAACAGAAGGAAACAAAGATTGACCAAAAAACAATGAATAAAGTCACAGAAAACCATTGGACAGTACCAATAGCTCTAATGATTCCAGAAGGAGAGGAGAGGGAATGCAGAAGGCAGTACACATACACGTATATGTGCGCATGCGCACGCACACACACAAATATATTAGCTGAAAATTTTACAAATTTAGCAAAAAATATGAACCTACGGGTTGGAGAAGCTTATGATCTCTAAACAAAAGCCTCCACTCTTCATAACGGCAAAGTCATGGAATCAACCTAAGTGTCCATCAACAGTTAACTGGATAAACAAAATGTTCTATGTAACTGTAAACAAAAATGAAATCCCATCATAAAGCTGATACTCCTTATAATCAAGACAGTTATTAAGAATCTAGGTTTAAAATATATAAATCTAGGTTTATTCATGAAATTCAACCTCACTTGGTTTCCTTTATCAGCTTATTATTGGTTTTAATTTCCCTGCCCAGTAATCCCATCACTGTATTTTAACTTCTTTTTCCTGCTACCCATTGCTGGAGATAGGGGATGGGGGGCAGCCAGCCAAGTGTGGAATGCAGCAAAACCATTCAGAGTAGACAAAATTGACAAAAATTGTGAAAGCAAATAATGTGACAGCCTCAGAATCCTGACCTTTAGAACTTGAAACCAATAAACATGAGTTCTTTTGTATTATGGGTAAAAAAAAGAAATGTTGTTGTATATATACACCATGCAATACTATGCAACCCTAAATGGAAGGAAATTATGTCCTTTGCAGCAACATGGATAGAGCTAGAGGCCATTATCCTGAGTGAACTAACTCAGAAACAGAAAATCAACTACCACAGGTTCTCACGTATAAGTGGGAGCTAAACAGGAGGTATATATAGTGATATGGTTTGTCTGTGTCCCCACCCAAATCTCATCTTGAATTGTAGCTGCTGTAACTCCCCCATATGGTGGAAGTGACCTAGTGGGAGAGAAGCGCATGATGGGGGCAGTTCCCTTCACACTGTTCCAGTGGTAGTGAATATGTCTCATGAGATCTGATGGTTTTATAAATGGGAGTTCCTCTGCACAAGCTCTCTCTTGCCCACCACCATGTAAGAAGTCCCTTTGCTCTTCCTTCATCTTCTGCCATGATTGTGAGGCCTCCCCAGCCATGTGGAACTGTGAGTCCATTAAACCTCTTTCCTTTATTAATTACCCAGTCTTGGGTATGTCTTTATTAGCAGCATGAGAATGGACTAACACACATAGACATAGAGATGCAAATAATAGACACTGGAAACCTCAAAAGGGAAAGTTGGGAGGGTGGCGAAGGTTGAAAAAAGATCTACTGTGTGCAATGTTCACTATTTGGATAATGAGTATACTAGAAGCTTAATCTCTGCCAGTATGTAATATACTCGTTTAACAAACATGCCTTGTACCCCCTGAATCTAAGATAAAATTTTATTAAAAAAAAGAAAAGCCCTAAGAAATTCACAGCCACACACATCATCATCAAACTGCTAAAAGCTAAAGACAAGAAAAAAAATTTTGAAGGTAGCCAGGGAAAAATGGCACATTACTTCCATGGGGAAATCAATGATTCAAGTGCCTGTTGATTACTCATAAAAAATAAAAGGATACCAGAAGGAGGTGGAACATACTTAAGGTATTTAAAATATTGGAAGATTTTTGTTTTGTTTTGTAAAGTACAATAATTTAGGAGTTCTATATCTAGGGATCATCCAGGAATAGAAGTACAATAGGCTGGGTGCAGTGGCTCATGCATGTAATCCCAACACTTTGGGAGGCCCGGGCAGGTGGATCATTTGAGGTCAGGAGTTTGAGACCAGCCTGGCCAATATGATAAAACCCCATCTCTACTAAAAAATACAAAAATTAGCCAGGGCGCAGTAGCTCACACCTGTAATCCTAGCACTTTGGGAGGCCAAGGTGGGCGAATCACCTGAAGTCAGGAGTCCAAGACCAGCAAGGCCAACATGGCGAAACCCCGTCTCTATTAAAAATACAAAAATTAGCCGGGCGGGGTAGCACGTGCCTGTAGTCGCAGCTACTCGGGAGGCTGAGACAGGAGAATTGCTTGAGCCTGGGAGGTGGAGGTTGCCATGAGCCAAGATTGTGCCACTGCACTCCAGCCTGGCCAGATAACAGAGCAAGACTCCATCTCCAAAACAAACAAACAAAAAAAAATTAGCCAAGAAAGGTGGCATGCACCTGCAATATCAGCTACTCGGGAGGCTGAGGCAGGAGAATCGTTTGAACCCAGAGGTGCAGATTGCAGTGAGTCAAGATCATGGCACTGCACTCCAGCCTGGGCAACAAAGCGAGACTCCATCTCAAAAAAAAAAACAAAGTACAATAAAAGAAATTCAGCAGGTGACGGAAAAATAAAACAGTTTGTTCAAAAAAGATTGGAAGAGAGCTCTTCTGAAAAAATAGAAATTATTCCAAGAGGAAGCAGAATACCAGAAAGGAAGGAAGAACAGAAATGTCAATTATGTAGGTAAATATAATATTTACCTAAATACCTAAAAATAAATATTTACCTAAATACTACCTAAATACCTAAAAATAAATATTTACCTAAATACCTAAAATTTACTAAAAATATTTTTGAGAGCTGAAAAAAAGTTATAGTATCGTCTCATGGAATTTTTTTATCTATCTAGATATAATAAATACTTATACAATAAAAGCAGGAGAATAGAGAGGCCTGCAGGGCGAAAGAATGTCTACATCACATCTGAAGTCGCAAAATAGTCATTCTAGGCAGACTATAAAAAGTTGAGCACTTTTATTGCAACTCCTAAAGTTATCACTGATAGATAAATACAGTTTATTTTTTAAGGAAAGGGAAAATAATATAGGTCAGAAATTTGGATCAAAAAGAAGAGCATCAAAGAAGGATTAAATGAAGTACAACGTAAATATGAAAAGTAATATTGATTAAAACACATAAAAGAATGGAAAAAGATAATACCATATGGACACTAATCAAAAGAAATCTAGAGTGGCTATATTAATATCACACAAAGTAAACTTCAGAGCAAAGAAAATTGCCAAGTTATAGATGGAGAAAAACCTCAATTCACTAACATAATAATCCTAAATGTTTATGGTTTTGTTTTGTTTATAGTTTTGTTTCTCTGGAGAACCTTGACTAATACAACACAAATTACTAAGTCTAGTTTCTTCCCAGAATGCAAGGTTGTTTTCATATTAGAATATCAGTGAAATACACAGTACTAACAGTTTAATAAAGAAAAAAATATTTTAACAATTGGGGCAGAAAAAAATCAGCTGACAAAATGTCAAGATCAATCAATCATTAAAAACTATTAATTAACTTGGAATAAAAGGGAACTTCCTCAAACCTAATGAAGTGCATCTATGAAAAACCTACAGCTAGCACCATACTTAATGGCAAAAGATTGAATGTGTTCCCATTAACGAGATGAAAAAAATTCAAAAATGTCTGCTGTCTACTTCCATCCCTCCTATTCAACATTGTTCTAGAAGTTTTAACCAGTGTAGTAAGACATAAAAAATAAATAAAAGGCTTTCATATTGGACAGCAAGAGATTAAAGTGGCCTCATTTGTAGACAACATAATTTATCTCTACAGAAAATTTCAAACAGTCTACTAAAAAACTTCTACCTATAATAAATGAGTTTAGCAGAGTTTAACTTTAGCAAAAGTATAAGTGCAATATATACACAGTATATACACAACTGCATGTCTATATTCTAGCAACGAACAAGTGAAAATTGAAGTTTTTGAAATACCATTTGCTATAGTTTCAAACAGAATAAAATACTAAGCTATAAAACTAACAAAACGTGTACAGGATCTGTATGTTGAAAACTGTAAAACTGATGAAATAAATCAACAAAGACCTTTTAAAAAAAAGAAAGACATACTGTGTTATGGAAAATAATATTTAACCAAGAAAATGCTGATTATTCCCATAGATTCAATGCAATTTCATTCAAAATCAAAACAGGAGCTTTTACAGACACTAGCAAATGAATTATAAAATTGGTATGAAAAGGCAAAGAAATGAGAATAATAATTCAAAAATGTAAAAAAGAATAATGAGGTTGTAGAACACATATTCTTCCATTTTCAGGTGTACTATAATGCTTCAATAATCTTGAGAGGGTGGTCTTGGTGAAAGGATAGAAATATATATCAAAAGATCAGGATAGAAAGTTGAGAGATAGATCCATCCAAATACATATGGCCATTTTAGACAAGGGTACAATAGGCAATTCAATGGAAAAATGATAATGACTCTTCAACAAACAGCATTAGACACTGGAGATCTAGAAACTCCTAAAATTGAATTATATTATAACAACCAAAACTAATTCATTATAGGTTTGATTGTAATGACAGTTTGTGCCCTGCCAAATAAAACAGCACATTTTAAAAGTATGTATGTTTGTCTTAAAAGTTAAAAAAAATTTTGCATTGTAAAAAAAAAGTATAAATGTGTGTATATGTGTTTATATTCTTTTTTAGATAAAAGCACCAGAAATTTTATTTGCCCAATTTTCAAATGGTACTTTAGTCCAAGGGAAATTTTTTGTGATTTTTGACTAATGCAATCAACTATCCAATGAATGCAGGTAATAAAGTGTACCCATGGTCACGTTGTATAGCTTTTATCTAAATCATCATGATTTAGGCTGGGTTCAGTGGCTCAGGCCTGTAATCTCAACACTTTGGGAGTCCGAGGCAAGCAAAATCACCTGAGGTCAGGAGTTCAAGACCAGTCTGGCCAACTTGGTGAAACCCCATCTCTACAAAAATACAGAAATTAGCCGTGCATGATGGTGGGTGTCTGTAATCCCAGTTACTCTGGAGGCTGAGGCAGGAGAATCACTTTAACCTGGGAGGTGGAGGTTGCAGTGAGCCGAAATCACACGATTGCACTCCAGCCTGGGCGACAGAGCGAGACTCTGCCTCAAAAAATAAATAAATAAATAAATAAATAAATAAATAAATAACAATTTAATATTGTCCAAAAGTAAAATATTTTATATATTAGATTCCACAATTTTTCTTCATTTTTACCATACACTCTTAGAAATACCTGACAGGTATCTCATGCTTTACCTATCAAACTTCTAAATGCTTATATGAGATGATAATACTGAAGGGGCAACAATGGCAGTGAAGGTAGCTAATTTTCAGTCTTGGCTCTGTCGTTTTCTAGTTAGGTAACTCTGGGTAATCCACTCCTTCTCACTGGGAATTAACCACTTAAAAAATAATAGTGCAGAATTCATGGTATTCAAGTTCTCCTCTAGCTCAGAAAATTCCATGCATAATCACTGTCTTGGCACCTATTAAGATCTCCTTTAAACAATATCCCAGACAGGAGGATTTCTGTGAAGTGTGAGGTGTTTAACATGAAACACTCCAGTAAAAATGTTCCATTTTCAAAGCATTTTTGGAGCCCCACTGTGAATGAGGCATTTTTGTAGGTACTGGAAAAATGAGAGATGAAAAGGGCATGTTTCCTGGTCTCACTTTAATACAAGACCAGAAGGAAAAAGCTAAAAAAGAAAAGTTTTAAATCTGATGGGAATAGTTAACAGAGGGAGGAAGAAAGTGTTAAGATTAGGAAAGTCCACCATGACAAGTTTTCTTGCAACCCAGTGTTTGTATATGTTTTATGAATGTTGCTTTTAATATGTCTGTGTTGGTAAAACTTACGACTTTTTAAACTACTTTTATCTCTAGTACAATTTCCACCAGAAAAGAATTAAGATACATAAGGCAGGCATTATTAGTCCCATTTAGATTAATGGAAACTGAGACCTGAAGCTCTTACCCATTATCAAGCTTTACTAATACTTTTGAAAACATGAATAAGCAGCTGGGAATGGTGGCGCACGCCTGTAATCCCAGCACTTTGGGAGGCCGAGGAGGGCAGATTACCTGAGCTCAGGAGTTCGAGACCAGCCTGAACAACATGGAGAAACCCCCGTCTCTACTAAAAATACAAAATTAGCTGGGCATGGTGGCACATGCCTGTAATCCCAGCTACTCGGGAGGCTGAGGCAGGAGAATTGCTTGAGTCTGGGAGGCGGAGGCTGCGGTGAGCCAAGATTGCACCGTTGCACTCCAGCCTGAGCAACAAGAGTGAAACTCCATCTCAAAAAAAAAAAAAAAAAAAAAAAGGTGAACAAGCAGATGTTCCAACAAAATAGGAACAGGTATGTGACACCGGAAAAGGGCAACCACCCCACCCTACCTTCCTTCCTTTTTAGGACATCCTTTCTCTGGTTAGAAAAGATGAAGTCCCTGAGATCAGTGACATATTATTGCACACGGGAGGAAATGTTTAGTTATGAAGCAACTCCACTTTACAGCTCTATCTAATCTTTTCTGGGAAGCTGTATTTCATAAATCTATAGATTTTGGGACTATTTACTATATGCAACCCTGAACCATGGACATCCTATTAAAGACACTCTTAGTTGCACATATGGTAATAATTATGCCCCTGATATATAACTTATTTTATTTCATTCATGCAATAATCATGTGAAGTAGACTTTGTTTACCCATTTTAATGAGAAAATGCAAGTGCCAGTAACTTAAGTGATCTGGCCAGAGTCTGCAGAGTTCAGCCCTCCCCACAGGGCAGGGCTGGGGTTTGAAGGAGACTTGTCTTCGATTCACATCACAGTTTTGCCGTGACTGCACAGCTGTCTGTGTCTGCTGTGTCCCATCTGCTCTGCTGTGGGAACTGAGGAGTGAGTTCTGTAGAACTGGCCCTTGACTGACCAACGACTGTGAGGCCTCAGTACAAAAGGGGTGCATAGAGGTGTTAGAGGAATTGCGGTTCACCCTTTCGGAATAATTTGGCATTCTCACGAACATAATGGTTCTGGTAGGCCTAGAAGAGTTAATACACACATTCCCCATCCCCACCCACAATGGGTTTGAACACTGAGGAAATCAGCATTAGTGTTTTTTTCCCTTGACATGCTTTATCTAAGTAGGAAGGAAATTCGTTAATAGTCATTGTCTATTAAAGTACAAGACTGGGGCTACTAGCCTTAATTTTATTTAGTAAGTCTTGACATGAATTTTGGAACCACGAGATATAAGTAATAAAGAAAAGGTCATATGATCTTCCAGAAAAGAAAAAATCATGCAAGGTTAGGGCTAATTTTGTGATGCCAGTCTTTAACAGTCTCGGAGCTATTCACTGTGTGGAGAACTCTGTGGGACTTATTTTTTCTCCCTTTGATGTGGACCATTTCATTCTGTGCTCCATTTTCCAACTCAGTGTATTTTATAATGATATCCATCATGACTGTCTGTCAGCTTATGGCAGCTTAAAAAATTGCCTCAAGGCCAGTAATGAGAAGAAATCTTTCCCACTTCCTGTAGATTGTTTTGTGTGCTTCACAGTTTTCTGCACCAAATAATAAAAAATAACATTGCTTTCAAAACTGTTCTTTAGTTTGCCTCTTTATCTTTTCCTTTTTAATCCTTTATAGTTTATTTCCCTTTGCTTTACTGTGTTTATTCTACTGCGTTTTGTTCATAATTAACAAGACATAGAAGGCAAGAATATATTCTCCAAATGGAAAGTTTTTTTAAAAGCCTTAATTTAGCTATCCTTTAATCCCACAAAAAGGAAACTATCTGAAGTTTATAGTAAGAGAGTCCACACTTTAATAACTGTTCTTTGAAACAGAGAAATCAATACTTGCTAGCGATGAGGGTGGACACTTCATGAGCTGAGTTCTCATGAACCTGCAAGCTAACTTTAATATGAAAAGAAACCTGTAAGTTTCTCAGTGCAATTATATTAGCACCTGGAAGTGCCGATAAGTCTTGGAAAGGTCAATTATTTCAGCTGTTATTAGAAAAATGTTTGTGATGGTCAGGGAAAGTAAGAGAATTTTCCATGATGACATGTCTTTTACTCTTTTTTTTTTTTTAATTTAAAATCCCCGCCTGACTCTGAAACATCAGGTTGTATAATAATTCAATGCTTGGATTACTATTTAGCAGTGCTTGACATTTCCCAAAACATTATCTTCACTGCTATTCTATCATGCGAAAGCCTTAAGCCACCCCATGAAGTCAGTAGGTGGATAATAAATATTTTTCTAAAGAATATTCTTTTTCTAAGAATTAACTGTAGTTAGGATGCTTCATCAACTATCAATTCTTGATTACTCAACATTTAACAGTGAAAAAGTGGAAAAATCCAGCTTTCATAGCTGAAAATGTTGAATATGTAAAATGTATTTTTATTTTCTTTTGACCTCAATCCATGTGGATTTGAAGGAATGAATGAATTAGTAGATGGATGGATAGATGGACAAACAGTTGGACAGAAGGTTGAATGGATGGATGTAATAGGTCCGACTGCACTTCTGGGAAGAGCCCAGATTTATACTGAACTGGAAAGCATCCTGATGCATGAGAACTCCATCCCCAACCTCACACTTTTCTGTTCCTTATTCCTTTTGAGGAATAGCTGGAATCATCTTTCACACTGATGAATTGCACCAGTCTATGTTAAACTTTCCCTTTCCTTAAGACCAACACTGATTTGCTTAAATCTTCCTGGGTGCCAAGTGCAGTCACTAACGCCTGTAATCCCAGCATTTTGGGAGGCTGAGGCGGGCGGATCACCTGAGGTCAGGAGTTTGAGACCAGCCTGGCCAACATGGCAAAACCCCATCTCTACTAAAAATACAAAAATTAGCCAGGTGTAGTGGCGTGCGCCTGTAATCTCAGCTACTCGGGAGGCTGAGGCACAAGAATAGTTTGAACCCAGGAGGCGGAGGTTGTGGTGAGCCAAAATGGTGCCATTGCCCTCCAGCCTAGGTGACAGAGCCAGGCTCTGACTTAAAAAAAAATAAAAATAAAAAAAATTTCCCTGGGATCAGGGAAGAAATCTTACAGACTTAAATTTCTTTGATTTCCAGATGCCCATTAGACTGTTACTCTTTATACTTAGAAGAATAAAGGAGAGAGAGCAGCTATGAAACTATTAGGGGAAGAATCCATCTTGTAAGGAAAATTAAACTTTTTTCAAAAAGTATTTGAAAAGGAAGTTAATATAACTGAAAAACTTGAGATGTAGGTCTATTTAGTCACAAAGTGCCATCAAGACCAAGATAGTCAGTGTCCTACAGAAAAATCTCAGTAAAAGCCCAGATGGTGGGAGGAGAATGCCCTTCATAAGATATAATGACTTTTTTATGGATTTGGATTAACTGGGCTCTAGAAAGGTAAAGAGAAGAATCAATGCCTTCCCATAAGGACTTTTCCATGGAAAGCAAGAGAGAATTGAGCCGGAACTCTATGGTATCAACAATAAAATAATATAATGCCTAGCATCAACAAAAGCCCAGATACAGGCATACCTCGGTATACTGGTTTGGTTTCAGACCACCACAATAAAGTACCTATCACAATAAATGAATTACACAAATTTTTTGGCTTCCCAGTGCATATAAAAAATTATGTTTATACTCTACTACAGTCTATTAAGTCTATGTTTATAGTCTTTTAAAAGTACATATGTTAATTTTATTATAAAAATACTTTATTTCTTAAAAATGCTAATGATCATCTGAGCTTTCAGTGAGTTTTAATCTTTTTGCTGGTAGAAGGTCATGACTTGGTGTTGATGGCTGCTGACTGATCAGGGTGGGGATTTCTGAAGGTTGGGGTGGCCATGGCAATTTCTTAAAATAAGACAACAGTGAAGTTTGCCACACTGATTGACTCTTCCTTTCGTAGCAGATTTCTCTGCAGTATGTCATGCTATTTGATAGCATTTTTTCTCACAGCGGAACTTCTTTAAAAATTGGAGTCCATCCTCTCAAACCCTGCCAATGCCTTATCAACTAAGTTTTTGTATTAGTTTAAATCTTTTATTGTCATTTCAACAGTGTTCACAGCATTTTCACCAGAAGTAGTTTCCATCTCAAGAAATCACTTTCTTTGCTCATCCATAAAAAGCAAGTCCTCATCTATTCAAGTTTTAGTATGAGACTCCAGCAATTCGGTCACATCTTCAGGCTCCAATTCTAAAACTAGTTCTCTGGCTGTTTCTACCACACCTGCAGTTCTTCGTCTACTGAAGTCTTGAAACCCTCAAAGTCATTCATGAGGGCTGAAATCAAGTTCCTCCAAACTCCTGTTAATGTTGATATTTTGACTGCCTCCTATGAATCACAAATGTTCTTTTTCGAGACAGAGTCTTGCTCTGTTGCCCAGGCTGGAGTGCAGTGGTGCGATCTCTGCTCACTGCAAGCTCTGCCTCCCAGGTTCAAACAATTCTCCTGCCTCAGCCTACCGAGTAGCTGGGACTACAGGAGCCCGCCACCACACCCGGCTAATTTTTTTTGTATTTTTAGAAGAGACAGGGTTTCACCATACTAGCCAGGATGGTCTCAATCTCCTGACCTCGTGATCTGCCTGCCTCAGCCTCCTAAAGTGCTGGGATTCCAGGCGTGAGCCACCATGCCCGGCCACAAATGTTCTTAATGGCATCTAGAACGGTGAATTATTTCCAGAAGGCTTTCAATTGACTTTGAAGTTACAGCCTTACAAAATACATTTCTTAAATAATAAGACTTAAAAATCAAATTACTCCTTCCTTCATGGGCTGGAGAATGAGTATTGTATTAGCAGGCATTAAAACATTAATCTCCTTGTACATCTCCATCAGAGCTCTTGAATAACTAGGTACGTTATCAATGAGCAGTAGTATTTCAAAAGAAATCTCTCTTTCTGAGAAGTAGGTCTCAACACTGAGTTTAAAATGTTTAGTGGACAATGCTGTAAACAGATGGGCTGTCATCCAGGCTTCATTTCATTTATGCAGCACAAATAGAGTTGATTTAACGTATTTTTTTTTTCTTTTAGAGACAGGAAGGTTCTCACTCTGTTACCCAGTCTGGAGTGCCGTGGCCCAATTACAGCTCATTATAACTTTGAACTGCTGGTCTCAAGCAATTCTCCTGCCTTGGCCTCCCAAAGCGCTGGGATTATAGGCATGAGCCACTGTGTCCCACCCAGATTTAGCATAATTCCCAAGGTCCCAGAATTTTTAGAATGGTAAATGAATATTGGCTTCCATTTAAAGTGACCAACTGCATTAGCCCCAAACAAGACAGTCAGGCTTTCCTTTGAAGTTTTGAAGCCAAGCATTGACTTTTCTAAACCTATGAAAGTGGTTTAGAAAAGTGGTTTAGTGGTTCATTTCTAAATGTCATTCCATTGAAATTAGGGTTTCAACATATGAATTTTGGGGTGACACATTCAGTTGAGATTTGTATGTATATATAACCTTTTATTCTTAAACTTTTGGGAAAACAGGCTTTCAAAATTTTTAGAAGTAAGTCACCCACCCACTCATATTTTAGTGCTTTTTTGCATTTCTCTCTGTTTCCTCCATTTTCTTTCATCTCTGTTACACACACACACACACACACACACACACAAATTACTACTCATATCTGTTCTCTTATTCAGTAAGAGGGAAATTTGCTTATCCAAAAGAAAGTTCTGTGTGTGTGTTTTTAAGTCAGTCGAGTTTATTAAAAGTAATTGTTTAATGAGAAAGCTTTGTCAGCTGGGTGTGGGATTACCTGCAGCACAAACCAGGCTCGTACGGAGTGCCTCATCAGTCACTGTGATCAGGAAATGTTGATAACAAGCCCAGAACAGGCACCACACACTGTCCACAGCAGCAGGATGCCTTTGCTTACATTGAGAAAAGGAGATCCTAGGCAATTTGTGGCTTTAGAAGACCAAGTACTCATCCAGTAATTTACCTTGCCTTGGGCTGCTGCCTTATGTTGGATGCAGGTGTCTCTGGTGATGGCCTGTGCAGTCACATTCGAGTGGGTCACAGGGACACTGGCAAGGCCAGGGAAGGGCAGGGCATATCAACGAGCAAAATTAGCCCATCTAGCTCCCTTGTCCCTCCCTGCCCTACAATCACATTAAACCTGCCTTATTCAATTTATGCCGAAGAGCTTTAGTTGATTTACAAAGGATTAATAGATGTTACTTGAGGAAATGTCTCCATAGTCTGAATGTTGGGACCATTGGATTATAAAAGATGAAGCACATTATTTTTCTAAACTTCTCTGGAGTTTCAATGCCCTGAGGCTCCAGGTGTGAGATCTGTGAGCTCTTCTCACACTTGTATAAACAAAGAACGCTTCATCTGTGTCTCGTCTCATCGGATCAGTGTTTTTGCAATAACATACTTGTGAAACTTTGTTTTAAGGTGGCACCTCCTAAACTTGTTTATATTTTAGATTCTCTCCAGATAAAAGCAACAAACTCCTTTGGAATAATAGTAATATTAGTAGCTATCACTGAGAATCTACTATATGCTGAACGTACCGTTTGCTGTGGACTGAATGTTTGTGTCCTCCACTTCCAAATTTATGTAGAAACACTAACCTCCAATGTGATGGTATTTATAGGTGGGGTCTTTGGGAGGAAATTAGGGTCAGATGAGTCATAAAGATGGGGTGCCCATGATGGGATTACTGCCCTTACAAAAAAAAGAGAGGAGAAGCAAGTATCTTTTTCACTTCGTGCATGCACCATGGAAAGGCCATGTGGAGACACAACAAGGAAGAGGACCCTCGCCGAGAACCAAACCATGCTGGCACCCTGATCTCTAATGGCCCATCTAGTCTCTAGAACCATTAAAAAAACCAAACAAAAAGTTTCTTGTTTAAGCCATCCAATCTATGGTAATTGGTTAAGCAGCCCTAACTGACTTAGATGCTTTTCTAAGCAGTTTAATTCTCACAATGAAATAGGTAAGGAACCTGAAACAGAAGCAACATAAGTTATTTGCACAAGATCACGGAACTATTAAGTGGCACCTCCAAGATTCAAAGGCAGGCAGTCTAATGTTATATATTTACAGACATGATAGACATTGGGAAGGAGAAACACACAGGGCCTTCGGTTGGGTCTCATGGGAGATAAGTGATATGTATATGGGAGGTTTATTGGAGAATGCTCTTGGTACAAAATGCATGAGAGGCTGAGAAGCAGGAATGAGAGGAGGGAGATAGTGAACAGTTATGCAATCACAGCAGAGGCCTTAGCCAATGTGATGGGCAGGACTAGAGCTAGGATGATCTCGTGAAGATGTTCCAAATTCAGAGAAGGAAGCAAGAGTTTATAACCCATGCTCCTCTACTGACCTATTGCTGGACATGGGCTTGTCTCTGTGAGTAAGGTATAATCTTGAATGGTATAGCACCGTTTGGCTGAGGGCAAGGCTTGAAGAGGGGCAGCTGGGGAGCCATTAGCAGCCAATATTCCCAGCAGATGGAAGTAACTCATCTGTTAGTTAAGGGGTCATCTTGGTAGTGCACCACTGCATCACCTGCATACAGGGACATAAATAGGGAAATTGTGCCAAATCAAAAGGATTAAGGAAAGATGCTCCTCAAGAAATCATGACAAAGATGCTGTCTAAAGGAGGAGAAGGATTTAACCATTCCAGAAGAGCAATGAGGCTTTCTAAGGAGAGGAAGAAGCACACGCAAATAATCTGTGAAATGATTAACAGGTTGTGTTTGAGGAATTTTAAAAGCCAGGGTGGCTGAAGCAGAAAGCACAATGAGTGCTTGGTGTGGACGTGGGAGCAGATTATGCGGAGCTTTTGTGAAGAGGTAAGGATGTCACCTTTATTCACAGAACAACAGGAAACTCTTGAACCATTGTAAGTACAGGAATGACAATGGTAAGATTTATCCTTCAAAAGATTATTCTGACTCAAGGATTGGGACTGAATGAGACATTGAAGAGGATGTGAGCAAAGAGGTAGAAGGCTATTGCTGCTATCCAGACAAAAGAGATGATGTTTGCTTGAACAAAGCAGTATTGGAGGGGCAGAACAGGTGACAGCAGAGATGGAAAGAAGTATGTGTATTCAAGAAATATTTTAAATTAAAACTCAGAGCCCCCAGTGATTGTAGATGAGAGTGCAGGAGAAGGGGGTGTTGAGGATGACTCAGAAGACCCTAAATTTATGCAATTGGGTAGAAGGACAGGCTTTTTATGAAGATGGGTCAATGTAAAAAGTGAATTTTACTTAATCACTGAAGATGAAGCATTCCATTGTGGGCAGGTTGATTTACATTCCCAGTGAGATGAATGGGCAATTAGACACATGGATCTGAAGGGCGCAGAAAGCCTAGGTGTCAGGTATAAACCTGAGTATATTCTATGCAGTTTGTAATTAAAGTTATGTGCCTGAATGAGACCACTGAGAAAGAGTGTGCAAAGTGAGAAGAAAGGGGGTCCGGGAAATGCCATGAGGAATATTTGGAGACATATATTCCTCCAAATTCGTGCACAAAGAATACAGGGAGAGAAGGGCAAAACAGCAGGAGGCAGCCAAGGCAAGATGGTATTTCAGGGAGAGAGTGGGCATCAGTGTGAAATACTGCAGAGAAGTCAAGAAGAACAGAACCTAAAATGCCCACTAGATCCTGTGACACTGGCGATGTTGGTGGCTTCAGTGGAGTGATGAGCACAGAAGACATACTGGGCTAGATTTAGTACTGAGTGGGTGGAGAGAAAGTGGAAACGTCAACTTCGACTATGCATTCTAGATGAGTGGACTCAAACAGGGCAAAGCTCTATCAAGACAGTGGAACTGGGAAAGAATATTTCTGTTTTTGTTTCACATGAAAAAATTCTGAGCACATATAGAAGCTGATGGAAGGACCAACTGAGTAGGAGAAGATGAATGTATAAGCAAAGGCAAGGTAAAGAAGATAAAGTTTCTCAGCCAAGGGAGAAGATGAAAGGTCCCAGCACAGGTAGAGGCGTTAGTGCTAGATGGGCAAACAGGCGGCTCCTTTATCCTTCCAAGAGAGAAGGAAGACAGAACAAGTACAAATTAAAGTAAATGTGAACACTTGGAACCCAGACATATGTGAGCTCCCATCTGATTTTCTCTAAATGGAAGTGAAGGTCAGGTTGACACCAGGAATGCTTATTTAACTCATTTGGATTAGGTTAGAATGAATTGGACTGAATTGGTTTGGATGGGGGAAATTGACCCAAATAAAATAAAAGGTATAAATCAGAACACTAAAGAAAAAAAAATAGAGAAGCACTCAGAAAAAGAATGAAATGAATTGAACCCAGAAAGTTACAAGAAGAGAGTGATCAACTCTGAATTGTTTTTCCTATACCTGTTCAGAGTTTCTTGGTATCACAAGGAACAAACCAAAGAGGGCTGCTGCCTCTAACAGTAAGGCCACACACTAACAGTAAGGCCAAAATCTTAGATCATCTTCTCCAACTGTTGCAACTTTGACTAAAAAACTAAATCAGCATTTCTTAAAGTAGCTAGTTTTGAAAGACATAGGATGAATTGTTCTCTAGGGCCTGTTTAAGAATTTGGAGAAAATATAAGGCAATTTAAAAAGCAATAAGCCATTTTACTCAGCAGTCTGGCCATCTCAAAAGGCATCCTGCTCCAGCTTTCAACTCTGTCTCCTGCATCTTTGATTTCCATCACTAAGAAATAACATTGTAACGTTTCTCTCCAAATGAATATGTTACTAGCAGTGTCCATAGTGAGAAAAGAACAAATCAGAAAATACATTTCAGCTTCTTTGTATCCTTCCTGATGGTAGATTAGTTTAATTTGCACAACTAAAACAGTTTAACTTTAAGAATTTAACACTTGAAACTATGCAATGAGTTTAGACTCCTATTAAGCAACATGATTTGATGCCTGTAATCCCAGCACTCTGGGAGGCCGAGGCAGGAGGATCACCTGAGGTCACGAGTTCAAGACCAACCTGGCCAACATGGTGAAACCCCGTCTCTACTAAAATATAAAAAACTAGCTTGGCATGGTGGCACATGCCTGTAGTCCCATCTACTTGGGAGGCTGAGACAGGAGAATCGTTTGAACCCAGGAGGTGGGGGTTGCAGTGAGCTGAGATTGCGCCACTGCACTCCAGCCTGGCAACAGAGTGAGACTCCATCTCAAAAAAAAAAAAAAAAATCATGATTTCCAAAAATACACCAATACTTGTAACTTGGGATTACAAGTAATTTGTATTTTACATTTAACTTGATTTTTATTATCTGACTATAATAATATTTCTGTTACAATACTCCCCATTTGCAGTTAAATATTGATTCATAACTTTTAATTTGTAATATAGATGTGAATTTATAGAAATCAAAAATAATTTCAGATTTCTATAGAAATGTAAAAGTGTATTTAAGATCTTTAGGAATCTGTTTTACTTTCCCATCAAGGGTAAGACCAAACAATGTTTAAATAAAATATCTAAGATGTATCTATTAAACATTATAAGTATTTCGGCTAACAGAAAAAAATATAGATTGTAATGTTAAACAAAAACAAACAGGATAATGAATTGAACACACAGAAAGACTTGCATCCTTTCTCATTACATTAAAATAAAAGTGAAGATATTTTTAGACATTGAAACACAGGAGCTTAGAGGATGGAAAAAGGAAGAACAACAACCATATTTCAGAGGCTGGGAAACAGAAAGAGTGTTCATGAACTTGGCATCCTTGAGAAGCTGAATAAGACAGCACTGGGGAAAATGGAGAAAAATGGAATTTAGACACAGAATGCCCACATTGCCAGAAAATGAACGTGAAAGGATGGGGGTAAAAGTAGGAATATGAGTTGAAACTCTCAAGAAGGAGATAGATATGCAGATTCTTGCCACATCCTCGCAAAAACACTAACACTTTATATTTCCTGAGAAGAATGGGAAACGATACAAGGAGAGTACAATTTAAAATCAAAACACTCATGGTTATCCTTAGAGAGTCGAGAAAACAGTAGAGCCGGGAAACAAGGATGGTATGAAAAAGGAAACACATATGGAAGGTCCCCGAAAATACTTAGGAAAAACTCAATAGAAAATTTAGAAATTTAGCTGAGGACATCTTTCAGAAATTAGAACACTTCAATGAGGAAATATTGAAAAACATCAGAAAATTAGAAGAGTTCAAGAGGCCTAACATGTGATCAGAAGTGCCAGAGATAGAGAATTTGTGTATAAACACAAGAAAATTCCCTAGAACTGAAGGATATGTATTGCCAGATGAAGTGGATAATGAGAATACAGGCTCAGACCAAGACATATTATTGATAGGGTGGGCAGGGGTGGGAGGGGTTGGCAGGTGATGGAGGGGAGGAAGAAATAACCTACAGACTCCAAGAAGAGCAAAGCAAATAACAAAAACTGGTCACGTCCAAAGGTTCCAGTGTAGTTAATAACAATACTAGAAGCTAAAAGCAACAAAACGATGCCTTCAAAATTATTAGGTAAAATAAATTCCTAACTTAGTGTTATGCCCAGGTTACTACCAGTGAATGTACAAGGTAGAATGAAGGCACTTTTAGTCTATAGAATTTCAAAAATTATACTTTCTAAATACCTTTTTCAGAAGTTTAGTAAGGTCTATTCTAGAGTTTGAAGATAACCAGCTTGCCTGGGTTTGCCCACAACTTTTGAAGTTTTAGCACTGAAAATCTTGCATCTCTGAAAAACACTCAGTCCCAGACAAATTAGGACAAAGAGTCACCCTACTCTGGAGTTACCATTAAGAAGATTAAAAATAAGCCTTAAAAGGATTCAATTTATTCCCAGGTAGTCTAACTGTCCACCTTAAAGTCTAGCACTTCTTAAGGAAAAAAAAAAAGCACTGAAAAATTAAAATCTCATAATGTCCATTGGCTAATAAAATATACTAGAAATAAACAGAAAAATGGGATCCATATTGGGTGGAAAATCAGTCAACAAAATACCATAAATGACGAAGATGATAGAATTGTCTAAGACAATTAAAACACCATTTATAACTATTCGACAGGCTGAGAATTTAAAGAAAAAGATAATAAAAAAGAGAAATGGGTAAGCAGGAACCAAGCAGGACTTTCAGAGATGAAAAATGCCAGATCTGAAATGAACAGTTCACTCAATGAGTTTAATGACAGATAAACAGAGCCCGATAATCACACCTTATGAGAAATTAATCTGATGGCAGGGAAATCTGGGTTGCCCAAGCTTCAGACCTGTTCTTGCCGTAAGACACTGACGAGATCAGTGAACTTGAAGCCATGCAACAAAAGCTACCCAAAGTCTTAAAGAGTTCTAGCAGCTTTACCTTTTGGGAGCCCAGAAACATCATTTAGAAGTCAATATATTCTGCTGGAGAGTTCACTTGGAGAAACCACGTAGAGATGCTACCTGGAGGGGAAACGCTGGGATACTATATATAGACGGTGAAAGGCCCAGTTGTCCCAGCACCTCCATCAACCCTCCGGATGAGTATAGCCTCAGTTGCCAGGTGACAAGAGCTACATGGGACATCCCAGGCCAGAGCTGCAGAAGAACTGCCCTGTTGAGCCCAATCAACCCATTAAACTAAATGAGATAACAAAATAGGTATTAAGTCATTTTTAAAAGTGGAAAAGTGTAGATTAACAGAAATGTTCTGACTTTTTCGAGACATGATAAAACAGAGAGCTATGGCTTATAACTATTTGTTATTGAAATATGTGGCCTTACTTTTTAGATCACTCTCAACTCAATAGATCCTGTGTTACTACTGAAGTTAACTCATTCTACTACCCCCAACCTTTCCTCTGCAGTAACCTTCCAGTTTTTGAATAACCAAAAACCTTCTTCCAGTGTTTCCACTACCTCCAGAAACAGTGTGTGTTGGCCTAAGAGGGAAGAGAGAAAAAATAATACTGTTTCATGACTGGGGAGCAAGAAGAGTAAACCTTGAGGTTTGAGACATATAGAGTGCTCCTAACACTCTAACTCCTAACTCCTAACTGAGGTCAGGAGTTCAAGGCCAGCCTGGCCAACATGGTAAAACCTCGTCTCTACCAAAAATACAAAAATTAGCCAGTCGTGGTTGTGTGCACCTGTAGTCCCAGCTACTCGGGAGGCTGAAGCAGGAGAATCACTTGAACCCGGGAGGCGGAGGTTGCAGTGAGCTGAGATCGTACCACTGTGCTCCATTCTGGGAGACAAGAGTAAAACTCCATCTCAAAAAAAAAAAAAAAAAGACTGCAACCAAGTGGCTTGAAATATGGGAGGCTTAGTCCTTCAGTATAGAATGAAAACCTGTAATACAGCATCAAAATATTTCAGTTATATTCTGAGTTACATTGGTTTCTGGAGGCCTAACCACCATTTTTAGCATGTTTTCACTGGAAAATGTGTTTCGCATTAATCTATTAATGATCCTTCCTACCAAGGAAGCTCACATTTGTAACATCAAAAAGCCTAGTCATTCATCAGCCAGATTGCAAAAGTTCACTCCTACAGATAACAAGTTTTTCATAAATCAGAGTTAAATAAGACTGATAAAGATGGCTCATAATTCTTCCACGTCTCTCCCTCCTGAGTACCTCCTCATTACTGCTGTTTTAATACATGGCTGTTGCTTTTCCCACTCATAGCTTATCTCCTTGTCTAGGTTATAAGCACAGTGATGGCCAAGGACCATGACTCACACTCCTCCACAAGCTTTTAGACAGTGTCTGACCCTTCATAGCCTCTCCCTACACTCAGAGTTTAATTTCTGTTTGGATTCATTTCACCCACTTATATCATAGGATGGTAGTGGTATAAAACCAGAGTTCCTTGTGGTTTTCCCTCAAAGTGCTCAGGTACACATGTCATAGACCTAAGGTAGCTCACTTTTGAGTGGGCTGACATGCACTGCAGTCTTAATAAAAGCAAGAAAATCTGGGGTGCTTAAACTGCAGACCTGTTCTTGACATAAGCCAGGATAGCTGGAGCCACTTTGGACCCACATTGCTGAGACAAGATCAGAGTCACTTCATGATCCAGAGCAGCATTAAAACCAAATGAACCGGCCAGGAGTGATGGCTCACGCCTGTAATCCCAGCACTTTGGGAGGCCCAGGTGGGCGGATTGCTTGAGGTCAGGAGCTGGAGACGAGCCTGGCCAATAAGGTGAAACCCTGTCTCTACTAAAAATACAAAAAATTAGCCGGGCATTGTGGCACATGCCTATAGTCCTAGCTACTCAGGAGGCTGAGGCAGGAGAAACACTTGAACCCGGGAGCAGAGGTTGCAGTGAGCCAAGATCTCACCACTGCACTCCAGCCTTGGGCGACAGAGCAAGACTCCATCTCAATAAACAAACAAACAAACAAACCATAGCAGAAAGTAATGTTAAATTTGAAAACTCAAGCAATTAGCTGGCATTTTCTAGGAGATATCCAAAGTAAGGGGTGAATAGGAATTACTGTGATCTTCTAGGGCAGGCTCGGGGTCTTCTGAGTTTCAAGAATCCAAGGTTAGGGGGAGAGAGCCGAGTATGCAAAGAGAGTTTGAGTCAATTGTTGCAATTGGGACAGGAAAAGCCTTTAAGAATCGGGATATCTGGGAAGCTCATTGGGAATCCTTGGACACTGTCAATGAGACTGGCTTTGGGCAAAACTTGTTTCACATTTCTCCAGGGGCATAGTGAGGGAAACAGAGACAGCTCCATATTTTCCAGCTTTATGTGTCCTCACATCTTTAATTTTTAGTGTTCAGCAAGTCTCACTCATCTGAGCTTTTTGATTGCCTCATCTGCTTTCCATCCTGTTTGTTTTATTTTATCCATTGGATGCTTGGCACTAGTTTTTGCTTCACACTAATCGCAGTTGCCATCTATTGACTGAATATGATGCTGTGGAGAAGGTGAGAAAGAGTGATCTAGCAGGAACATTAGAGGGTGAAGATGCCAAGAACAGCAGAGGACACGGAGCCTGATAATCGCACCTTCTGAGAAGCTAATCTGATGGCAACTGAAGAGACCTATAAACTTATAGCATTCTGATTCTTTAAGAGAATGCCCTATCTTAGAAATCCAATATTTAAAAAATCAAAATATGTGCTTTATAGCATGAACCTTTCACTGAATAAAAAGATAAGGGCCCTGTGAACATGTGAAAGCAAGGCTAGAATAGAGGTGCATGCCAATAATTAAAAGTAAGAACAGTGGAACCTTTGTAAATGGTGTTCTGGATTTGAAGTGGTGGTGAAATGACCCCAATGTCTACCCAATGAGTGGGCAAAAGGCAGGTTATGGCACAGGGTGCTCTCTGACTTGTGTTTATAAATTTCGTAAAAATACATTAGACGGAGAGTTACAATGATGAAGCACTAACGTGATTATTTATGTCTGAGTTGGGAACATTTGTGGAAATGTATGAATGTTCTATACACACCCAGGAAGTTGCTGAGAATAGAACTGAAATCTCAAGTCTTGAGTACTGTGGGGAAAAAAGCATTACTGGAAGTTGAATTGCTCCTAGAAGTTATCATATCTGGAGTATATATTTTTTCACTCAGAAAAATCTCTGTGTGAGAGACACTGACTCTCAAAGAGCACTGCAACAAAAATGATGGCCCCTTTTCAAAATGTATTCTACTACGTTTTATTCATCCTTCACCACCGCTCCTGTTCTCTCTCCCGTCCATGTATGAATTTACTGAGATGGAAATGTCAAATGGATTAGAGGTGTCTCCAGGTCACTTGGAAGACAAAGAGGGGCTCAGACTACTGCTGGAAGGGGAGCTAAAATAATCGCAAATCACCCAGAAAGCACAGGAGCAATGTTGCAACCAAAGCACACACTTCTTCAGGAGTAAGGGACAGGAAGAGGTGAATTCCAGCTGATGCGGCGGGGAGAGCCTTGAGCACTTTCCTGGAGGCTTGACCACTGGTGGGGGTATCAATGGGTGGGCTTAAGCACCTAGAAATACTAATCACTAATTTATGAGTGGTTGAAGAAACTAGAGATAGTCTATCTGAGGAAGAGAAAAATCAATGGAAAACATTAGAGTTGTCTTCAACATCTGAAGGATTACCAAGTTGAAGAGGATGAACATTTGTTTTGAGCTCCTCCAGAGGAAAAAACCAGGATGCACCAAGGGAAAAATTCAAGGAGACAAAACTGAGCACCAGGGAATAAGTTTATTTCTAACCCTTTAAAATTGATTACAATTTTGTTAAAAAGTCAATCTTTTCCTTCAAAAGTCAACATAGAGCAAAGGGACCAATATAAAATAAAAAGTATTTCCTCCAAATAGTCACCTTCATCCAGAGAATTCCTGGAAAACATAAATGTTGAATGTATTTTTATGAACATGTTAATTATAAATGTTAAAGACAAATATCCCTTTAAAATGTAGATGTATGCTTTGTGGTAGTCCCCCCACCCCGCAAATCCCTCCTTCCCTGTCTGCCCCACAATAAGCAAGTGAGTCTTATAAAAGAGGAACTCAGCCAAAGTTATTTGCATGAGCTTGATCAATTATGAGCTCCCACAACAGAATAATAAGAGGAAAATGGAATTCAGATGAGTAACAAATATGCCATCCACTACTTTGATGACAAATTCAGTTTAACTATATTAAGCAACATGAAAGAGCTCAAAGACAGAATCTGACAACACATTTTGATGTCTTTGCTGGCAGATTCTTCAGAACTCCCTAAAGACCTATTTTTCCATAACCAGGTTAAGCATCATCGACAGGTGTATTTCATAAGTATAGTAAAGGCATTGAGATTTACAAAAAAAAAAAAAAAAAAACACAGTGGATCTTATTCGTTATGTCGCAATGGAGCTATGCTATATTCCAAGGGCAGACACTCACTCCAGTCTTTTAAAACAAAGGGACAGACTCATTCATCCAACTAATCAATATGAATTCCCTGGTCCAGAAAAGGAATATAAATCAGCAGCTGTTCCATGGTCAGTTTTCTCATCTACCCCTCCTCCTAGCTACAAGAAGGTAGAAAGTGGGGCATGTGTCAGCAGGAAAATGACTCGGGCTTTTATATTGACAAGCATTGCCATTGGGCCGCAAATTCCCCATGGCAGCTGTGCTCAGATCAATGCTGCTGAAGGTAAGGAAGAGGAGTTTGTTGGGTTTGGGTATTTATTACATTCTGTACTTTGCTGTACTGCAGAAGATGTTATTGTTTGTTAGGGAATGTGGAAGAAAAGAAAAATCATGCCCAGTTTGCCCCGTCCATCTAGCAAGATGCACATGCCTTTAAAGGAATTATGTGGCCTCCACCTTTTTCTAACAGTTTCAAGTTGACCCATAACTACATTATTTGATGAACACCAAAAAGGTATTAGACACCATCCTAAGCTGCTGCTCTCTTCCCCATTATAACATTTCCCGGTCCATCAGAGTCAGTAAATGACTTCTTGACTTTGTTACGGCAACTTTGCCTGCCAAAGAGCAGAGCTTAGTTTAACACTCTGTTTCCCTCCCCCTTCCTTCCTCTTCATGTACACATTCTCATACAACCCATATCCTCAGGAGCCTGTCTTCCTCAGTCCTAGCACTGACCCATAGAATATATTCAAGTGTTTTTTTTTCCTTTTGTCTAGCTCACCAGTCCATGAGCTTTCTAAATACAAGAACAGATTTCCTTTACCCTTTTGATGGACCCTGTGATGTGTTGTCCAGATCATCCTGCAAGGGAAGATCCATTCTCCCAGCAGATGGGAGTGCTTTCAACCTTTAGGGGTTGCCTAAGCTGCAGCGCTGCCTCATGCCAGGTCATACCCTTGCCTGGGGTGGCCTATGTCAAATGGATGATGGATGCAGGAGTTTGAAGTCCTAATCTTCCAGGATGACTCAGGACAGTTCTGAATGACTATTCTAGCCCCAGACCTCTCCATGCATTCAGGCAAGGCATATGGGGTCTGAACTGTAGCTCAACTTCCCGAACTCCAAATTTTTCCCTCCCTTCAACATGCGTTGTCCTAAGTTCACTCCTTATTAAGGCTCCTGCTTACTAAACTCTTAGCATCTGCTTTCCAAAGAAAGCAGGGCCACCCCTGTATTCATCCCATTGAAGTCTCTAGCCAGTGGTGTGCTGGAAAATGGCAAGAAGCAGCTCCAGGCAGGAAAGCCCTGATCTATAGTATTTGCCATAGTTCTGTGGCATAAATGCACCCACTGTGCCTAATATCAAGCTACTGATGGTTTATTAATCAGCTTACAAAATTCCTAAAAATTCAACTACTGTTTCTCTCAAATTAACCATCTCTAGCACCTGTGTCCAATCTATGGTATTGCCATATTTTTGCAAAATTTAAGAACAATTATGTGCCAAGTTCTTCAAACTTAGTGTTTCATTTAATTCTCATGGCAACCTTGGGAAGTTATATTTCCAATTTTACAGATGAGGAAATGCTATTTCCAAAATGAAGAAATAAAGTAAGATGCCTCAGCAGCCTTCCTCACACTGCCAGGACTGGACAAAGATATAAAGTTTTGATGTTAGGATTTATTTACCAATTCATCCATGTATTAATTCAAATAATCATGACTGCTCATCTTATGAGCTGAGCCTTGAAAGATAACTAGGATTTAACCCAGCTGATAATGGTGGCAAGTGTTCCAAAGCCATAGTAGTAAGAGACTAGTGGGGTTAAAAACAACAACAACAAAAAAAAAAAAAAAAAAAAAAAAACAACCTCTGAGCCAGGCATGGTGGCTCACACCTGTAATCCCAGAACTTTGGGAGGCAGAAGGATTGCTTGAGCCTAGGAGTTTGAGACCAAACCAGCCTGGGCAACATAATGAGACCTCGTCTCTACTAAAGATTAAAAAAAAAAAAAAAAAAAAAAAAACACAGGTGTGGTGGCTCTTACCTGTAGCCCTAGCTACTCAGGAGGCTGAGGTGGGAGAATCGCTTGAGCCTAGGAGGTCTAGGCTGCAGTGAACTATGATTGCACCACTGTACTCCAGCCTGGGCAACAGAGTAAGACCCTGTCTCAACAAAAACCAAACAAATGGAAAATGAACAACCAACCTGCTTTTAAGACTAAACTATGTGATACAGATGGGGAACTGAAGGAAGCTGAGCCCAGCAAGAGAGACAATAGCCAGGCCCAGACCCCTGCCTTCCCACTATAAGTTTATTGTCTTGAATCAACAACTAACCATTGAATTATGTTGAATTAACCATTAAACTTATATATAAGTATGCAGATGGTTGATCATGCTGCTGCTGTTATTTCAAGGGTACTGGAAATGCGTATGACTTGAAATAATGTCCTCATAATGCTAAAAATTTTAACATTAAGGAAGAAAGAGCAAAATGACATGAACACACTTGATGCAATGCATGATTTTAACTCATGTCAGTGGATCATCCAATCGACTTGGTAAATGTTAACCACCATTTCTAAATAATATACAATATCAGAATGCACCAAATAATTAAACATTAGTGTTTTATGAAGCTTTTATTTCATGTATGTTTGCACACAAGCACATTCACATGTATGCATTCACAGATGGTGAAATGTGCAAAGAAGCATCAGGACACTGGCCATAGCATGACCATATTTTGGTTTTCATCTCCTTAATTATGCTGTGACCCAGGTTAAAAACCTATCTGTGTGCTTACTCAGCGTCCTCATCAGCTTTAGCTTAAAAAAATTGTTTTCAAGATTAAAGAAAAATCATACAGTGCCTGGTACTGAGTGAGTAATTATTAGGCTGGTGCAAAAGTAATTGCAGTTTTTGCCTTTTTAATCACAAAACCCCATAATAACTTTTGCACAAACCTAATACTTGGTAAATGGTGATGAAATTTTGAGGGAATCATCTATTATGTAAGAAGAATTGCCTTTTATGTTTCAAAATTCATTTTTCAATTTTTATTTGTATAAATTTAGGGGGGTACAAATGCAGTTTTGACACAAGGCTGTATTGTGTGGTGGTGAAGTCTGGGATTTTATTATACCCATTCCCTGAATAGCAGAAATTGTACCCATTAAATACTTTCTCATCCCTACCCCTGTCCCACCCATCCAAGTCTTCAAAGTCTATTTTTCCACACTATGTCCTTCTCTACACATTATTTATTAGCACATAAAGACAGTGCTGAAATTCACTTCCTATTAAGTAGCTAGTACTAACAGAAAAACTAACACTAGGCCAGGCGTGGTGGCTCACGCCTGTAATCCCAGCACTTTGGGAGGCTGAGGCGGGCGAATCACAAGGTCAAGAGAGAAAGACCATCCTGGCCAATATGGTGAAACCTCGTCTCTACTAAAAAGACAAAAATTAGCCGGGCGTGGCAGCATGCACCTGTAGTCCCAGCTACTAGGGAGGCTGAGGCAGAAGAATTGCTTGAGCCCGGGAAGCGGAGGTTGCAGTGAGCCAAGATTGTGCCACTGTGCTCCAGCCTGGGTGACAGAGCGAGACTCTGTCTCAAAAAAAAAAAGAAGAAGAAGAAGAAAGAAAAACTAACACTAACCTAATTCTGTAATTCTGTCATGGTCTTAATAACCACTTTAGAGATTAAAATGAGTATTTTTCTTCTGCAAACTGGTAAACTTAAGGGTTTGTCATCAAATACATAAAATGTTTATCAACACTGAAGACTAAGTAAATGAATGAGTAAAAATGAACCAATTCCAAGCACCTCTTGGTTATAGACAGACAAAAGACCAAGCAATTTGCAAAGAGGTGATTTTTGGGAAAGGACAACTGAGGGTACAAGTCATGGAAACTGGACACTTAGGCACTGTTTGATAAAGTAATTGCTTGGGAAACTTCTACCCAAGTATCTTGGGAAGTGGAAGGAAAGTTGATTTGTGGGGAAAGGTCTAAACGTGGGCACTCAAAAGGGTTAGGCTGAGAAGAGAGAATATTATGACAAATGGCACCCAGAGGCCTTCTTACTGAGGTCTGGAGACATCGTTATGTTGACATGAAGGCAGTTCAGTCCAGTTACCGCCGTAATGAAGGGTGTTGCCCGCAGGCACTCATTCAAGGAGTCACATACCCCATCTAACTGGCCTCTTTCCAGCTTATTCTAAGTTTGCTCCTCCTCACCACCTCCTCTCAGCTGTCCTTCTTTTAACAAATTTAGAAGAAACCTTCGATTTCTACCTTCACGATTAGAGAGAAAAACTACAAAAGGTGCAGATATCCTCAGTGTAGGTTTAGGGAAAGTTTTCGATGATGGGTGTTTCCAAGTACTGAGAACTTTGTATCACAATAAGGGGTTTAAAAATTCTGAACTTCAAAGTTGTGACTTTTTGGAAACCATCACTGGTTGTCCTATAGTTGACAGTCAAGTCAAATCCAACCTCAATCAGAGGGAGAAAGAATGAGAACTTTTTAGGATCATGACACCAAGATTTTTTTTTTTTTTTTTGAAACAGAGTCTTGCTCTGTCGCCCGGGCTGGAGTGCAGTGGTGCAATCTCAGCTCACTGCAACCTCTGCCGCCCGGGTTCAAGCAATTCTCCTGCCTCAGCCTCCTGAGTGGCTGGGATTACAGGCGCCCACCACCACGCCCGGCTAATTTTTGTATTTTTAGTAGAGACGGGGTTTCAGCATCTTGACCAGGCTGGTCTTGAACTCCTGACCTCGTGAACCACCCACCTTGGCCTCCCAAAGTGCTGGGATTACAGGCGTGGACCACTGTGCCTGACCCAAAGAATGTTTTTATAGAGAAATTTAAAAAATGTTTAAAAGTTTAGGAATTTTTTAAAAAAAATCAGAAAATTAGGCAACATGGCAAAACCTTGTCTCCTAAAAATGCAAAAGTTAGCCAGGCACAGTGGCACACGCTTGTAGTCCCAGCTTCTTGGGAGGCTGAATAGGGAGGATTGCTTGAGTCTGGAAGGTAGAGGTTGCAGTGAACCAAGATCACACCACTGCACTCCAGCCTGGGGGGACAGATTGAAACCCTGTCTCAAAAAAAAAAAAAAAAATCAGAAAATATTGTGAAATGTAGAAAACTTTGAAATAAAAGAGGAAAGAAATGCATAATAGGCACGCAATCTCTCTGACAATAAATTAAGGGAACGTTATGTGTAAAACTTGGTGAAGTTTGCTTTGAAGGAAAATAGACGTCAGAAAAAAAAATTTAGGTATTTTCTCATTCCTTAATTGCCACAGGTCCAACTTTCTTAAAGGAAATTTTTATAGGAATTTTTTACAGCAAAATGACAGAACAAGATATACTCATCTAGGAACTGACCCCATGTAGCATTTTTCAATACAAATTGAAACACTTTGGTGATGGATCAGTTTACCAGGGAAGAATTAAATAATCCTTGCCCTGAAATGTATTATCTGGGATCTCACGGGGAGAGCATTACATGTGGGGGCAGCTCTAATTACAAGAAATAATTGCAGGTGAACGCAAGGCAGTTCCCCACCTTAGATGATGAATTATACTGAGAGGCAAGGACACCATATGTGAAATGCTAATGCTTTCATCACTATGACATTGCAAGGAAATCTCACACCCAAAAGCAAAACCCAAGGAAAAGCACATTTGACAAATACTGCTAACGGGAACCAGTTATTCCATTTGCAATTTGCAATGGATTCTTACTCAGTAAATATATACCATAGATTTAGTACCTACAGATATATTTATTTACTAATAGTAAAAGTCTCTAAGATCAAAGAGTGAATCAATTGCAATGGGATAGCCTAGGAAAAGCATCTTTGCTAAATGCTATATAACTTGAGGGCATATTCCAGATCTGAACATGACTGGCAAAATCCATAACTATAATTCCTTGTGACTCATGAATATTGATTGCTGGTAATTTCTAATTTCATTAGCATTTAAACCACCTTGAAATTACCTGGGGAGCTTTAAAAGTACTGATGCTAGGTTCCACCCTCTAAGATTATGATTTAATTTTAATTAGTCAGGGTAGTGGCCTGGGAATCAAGATTTTTTAAAGTTGTCCAGGTCATTTTAATGAACAACGAGGGTTTGAGAACCACTGCTTTATGGGCACAGGAGACCTCATCTTCTCCCTTAAAATCTCACTGATTTGCTTAACACGATGTTGTGGCTTTTCCTCACTCATTCACTTCTTTGCAATTATTTCTGTAAGACTGCAAGACTTATAATCACTCCCAGTTACCAAGCAGTGTGTGAGACCTGGGGAGATCAGCGCTGTACAGTTCTGGGAAAGGCTCCCTTAGTATTTCCTCCCTGTAAAGTCACAATCTGCCAAATGCCACTTTCCTCAAGGTCCCCATTACTGTGCAAAACTTCCCACAGATTGTCAGGATATTCTCCAGGCCCTGGTACACAATATAACACAGAGCTCTTTGAAAAGTCTTTGAGTGCAGGAGGCAGGCTGGTATTTAAATATCCAGAACAAATATCATGACATTTCTCAATCCCCCTCATTAGCCTCCAGACCTATTTGAAGACATAGCCTACATTTCACTGTAGTTTTCCTCTCTTCATTTTGACCAATCCCCAGTTAACTCTTGTTTCTCAGCTTCTTATTTCTCTTTATTCTTGCCTCCTATTGTATGAGTGAATATGTCTCCTTATTCTCCAGTTTCAAGAGGAATTCTGCTTCTATGAGTTTATAGAAATGAACATATATTTACATAATATTGTATATGTAAGGATGCTCACATGCAAGCAACATTGTTGACCCTAGCAAATAATTTGAAGACACCTGTCTCTCAATAAGATAACGGTTCATAAATCTATGGTATCTTCATCCCATGCATTATTAATAATACTAAAAGGAAGGAAGTACTTCTGTTTATACCAACATGGAAAATCTCTAATACAGGAGTCTCCAACCCCCGCCACAGACCGTTGTTGCCTGTTAGGAACCTGACCACATAGCAGGAGGTGAGCTGCAAGTGAGCAAGCATTACTGCCTGAGATCTGGCTGCTGTCAGATCAGCAGTGGCATTGGATTCTCATAGGAGCATAAACCCTATTGTGAACTGTGCATGCAAAGGATCTAGGCTGCATGCTCCATATGAGAATCTAATGCCTGACGATCTGAGGTGGAACGGTTTTATCCCGAAACCAGTCTGTGGAAAAGTTCTCTTTAACAAAACCAGCCACTGCTGTTAAAAAGTTTGGGGACTGCTGCTGTAATAGATATTCTTAAATGAAAGCATATTGTAGAATATGTATAGTATTATCTCTGTAATGTAAAAAACATAAAATATTAGTTGTCTATATAGAAACACAAACACATACCATAAATATAAGTATATATATGCACACATAAACACATAGATGCACACATAAATGCAAAGAGAATGGGGTGCAGAAGAATCTTCCAAACTGTCAATAGTGATTACACATTGAGAAGTGTGTAGAATTGGGAGCAGAGTGGGATGAAAGAAAATTTATACTTCTTACTTTAACCATTTATATAATTTCCACATTTTTTACACATAATTATGGATTTTTTTATCACTTTTAAATGAGAAAATTACCCACCAAATATAGTCATTGGTATTATAGTCATTAAGTCGTTGGTAAAAAAAATGGCAAGATTTTCAGTGCAATAGTGGGGTTGGAGGTCATCCTCAGACTTTTTGTTGCATAAACTTATTATAATAAATCTACTGGCATATACCCAAGAGTGAATCTGGTTTTATAGGAGCCAAAATTTATACCAATTTGGGAATCTCTCTTTAAGGAAAAAAAGCAGAAAGTTGTTAAAATTATATTAGAATAAGAAATAACAACTGTCAAATCAGAAAATATTCAGAAAAATACAATATTTTTAATAGTTTCACACAAACCAGTCATTTTCCAGATGTTAGCATCTGCTCTGGACAGTTTAATACCTTGCTTCTCCTACTACTTATAGTGCCAAGAGTTGTAAGATACATTTCTATCACTGTCGACTTTCTGGTCCTGTATTTTGAAATCATGTTGCAAGATGGGTCAACAAGGTGGGTAGTAAGAATACTCCTGAAAGACATTCCTATACGGATATGGCTAGTACTAATTTAATTATCCATGGAAGTAACAGCCATAAAATCTATGACATTAATACTAACCAAATGTATCTCTGAATTAATGTCCCTTTAGCAGGGTTTCTAAAGTACTTATGACCTTTCCCAGACTCTCTGACAGGAAGAGAATTGTGATAGGGAGACCAGTCTTTTTTTGTGAATGCATGATTAAAAATATCTCGGGAATATCAAGATCATGATGGGGAGACTGTCAGAAATATATATGAAAGACTTTAAAATGAGCAAAAATAATAAGAGGGTATTCTGGCTAGTATACCCTTCCAGATTGTCTAGTGTAAACATAACCCAAATATACTGATTATATCACAAATCTCTTTTAGCAGTTTAGCAGCTGGGATATTTTAAGACACCACAATGTCAACTCTCTGTCTTCTATTAAGATCTAATGACATCATTCTCTGCTTTAAAACCTGTGATAGGTCTTAACTGCTCTGGCCTGATTCCAAAGCTTGATATTGAGGGATTTCATAATTTGGTCCTGTCCCAAATTTCACATCTTCCCATTTACCTGCAGGGGTGTCCCCACCCATGTCCACACCCACATCCACCTACCTGAGAGATAATTTTCCAGCCAAAATGCCCTTCCATGCCCCACTGCCTTTTCAAATATTTGCCCTTTCCTCTTTTTTTTCAGTAAAAACCATACTTACCCTACAGGACTCAACTCAAATCCTGCCTTCTTCATAACGTATAGCACATTCTGTCTCATTGGAATTCATTGCTTCTTCAGTCTCCCCAGACATTTTGCATGGGATTCTATTATTACACATAACATAACACATAGCATCATCAAGCTTAGAGCTGTAATTGTACCCATGTGAACTATATGGGACCCAAGTGGATCTTACTGATCTCTGATACACGTGCATGGAACAAAGGCTCAGTAAATCTTTGTGGACATGAATTAGGCCGGATAATTGCGAAATTATGTCACTGAAAGTCAGTCTTGTTAGAAAACCTGTGAAATGCCAAATGTGGCCTTTACTAAAGGTTGTATAAGAGAATTACTAAGCAGCTATTGTACCCTAGTGTTAAGACATATTTCTTCCAAAAAGATGTTGAACTCATGACTGTCATACAGATAGAAAATGAATGCTTGTAAAAGATTTTATTTAACTTATTAATTAACAAGGGCATCAGTAAGAAGTTAAAATTTGTTCAAAGAATTCTGAGAAGATAGATTTAAATAGGCAATCTGGAATACTAAAATGAATTCATAAACAGAGGCAAAACTGGTGAATAGTCACAAAGCAACAATCAATTATTCAGTACCAGACAAAATGTATTCACGTTTGTATGGACAATAATCATCTGCATTACCATCAGCTTTCTACAACTTAGAGAGTTGTAAATAGCTCAAAGCCAATGAAAGACCCAGTTAAGCTGCAAGCGTACCCTAGAAAGAACATCCATTTATCATTTTTGCTCATTTCAAAGTCTTTCCCATTTTTTACTAACAGCTTTCCTCCTACAGTCATAAGTACAGAGATTATTCTTTTTTTTTTTTTTCTTTTTTTTTTTTGGTTTTGAGATAGGGTGTCACTCTGTGGCCCAGGCTGGAGTGCAGTGGCACAATCTCTCTGCTCACTGCAACCTCCACCTCCTGGGTTAAAGCAATTCTCCTGCCTCAGCCTCCCGAGTAGCTGGGAGTACAGGTGCCTGCCACTACCCCTGGCTAAATTTTTGTATTGTTAGTAGAGACAGGGTTTCTCCATGTTGGCCAGGCTGGTCTTGAACTCCTGACATCAAGTGATGTACCCGCCTTGGCCTCCCAAAGTGCTGGGATTACAGGCATGAGCCACTGTGCCCAGCCCCGAGATTATTCTTGACCACAAAAAAAGGCAGGTCTCATTAGGATTGGCCTAGCTGCTCCTTACATTTTAATTGCCTCTTTTCTTGTCCATCACCTGCATTAAAATGTCACTTCCCAAGGAAAGAAACCAAACTCATCTTTGTCTTATTGCTCTATTGTGTTCTTTTTAATGATAATCTTTGGGTCAAGTATAGCTATCATGATGTGTTTTTTCTCCTCAAGAATAATATTTGTGAACTTCAGATGTTAATGATATTTATTTTCCAAGTATGTCTTTATCTTGAAAATGAGCCCTTCTGTATTAGAGAGTAATGACATAGTTTTTGTACTGTTTAGTACTACTGTGTTCTAGCACTAAAGAGCATGTAACAGATCTGCTATGCTTGTTGAAAATTAGAAACATCATACTTACAACTAAATCCAACTTTATCATTTGGTCCAGAAGAATTTAACTGTATTAGTACCACTGTTTATAAAATCTGTTGTCAGTTTCCTATTCTTGTTTATAAAGATACAGATACACAGACCCAATGAAGAGATGCTCGCTCTGATTCTATAAAAGATTTAACATATAGATGGGCTCAACATCTTTAAAAACTATTGTTACATGTAATTATAATAGAAAACATTGGAAAACTTTTAATTGCCTGACCAAAGGGATTTAGTTTTGGAAAGGGTAATTTGTTAATTAGTTGTATTGACATGCAGTTATTTTTAAATTACCATTTGAAAACCGTGCTTCCAAAAGGAAAAAATATTATTTATTAAAACAGAACGTGAAAGATTTATGCCTACCTACTTAAAAATATATAATCTTTAGCACAAGGCTTGAACAGTAATGATGCATATTGAAGAGTTGGATTATAGGACACATTTTCTATTTTTGACATTTCCTTTGTGTTGTTACATCAATAACATTCTTGAAAAAGGAAGAAAGAAAGAAATGGTGTTCTATAAAGTCTCTTCAGTACCCTGTGATTTGGGTACTCATAATAGAGTAAAGTAAAGGGTTTCATTATGCTTTGTTTTGCTAACGGACGTCTGATGTCCTTCTCCTGGTGTGATTTTCATTATAGCTAGTTTCAAAGTGCTTGAATTGGGATTAGTTACTTAGTGAGAGTCTTCATGTTCTGTTAGTTACTAACACCAATTTTTATGTGGCTTGAAATGCAGAATTCATCACTATTCTGAATTCTTTAAAGTGTGAACCACCATGACCTTGAAAATCCCCAAAGAGGAAGACCTAGGTTTGAATGATACCACCGTTAAACAAGGGGTTTTAGATCCTTCATCCGCCCTTCAAGCCTATTCCTTTCACAGGGCACAGGACTTTATAGGTTGATGTGAATTGATGCTGCTTGGTTATGGAAGTGAGCTCACTAGAATTAAAGCCTTGCCCGCTTATTCATGGAAGTTGGCAGGTCCCAGGAAACGAGCTCTTGGGCAGGGCTTTGTTCTTATAAAAATTAATGGAAAATATCCCACTGGTTAAATGACATTTGTAGCAAAAGGAGTACCCTAAAATGTATTTCTATTCTGTGAGATGTAGAAACACCCATTATAGACATTCACAAAATAATGATTTGAGAAACAAGTGTATATAATGCAATGAAAATAGTTCATATCTATAAGTTTCTTTGGGGTGTTTGAATGTTTATATTCCATCACTCACCTCCTCTCATGATCCAGATAAAAAGTTAAACAGCCTGTAATCCCAGCACTTTGGGAGGCCGAGGCAGGCAGATCACGAGGTCAGGAGATTGAGACGATCCTGGCTAACACAGTGAAACCCCATCTCTACTAAAAATACAAAAAATTAGCCGGACATGGTGGTGGGTGCCTGTAATCCCAGCTACTCGGGAGGCTGAGGCAGGAGAATGGCATGAACGCCATTGGAGTTCACCCATTGGAGGCAGGGGTTGCAGTGAGCCAAGATCGTGGCACTGCACTCCAGCCTGGGCAACAGAGCGAGACTCCACCTCAAAAAAAAAAATGTTAAACCAAGCTTCTCTGTCTGAGTGGAGCAGCCTACATGTGGGTCTGCTTGGGAATGTCTTCTTTACTTCTGTTTATGCAATGAATACTATATGAGTATCATGTGCATACAATATAATATTAATTGGATCTGGAGACTTGTGATTTGAGAGGTTTATTGTTCACATAGTAAAGCTCTCTGTGGAAAGCTGAGTGGTCTCCCAAGCAAGTCTAAGAAAAGAATTCCTCGAATAAGCAGAGGAAGAAGACTAGCTTAGGGTTTTATGTTGTTACAGGATGGGGCTGGGACAAGGGTTCCTACACAAGGGTCAGGACTTGCATTGTGTGAACTTCCTGCTGGTGCCAAAGGAGGGAGTAACTGGGCTCTTTTATTGTTCCAAATGTGGGGCAAAAGGGGAAGGAGGTGTGATGAGAATTAAAAGACATTAGTATTAAACATCAAAAATGGAGTTGAACCCTTAATAATAAGGGGATAAAGAAGTGAGACTTTAAAATTTGTATCCTTCTTATTCTCTCTAAAAACTCTTGCCCTCCTTCCACAAATTATAAATTGGAATTTACAATCTGGTATAGAAAGCAATAAGTAAAGCAATATTTATAATTCCAGAAAAAGAGTAAGAGTAGATGTATGTAGAGAGGACCAATGGGAGCACAGGAAAGGAATAGATGAGTAGGACTGGGACAGATGAGACTAGAACCATGTTGTAAACAAAGAAGAACTGAAAGGCAGCGAGGGAGATAAGGCTATTTTGGCCAAGGAAACAGGATGTGTAAAGGCATCGAAGAAAGAGAGCATGCCCCACTGAGAACATTTTTAAGACATCAGGCATGGCTATAGTATAAAAGAGTTCTGAGGAATGAGAGTGGAGCTTTCTACCCAGAGTACGTCACAAACCACTTGGAGTACAATATCCTAAAAAAAAAGGCACGTCATTAAAGGATTTTTAAATAGGAAGCAACAAGATGGCCTATGCATTTTTGTTGGCAACAGGCCCCCCAAAATCTGGCCATAAACTGGCCCCAAAACTGGCCATAAACAAAATCTCTGCAGCACTGTGACATGTTCGTGATGGCCAGGGTGCCCACGCTGGAAGGTTGTGGGTTTACCAGAATGAGGGCAAGGAACACTGGCCCACTCAGTGCGGAAAACCACTTAAAGGCATTCTTAAACCACAAACAATAGCATGAGCGATCTGTGCCTTAAGAACTTGCTCCTGCTGCAGATAACTAACCAGACCCATCTCTTTACTTTGGCCTATCCCTTTGTTTCCCATAAGGAATACTTGTAGTTAATCTATAATCTATAGAAACAATGCTTATCACTGGCTTGCTGTCAATAAATACGTGGGTAAATCTCTGTTCAAGTCTCTCAGCTCTGAAGGCTGTGAGACCCCGGATTTCCCACTCCACACCTCTATATTTCTGTGTGTCTTTAATTCCTCTAGCGCTGCTGGGTTACGGTCTCCCCGACTGACCAAGCTGGTCTCAGCACATCTTACGTAAAACACCTGGCAGCCAGTTGAAAGATGGACTCAATGGAGACCAGACTAAAAGCAAGAGCACTTATGAAAGGATTTTGCATCAATGCTAGAAAGAGGTGAGAAAATAACCTAGAGTACTCAACAGTAGGGAAAGCGATGAGATGAGATGATCTTAAAGAGGTAGCTGTGCCAGGCACGGTGGCTCATGCCCGTAATTCCAGCACTTTGGGAGGCCAAGGTGGGCAGATCACAAGGTCAGGAGTTTGAGACCAGCCTGGCCAATATGGTGAAACCCCGTCTCTACCAAAAATACAAAAATAGCCAGGCATAGTGGTGGATGCCTGTAGTCCCAGCTACTTGGGAGGCTGAGGCAGGAGAATTGCTTGAACCCAGGAGGCGGAGGTGGCAGTGAGCCGAGATCGGGCCACTGCACTCCAGCCTGGGAGACAGAGTGAGACTCTGTCTCAAAAAAAAAAAAAAAAACAACAAAGAGGTATCTGCTTCAGGACTTAGTGGCTGATTGCATGTCTATGAAAAGTAGGGAGATGCAGAGTAATTAAAATGTACAGAAAATTAGGAGTGACTCCCAGCCTTCTGCTTGGATGAATAAGCAGGGAAAAAAAAGAAGTTGGGTGTGAGTTGCCTGTGTGACTTCCAGGCCATATCTAGAAAGTAAGAGAAGTAACGAGGCTGCAGATGACGACACCAAACCATTGCTGAGAAAAGGCATGGCGAGTTTCCATCCGCTTCTAAAAGTACAAAAAAGATATGTTATATCTCATGACATCTCACACAATAAAAACATTGTTCCTTAGGATAGTGATCTACACAAGACCCTCTGGATGAGGCAAAAAGAAAATGCAAGCCTAGAATATCCAAGAATATTTCATAAATATTTATTTTAGGAACCTGCTTATATATTTCTTTCCTAGAAAAAAAAAGTTTTACCTATTTATAGTGATGCCATCTCCAGTAGAATATTTTTTAAATCATGTTGGGAAAAGTCAGAATTAACACAAGTTTGAACTCTGCATAATTAGTTGCTGCTTAATGGAAAAAGCAGCACAAGGACATAGTGACAATTACAAATAGTATAAAAGATATACAGGAAAAGTAGGTCACCCCCGCATCCAGAATCCCAAGTCCCCTCTGTAGAGGCAATAACTCTTGCCAGCTTCTCATGTGTCTTTTCGAAAACCTGAAGCGCTTTTCTGTGAACATAACAACTGGCTCTCCACCTAATCTTTCAAAAGGATTCACCTATCAGGAAGTCTATTTTTTTAGTTCCAAGACCCACAGAGCCAGAACTGACCCCAAAAGTAAATTAAGCAGCTGAGGAATAGATCAAAGTAATGAATGGCTCTTAGACCCAGTTGAGTCTGTTTTTACCAGTTGAGTGATTTATTATCTGCTTTTAGTGAACATTCCTCCTGCTAGGTTTACGTTTTTTCCATCAGGCCTGTGACTTCAGGTGGCCCACCTGTTTCCCCACAGAGATCTGAAAATTGTCTTACCTTGGAACCAATCTGAAACAGCACCACGCCGGGCATGGTGGCTCACGGCTATAATCCAAGCACTTTGGAAAGCTGAGGTGGCTGGATCACCCGAGGTCAGGAGTTCAAGACCAGCCTAGCCAATATGGCAAAACCCCGTCTCTACTAAAAATACAAAAAGTTAACTGGGCGTGGTGGCAGGCTCCTGTAATCCCAGCTACCCAGGAGGCTGAGGCAGGAGAATTGCTTGAATGCAGGAGGCAGAGGTTGCAGTGAGCCGAGATGACGCCACTGCATTCCAGCCTGGGCGACAGAGTGAGACTCTGTCTCAAAAAACAAAAAAAGGAAAAGAAACAGCACCGCATAACTGGGAATATTCCAAGACTGCCAGAGAGATGCTTAAGTAGTTTCTGTCTCCTCCCAAATTTGGGGTAAGAATGGTTCTCATGAGAGAAAATGCTTTGGAGATGCTTTTGTGGACTTCTATCTCAAAAACAAGACTCCAGAAAATAAATTATCACCAAATACTGAAATATGAGTTGCTATTCTACAATCCTTTTAAATATGAGATGCTGTATTCAGTATTCCTTCTGTTTGGGAACATTTAGAGACTTACCTGCTCCCTTCATGTGGTATTCCCCACGTCCCACTTCATTTGGCAAGCTATTTGCGTACGTGAGCTATCTACTCCATAGCAAGCTTTTGCAGAAAAAGACCTGTGTTTGATTAAGCTCTATATTAACCAGCCAGGCGCAGTGGCTCACGCCTGTAATTGCAGAACTTTGGGAGGCCCAGGGGACCGGATCACCAGAGGTCAGGAGTTAGAGACTAGCAGCCTGGCCAACATGGCAAAACCTTGTCTCTACTAAAAATACAAAAATTAGCCAGGCATGGTGGTGCATGCCTGTAATCCCAGTTGCTTGGGAGGCTGAGGCAGTAGAATCGCTTGAACCCAGGAGGTGGAGGTTGTGCAGTGAGCCACTGCACTCCAGCCTGGACAACAGAGTGAGACTCTGTCCAAAAAACAACAAACAAACAAACAAACAAAATGCTCTATATTAACAAGTATTTTCATGATGCCTGAATATTAAGTATTTGCAAATTAAATGAATGCCGTGACACTTGAAACTGCTATCTTCAAGAATAAAGTTTCTTCCTGACTTTAAAAAGAAAACAAAAATAAAAAGTAAATATGAGAGCTTGGATAAAGCATACATTTTTAAATAGCTTTTGTGATTACAAAATACATTGATATTTGTTGTCAAAAATATAAAACGCTCATGGAAATAGAAAAAAAATGAAAGTCATCATTATGCCACTGTAATCATTGCTAATATCTACCAAGCTATATCCCATCTATAGATATTACAGTTTTGCTTAAGACCTTTGTGAGTTTTTTTTCCAATATACAAAATTTTCTTCAGACTCAAAGAGGTAACTCATTAAAGTGGGCTCTTTGTGTCTTTGTCCCCAAGCAGGGAGCCAGCTGCTTTGGCAGGTGTGAGGATGATGTGGAGTTCCACTGCAGCAGGTGTTTAATAATCCTTTGCTTGTACCTTCTATCTCCTCCAGCGGTGCTGTGAGCAACAGAAACTGTTCTGAAAACCCACTCTGTGGAAGGTAGCGATTAAGCAGGAATGATTTATACCTGCCAGAAAGATTGTTTCCTTTAAAACTGTCTTTAAATTGTGGTTAAGATATATTTGTTTGGGAACACTGCTGGTTCAACTTTAGCATTGGGAGAAAGTTGAAAGGTAACTTGGAAGATGATCTGTGGGTATTTGTTTAATGCCAAGCTGACTCCAGCTTCTCCACCATGCAGATTGTACAGCTTTTCTGTCCCCATAATATATAAAAATAATAAAAGGGGGAGGAAAGTACACAGAGCCTGATACTGTTAGAAATCTTCCAGTTTTATATTCAATTTTATAATGTTATATTCAGTAAGTTAAAGCTGCTTTAAAAATAGTTTCTAATGAAATAATGGAGGGGTAGTGTATTCATCCCTGCTTTAAACGATGTCAAATATTGTTTTAATCTGGTGTAATGGGTGGCTTCTGCAGTGCGAATCAACAGAGGACATTCAGATTACTTGGTTAGCCTCGAATATAGCATCAGGTATTCTAATCAAGTTATTTCCTTATGCTTACATAAAGTCAGTAGATTTTATTGGTTTTGCATCAGCAGACACTGCCATATTGGTGCCTTTTTCAAAGTGACATTGATATTACTGAACCTAAGGCAAAAACAAATGTATATGCCAGTAACAGTAGCAAATATGAAAATGGAATTCTGATAATACAGTGTTTAATGTAGCAAAATCAGCAACAACGTATTTTTTGTCTGAAAATAAACATCGAAAAGAGTCGGAAAATGGAAACACCCTTGGTAATCAGATATTCTGTCTATTATACTATTTTACATACCCTGGGACAGATGTCAAGAAAGTTTACTTCATCAACACCATCTTTCATAGCTTAAGTTAATGTTGAGAAAATTTTATTGACAATAAGCTGTTTTACAAATGTAATATTAGTTCTTCATTTTGGGTGTGTTTGGGTGTGTATTTTTCATCTTGGCTCAAATCTAAGGACCCAATATGACAACCCTGTGGTTTGGGAGGAAAAGTAGAGGCCTAGAAGAATAACATTGGGCAGTCCACTCAGATAATGCAAGAGCCAATTGAGGCTTCTTAAAACCTAATTTGGGCATAATATCTGAACTGTTACACCTGCTTCCTTAACTAGATAAACTGAATTGGGTGACAGATCTCTCTGGCAGGAAAAAATATTGCACAACTCTTCCAAGACAGACATTTTCACCAATGGGCCATTAACCTCAGCCCTTCTTGTATCTTCTGCATTCCACCAAAGCTTATTATGTCTTGACACATACTTTCCATTTTAAAGAAAGTACACTCAGCTTTCAGGAAGATATTAATATACAGTTAAGTAATATGATTTCAAAACTGAAACGAATTTATCACAGATGAGTTACGTAGTCTATCACTGGTAAAACCCTAAGGTTTTATTTATAAAATGCAGAAATCAGAAAAACAAGTTAGTCATAATTTAATTGCATGTGTATCTGCAATTGCAGGTACAGTCCCATTTTTGTGAAATGTTTACATTTGGAACTTTTCTGAGGATACCATTTATGAAGCCAATCTTTGTCTATTAATATTATACTTCCTCCTCCATGCTCATTAATAGAGCATGTCTCCTAGATGTCTTTGAAGGGATGCTGCTTACAGAAAATAAATGCTACCATTGTTGTAGCATGCATGTAAAGCTTACTTTCTTCATCATATTGTAGATAAGAAAAATAAATGCAGAATGAAATATTATATTTGTAATGTCTAATTATTGTAATAACTATTGTTATTTGAAATCCTATAACATGTACCCCTGGATGAAATTCAGTGCACATTTTATGTGTATGTTCACTTTTGCTAACTTACATCATTCATTCACATCTGTTCCTTTGATCAAGTTGTCATGCCCTCCGAAAGGTAAGGGCTATATGACTTCAAACATGTGGAAACTTCTGTTTTGAGGAACTTCAATATTTTCACCGATTTATATCTGTATTTATAATTCCATGATAATTATACATTTAGTGAGTGTCTACCATGTCCCATTTAGTCCTTATGACAACACTGCAAAGTAGATAGTATTACTAAAGAGGAAATTGACACCCAGCGAAGTTGTCTATTATGTACAAGCATTTACATGGCATATGAGATCCACATCTATTTCAGACAAGCTTCTTTCATGTGGCAAGGGTGTGGCTTTTACCATCACCACAAAGCAATACTAGAAGAATCAGGGAAGAATGTTCTATCTTTTGTTCTGTTTGTAGTAGTACCAGTGACGAAATATGATTGGCCTAATGGAGCATGTGTCTACCTAGGGCCAAGCATCGATCGCTGTGGCCATATGTATAGGTATTACCATTGGCCAGACTGAGATCATATACCCACCTTGTGGTCAGTGGACAGAAAACATTGAAACCACCAGCATTCTATGGAATGGATGGTAAAGATGAACAAATTCCCCATAAAGAGACAAATTATCTTATCAGAGGAAGGGTGACAATGCTACATTAAATACACACACACACATATCCACTTACGAAGTACAGCTTCAAGTTCTTTTAACATGCTTCCCATTGAGAAGCAGGTCTAAGTCCCTGGAACTTGAACCTGGTTCTGTGCTTGCCTGACCAACAGAATATAGCGGGAATGCCGCTGTCCGGTTTCCAATCCAAAGAATTAAGAAACTGGCAGCTATCCTATCTCTTGGGCTCATTCTTGCAAACCAACCACAATGCTACAGAAACATATGTGGGAAGTCCATGCAAAAAGGAAACAAGGTCCAGGCACTCATCCCCATGAATTCTAAGCCAACAGCGAGGATCATATTGCCAGTCATGTGACTATAAGGATTCTGTGAGTACATCCTCCAGCCCAAGTCAACTTGCTTTAACTGATGTTGTATGAAGCAAGAACAAGCCTTCTTTCCAAGCCCTGCCCAAATCACATGTTTATGACCTGATTATTGTTGTTGTTTGACGTCATTAAGTATTAAGGGCATCTGCTATGTAAACAGATAACTAAAACAATCAGAGTCCAAAAATTTTTGCTCTTTCTTCTGCATTGCATACACAAATCTGGCTCAGCACCAAATTTTGCACAGCCCTCTAAATACCCAGCACTATGCCAAGCACATTGTAGTTATGCTATAAATATGTATGAAATAATTGAATTTTGCATTATTCACTTTGTAAATGGATAAATAGCACAAAGAACTTAAGTGACTTTCAGAAGTGAGTCTTAAGCTGAGCTGGAAATAAAAGATTTTCATATCCAAGTTGAATGCATTATCTATCAGGACCCTCAGAAGAGTCTCTTTACATAAAGCACAATCTAACTCTTCTATTTCTCATGGAATAAGATGACGGGTGGTGAATGCTTTCTGAGCTTTAAAAATAAGCATGCTGAAATGCCTGGAAGGATAAGCTATAATGCATTAACAGGCGTTAACTTTGGAGAGTAGTCCGTGGAGTTTGAAGAAGCAAATTGATTTCTACCTTTGGTACCACTCTTATTTCTTACAGTGAATGTACATTAATTTTATACTTTTAAATGACATTAAATTAGAACTAGTAAAGGAAATTCACCAAAATGTTAGCAGCAAGTATCTTGATTATAGGATTATGAGGGTTTTACACTGACATTTATTATCTAAATTGTACATTGCTGTAGAAAATGTACTCCCCTGCAGTTCCTGAAGAATTTAATTTCAAATTCTTGTCTTTTAAAATCCCAAATTTTATATAACAGAAAAAATTCATTGCACATTATTCAGACGTGTCACACAAAATCAACTGCAATGTCCCAAGCTTCAAATTCACACACACAGAGAATGACGCATCTGAACACACACTCCCAACTTCATCAGGAAACCATTATGGGAAAGCTCTGCTTTTGAGCACAGCACCAGTAAGAATGTTGCAAACAATTCATTGATCAGCCTTTTTACTCTTGAAGATTTTGTCTTGCTACAGCAGCATTTCCAGGAAAGAGGTTTGAAACATACACTTGCTCAGTGCTTCCTGCTTACGTGGGAAGATGGCAAAGAGCCCATTTGCGTCTGCCTCTGAGGCTCAAGCACTGCTAAGGGATACTAAACCTTTGACACTTTCAGAGCTTTCCTATTTATGTAAAAGCTAGAAAATTAGTTAATATGGTACTTTAGATTCTCTTCAGTTATAACTAAAAATGTTCTCTGGGCACAAAATTTCAGTGTACAGACACTCTGCTCCTGATTTTCTATTTCTATCAATGGATTGAGTAATTTTCAGCCCAAAGTACAAGTTATCAAAGACCAAGCATTTTATTTACTCATTATATATCCAGCCTACAGCTAAAAAGCAGGTACCATTCAACAAGCATTCTACTGAGCACTGAAGAAATATGAAGTTGGGAGATATACAATGGATAATTCTTACTCTCAACTATTAGTCTGGTGCAAAAGTAATTGTGGCTTTTGCCATTACTTTTAATGTCCAACAAAATGTCCAAAAAGGTGATTTCCCATCTGTCATGGACTCTGTTAGTTACCTAATCAGCCATCATCCTTGTTCCCTTTTTTCTTTTTTTTTCTTTTGAGACAGAGTCTTGCTCTGTCACCAGGCTGGAGTGCAGTGGCACAATCTGGGCTCACTACAACCTCCACCTCCCGGGTTTAAGCGATTCTCCTGCCTCAACCTCCCGAGTAGCTGGTACTACAGGCGCCTGCCACCATGCCCGGCTAATTTTTGTATTTTTAGTAGAGACGAGGTTTTACCATGTTCACCAGGATGGTCTCAATCTCTTGACCTCGTGATCTGCCCGCCTCAGCCTCCCAAAGTGCTGGGATTACAGGCATGAGCCACTGCGACCAGCCCGCTCCCTTTTTTCTTGCTAACAGAACTTAAGCTTTGTCCAGGATGACAATGTGCCAAGCTATAAGGGATGAATCATGACTGGTCTAAGCTACTCATGTCATGTCTCTTGTATTCCCTTTGCTAGAAACACACACTCCCAGACCCCTCTGCAGCTACAGGTAGTCATGTGACCTTGCTCTGGCCAGCAGACATAAGGGGGAACTCAGTTCAGAAGAAAGATCCCACCTACTTCTGACTCTTCCTTCCTGTTAAGAATGCAGCTGTATGAGTAGCCTTGTAGTTATGTGTGACCATAAAACAACCAGCATTGAAATGGGAAGGGCCCTCATTGAAGCAGAATGGAGAGAATCCGGGGCCTTGACGCCACTGATGAGCTAAATAACCCTGTTAACATTGACTTCTTAATCTTCTTTTGTGTTTTAAGCCACTACAGCTTGGATTCCTGTGCTTGCAGTCTATTGGATCCTAAAAATCCTGATAAACTGTCCTATTGATTTATTTCTGGGCAATTTTAGGAAAGGCTTTTTATTCATACAATGCCTTGACATGGATATTTCATTACTTTGCAGTAAATACTGAAATTATTGAGCATTCCCAGTATATATATATATATATATATTTTCCTGTCTGGAAGAAGGAGAAAATACCTTAAGTATCTTAAGTTTCTTTTGCTTTCATGATTCCTTTGCTTTGGTTTTTCAGAATTTGACTATGATGTGTCTCAGCGTTGATTTCTGAGATGGTTTGCCTTAGTTCTCTGAACATGTTCATAATAATTGATTTTAAGTCTTTGTCTCATATAGTCAACATTTAGGCTTCCTTGGGAACATTGACTGCTTTTTTCCTTGTATATGAGTCAGATGTACTATTCTATTTTTTCATATATCTGATATTTTTGTTGAGGACCGGACATTGTATATAATATAATGCATCAACTATCAAATCCGATCTCCCTCTTCCCCAGAGTTTGTTGATGTTGATGTTGTTGATTCTTGTTTACCTTCCTAATTCTGTACAGCCTGTATTCCTTGTCATACGTGACTATGGAAGTCACTAAGCAGATTGTCAACTAATGATTGAACAAGATTTCCTTACATCCCTTCAGCCAGTAAGTCCTATTATTTATTTCATATGGCAGAAATATAAATAATCAAAATGTCTAATATGATATAATTTTTCAACTTAAAATAGATTCATTTTTCAAAGAATATATCTTTGAAACATCACATTTTGAAGACTTTTGAACATAATATAATATGAGGTGAAAAGACATAATGAAAAACTTTAAATAGCCTAACCTCAATTTCATAAAATGTACATGCCATATAAACAACCAAAAAAAAAAGTACATGCCAGATAAACAAGCAAAAAAAAAAAAACCTAGAAGAAAATGTTATACCTTATACAAAAATTAACTCAAGATGGATTAAAGACTTAAACATAAAACCCAAAACCATAAAAACCCTAGAAGAAAACCTAGGCAATACCCTTCAGGACATAGGCATGGGCAAAGACTTCATGACAAAAATGCCAAAAGTAATTGTCACAAAAGCCAAAATTGACAAATGGGATCTAATTAAACTAAAGAGCTTCTGCATAGCAAAAGAAAGTATCAGGAGAGTGAACAGGCAACCTACAGAATAAGAAAAAATTTTTGCAATCTATCCATCTGACAAAGGTTTAATATCCGGAATTTATAAGGAACTTGAACAAATTTACAAGAAAAAAACAACCCCATCAAAAAGTGGGTAAAGCCTATGAACAGACACTTCTCAAAAGAAGACATTTATGTGGCCAACAAACATATGAAAAAAGGCTCAACATCACTGATCATCAGAGAAATGCAAATCAAAACCACAATGAAATACCATCTCACGCCAGCCCAGAATGGCGATTATTAAAAAGTCAGGAAACAGTAGATGCTGGCGAGGCTGTGGAGAAATAGGAATGCTTTTACACTGTTGGTGGGAATGTAAATTAGTTCAACCATTTCATATCTCAAAAAAAGTCTCAAAATATGAAAATAATAATAGATCTTCAAAAAGCAGTTATGGGTATTGTTTTTCTTCTTATATTTATTTTCACCACAGTTTTTAGGACAATTACACAAAGAGGACATGATTCTGTAGGTGGACTTCCTGCCTCCTACACCCCTGAACCGTCTGCCCCAGCCTCTACTTCCTTCTTAACTCACTTGAACAAGATATGGTAAGAGGCAATTCCAGAAACCAACTATGGTGCTCAATTTAAGAGAAAGAATATAAAATGAAAAAGACAGAACTATGTACAAATGTGTGTGTTTATTTGGAATAAAAAAGAAATCGCAGAAATCTATAAAAAGCTGAAAAATACCACAATTATTACAAAATCTGGACACACATTTTTATTAACACATCTCCAGAAAATATTTTCCTACTTTTTTTGGCTTGTATTTTTTTTATTGCTTTCTCATATGACAACAATTGTGTTTCCACTTTCTCTAAAAAGAATAGAATAATTTTATCTTTCCTCTAACATGGTTGGTTGAATTTTTTAAATTATACTTTAAGTTCTGGGATACATGTGCAGAACGTGCAGGTTTGTTACATAGGTATACACGTGCCATGGTGGTTTGCTGCACCCATCAACCCGTCATCTACATTAGGTATTTCTCCTAATGCTCTCCCTCCCCTAGTCCCCCCACCCCCGACAGGCCCCAGTATGTGATGTTCCCCTCCCTGTGTCATAGTTGGTGTTTTTTAAACATGAAAGTTCACATACAGATGTACCTTTTTTTTGCAATACTACCATAGGAGTGTGCCTTACAAACATATAAATTCTGATGAATTCCATTTCATACTGTTTTCACTTAAAATGTAAAGTGAATTTATAATTTCCTAGGCTAAATTATATTTCTGCAAAAAGTGAGAGATTAGGTAAACCTGCCTGAGGTTACACAGCTGGCAGATTGCTGCACTGGGATTCCGTTCCTGACAGCTGGCATTCATCATGACTCACGTTCCTACCCACTCCTCTACACTATGCCTTCCAACCTCATGCCTGCACTTCTGAAATCTTGATTAACTGTGAAAGGGGAAAGGCGAGAAAGGAAACAAGCCAGAATTTACTGAATATTTGCTGTGTGTTAGTCTTTTATGTTTGGCATTTTCCTTATCTCATTTACTCTGCAAAGAAACTCTGAAAGGTCAGTACCATTTTCCCCAGTCTAGCAGTGAGTAAACTGAGGCTGAGAAGTTCAAGGGTACAACACTAAAAGTCAACAGTGTAGTTCCAAAGCCAATACTCTTTCTACTATACACACCTGATTCTGTAAAAATATAAGGGAAAAATATGGAGTGTCTGGTATGAAACTTTAAAATTAGATTTCAGAGTATTTTATTTATGTTACAAATACTTTTGTTGGTTTCCTGTTATTTCCTAGATTGTAAATGCATCCAGGAAAGCACCTGTTTTTTGTGTGTGTATTTGTTCCAGAAATACACCTCCAGAACTCACCTTCCCAAAAAGAAACTCTACCTATTAAACAATAACTCCCCGTGTCTCTCTCCTCTCAGCCCTTGGCAACCACCGTTCTGTTTGCTATGGTATGACTACTTTAGGTACCTCATATAAGTGAAATCATATAGTACTTGTCCTTTTGTATCTGGCTTATTTTACCTTGCACAATGTGGTAAGTGATCAAGGTTCATTTCCATTGTAGCGTATGTCACAGCTTCATCTTTTTCAAGGCTAAATAATATTCTGTTGTATGTAGGTACCCTATTGTGTCTACGCAGTCATCATCGATGAACATTTGAGTTGTTTTTACTTTTCACCTATTGTGAATAATGCTTCTCTGAACATTGATGTACTAGTGTCTATCCTGTGATTTTTTAAGATGAGAAATTAACCACTGTAAATATGTCAGTTTGAAAATCAGCAGGGCAATCCTGGGAGTTCTACCCCTAGCTGCCAGGCCTGGGGGAGAGGGAAGGGGAAGCTCAGCTTTCTGCCATGGTCCCTTCTTGCTTGCAAGTGTAGGTCCTCATGGAAAAGGCTTTGGTCAGCCCTGCTCAGGGTCACCCGACCACTGTTGTCATGGCCCAGGCCAAGGAAAGAGAGTCATGGGAACACCTGTAATTTCCTATCTTATGTCATGATGCAATCATCCCAGAGTCCAAATAAGTTACCTTCAGAAGCACGGAGGTTAAGACTCAGCTTCACTAAAATCTGCAGTCTTCAGTTCTCTAAAAAGAAAAAGAAAGCTTTATTCCACTAGTGTTCATAGGAAATTATTCCAGGGTCGCCACGCTAATTATGATCAGAGGTCATCTAGATTTGAGAGCCAATCGTATATTTCTTAAACACTTAGAATCAACTGAGCTCCATGTGTGAGCATCCCTCTTAATTAAACTAAGCATACACTCTCTTTCTGTCTTATTGATAAATTACTCTCAGGGTCTTAGGATAATTACCTACTGCAACACTAAATCAAAATCTACAAATGATATGACAATTACCATATACAAGGATATTTGCTGTTTTTAAAGATAGGCTTTATGGATGAATACATTGACTCTATATTTATATTTTAAGCTTAATATATTCATTTATTAAGCTTCATTTATAATGAGTTTAGTATTAGAGATCATTCAGAAAACTGTAAGAAACACTTATTTGTCCTTTTCATTTTTATGTAATATTCTAAAAATATTTGTTTCTCATCACTGTAGAGAACTGAACAAATAATATTTTTTCATTGTATCCAAATGAGCGTAAACTCTAAAGGTGAAAAAATATTTCCCAATGAAGCTTATTTTAATTCACTTACTTTACTTTTGCTTAAGAACACTCTTCTAATTCATGGAAAGAATATTTCAATTGTTTGTTTTTGTTCGTTTTTCATTTTCTCTTAATGTGTTTTCTTCTGTGGGCTTAGCTAATGCAGTGATGACTATCTACTTAAAACAAGCCTCCCTTGTTTTAAGATAATAGCAAATCTCTGCTTTGCTTATCACTGGTCTGAAGCTCTACTGTGATCAGTTAAAAAACTTCACATAAGGCCGGGCGCCGTGGCTCACGCCTGTAATCCCAGCACTTTGGGAGGCCGAGGCGGGCAGATCATGAGGTCAGGAGATCCAGACCATCCTGACTAACACAGTGAAGCCCCGTCTCTACTAAACATACAAAAAATTAGCCGGGCATAGTGGCGGGCGCCTGTAGTCCCAGCTACTCGGGAGGCTGAGGCAGGAGAATGGCATGAACCTGCGAGGCAGAGCTTGCAGTGAGCCAAGATCGTGCCACTGCACTCCAGCCTGGGCGACAGAGCGAGACTCCATCTCAAAAAGAAAAAAAAAAAAAAACTCCACATACAGAAAAGGGTCTTTTCACTGGAAGAGTGCTTTTGTTAAAGAATAAAGTCACAGTCTATTATAAAATGAGAAAGAGACAGAGAGAGGGCTGAATTAGGATTTTTTTCTATCTTCTTTACCAGAACTCACTTCTGACTATCAGAATGCTTAGGAGTTTGCATCTTAATCCCTGAGAAAATAAGCAGGCCTTAACTAAGCGAACTCTGTTAACAGGGTGCTAATTTTTTTTATGTACAACCTTCTTATTTAGTGACAGCCATTGTTAATATACTGCTTTGTAGCCTTACAAACTTCCGTGTGTGTATAATTAACAAAATGAAATGGTATAGTGTATACTTATTTTTTAAATAACTTTCTCATTTAAGATATGAATAGCTTCCTATATCAGTGCACTTATTCTACACAAACTATTTTCTCTTTAACTTTTTTCAATTAAAGAAAAAACTAAACATAAGTATCTTTTATAGGTAGCATTGAGAGTGAAATCCACCCCTCTTTTCTAGCCTCCAGGAGCACTATTACCAACAGGAAATTATTACCAATAGTTTAGTGGACTGTCCTCATTTTTTTAGTCTTATTGAGTTATAATTGACAAATAGCAATTGTATATATTTAGGATATACAACTTGATGTTTAGATATTTGTATATATTGTGAAATCACAAATATATTTGTATAGATTGTGAAAACACAAGATATACACATTTGTATAGATTGTGAAAACACACACACACACACAAAGCTAATTAGCATTTCCGAGAAAAGTTACCTCTTTTGTGGTAAGAAGCATTTAAAATCTAACTTTATTGAGCTTCAAGATAATCAATTTAGACCTCCATGTAGAATTCCTTACTCAGGGGAGATAGGCCAGGAGGGAGCTGGAGATGTCCTGTGCTAAGTCCTGATTATCCATCATCCAAGTGAGCTAGTCTGTGTCCTGGGGTCAGGAGCAGGCACCAGAGTCCTGGCACCTTTAGTCCCTCTACCGACTTCATCCACCAGTATCGTATCACCAACAAACGAAGTGAAAACAGGAATCCCACAGACCTCTGGGGCAAAATCAACATGTAGCTCCTTCCTTTTCCCTTTAGGGTTCATTTAGAAATGACTGGCAATGCAGACGCACTCTGTATTCCACCATATGTCAGTGATTTGAAGACACAGGTTTTTCACATCTCAATGGCTCTAAAATCTAGATGCATCTTACGATTGATTGCTGTTGGCCAGGCAGAAGCTGTGATGTAATAAATGAACCCTGTGACTAGAGTAACATTGTACAGAAGAGAGAGAGAGAAGACAATAAAGGTTTTGAGTACAATAGATAAGTTGTTCTTTAACTTCAGAGGACATTAGAATCACCTGGAAAGTGTTTTAAAATCCAGATTGTCAGAGCCCTCTTTCAGGACTTTGGATTCACTGGGCCTGAAGTGTGGCCAAGAATTTGCATTTCTGACAAGTTACTGGTGCTCCTGATGTTGGCCTGGGAACCATCTGAGAACTGTTTCTCCAGGAGCTAGGGACCGAATGTTTGCAACCCTCAAGATTCATTTATTGAAACCTAATGCCCCAATGTGATGATATTATCAAGTAGAGCCTTTGGTAGGTGATTAGGTCATAAACATAGAGCAGGGGTGTCCAGTCTTTTGGCTTCCCTGGGCTGCCAAGGAAGAATCGTCTTGCACCACACATAAAATACACTAATGATAGCTGATAAGCTAACAAAAAATTGCCAAAAAAATCTTGTAATGTTTTAAGACAGTTTATGAATTTGTGTTGGGCTGTATTCAAAGCCATCCTGGGCATGTGGCATGTGGGCCACAGATTGGACAGGCTTGGCAGAGAGCCTTCATGAATGAGTTGCTGTCTGTAGAAGGGGCTGAAGAAACCGTAGTTTGCCCCTTCCACCATGGGAGGACACATACGAGAAGGCACCAATTATGAATCAAAAAGTGAGCCCTCACCCGACACCAAATCTGCCAGTGCCTTGATCCTGGAGTTTCCAGCCTCCAAGACTGTGAGAAATACATTTGTATTGTTTAAAACTCCCCAGTCTATGGCATTTTGATATAGCAGCCCAAAAGGACTGAGACACAGGCTTTGGCACAGATCCTAGCTGGTCTCATCTGCAGCCCATTTCTAACTTGCACCCAAGACGGGTGTATTAGTCTGTTCTCACACTGCTGATAAAGACTGGGTAATTTATAAAGGAAAGGTTTCATTGACTCAAAGTTCCATATGGCTGGGGAGGCCTCACAATCATGGCAGAAGGCAAGGAGGAGCAAGTCACATCTTACATGGCAGCAGGCAAGGGAGAGCATGTGCCTGCAAACTCCTCTTTATAAAATCATCAGATCTCATGAGACTTATTCACTATCATGAGAAGAGCAGAGGGAAAATCCCACCCCTATGATTCAATTACCTCCCAACGGATCTCTCCCACAACACACGGGGATTATGGGAGCTACAATTCAAGGTGAGATTTGGGTGGCAGCACAGCAAAACCGTATCAGCAGGTCATTTCTGCAGGTTGCTGGTCATCTGTGTTCTCTGTTGATTTTTACTTCCTTTCTTGTAGATTTTGTCCCAATTTTTTATTGTTCACTGAAGAAAAATGTGAAATGACAATATCTGGCGTCTGATATCAACCTTTTTATATGCTTTTTTTTTTTTTTTTTGAGACAGAGTCTTGCTCTGTCACCAGGCTGGAGTGCAGTGGCATGATCTCGGCTCACTGCAACCTCTGCCTCCCGGATTCAAGCAATTCCCCTGCCTTAGCCTCCCTATTGAATAGCTGGGACCACAGATGTGTGCCACCACGCCCAGCTAATTTTTGCCTTTTTTTGTTGTTGTTGTTGTTGAGATGGAGTCTCACTTTGTCACCCAGGTTGGGGTGCAGTGGTGCAATCTCGGCTCACTGCAACCTATGACTCCGTGGTTCAAGCGATTCTCCTGCCTCAGGCTCCCAAGTAGCTGGGATGACAGGCACACGCCACCACGCCCAGCTAATCTTTGTATTTTTAATAGAGACGGGGTTTCACCCTATTGGACAGGACGGTCTCAATCTCTTGACCTCGTGACCCACCCTCCTCGGCCTCCCAAAGTGCTGGGATTATAGGCATGAGTCACGGTGCCCAGCCTTTATATGCTTTTAATCACAAAGTCCTCTCACCTAGTTCCTCAAGGGCCAAAATTAGGGATCCTTGTAGACATTCTAGCAATATGAGGTCACCCTATAGTTTAGTGCACTCTCAGATTGGATTCCTCTATAGTGTAGTTGAGTCTGAAAAAACACTCATTTAAGTTAATGAGCACTATTGGTATTATTACATATATTGCAGCTATCAGTTTTCTTAATGCTTTTACATAGATTATTTTGTTTGAAATCTTGAAAGAGGTAAAATGTAATTCTTTGTTCATTTTTATTACCATCCAAAGTTTTCTCCTTTGTTCTAGGAATATTTATTGAGGTCTGCTAATGGGTGTGGTGACTGCATTCTACAGGAGCAAAAAGAGAGGAAATTGTGGTCCCTTGGGTAGCTTACAAGTGACAAGACATGCTAAACAGTGGGATGGAAGCCATAGCAGGGATGTGCATTAGGGACAGTGGGCATACTTGGGAGAGGAGAGATTCTGCCAGCTGTGCTTTGAGTCAGATTCATGGAAGATGTCATGGATGAAGAGATAGTGGAAGGGAAAGTGGATCTTAGAAAGGAATTGGTATTTATCAATACACAAAGAAGGGAAGGGGCACCCTGGTGGCAGGACTGTTTCAGTAACTTGTTGTCTTTACTCATCATCATATTCCTATGCCTAGCCCTGGGCCTTACCCAAGAAGACTTACTTAACTGAATTCAGACCATGTTACACTTCTATAAAAAGTGCCTTATGGTAGTCTCTCAATCGTTACTGCTCATGATAATCATCTGGGATATTAAAAAAAATCTCTGCCTACACTTCAATGAGGAATTCCACTGGTATTGGTGGGGTCTAAGCACCAATATTTTGGATAGCCCAAAGGTGATTTCTGTGGACTGAATGTCTATATTCCCCCCAAATATATATTGGAGCCCTAATCCCTGATATAATGGTATTTGGAGGTATGGGGCCTTTGGGAGGTTATCCAGTTGTAAGGAGAGACCCTTCAAGAATGGGATCAGTTGCCTTTTAAAAAGAGATATGAGAGATATCTCTCTTTACCTTGTGAGGATACAGCAAGAAGGTGGCCATATGCAAAGCAGGAAAAGAGCCCTCCCTCACCAGGAACTGAATAAACCAGCACCTTGATCTTAGACTCCACAGCCTCCAGAACTGTGAGAAGTAGATTTCTGTTGTGTAAGCCACCCAGTCTGTGGTATTTTTGTTACAGCAGCCTGAGCTGACTATGACAGTAATTCTAATGTGTAACCAGATTTAAAAATCTCTGCCCTGTGGTAGAGTCTGGTGGTTCAGAAGCAGCATTATGGAAGAAGCAAGAAATACAGATAATGTGATCTAAATGAGATACTCACACTCTAAGCATTAGTCTCCTCATCTCTGAAATATAATAATTGTGCCTACTTTATAGGATTGTTGTGAAAGTTAAGTGGACTTCCATAGATGCAGCATACTGCTTAGAAAAGTATCTGACAGGGTGCCATAGAATTTTAAATTATGATAACTTATCTTTTAGGAATATTAGCCACTGATTTAGGGATAAGTAATTTCCTCTTTTTTAATAATAACAATGCAAACAATATTAAAAGTAATACAGAAGGTAAAGAAGTTTGATCTTCCGGCCGGGCACAATGGCTTACGTCTGTAATACTAGCACTTTGGGAGGCCAAGGCAGGTGGATCACCTGCAACTGGGAGTTTGGGACCAGCCTGATCAACATGGTGAAACCCGGTCTGTACTAAAAATACAAAATGAGCCAGGCATGGTGGCACATGCCTGTAATCCCACCTACCTGGGAGGCTGAGGCAGGAGAATCACTTGAACCTGGGAGGCAGACATTGTGGTGAGCCAAGATGTTGCCATTGCACTCCAGCCTGGGCAAGAAGAGCAAAACTCTGTCTCAAAACTAAATAAATAAATAAGTAAGTAAGTAAATAAATAAATAAATAAAAGAAGTTTGATCTTCCCAGAGACAGTTGCTTCCTAAATGGAAGTATTTCTCAGAACTACCCTACCTGACACTGTGGCTAAATGACTGAGTGTAGGCCGGGCACTGTGGCTCACACCTGTAATCCCACCCAGCAGTTTGGGAGGCCAAGGCAGGTAGTTCACAAGGTCAGGAAATCAAGACCATCCTGGCCAACATAATGAAACCCCGTCTGTACTAAAAGTACAAAAATTAGCTGGGCATGGTAGCGCATGCCTGTAATCCCAGCTACTCAGGAGGCTGAGGCAGGAGAATCCCTTGAACCAGGAAGTCGGAGATTGCAGTGATCCGAAATCACGCCACCATAGCACTCCAGCCTGGTGACAGAGTGAGACTCCATCTCAAAAAAAAAAAAAAAAAAAAAAAAAAGACTCAGTGTAAGCCCCGGAAATATCACTTGACCGTGGTTAGCCCATTGGCTAAGTGAAAACAGAGGTTTCTTTCTCTTTCTAAAGTCTTCCATAACAATAATTATTCTTCTTCAGCTTCATGAGTTTCACAAAAATCTCTATTATTGTCTGTGATAAGAATATTGATGAAAAAAGAAATTATTTCTTCCTGAGCTACTGTTCCAATGAATTGTACTCTATTCTTCCAAAATTCACAAAACCCTCTATAATTCCTCGTGATTCAAAGTGTGGCCTAGGAGCCCTGCCCCACACCTGCTGAAATGGAATATACCTTTCAACAGGGTCCGCAGGTGACAACCTCAGGTTTGCAAGGCACTGTTCTAACAGTGCTGGGATTGAAGAAGGAAGTGATTTCCTTTCCTGAAAGAGTTAATTGTATGCATAAATCCTGGAACTGGCCCTATGTAGTCTCTTTCCTGGGGAATTGAGTTTATTTTTTATTGTGGTGAGATATTTTCCAACAAACCCTGATGAAGTCTCTCAGCTGTTCTACATGGATCCTGGAAGCCCCGTTCACAGCTCTCTCCTTTGAGAAAGAACTGGTGAGCCTTCTTGCTGAAAGTCCTAGCTTAAAAATGTGTACCCAACCAAGAGGGGGTAAAAAACTGCCGTTTCAAAACAGGTGCACTGCTTTCATTCCCTTTTAAATTAAAAACGCAACAGTGTGTCTGTTCTGTTCTGCAGAATATCTTTTTTCTTCCCTGATCTGGAAGAATGTTTCAAGTTACAGTCCAGTGGAAAAACATAGCCACACACACAGGGTTTTCTTATCCTGCTGTGCTGCTTGTTTCTGCAGAGTATCGTTCTGCCCAGAATCCATTGTCAGGAGATTGAGAAGAGTCTGACCTATTAGAACATAATACTTAATTCTATAATAAGGAAAGTACAGACAGAAGAGTGAGAAGTTTAAAGACAGTGTTACTTCCAACATAAAAGCCCCACATATTTTGGACATTGATCTAAGGGTGAGTGATTTCTTCTTGTTTAATAATAACAATACAGATACTGTTAAGAGTTATATAAGATAGAGAAGTTTGACCTTTATAGAGATACCTGCATTTTGAAGGCAAGTCTTTCACAACTACCCATCACTATGCCTGAAGTCCTCCGTGTATGTGTATTTGTCCGTTTTCATGCTGCTGACAAAGACATACCTGAGCCTGGGTAATTTATAAAGAGTAAGAGGCTTAATGGACTCACAGTTCCATGTGGCTTGGGAGGCCTCACAATTATGATGGAAGGCGAAAGACATGGCAGCAGGCAAAGAGGGAATGAGACTCAAGCAAAAGGGGAAACCGCTTATAAAACCATCAGATCTCGTGAGACTTATTCACTACCACAAGAACAGCATGGGGGAAACAGCCCCCATGATTTAATTATCTCCCACCGAGTCCCTCCCACAACACATGGGAATTATGGGAGCTGCAATTCAAGATGAGATTTGGGTGGGGACACAGCCAAACCATATCAGTATGCCTCTCTGAAATGTCACTTTGGATCTTCGTTAGCCGATTCTAACTAAGCTTTACAGAGGTGTAGTTTCCGCACTACAAAATTCATCCTCTTTCAGTACACAGCTTGATGAGTTTCAGTAAATTTGTATGGTTACAGAATGCTTCTATTACTCCAGAATTTCCCTCATGTCCATTTTTAGTAAATCCCTGTATCTATAATCAGCCCCAAGCAATAACTGCTCTGTTTGGTGTCTCTGTAGTTTTGCCTTTTCTATAAATTTTACATAAATGGAATCAGGCAATATGTAGTCTTGTGTGCTTGCCTACTTAGTAAATGCTTTCGAAATCCATTCTTGTTGCATATATCAGTATTTTTTGCCTTTTGATTGCTGAGTAGTGTTTCATTGCCTGAATATACCACATTTTGTTCATTCATCTTCAACCAATGGGATGTTTGTGTGGTTTACAGTCCTTAGCTATTATAAATAATGCTGCTATGGCAGCATGGATGGAGCTGGAGGCTATAATCCCACAGAAACTAATGCAGAAACAGGAAACCAAATACCACATGTTCTTACTACTAAGTGGGAGCTAAATATTGGATACATATGGACGTGAAGGTGGGAACAATAGACACTGGGGACTACAGGAATGGGAGGAAGAGATTGAGGCAGAGTTCAAAAATTACCTCTTGGGTACTATGCTTACTACCTGAATGATGGGCTCAATCATTTCCCAAACCTCAGTGTCACACAATATACCTTTGTAACAATCCCACTCATGTACCCCTCAACATAAAATAAAAATTGAAAAAAAATACAAAAAATAATAAATAATGTTGCTATGATTCATTTGTAAGCTTTTGTGCAGATATATGTGTTCTTTTCCTTGGTAGATTTTAAGAAGTAAAATTTAAAAACTAGGAATACAAGAAATGACTTCAATATAATAATGGACATATATGAAAAGTCCACAGGTAACATCATACTTAGTGGTAAAAAATGGAAAGGTTTTCCTCTCAGATCAGGAACAAGATGAGAATGCCCATTCTCATCGCTTCTACTCAACATAGTACTAAAAGTCCTAGCCAGAGCAATTAGGCAGGAAAAAGAAATAAAATGCATCTAAATCAGAAAGGAAGAAGTAAAATTATTTCTGTTTGCAGATGACATTATGTCATATGTAGAAACCCCTGAAGACTCTATACACAGACAGAGAGAGAGAGAGAGAGAGAGAGAGAGACAGAGACAGAGAGACAGAGAGAGAAAGACAGAGAGAGAGAGATAGAGAGAGAGTAATAAATTTAGTAGCAAAGTTCCAGGATGTAAAATCAGCATGCAAAAATCATTTGCATTTCTATACACTGACAATGAGCTCTTCAAGAAAGAAATTAAGAAAACCCATTTACAATAGCATCAAAAAGAATAAAATACTTAGGAATAAACTTAGGGAGGTAAAATTACACTGAATACTACTGTGTTTTGGTAGGAGAGTTACATTAAAATAGAGTCGCTAGTGTGTCCAGAGAAGTGCCTTTATCTTCGTATAATCATTATTAAGAAGAAACAAGTGAATCTCTTCCCAAATTTACCCTCTGAATGTAGGTTTATATGGTGCTTTTGACATTAACTAGTGTTTACAAAACACCTGCCTTCTACATCTTTACAACTGAATGATGAAAGCACGATGAAAGATAATCAGAGAAAAGCATAAAAAGCAGTGCTTAAGAAATGAAAGCACAGGAACTCTTCACATTTGTCAGAGTGTTATCTTCATATTAAAGATGAACCAAGAGCTGTTTATTCTTCATTTGAAAATGTGGTATATACAGGTTGCTTCACATTATGGAGTTTTCTTCAGCAGCCAAAATTCTAAGTGTCTAGAGCTCACAATATATATCTACTTTCCAATTATATGCAACCTAAGCAAATAAATCTTTACTAAAAATTAAAATCTTTCCAAAATATTCAGAAAAGTGAGTAGTCATCTTTTTTATAGCACTCAGATATATTTTGATAAATTACTTTTCTCCAGCAAAGAGTGAGGCATAACAGCTGGATGTATATATTAATCAGTTTAAATATAAGAATATTGAATACCCTAAGAGACACAAGAATGAACACTGTTAAGGTTCTTTGCATGTGCCCCAGATATTACCTGGTCCATCTATTTTAAAAAATTATAAAACAATTTTCATCCACCCATATATCATCCTTGTCCAAAGAGGATTGCCTTTCCTTCAAAGCTGTTATAAGTGCCCTCAATTCTAGATTAGTTAAATAAAAATGCTATTTACTCCTCAGGTTTGCTATCACTTTATCAACTGAGAATTGCCTAGGAAAGCAGGCATCTGTTGCCATAGGTCATTAAATTTTCTCTCTTTCTCTCTGTGAGCAGCCACTTACAGGATGGAGTGGAAGGAAAAAGGAACACTGTAAAGAAAAATATCAGTCATATATTTTGTCACTCCCCTGCATTTTTTCCCCTCATTAAATTTTACCTCCGAACCAAAACAAAACAAAACAAAACAAAACAAAATAGCACAGAGGCAACCTTCCTGCCATATTACAGTCTTACTCTTTTCTCCACCTTGGATGCAAATGTAAGATTGGAAGCCTTCAAAAGCAGTGCTTTGAGTCTATTTCTTATTTCATTTATGTGTTCAAACGTCTTATTAGGAGAGGAAAATAAGAAATGGCGTTTCTTCCAGTAGTAACCATCTGATACGTCACTAGTCTCCCAGGTCAGCCACCTAACTCTTGAGTGGCCATTCAAAGATTTTTTTTTTTCTACATTGATAGTCACATTCCCAGTAACCTGATTGAAAGCTGCAGGGTTGCTCAATGATTATGCTCTTTGAAATATCTGTGCCACCTCCACTGGGTTCTTATCAGTCTCGAGGGCAGAAGCTCTCACTGGGAGGTGAGTTTCATCAACTTTCATTTTTAAGTAGAGGAAAAGAAGCCTGGAGCCAAGAAAATATGTAGCCTCCTCTGCTGAAAGCCACATATCAGCTCAGTCAATTTCCAGTTCCTCCATTGAAGCCTAATTTTCCCTTTGAACTCAGAGAAAGCTAAGGATGCCTCTTTCTTGGGACAAAAAGAAGAATGCCCTTCCTTCATACAAATCTATGTTGGATTTCTAAGTGAATATGGATGACAAAAGGACAAAAGGATGCCTTTGGGTGGAGGTGCAGAGGTGAGGAAGAAAAAAACTTTAAAGTTGATTGTGTGAACGTAAAATACCTGAGAGACACTTTAATAGTTGCCTAGGGTTGTCCAAAGTCTTGGTTTCTTTCCAACAAAGGATTTCTTTGTTGGAATTGTGTTCAGACAGGCATGAATTGAAATCCCAGCTTAGTCAATTACCAGGTGTATTTCTTTGTTGATTTAAGTTTTCTGGACCTCGGTTTATAATTCTGTAAAGTGAAAAACACTGGCAGTGTCATTCCTCTTCGTCTCTCCAGCACCTGGAAAGGCATCTGAAAATGTTTGTCATGATGTTTATGAAGAGAAGGATGAAGAAGGGAGGGACCAAGCACTCTGCTTCTGCTTAATAAACTCCGGATGTATGTTGATATCCTTTCTTTCTCCTCCAGACATTTCCAACCAGATTGCTTTTCTGCAAAATCCATGCTAAAGATTCTTAACTAGCTCAAGCAGACAGTGTATGGATGTTGTGGTCTTAAAAAGCAAGTTGGCAAAATTTTCACTTGAATTGGTTTGTTAGATTGTTTTGCCTTGAGTAATATTTTTGGCAATTTTTTGGAGAGTTTCAATAAAAAAATAAGTATTTAAGGCCAGGTGCAGGGGCTCACACCTGTAATCCCAACGCTTTGAGAGGCCGAGGCAGGAGGATCACTTGGGGCCAGGAGTTCGAGACCAGCCTGGGCAACATAGTGAGACCTTGCCTCTACAAAAATATTTTTTAAATTAGCTAGGCATGGGGGTGCATGCCTGTAGTCCCAGATACTCAAGAGGCTGAGGTGGGAAGAGTGCCTATACCCAGGAGTTCAAGGCCGCAGTGAACCATGATCCTGCCGTTGCACTCCAGCCTGAGTGAGAAAGCAAGATCCTGTCTCCAAAAGAATATAAGTAGTTAGATTCATTTCAATTTAGCAAGATAGGCCATTCCAATTCAAGTTCTGCTCCTAAACAGAGGCCAGACTGGCTTGAAGGAAAGATAGTCTAACATAAGGCAGCCTGCATCTATTCTCTAGGTTTATTCTGTAGTTTAAGCACAGTGGGGCTAAAAACACTATTGATTACAGCCCTGATTTCCTAAAAATGTCATGGACGTTTTACACTTTTCCTCTGAGGCATTAAATACCAGGCCTGCTATTAACCAGATTGTGATAACAGACACAGATAAAGACAACTGCAAAGTTAACAGTAAAGAGTATTTCTCCAAAGGTCATGCTGCAGCGATAGCATATCATAATGACCCTCTTCTTTGAGGACTACTGAGTTCTTTTAAAAAAAGACATCCCCAGCCCAGCTTTGCAACTTCCACCTCCCCAACAAAAGTTACACTTCATAATAGCAAACAATTCAGAACTGATTCATGCTTCTCTAGCCTTTCCTAAGACTCATCTAACACAGAAACAGCTCCATAGAAAATTCTCTCCATCCCTTCTTACCAAGGGACACTTCACGATTCACCTAGCATACCCTCCCTGATTGCGGAAAGTCAATAAATATATTTCGTTGGATTAAAGGTTTGTTCCTGGTGGACTTTGGCTGTAGTAATTCTATATTTTCCTTGCAGCTAAACAAACAATTTTTTCAACATACCCAAAAACAGCAGGCTCAGGTAGAGGAGCCTGTTCTTCCCTGGAGTTTGGATAAACCTGAGGTTTGTAAAGAGCTATTCCCATTTCCTGGCATGGTTCACAAGTCCACCGGGATCAGTAGAATGGCTGGAAGCAGGAAGAGATGTTCCTCTGTGACTGAGCACAGTGACCTCTTTCCTCTGGCTGCAGCCAGTATTTTCCAACCTTGCCCTAAAAACAATGTTGTTTCCTTGAGGTCCTCCTCCCCCTCCCTCTCCCCCTCCCCCTCCTCCCGTTCCCCTTTCTCTCCTCCCCCTCCCCATTCCCTTCCCCTTCCCCTTTCCCTCCTCCCCCTCCCCATCCCCTTCCCCTTCCTCTTCCCCTCCCCCTTCCCCTCCCTCTCTTCCTCCCCCTCCCCCTCCCCCTCCTCCCCCTCTCCCCTCCCCTTCCTCCTCCTCCCCCTCCTCCTCCTCGTCCTCCTCAAAACCCATGCACCACTGACTGCAGATATCTCAAAGTGTGGCATTTGACACTCATTCTCCATCTCAGGGCAAGACAGGTTTGATCATTCAAGGTCTTGCTAAAATGTCATCTCTTCAAAAACATGTTCTTTATCCACTCTGAACCAAGCAGCCTCCTCTCAGACAATCTCTAACACAACAGCTAACTTTATTTTCTTTTTAGTACTTATCACACAAGAAGTACTTAGTACTAGCTGATATTATCTTGCTAACTTGGTTATCATGTGCCTCCTTGCCCCCACCAACCTCCAAATCTAGTGTTTAAGCTTTTAAGGGTAGTTGCCTTGTCTATCTGGTTCACCTAATTTATAAGAGAAGTCCCGATACATATTTGTTAAGTGAGATTGTGTTACTTTGAAAAGGCAATTTTTAAAAAAAAGTGAGAGTGCAGTTGACCATTGAACAACGTAGGGGCTAGCGGTACCCGCACAGTCAAAACTCCACATATAACTTTCGACTCTCCAAAAACTTCACTACTAAAAACCTACTGTTGACAAGAAGACTTACCGACAACATAGTTGATTACTACATTTTTTGTGTATTATATACTGTAGGCAATAAGTTACAGAAAAGAAAATGTTGCAGTGAAAACCGTAAGGAAGAGAAAATATATTTACTAGTCATTAAGCGGAAATGGATCATCATAAAGGTCTTTATCCTCATCATCTTCACATTTAGTAGACTGAGGACCAAGAGGAGGGTTGGTCTTATTGTCTCTGGTAGTGGAGTCGGGAGACAACCTGCATATAAGCAGACCGGCAAAGTTCAAACCCACATTGTTCAAAGGTCAACCGAATTATCTTTTCTTCAACCAGGTTTTAAGCCACAACTGGTCTATTTATCTTCTCTGGCAACAAATAGTCATAAGTGAGGTGAAAGGGAATTAATTTGCAGATGTTCTGCAAAGGACCTTTCCATTCTATAAAATGAATTGTTGGGTTCTATATATCAAACTTTTTTTAAAAAATTATAAGTATAGACACAAATTATATTATTATGACATGCACCCAGACCATACTATCGAAGTGGCAGTTAAGCAACAAGGGGCCAGTTCATACAAGTATTTACTACATAGGAGATGGCCTTGTCATTCACTCAGGCACCCAGGACACAGTCCTGAGCACCACCCTTGGCTTTGTTCTCTTCTCTCACATTTCACGGTCAGTCACACACTGGGTCCCTAATCAGATCACTATCCCCTGCTGAAAATCCATTAGAATAATTTTCAAATCTCTCAGGCCCCTACATGAGGTGGGCTCTGCCTGCATCTCCAATATTATGTCCCACACCGAGCTCTTTCCTGACTCTAAGCCTTTGCATTTGCAGCTTCCTCCAGCTGCAGCAGTCTCCAGGGGTCCCAGCGCTCTTTCTTATTCGATGTCAGAATAAACATTACCTTTCCAGAGTCCCCTGTCACTATCACATCACCTGCTTTATCCTATTTGTTTCTTCATAGCACCTGTTACTCTCACGGTTATCTTCCTCATCTGCTGATCTACTTGTTCCCTGTCTGTCTGCCTGCTCTGCAATGTAAAGCCATGAGACATGAGGGCTTGCACACAGTAAGTAGGGTCTAGGTAATTCTTTTCCCAGTCCACCAGTCAGCCAACTCTCAAGTCCCAGGCACCTACAAGAGCCTATTCAACTGGCTTCTGGGAAGCAATAGGCAGGAATTTTGGCACAAATCCGATCATGTCATCTCTCTGCTTAAATTCCTTTGGTTGCTTCCCATTGCCTTTAGAATAAACCCAAATTATTTTTTTTTTACTCTTTCTGTTTTTAATTTAATTTTAGTTCTGGGATACATGTGCAGGACATGCATGTTTGTTACATAGGTAAACGTGTGTCATGGTTGTTTGCTGCACCTATCAACCCATCACCTAGGCGTTAAGCCCTGAATGTATTAGCTATTTATCCTAATGCTCTTCCTTCCCTTGTTCCCCTGACAGGCCCCAGTGTGTGTTGTTCCCTTCCTTAGGTCCATTGTTCTCATTGTTCAGTTCCCACTTGTAAGTGAGAATATGTGGTGTTTGGTTTTCTGTTCCTGTGTTAGTTTCCTGAGGATAATGGTTTCCAGCTCCATCCATGTCCCTGCAAATTACATGACCCTTTTATGGCTGCATAGTATTCCATGGTGTATATGTACCACATTTTCTTTATCCACTGTATTATTGATTGGCATTTGGGTTGATTCCATGTCTTTGCTATTGTGAATAGTGTTGCAATAAACGTAAGCATGCATGTATCTTTATAATAGAATGATTTATATTCTTTCAAGTATATACCCAGCAATATAAACCCAAATTCTTTACCTGGCTTACAAAGGCCTTCTTCTCCAGGTTTATTTCTCACCAGACAATAATTTGTAATGCTCTCCACTTTCCCCACTGGGTCTAGTCCATGGTCAGCAAAGCAGGCAAAAAACCAAGTTCAATCCAAAGGCTGGAATTCAGTGAGTGACCAGAGTGGGTGCCACAGAATCGAGATGGATGTGGATGTAGTGGTCTGAACATGGAACAGGGCCCTGACCACAGAGGGCAGGATGGTCCCAGAGCCTCCACAGATGCAAAGGGCAGTTATGGTCAATGGCCTGAGCTCTGGGGAGGCAAGGGGGCACCCCTCCTGTTGTGCCCAATTTCATTATGAAGAAAGCCTGAGCTCCTGGTTTTAGGGATTTTAGAAAGAAGCACTTTGAAGAGAGTGGGATTAGGAGTCTCAATCCTGAGTCTGGTCCCTAACGGACAGATTTGTGGCAAAATAGACTAGAATAGACATTTGAATTTTCATAGATCAAATTCATAGATCAGACTCTACCTTAGGCTATTTCATTACTAACAGCTGTGTGAAATAAGTACTAAATTCTCATCACTGAAAAGGATCTGAGGCTCAGAAAGGTGATTTGCCAGCCATGGTCATACGTGAATCTCATGCTGATCCCATCATGGTATGCTCTGACCTGGGGTCTTCAGAGATCATGAAGTTGAGGCTGAGGCTCCTCTCCCATTGTCCTACATTTTTCTATGCTGAACATGTGATATTTAGTCCACAGCAAAAGTAATTCAAAATAATATCTGGCCAGGCACAGTGGCTCACGCCTGTAATCCCAGCACTTTGAGGGGCCAAGGCAGGTGGATCACCTGAGGTTAGGAGTTCGAGACCAGCCTGGCCAACATGGCGAAACCCCATCTCTACTAAAAATACAAAAATTAGTCGGACATGGTGGCAGGTGCCTGTAATCCCAGCTACTCGGGAGGCTGAGACAGGAGAATCGCTTGAACTCAGGAGGCAGAGGTTGCAGTGAGCCAAGATCGCACCACCGCACTCCAGCCTGAGTGACAGAGCAAGACTCTCTCAAAAATAATAATAATCTTTCCTAAATCTGGAAGTTACTTGTTAAAACATTGTATGGTTTATACAGATACAAAATAAAATAACTTCATTAAGAAAAAGTAGTAAAACAAAAATAAATTCAAGTCTTAGAAACACCTTTGATAATATTAAAGTTTTTCTCACTGCCACCTCAAATTCTTCTCAAATCTGTAATTCCCTCCCCACGCCAACTCATGCATCAGCTGATGAAGTACAGCCTCCCATTTTCCATTCATTCAGTGAGCCAGTCTGTCCATACATCAGAATACCCTCTGACCACCTATTACTATGTTCCAAACATCATTCTTGGAGCTGAAGATATAAGATCTAAAAGGGCAGGACTTCATCAGTCAATGAATTTACAACCTACTGGAAGATACAGAGAGTAAATCAGTAAGTCAATTCTTATAGTACAGTCTACATAGCAAAGGATAGGCTAGAATAGAATTGGGTAGGGCACGGTGGGGTACAACAGGATAAGGTAGGGAAGGGAAGGAAAAAGTAGTGTAGTATAAGATACCATAGGATACTATAGGATAGGGTAGGACAGTTCAGTGTGGCCACTGAAAAAATAAAAGTTGAAAACCAGGAGATGGGAGGCAGGAGTTGTCTCAACTGGACTGTGGGGCCAAGAGGCTAAAGGGAAACAGGCTGAGTTTCAATGAGTAAGTGGGCATTAGCTGGGTAAAGAATGGTAAAAACAGATGTATAACTTAAGAAAAAGGGCATTCTCTTGGGTCAGACTGCCCTAAATTCAAACTCCTCCTCTGTCCACTGCCGCCTACAAATGGTTTTAGAGCTTACAGCTTACAGCTTAGACAAGTTGGCAATTAAATTAATTGACTCTTTGGCAATTAAACGCTCAGTAACCTCGTGTGCCACAGGGCTCCTTTCAGGTTCTTGATTCTATGCTTCAAGTTTTATTTTACAAAAGAAAAAAAAGGTCAGGTCGTGTCCTTGATTTGGTTTAATGACACACCAAAATCTGGACTACATTAGCAAGATGAGAGTTGTGTCCTTTTCTGCCTCCAGCCGCGATCAGCCTGTCCTCCTGTTCTTCTGCCACTCCCTGCCTCTCCTCTTAAACTCCAGCCCTACCAGCTGACCTGAAGTACAGGGCCTGCCCAAACCATGCTGTGTCTTGCGTCCTTGCCTTTGCTCCTGTGGGGAGCTCTGCCTACGAATGCCCTTTCCATTGTGTTTATTGGAAAACTCCTGGGTAGTCCTCTAGAATAATCTTACTCATCAGCCATCACCCCACCCTCCAATGTTCCTTCTCTATACTAATTCTGTTACATGTGTTCCTATCTGTGGTTTGTCACACACTCTGAAAACATTTTTGTACTTTCTCTTCCGCCTGTGAGCACTTAAGGCCCCTAAGGACAGACATACTGAGGATCTCTATAAATGTTGCATTCATAAACCAATGGCTCCTTCCAGACCCAAATGCACTTTCTTATCTGACAGAGGAATCCAGTTTGATGGTATTGCCACAAATTCATTTGTTATAAAATTTTATGTTTCCTCTTGAGAAGGGAAATGTCTCCTTCCTTGGTACTTTAAGAAAACAAATTCACGTAACAATTATAATAACTGAGATAAAACTGTAGTTTTTCACTGAGCATTTAATTTACCTTGTTTAGATAGAACTGTATATCTATGTTAGATTAGACCTCAGGCATGCCCAACCATTTTTTCACTTAGAATAGTTTTATTTTTATTTTTATGTTTTTGTTTTTCTTCAACTTTGATTTTAAGTTCCGGGGTACATGTGCAGGATGTGCAGGTTTGTTACATAGGTAAACCTGTGCCATGGGAGTTTGCTGCACCTATCAACCCATCACCTAGGTATTAAGCCCAGCATCCATCAGCTATTCTTCCTGATGCTCTCCCTCCAACAGGCCCCAGTGTGTGTTGTTCCCTACCATGTGTCAATATGTTCTCATCATTCAGCTCCCACTTATGAGAAGATGCAGTGTTTGGTTTTCTGTACCTGCATTAGTTTGCTGAGGATAATGGCTTCCAACTCCATCCATGTCCCTGCAAAGGACATGATCTCATTCCTTTTTATGGCTGCATAGTATTCCATGGTGTATATGTACATTTTCTTTATCCAGTCTATCATTGATGGGCATTTGGGTTGCTTCCATGTCTTTGCTATTCCATGTCTTTGCAGTGATGAGCATATGCGTGGGACATGACCAGTGTTTTAAAAGTTCTATTAGGATTCTGAGAAAACTGATGGTTTATATTCTTTTTTTTTTTTTTTTTTTTTTTTTTTTTTTTTTTTTTTGAGACGGAGTCTGCTCTGTCGCCCAGGCTGGAGTGCAGTGGCACCATCTCAGCTCACTGCAAGCTCCGCCTCCCAGGTTCATGCCATCCTCCTGCCTCAGCCTCCCGAGTAGCTGGGACTACAGGCGCCTGCAACCACGCCTGGCTAATTTTTTGTATTTTTAGTAGAGACGGGGTTTCACCATGTTAGCCAGGATGTTCTTGATCTCCTGACCTCGTGATCTACCCACCTTGGCCTCCCAAAGTGCTGGGATTACAGGCGTGAGCCACCGCACCCGGCCATGGTTTGTATTCTTAACGTGACATGAATTAATATTTTTGGTTGGTTAAGTTCTTCCATCTAGGGTCTTGATCAGTCTTTCCTTTTGTCCTGGAATTCTTTTAAGTCATTCTGTTAAGACTTTATGGTTTTCTTTGCTTATACTTTCTGGTTATATTAATTCCCAGGAATTTACATCTTCGTTGCTGTTCTGAATAGGATTTATTTTCTGATTTTTATTTTTAATTTAGTATTGTAAATATAAAAAAGGAGTTTTATATCTTTTGTTCAATACTTTATCCAATTCTCTTAACTTTCATAGTTTAGAGTTTTTACCTTTATAATCATATCAACATGTCTCTTTTCTTCAATAAGTATTGTAAATATTTCACTTTTCGTTTATATTACATTAACTGCTGCTCCAAAAACAAAGATCAAAATAGAGTAATGATAGAATCTAATCTCAGTTTTTAATGGGAATGACTTTCATATCTTACCCTTTAAAATATTGTTTGCTATTTTTAGTAAATAACAGTTGTATGTTTTAGCTTCCTTCTAATCCTACTTTCTTTGTAATATTCACAATAGCTCTACATTGTATTGAATAGCTTTTCAACATCTATTGATATCCTTTGGTTCACTGATATAATCAAATGTGTTGATAAAGTTCCTATTTTTTAAGTCCTTGTGTTACTGTAATTAATCCCATTTCTTCATGTCATATAATTTTATAAATAAATATCTGGATTCAGACATCTGATTATTTATTTGAAATATTTACCTCTATATACTTGGAATTTGTCTAATTTTCTCTTGTGTCGTATCTTCATGATACTTTATACAATGAATTAATGATCTTTCAACTTTCTCTGTGGACTAGAATTTTTTAAATAGCACAGGAATTACATGATGTTTGAATTTAGAGTAAACTCAGCAGTAAAACCATCTGAGCCTGCCACCAAATTTGGCTATGGTTATTGGTCTGTTCAGATTTTCTCTCATATTGGGTCAAATGGGGTATTTTACATTGTGACAACAAGTTAGCCATTTCTCCAAGATTTTCCATTGTCATTGGTTTGTATAAGAAGCTTTAATATAAATCTTTAAGCTCTTCCATATTTGAAGATGACATCTTGTTATTAACATTGTATCCTTGTATATTTATTTTCTCCTCTCTTTCTCTCTCTCACTCACTCTCTCATACATTTGTCACACACACACGTTTCTCTGGGATTTTCTTTTGTATTCTTATCAGAAATAAAATTTGTATTTTGCACAACACAGAACATACAGTATGTTACATAAAATTAAGTAACAGTGTCTTAAGATAAACGTTTATTTTTTTCTCAAGTAAGAGACACGCCAAGGTGTGCAGTCTGAGACAGATATGCCAGTGCCTCAGCATCCTCAGGGATCTAGACTCAATCTCATGCCCTGATTCCCGATGCCTGCCTTCCATCCTTGTGGTCTTTATCATTCAAGATGACTGTTGGAGATCCAGTCGTCAGATCTGTGTTCCTGGCAAGCAGCAGGTAGAAGAAGAGAAAGATCAAAGAATCACCTGGCCAGGTGCAGTGGCTCATGCCTGTAATCCCAACATTTTGGGAGGCCAAGGCAGGCGGATCATGAGGTCAAGAGATTGAGACCATCCTGGCCAACACGGTGAAACCCCATGTCTACTAAAAATACAAAAATTAACTGGGTGTGGTGGCGGGCGCCTGTAGGCCCAGCTACTCAGGAGGCTGAGGCAGGAGAATCACTTGAACCCAGGAGGAGGAGGTTGCAATGAGCCAAGATCGCCCCACTGCACTCCAGCCTGGTGACAGAGCGAGAATCCGTCTAAAAAAAAAAAAAAGAAAAAGAAAAAAAAAGAAAGGCCGGGCGCAGTGGCTCACGCCTGTAATCCCAGCACTTTGGGAGGCCGAGGCGGGTGGATCACGAGGTCAGGAGATCGAGACCAACCTGGGTAACATGGTGAAACCCCGTCTCTACTAAAAATAGAAAAAATTAGCTGGGTGCGGTGGTGGGCGCCTGTAGTCCCAGCTACTCAGGAGGCTGAGGCAGGAGAATGGCGTGAACCTGGGAGGTGGAGCTTGCAGTGAGCTGACATCGCACTATTGCACTCCAGCCTGGGCTACGTACGTAGCGAGACTCCGTCTCAAAAAAAAAAAAAAAATCACCTCACCAACAATTTAGCCCCCATTATTATTCTACTCAGATTTTCTAGACCATACCTTTGTTCCTACGCCATCTTCCAGGACTTAGTCACAGAGCCAGAACATGAGACAATGGGGAACTAGGAATGCAGCTTGAGTAGCTTTCCATTAAAAAAAAAAAAAATCGAAGTTCTATTACTAAATGAGAGGAGGACGTTTACTGGGTAGAAGTTAAAGTGTCTGCTACAACTTCATGCATCCTAGCAAATATTTCTGCTTTTGCTTACACTTTAATTTTTATAGCTTCCAACCTTCATCTCAATTATTTTTTCCTAATATCTAATAGTTTATTTTGATACTGATTTTTAAAGTTCTGAAGCCAAAGAGTTTGTGAATTTTTGTCTTTTTTCAAAATTATACTAAAACATTTGAAAATATAAATTTGAAATCCTGTATTTTATTACCAAATTTGCCACATCTTAACCCATTACCAGTGGGGTAAGCGTTTATGGAGCTGCCCAGAGCCTGCTGGAACTAACAGCATTGGATTTTAGGGTTTATGATCCTTGAACATTTATTTCCTGAGCTTGGTGGTTATTTGACATATTAAATATCTCTTTTCAAGCACATAGTCTCCCTGTATCATAATTCATTTAACCAGTTGCCTTTTGCCAGACATTTAGTGGTCTCTAATTCTTCAAGATTGTAAGTAATGCTATGTTTGCCATCCCTATGATCTATCTTTGTCCATCTGTGTAATTATTTCTGTAGGATTAATTTCTTGAAGTGGAATTGCTGTGTCAAAGGGCATACACATGTAAAATCTAATACCTATAATAAAACTACTTATTAGTTTGTATTTTGCTCCCAAAAGTGTCTTCTAGAAAATACAAAATTTCTTTCTCATATACACTTTTGGGAGAAGTGTACTTGGTAAAGCTGGTTTAGACAGCAATCTGGTAGTATCAGTCAAAACTTAAAATGGTATCGCCACTGATGCAGTAAGTCCTCTTCCAAGAGTCTGTCTTACTGAATTTCTTATATATGTATACAAATATGCACTGTATGTGTTGACTTGGAAATATAACCTAAAGACATTAAAATTAAGTGAAAAAATCACTTTGAAGACATATACTATGATCCATTTTGTGCAAGAAAACTATATGTGCATATATAGCCATATATTAGTTCTTAAATGCAAGATAAAGGAATGAGAAGAACACATATCCAACAATTGCCAGTGGTTACCTCTGAAGATGGGAGTGAGACAGGGCCCAGTTAAGAAAGATTGGAGTAACGGGATAGGTCTGTTTATGTAGATCAGCTTTTGTCTTACATGTATCCACTAAGAATATATTTTCCACTAAGAATATATTTTCATCTTGGTATTGAGGAAGTAAGATACTTATTAATTAAAATTAAATTAGAATATGGTACATACTTTTAAGTTATCTGTATTTCTTTTAATTATTTAATCATATTGTTCAGTTATTTGTATCTTACTGCCTTGACAACACCATCAAGGAGATCTGGGTTCTTTCTTGCTGCTCTGTTAGGATACAGATTGGCTGCTGCAGTAGCAGCTGTTATACGAAGACCAAATGAAATTCAGTGAAAAAAGAGGGGCTACTTTCAAAATGTCTCCTCCAAAGAAATATTAACTAGCAGACCATCCAGGAGACCTCTCCAAATACACACACATATGCATCCTTTCATGGTCATAATTTTCCCATGTTCATTTCTAGACTAGTCCCTGGCAAAAGAAATGGGATGACCAAGAGAGGCCTAATGAAAAATCTGATCATAAGAAGAAAGGTACATACTTGAGCAAAACCAGAAGGCTTTAAAAAAGAAAAAAAAAAATGAGGTAATGGCTATTGTATGAACAACCAGTAAGTTCTGGCAGTGTGGTGAAAGGGATCCCTCCTCCCCATGATAAGTATTCTGCCCTATTGATTTTTTTTAAGTAATTCTAAAATTTAGACCTCAAGGCAAATCTTACAGTGAGTGCCCTTCCCCAGAAACATCAGTTTTCATGGTGTTTCAGTGTGAGTTGTGGTTTAGGGCAATTCATATTGGGTACAAATTTGTGTGGTAAGGGTCTTAAAAGATTTCTTCTGTTCTACATGTACCTACAGATGAAGAAGTTTCCTAGGGAACTTAACAGACTACTATGAATCTGAAAGACTATAACATTTGATAAATCATAAAATAAAGACATCGTTTTCAGAATCTATCTATAGCTTAGAGCCACAGTCCTTTGTTCCCAGAATGGGCACCATCCAAACACCAGAGTTGCCTGGCATTGGAGCTTGGGGTAGGGAAGAAGCGTAGGGAAAGGTAGGCTTCTAGAAATCAGAGAAAGGCTTGATATGGACAGAACTTTGCCTAGATTAAGGAAATCATTCTACTTTCTTCACCAAGTCAGGCCTTATGAGCCTTACAAGTAAGATTTAAACTAAAAGTTTTAATAACTTGCTAAAGGCCAAGTGTGGGAAAGTGTGAGAATATGGAACCCCTGGGAGACTCAGACACAAGGGGAGTTTATACCAATTAATGGTTATTTTCAGTTGACATCACTGGGAACTTAGAAGTCAAATGGGAAACACGGTGATACAGAAGGCATAAAGCTCCACCCAGATCCTTCTCCCCTGTGGAACAAAAGCCTTAGGCTGTTGGGCAAAAGGCAACAAGAACTGTCAACCCCAGAACACAGGCAAAGACCCACTGCAGCCAGAGAAAGGAAAAAGGAAAAAATCCACTATTGTCAGGAAAATGTCAGAAAACCAGAAATTTATGACCTTTGCAGGAGTGGCAGGATCACTGAATGTGCTCCACCAGTGAGACCCAGGGATACAGTAGAAGCCCAAGACTGAGGTTAAAGAAGGAAAACCAGAGAAAACTCTCCAGCCCTGTACCCTCAACCAGGCCAGGGAGTATGAGTCACCAGAAGAAGAGCTGTCTGTCACATGGAGAGGAGCAAGAGTGTGCAGAAAGACCATCTCTGAGGTTTTGGCTCACAGGGAAAGCCTAAGGTTAAGAATTGAACAAGAACATTGAGAAAAATCCTCTGGCTACCCAACTCTACCCTAGGCACAAGGTAAAGCTGGAAGAATTCAAAGATGGTGGCCAACTGAAAGTAACCACAGCAACAACAAAATGCAGACCTAGCTTACCCACTAACTAGATTGCCCCAAAACCCCTTACTAAAAGTGTACTGGAAGAAGAGGTGGGCCCATTTCCCAGCATAGTGTTATTCCATCTCTACTGTCCACATGGTGGCCAGTTTTCTATCCCCCCAAAAAAGTGTGAAAAACACACACAAAAACAGAAGACTAAAAAACAAAACAAACAAACAAACAAACAAAAACTGTCAGGCTGGGCATGATGACTCATGCCTGTAATCCCAGCACTTTGAGAAGCTGAAGAGGGCAGATCACTTGAGGCCAGGAGTTGGAGACCAAACTCGCCAACAAGGTGAAACCCCGTCTCTGGTAAAAATACAAAAATTAGCCGGGCGTGGTGGTGCTCACCTGTAGTCCCAGCTAGTTGGTAGGCTAAGGAAAGAAAATTGCTTGAGCCCAGAGGCAGAGGTTGCAGTGAGCCGAGATCACTTCACTGCACTCCAGCCTGGGTGACAGAGCAAGACCCTGTCTCAAAAAATAAAATAAAATAAAATAAAAAATCTGTTAAAAAAGAAACTAATCAAAAGAAATATATTCAGAGATGACTCAGTTATCCAAACAACCAGGGAATTGGGAAAAATATTACATATATATATATATATATATATATATATATATATATATATATACACACACATGTTTGTTTACATATACATATGTAATTAATTTATTAAAGTCTGTAGTAAAACACTTAATTGGAGAGAGGAAAACCATTAGAACGACCCACATGTCCATACTATGAGATAAAAGTCAGAATAAAGAAAGTTTGAGGAGCCCATCCAAGGACTCAGCACAGCTGAGGAACTAGTTAGCGAAACTAAAAATAAATATCTGAAGCACAAATTGGTAAAATGAAAGTGGAAAAAAAAGTGAATGAAATACCAAAGAGCTTTGGGACAATATCAAAACCCAGAAGAACATTCCATTAGTCCTCTGTTCTTTATTCCATTAGTCCTCTTTCTTCATATCTTTTCACCTCATTGTGTGTTCTTTTTTAACTTAACTATATAATCTTCTGGTTTTTGTTCTACCTTTTATTAATTTTTGTCATTACACTCAAGACTACAATACATACACTGTACTTATTACAGCAGACCTTAACTGATTATTCTATCATAGCCTGAATTATGCTTGAGGCCATTAAAAGTTTAATTCCGTTTTCCCTTGTGGCTTTCTGGTTGTTGTTTTTGTTGTTGTCACTACAAATATTATTCCTATACTTGTTATAAACCTCTCATTGTTTTCTGTTTACTTATTCTAGGGCTATTGATTCCTTCATGCATGCCTCTGTTTTCAGCTGGGGTGGTTTTCCTTTAGCCTGAGGAATTCCCTTTATTATTTCTTATAGAGCAAGCAGATCTCCTGGTGATAAATGCTCATTTTCTAGGCTGAAAATGTCTTTATTTGGTCTTTATTTTTGAGCATTGTTTTTCTGAATTTCACATTCTAAGTTTGTAATGTTTGTTTTTTTTCTTTTTGGCACTTTAAGTATCCCAACCAATTTCTTTCTTTTTTATTTTTTAAAAATATTTTAACTTTCATTTTAGTTTCGGGGGTACATGTGCATGTTTGTTATATAGGTAAACTCATGACTCCGGCGTTTGAGATACAGGTTTTTTCATCACTTAGGTACTAAGGATAGTACCCAGTAGTTTCATTTCCTGAACCTCTCCCTCTTCCCACCCTTCACCCTCAGGTAGGTCCCAGTGTCTGTTGTTCCCCTCCTTCCAACCATGTCCAATCAATTTCTTATTATTTCTATACTTTCAGAATGTTAGCCATTATTTTTACTCCTGTTATCGTGAAAGTAATGTTTGTTATACTGTTAAGAATTTCTCTTTCTGTTTGGACTTCTGTGGTTTGACTATGATGCATATGGGTGTTGCATTTTTTGCAGTTTTTTGTCCTGGTGATAATTGAGGTTCTTGATCTATGGAGTAATGGCTGTCATCAGATTTGGAAAAATCTTGGCTGTTATTTCTTCAGCTATCATTTCTATATTTCTTTCCATTCTTCGTGGTTACCCAATTACATGTATATTAGACCTTCTGACAGTGTCCCATATTTCCTGTTTGCTCATTTTTGTTTCTTTTTGTTATTGTTTTTTATTTGTTCTTCATGTACATTGGCCTTTGAACTTTCCTCAGGTTTCTTAATCCTATCTTCTGTTCTGTCCATTCTACAGTTCAACTCACTCCGTGAGTTCGTTATTTCAAATGCTACATTTTCTTATTATAGAACATTCATTTGATTGTTTTTACAGATCTCAATTCTTCATTTATATATTTCATATTGCATTAATTTTATCCTTTCTTCTCTTTTATTTCATGTAGTATCCAGTTTTCTGAAGCTTTTGCCTACCAGCTGTAGATCATCTCCACATCTGTTTCTATTGACTATTTTATCTATTTTTGTACACTTTTTCTTGCTTCTCGTCATGCATACTAACTTTTTTACTGCATGCTGAGCATTGTGGGTGAGAATCTTTTTATCCTACCTTTCTCCAAAGAGTGTTGACTTTTTTCCTGGGTGGCAGCAAAAGTGCCAACAGATTATTTTGTTCCAGTGAGGCCCACTTTTAGAATGTATGAGGTTGAGTCTATTTCAGCTTTGCCCTAACACATATGTCCTTATTCACATGCCATTGATATTATGGATTCTCAAATTAAATGATGACCTGGTGGTTCACTTACTTTTAAAGTATTAATATTTTTTGAAGGAACAATACTGTTTTTTCATTTCTAGATTCTTATATCTTATTCTTATTAAGTTTGCTGCTCTTTATTTAAGTCAACATAAGACACACATAACTGGTGGTAGCAGAACAACACAGTTTAACTTGACCACTGCCAGGTTATACCAGTTATGCTTTCTCTATAATTCTGTGTAGAACAATATCCAAATCTGCATTTTCTTTTCCAACCATGTAGCCAGCTATCTGGGTGTCATAAAATGAAGCTATATTCTTTTAAAAATCTCAGGATTAAAGAGAAATAAAAGTTTGTTACAAACAAGAACGTACACTCACCTGTTCTATTAATTCCCCATTCACCATTCTGTCTGCATTCACAATGAGATGAACTGAGGTGAATGTTAACAAGGATGAATGTCAAGTTCTGAAGTTGAACTACAAACAACAACTTCCCAGGAATAAAATAAACAACACTTGACTTTAATGAGCATCTCATGTGAGAATAAAGCTCAGTCTGAATTCTAAAGTTAAGGCTTTAAAATTGACACTAAATGTATATTGGTTAGGAGGGTTTAGGGTACCTGAAAATATAAGTGTCTGAAGATGCCCTCAGGCATCCAGGACAGAAAATGTGCCACTGACCTACCTTATAGGAAAGGTCTGGATCTTCCCTATTATTTCTCTTAAGCCTGTATCCAGCGAAAAACATGAGAATGTGAACCCAGATCCTTAGCAGGGCGGCAATGTGTAGATATAAGGAATCATCAATTATAAGCATGAGACCTAGAGCTTCAGGCTTCCCAAGAAATACCTTGAGATAAATTAAATGTCTTAATTCCCCCCTCTGTGTTTTATCTTGCTATTTCTGAAAAGTTTGTATCTAAATCTTGCAATCAATTTTGCTTCTCTGAGGATTCAAAGATGGTAATACCAGCTACCACAGAGCTGCTCAGTAAGCACAATAAATGATGGTTAAAAACAAAACAAAATGTAGAACAAGTTAAAAGAAGACATTGGTGATCTGTTTAGAAGGAAAATCCATTTTACTATATAGGCCTTGCAAATTTTGACAGTTATTTCTGCAGAAGTTCAAGTTAGCCACAATTAGTTAACTTGTGAAATAATGTGAGGGAGAATGGTAGCAATTTTTAACTTATTGGTAATTATCTATTTCAGTTGGGTGAGCACATATTTCCTATCTTAAGTATGCTGGACATCATTCAATGGATCAGATATATGAGGCTTACTCTTTATATATGCTTAATGACATAGGATGATTGATTTCACTAAGATAGGAACCTGATTTGGCTTTTGTCATTCAGAAGTTCCAAACCATGGCAGATAATCCACTTAGAAATGTTAATGAATGTTGATCTTATACACAGTTGAGTAAAGAAATTGTTAAGCATTCAATGCACAGAATAAAGGACATATTTGTGAGGTTTTTTTTTTTTTTTTGGTAGTATCATTCTCTGTTAACACTAATTAACTGCCATCCACATTCCAGACAGTAGACTGTGGACACAATGAGAACAAGGATCAGGAAATACTGTGTAGTGTACAGTACATAGAATGCTGCTTAATTCAACTTGCTTGCATTTTCCTATATGTTATTTTATTTCATCTTCAAAATTTCCCTGTAAGATACTTCTTGTGCTCATTTCATACATGACAAAATTGAGTCTTAGGGCAGTTGACGGGTTTTCTTGACCCAGGTCCCAAAGCTGTGGGCGAATATGCAGTGCTCTCCCTACCTGTGCTGTGCTCATTTTTTTCTGCTGGCTCAGCACGAAGCAGCCATGGGGCCTGGGAAGTGAGAAAGGATCTGGAGTTGCAGCTGAGAAGGAAGGTAGATATATCCACATGCCTCCTGAGAGGCTAAGTGAAAGTTTGTGAAAAACATCGGATTGCAGGAGCTGTGGGAAAGATAGAAAGATGGGAGAGAGTAAACATGGCAGCTATTTGCAGAGTATGCCACTTGGGAAAGATGTGGAGCCAGGAAAGGGGGCTAATTGAAGACACCTGGAGGGAGATGGCGAGAAAGCTAAAATCATCCAGGATGTCTGGGCAAAGAGCCTTGATGCAGAAAGTGGACATCTTGAGAAGCTGCCATGAGGCCTTGTGAAAGAAACCAGACTTGTAGGTGGAAAATGCAACTCCTAAGAGGAAGGTGTGGTTACTAAAATTCCATGGCTATACATTGGTGGCCTGCACCCCAAATCTGGCCTAAGTCTTCCTTTGCCTTAAAAATAATGGAACATGGTGCCTTGGGCAGTGTCTGTATTCTTCAGGGTGCCACTATTCCCTGTTCACCCTGCATACCACCTCCATCTCCCCTTAACCTACCCACAGAGTCATAGCAATTCACACAGATGGGCCTGCTCCACTGATATAGAGCCCCAAAACTTCAGTTCCAAAGGAACAAAAGTTAGACCAGCATGAAACAATTTTCTCTACACTTGGTGGTGGATTTCTTTGGGCCCATCTTTGTTTATAGCAACTCTTTTCAACTTGGCTTATCATTATGCAACTATGGTACCAGCTAGAATCAACTGGCCTTCCAAACCCAGACGCGTTCATCTTTATCCAAATGTAATTTATCTGAAATGCCATGTTGTTTGTGAGCATTATGCATTACTGCATGAGCTTCTGTTTTCTTCTTAAATAATAAAACACCCTAATGGAAAATATTCCCTCTAAATAAATTTTAATGAGCACTTATTTGCCCAAATTGTCCTTTGTCTGAATGGCAGAAAATTAATACGAACTTGAAATTATCAGGAGCATTTTGTCATAATGGGTCTTGGGAATAAATCATGCAAATATGAAATATTTTCCTGTATCTTCCTGAACTGTAAGTGCTGTAGTAACAACTTCCTCCCAAATGCAAAGCGAGTGTCAATGTCTTATCTTTCATCTGTACAGAAAAATATCACATCGGAAATCATGTCAAAGTGTTAGATGTTACTGGAGCTTGAAGTGAACAAGCAAGAAGCCTAATTGTCAGAGAAGGGTGTATATTCCAGACTTTGCCACTACAAATGACAATGCATGTATCTGCTACGTTTTTTAATTCCGTGCATTGACTCGTTTTCCTGGAGAAAGAAAGCAAATGGAAAATATTACCCTGTATCCTGGGCAGACTAGAGAACTTGGGTCTCACTGTGCTCACCAAGAATTAAACGGGCCAGATGGAGAACTGGAGTAAGTGCCTTCCAGAGGAGAGTTTCAGCTGGACCAAGAATTATGAGCCAATGAAGTGGGAAGCCATATTTGAGGGCGCCCCCTTAGACTTCAGAGTGCACTACATTAATTGCTCCTATAGACTTTCTCTCCATCTGAAATACTGCCAAAGGGAGCTATCGCCATTTCTGACTCTTTTTTTTTTTTTTTAAATAATAGAAATGACACTGAGAGGAGCCATTTAGTTCACTTCAAGAAATATGTATTACATACTCTCGGAGTATTAACAAGCAACAGTGAAAGAGAGAGTTTCCATTTTCAAGAAGCTTTTCTCTGGAATGAGGAGCTCACCACTAAGTTAAAAGTACCAGTAAGTATCAGACAATCAGATTCATGTTTTTAAACCAGGAAAGTATCAGCTCAATGAGCACCTCCAGGGGGAAAAGGGCACCAAAGTCCCATAGGAGGCTTCTGGGCATGGCCAGAGAGCATGGGCTCCAGATGCTGATGGCTGCACCACTCGCTGCCTGAGTGGCCTTGACAAAGACGATGAATTTGCTGAAAATGCTACTTCCCTATCAACAAAATGGAAATAATCTTGTAAGGTGATTCAGAGATACACACAGATGGCAGGCATGCAAAAAACCTTCTCTTGACCACCTCTCCTGCAAGCAATCTCCAGTTGCCTCTGCCATCACCTCATCATGAGAGTCCCAGATCCCCCCACTCTCCTGGCAGTTTTGTCCAGGGACAGTTCTGTCCACAGAAATGACCAAATGATTATATCATGGAATCTCAAAGAAAATATGAGAAGTTATTTAGTCCATGTAGAAAGAAGGTGAAGAAAAATATTCAATGTAATTTAAATTGTTTTGTAATTGGCCAGGTGTGGTGGTTCATGCCTGTAACCCCAGCACGTTGAGAGCCCAAGGTGGGCAGATCACCTGAGGTTAGGAGTTCAAGACCATCCTGGCCAACATGGTGAAACCCGGTCTTTACTAAAAGTACAAAAATTAGCCGGGCATGGTGGCATGCACCTGTAATCCCAGCTACTTGGGAGGCTGAGGCAGGAGAATCACTTGAACCCAGGATGCGGAGGCTGCAGTGAGCCAAGATTGTCCCATTGCACTCCAGCATGGGCAACAGAGTGAGACTCCATCTCAAAAAATAAATAAGTAAATACATAAATAAATAATTTTGTAATCAGTAATGGTAACATACCCCTCTTGATTGAGGTATACTAATAATCATTCCTATTTAAACAAAAAACAAAAAAAAATCCTTATAAAGCATTTAAAAGTGGCAAAGCACTTTTATATTTATTTTCTAATTTAATCTTTAGAATGATCTGGTATTATTAGCAGAGTAAAAAGTTCTACCAATTTTAAAGAGGAGGAAACTGAAGCACTAAGGATTTGTCTGGCTTGACCCAATCACATAGAGTTGCTGGAAAAACAGCTCAGGCAAACTCAAATAGTATTTTTTTCATAGCATGTCACACTTCCTGAATAAATTTCTCTAAAAGAGGACCAGACTGAAGTTTTATTCCATACCAATATGCCTGCTCCATAGCTCAACGTGAATGTCATTTATGTAACTCAAGCTACGTCCCAAACTTTATTCGTGAACTCTCCTCACACTGCCACTCCTTCAAGTTTCCTGTCTTCATGTACGTACAACCAGTCATCCAGGTGTTCACACCTGTAGTCTTGGGGTCACCCCTGACACCTCATCTTCCCCCACTCAATGGTGTCTATCACCCATCTCAGTGGACTTCACCTTTTAAATATCTTCTGAATCTGACCCCATAGTCCTAGACTAGCCACCACTATCTCTTCCTTCTTATTGCAGTGGCACCCAAGATTGCAATCTTGCCATCTCTAATCTGATCCTCCAGAGAACCATCAGTTATCTTTGTAACACACAAAGGTAGGTCCATTCCTTTCCTACCTAAGTCTTTCCTCCCCAGTCCTCTCAGACACATCAAATCTTTCTGGGTCTCATCCATTCTCATTTTTCCTCTCCTTACACCACCTGCCCAGGGCCCTTTCAATCCCAGCCTGCTAAATCTCATCCCACCTCGGGCTTTCCATAAGACACTCTGGATTGCATGTTCTTGCCGCCCACGACACCCGCTTACCTCCTACTCACCTTTACGTCTTTTTCTGAAAGCTCTCTCTTCCTAATGCCTTTTTCTCAACTCCTTTTTACTCCATGTGGTAGGAAGAATAATGGCCTCCCCAAAGATGTCTACCTCCTAATCCCTGAAATCTGTGGACAGCAAAAGAGGCTTTGAAGAGGTGATTAAATTAAGGATCTTGAGATGGGAAGGTTATTGTCGATTAGCCAGTTGGCCCAATATAATCACAGGGGTCCTTATCAAGGAGAGAAGACAGGAGAGTCAGAAGATTTTTTAAATTTAATGTTTTGTTTCCATAGGTTTTTGGGGAACAGGTGGTATTTGGTTACACGTGTAAGTTCTTTAGTGGTGATTTTTGAGATTTTGGTGCACCCATCACCCGAGCAGTATACATTGAACCCAATTTGTCAACTTTTATCCCTCACCCACTTCCCACTATATTCCCCCAAGTCCCCAAAGTCCACTGAATCATTCTTATGCCTTTGCATCCTCATAGCTTAGCTCCCACTTATGAGTGAGAACATACAATGCTTGGTTTTCCATTCCTGAGTTCCTTCACTTAGAATAATAGTCTCCAATCCAGGTTACTGTGAATGCAGTATTAATTCATTCCTTTTAATGGCTGAGTAGTATTCCATCAGAAGGGGATGTAAGGATGGAAGCAGATGTTGTGATGGATTGCAGGCTGAGAGCCAGGGACTGAAGAATGCAGACAGCCCCCAGAAGCTGGAAGAGACAAGGAAATGGGATCTCCCTTAGAGCCTCCAGGAGGAATACAGCCCTGCCAACAGCTCAATTTTAGCCCCTTAAGATGAGTTTTGGACTTCTTGCTCCGAGAACTGTAAGATGATAAATATGTTTTGTCTTCAGCCACCAGTTGTATGGTAACTGGTTGCAGCAGCAACAGGAAACTATTATACTTCTCAACTCTTATGCCCTAGGCTCTTCAAGGCCCTTTGTCTCATGCTTGTACAGGACTCTGTGCTTCTCTTAACTATGCATAGATCTCTTGCAAATACTTACTTGGAATATTGTTTTAATATCTGTTCTTCTGTTCAGAGAGTGTAGCACTCCTCGCATATTATAGTTTGGCCCCTCTGAATCCCCAGCTTCTAGCGTAGGACCTGGTCCACAAAGGAATTCACAGATGCAATGAAAATATTCACAAAGCATTGTTGTGGCAGGAGAAGCCACCTTGCATTTGTAGAATGATCATAACAAGTGGGCTAAGACTACAGAGAAAGAGGCAGCTTCCAGGTGTTGTTGAAGATATGGAGAAGGACCATCTTCCAGGGCTAGCTCAAAACCCTTCTAAGTTAGCAAGGGGTACTCGCTGCTTGCAGAGTCTGCAATGAGTTTCTGAGTTTGTACAACAACAAAATGAAAGGTCAGTTGCCTCCAAAGGACAGAAGATACCCAGGGACCTGAGGCTCTGAGTCTCTTTCCTCTGAAAGGGAATCCTTCACCAGGCAGAAGGAAATGTGTGGCACTATTTGGTTGCTACTGCTCTGGAATACAGAGATATGGGAAACAGTGTCTCACTGTGGGAAAAGGGGAGGATTTTTGAGTGCCTGACATTACATATGTGACTCCCAAGTGGTAAAACACGCATATAACTCAAACCAGCTTATGTACAACATATCAAGCCATCTCTCTATGAGGATTGAGGAGGAGCTAGTGTGGTGCTTGAATTAATCCATTATGAAGTTAGATATATCTGGCTTCCAATTCTGGCTCTTCCTGTTATAATTAAGAAACTAAAGTCAAATCTCTAAATCTCTCGTTTTCTTCATCTACAAAATGAATTTGTAGTGCCTACCTCATATTGTGCTGAGGATAACAGAAGAACATGCAGATTAGATGCTTAGTGCACATCACACGTTCAATAAATGGGAGGAATTCTTATTCTGTTTTGAGGAAGAGAAGGACAAGAATGCTCACTGAGTGTTCTTTGTTTTTTTGTTTGTTTTCGAGACGGAGTCTCACTTTGTCGCCAGGCTGGAGCACAGTGGTGCAATCTCAGCCTCCCAGGTTCAAGCAATTCTCCTGCCTCAGCCTCCCAAGTAGCTGGGACTACAGGCATGCGCCACCACACCCAGCTAATTTTAGTATTTTTCATAGAGACAGAGTTTCACCATGTTGGCCAGGATGGTCTTGATCTCTTGACTTCATGATCGGCTCACCTTGGCCTCCCAAAGTGCTGGGATTACAGGCATGAGCCACCGCGCCTGGCCCACTGAGTGTTTTAATAAGCCACACACTTCCTCAGGGGCATTCACAATTAGAATCTCAATGTATTTGTGCTGCAATCCAGTGAGGTAGACGTCATCATTCCAACAAAGCAGGTGAGAAATCTGGCCCATGAAGTGGGTGTGATCTGCCCAGATCCACAGAGTGTACATGGTAGAATGTTTGATCATTCTAAGCCAGAGTGGCCTCACTGAAGGTGGACTTGTTCTTTTACTGTGGGAAAGAATAATCAATACACCTGCAGGAACACTGTGGAGAGAATCCTGACATGAGCACAAAGTTTCTGAGAAAAAGAAATTGCAAACATTACTGTCAACAATCAGAAGGTGCTCAACAGGAGAAAAAGTACTATGAGAAAGCATTTTTTAAAAATCTTTGAAACAGAGCTGATTTCCCTAGGCAAACGGAGAGCTGAATTCCTATAATTATCTATGCATACACTCCTGTCATCTTCTATATTTGTAGAAAGTACATTTTATTAGTAAAGAAAATAAAGACAGAGATGCCATTGCTCATATCTTAGCAACCTAAAAAATAATCTCTCCTCAGTCTCTTCTCTATTGCAGTCATCAGCACAATGTGTTACGATAAGTTTTGGCTATAGGTCAACAAATATATCTGTAAAAAAACTAGTAAGAGAAATGTGTGCTGCTGCTTGTTAGTGTGACAGTATAATTAATTGCTTCCTGATTCTTAGGAGAAGGGAGTTAGGACCTCTCCCATGGTGGAAAATAAACTCTCAGCTCCAGCCAAATGGGTCTAGTGAGTAGGAACATGAACTCAGGAGGGCAGACATGCATCAACTGCCCACTGTCCCCACACAGCCACCTGGACAACCAACGCCTGGTCGCAAGGCCCATCTAGGCTCTATATCCCCAAAGTCGGGAAAGCAAAGCCTGGTGTCTGTTTGCTGAGACTTACTTGGGACTGCTGATACGACTGTGTGTTGGGGGATAGAGGGGCCCGAGCCCATGCTGGCTAAAGGTCAGGGTCCTGGATTTTGTGTAACTGAGTGTACCCACTGCACGTTGAGCTGAGAATGCACATTCACACCCATGCGCTGAACTCATTGTTTCCTTCTAAAACCTTTTCTTGAGTCCCAGAGTGCTAAATACCTTCTTCCAATCCCGCAAGCACTAAAACACACTTCTAGCTATATTCAGAACTGTCCAGCAGGCCAAAACAGGCTTTTCTGCATTCTAAAAAAATTAATCTATTAGAATACTCAGTCCTGGGGCTCTTCAGGGAAGCTGGTCGGAGTGGCTAGTCAATTTCAGAGTCCCCCAGCCTCTTCCTTTTCCAGGCCTGTCCCATAGCCTGGTGGGCCCAGAAGCCACTGTGAGCACGGGTCTACACATTCCCTCTACTTTCCCTCTCTATAGGGACCTGCAGCAGCGGGCCCAGCTCCAGCTGGATCAGGGGCCAGAGGGAAAGGACTTATGTGAAGCAACTGATGACCCAGAAGAATGACCAGAAACCCAAAGCCACCCATAGGAAGCAATGGGGCAAGGGGTAAAAATAAGCAGGTTAAACCGAAACGGCCATCAATGATAGACTGAATAAAGAAAATGTGGCACATATACCATGGAATACTATGCAGTCATAAAAAAGAATGAGTTCATGTCCTTTGCAGGGACATGGATGAAGCTGGAAACCATTATCCTCAGCAAACTATCACAGGAACAGAAAACCAAACACCACACGTTCTCACTCATAAGTGAGAGTTGAACAATGAGAACACACGGACACAGGGAGGGGAATGTCACACACCAGGGCCTGTGGGGGGTGGGGGGCTAGGGGAGGGAGAGCATTAGGACAAATACCTAATGCATTCAGGACTTAAAACCTAGATGAGCTGTTGAAAGGTGCAGCAAACTACCATGGCACATATATACCTATGTAACAAACCTGCACGTTCTGCACATGTATTCTAGAATTTAAAGTAAAATATAAATAAATAAAAATAAAAAATAAAAATACTAATAATTTTTTTAAAAGATTATAAAATAAATTATACAATATAACTACATTGTTCTTAAAACAATAAAATGCACAAGTTATTTTCATATGTTTTGAAAAGATACTAGAAGAAAATATATCCAACTTTTGAGTTTCTCCCCCACCTCGACTTCTAAGAATATAGGTGATATTTACTTACAGTCATCCTTTAGTATACTCAGGGGATTGGTTCCAGGACCCCCACATATACCAAAGTTCATGCATACTCAAGCTCTTCAGTCAGCTCTATGGAACCCACGTATAAAAAACTGTTGGAGACCAGGCACAGTGGCTCACATCTGTAATCCCAGCACTTTGGGAGGCTGAGGCAGGTTGATTGCCTGAGCCCAGGATTTCAAGACCAGCCTGGGCAATGTAGTAAGACCCCATCTCTATAAAAACAAATGCAAACAAAGAAACTATCTGGGCATGGTGGTGTGTGCCTGTGGTCCCAGCTACTCAGGAGGCTAAAGGTGGGAGAATCACTTAAACCTGGGATGTTGAGGCTGCAGTGAGCTGTGATGGTGCCACTGCACCCCAGCCTGGGTGACAGAATGAGACCCTGTCTAAAAAAAGAGAGAGAGAGAGAAAGGTTGGCCCTTCATACACACAGGTTTTCAATCCACCGTAGGTTGAAAAAATGGGTATAAGTAGATCTTCACAGTCCAAAAACTGTGTTGTTCAAGAGTCAACTGTATACTTGTGAAAAAAAAACCCTATCTTTTTCTAAATTGTCTATGTTAACTATATGCTACCGTCAAAATGAGAAAAAGAAACCTATTGTTAAAAAAATTTACAGATTACCTACACTGGCTCGTAAGTCAAGGGGAGCCAAGTGAGTCCAATAAGAACACCAGTCTTGGCCGGGAGCAGTGGCTCATGCCTGTAATCCCAGCACTTTGGGAGACCAAGGCGGGTGGATCATGAGGTCAGGAGTTCAAGGCCAGCCTGGCCAAGATGGTGAAACCCCATCTCTATTAAAAATACAAAACTTAGCCAGGCGTGGTGGTAGGTGCCTGTAATCCCAGCTACTCGGGAGGCTGAGGCAGAGAATTGCTTGAACCCGGGAGGCGGAGGTTGCAGTGAGCCAAGATTGCACCACTGCACTCCAGCCTGGGCAACAGAGTGAGACTCCATCTCAAAAAAAAAAAAAGAAAAGAAAGAAGGAAAAGAAAGCACCGGTCATTCTCCAAGCCCTGCTATGCCCCAGAGATAGCTTCCCTGTAACCAAGAGAATGAAACTTTAACACATGTTCATCATCAAACATTTAGTCCTTAGACAAAATATTTTTAGATGTGGATAAGCAACTGCCTTTGCACAGATTAGACTAAGGTTATTCTGAACAGGGAGGAAGTGCAGGCAGCATCCTCTTATCCACGGTCTAGTTCTTCCATCCCAGTGCAGGGAGGCTATATTTTGACCATCTCCCAGGAGGTCTGATGCAAGGCAAACCTCAGGACCATATTGTGGATGGAACAAATAAGGCTCCAACCCCAGCTTTGCAGCCACCCAGCTGCAGTCTTTCGGCAAATTATCTACTTTCCCCTGGCTTCAAATTCCTGATCTGTATTGCTGTTCTCTCTTCTGTCTCCAAGTAAGCATTTTTGAAGTTTCACAAAACATGGACAGCTCAGAACAGGAACTGGAAAAAATTACAACTGTAAATCAGAAACACACAGCATCTTAGCTTGGTAAACATGGAATGGAAATGAAGTGTAGTGTGTTTGCCTTTAATTTTGCATAAAGTGAAAGAAAACCGAAACACCCCACCCTCATACACACTCCAGATAAACTATAATTGTATATGAAGGAAAACTAGAGGTTTTCAAAGCAAAGCCCAGAATATCAGAATCTTCTGAGTCAGTGTTGGCAGCCACCAGCCACATGAGGATGTTGAAATGTGGCTAGTCTAAGAAAAAAGAATGAGATCATGTCCTTTGCAGGAGCATGGATGGAGTTGGAAACCATTACTCTTCAGCAAACTAACAGAGGAACAGAAAACTAAACACCGCATATTCTCGCTTATAAGTGGTAGCTGACTGATGAGAACCCATGGACACATAGGTGAACAACACACACTGTGTACCTGTTGGGGGTTGAGGGGAGGGAGAGCATCAGGAAGAATAGCTAATGGATGCTGGGCTTAGTAACTTGGTGATGGGATGATGGGATGATCTGCGCAGTAAACCACCATGGCACACATTTACCTATGTAACAAACCTACACATCTTGCACATGTACCCCGGAAGTTAAAAGTTAAAAAAAAATTAAAATTAAAAAATTAAAGAAATGTGGCTGGTCTCAATAGAGATGTGCCGTATGTTAGTTTGCCAAGTTGTCCTCACAAAATGTAGCAAACCTAATGGCTTAAACAACAGGAATTCATTGCTTCACTGTTCTGGAGGCTGGAAGCCTGAGATCAGTGCGTGGGCAGGGAAATGCTCCTTTTGAAGGCACTGTAAGGATTTGTTCCAGGCACCCTCTCCTAGATTCTGGTATTTCTTTCACTTAGGGCAGCGTAACTCAAATCTTCCCGTGGTATTCTCCCTGCATGGATGTCTCTATTTCCAAATTTCCCTTTTTTGTAAGAACAGCGGTCATATTGGATTAGGGGCCCACCCTGCTCCAGTATGGCTTTATCTTAAAAATTACATAGGCAGGCCGGGCGCGGTGGCTCATGCCTGTAATCCCAGTACTTTGGGAGGCCGAGGCGGGTGGATCACAGGGTCAGGAGATCGAGACCATCCTGGCTAACACGGTGAAACCCCATCTCCACTAAAAATACAAAAAAATTAGCTGGGTGTGGTGGTGAGTACCTGTAGTCCCAGCTACTCGGGAGGCTGAGGCAGGAGAATGGCGAGAACCCGGGAGGCGGAGCTTGCAGTGAGCTGAGATGGCGCCACTGCACTCCAGCCTGGGTGACAGAGTGAGACTCTGTCTCAAAAAAAAAAAAAAAAAAAAAAAACATTTACAGAAGCAATAGCCCTGTTTCCAAATAAAGTCACCTTCTGAGGCACTGGGAGTTAGAACATTAACATATAAATTTTAGAGGGAAACAATTCCACCCACACTATGCTGGATGTGTAAGATACACACCAGATTTCAAAGATGTAGTATGAAAAAATATAAAATCATTAATTATAATTTTATATTGATTATTTAACTGATAATAATTTGGATATATTGAATTACACAAAATATATATTATTAAAATTAATTTTACTTGTTGCTTTTTACTTTTTGTGCATCTTTTCCATTTTCTAATGTAAAATCATATATGTGCCCAACATTATATTTCTATTGGATAGTGCTGATCTAGAAGAAGTTTTTTTTATTTTTTTTTTGGCTGGGCGCTGGGGCTTAAGCCTGTATTCCCAGCACTTTGGGAGACCGAGGTGGGCGGATCACTAGAGGCCAGGAGTTTGAGACCATCCTGGCCAACATAGCGAAACCCAGTCTCTACTAAAAAAATACAAATATTAGCCAGGCGTGGTGGAGCGTACCTGTAATCCCAGCTACTCCAGAAGCTGAAGCACAAGAATTGCTTGAACCCGGGAGGCAGAGGTTGCAGTGAGCCAAGATCGTGCCACTGCACTCCAGCCTGGGCAACAGATCGAGACTCCATCTCAAAAAAAAAAAAAAAAATCTAGAGAGAGGCACTCTCTGCATGCTCTCCCAGTCACCATATGGCATGTGGAGAGCACTCTGTGAAGTGCACTTGACATAGGGCAGATGGAAGGACTGATGGTACTCCACCACCCTAGGACTCTTCAAGTTACAACAGCTGAGACTTGAGCCACTTTTTTCCCCTTCCTTTCTCTCTCCCCTTCTTCTTCCTCTTCTTCTTTGCTCTTTCCTCTTTTTTTTTTCCTTTTTTCTAAGATTATTTATGCCAAAGTCATCTGCTGTTGTTGAGCTCTAGTAGCAGAGAGGTGTCAGAGAGATCATTAGTGGGCCCTATTTCCTTCATCATTAGCAGCTGATTTACTGGGAAAGCTTAACTCCAGGTGACATCATTACCCACCAGCGTGATGTGACTGGTAGAGACAGGTTTTGCCTGCTCAGAATACTTTCAATGTTCTTTAAGTAACAGTGTTCTGTTTTTTTCTTTGCAACTGATCATTTCCTTTGGTTGTGTCAATCGCAGTGTTCGACACCCTTCCCTTCCCCACTGGATTTTCAGGACAATCCAACTCCCTTTCCCGGAATGTAGATCTCAAGAAAATTTACACATAATGAGAATGGAGGTGAAGCTAAGCCATTTTAATATCAGTGTCCAAAGGAGACTGGACCAATTGCTCTTGCTACTGGATTCTTGGAGGGGCCCTTGATACTGTCCCTAATTACTTTTCAGTTCTTCCTTTGATCTAATGAACTACCCAGTAGTCTTGAAATATCTTCCTTTTGCAGTTAAGCTACCCAGAGTCATATTCTGTTATCTGCACTCACAGCCCTCTATGCTATTATTCTGATCTCGCAAAACAGTGAAATGCTACAAAAAGTATTTAAGGACCTTTATCCCTGGCTGCAAATATGAGTACCAACAGGAATAAGACAGAATACAGAGATACATTGGTTACAATATAGCCATCAGGTTTGTCTTTGCAAAAACTGCAATCGACCGGGTCCTGAGCTAGCTCGGCTAAGAGTAGAACTGAGTCCAACCAGTGCCTTGCAGACCTCCCTTCCATGGCAGGGGACTGAGCTCTGGGAAATGGGAGTTAAGCGGAGTGGGATGGCTTGGATTTCCCCAAACTTTCACTTTTGAAACATTACTATAGTGAGTTCTTCACACTCAGGTTGTCCCTTATGAAATCAAATTCTGATGTTGTGCCTGAAGCTATACATCTTTGAATCATCTTTAAGGTACTTCTTAAATTTCATCCTCAAAGAAGCATCTATTTTCTTGTAACATATATATGTAACTTCAATTACTTTTGTCATTCTGGCGGAATACTGGTGGTTTTGCCTGAATTTCCTGGTTAATTGAGGTAAAGAAGGGCTTTCTTTCCTCTCAAAGGTACCCAAATTTCCTCTTATTTGGGTTTTTCAAGTATACTTGATCCTCTCAAAATGTTTCTACCTTACAGCTTTTCAAAAAATAAATAATAAAAATCTGAAAAAAAAAATTTGGTCATAGTTTCTCACTGCTTCTAATTGTTACCCAATATAAATTATTTAGAATTTTTTGATGGGAAGAAGAGAGGGGGCTATATAAGATTTCATGTACATTTTGTAACTGTGAGCAGTGAATTTGCCGTCACTGAAATACACTGCATTTGCAAAATAAATCTCAAGAATTTGTTGTTTTTTTCATGAGCCCTATGTTTGTAGGTTCTATACTTGCTAGAAAAGTAGGTTCCAGTCAGGAGGAAAGGACTCAGGTGTAATTCTAACTCCCTGATGTGTGTGAGATACTGAATACTCGTCTATACAAAAATTTTTTTGTTTCCATACTAAGTTTCAGGCACTGAACTAGGATTTTTCATTTATTATTTCATTTGTTTGACATAAAAACTCTAAGAGTTAAATATTGTTTCCCCGATTTTTCAGATGAGGAGACTAAACCAAAATAATTAAGTTATCTGACTAAAGTCACCCAGCTAAGATATAGCCAATTGAGGTTTCAAAGTCCAACAACATGTAATTTTAACTTTAGTTAATTCTATCGGATCTTCTTGTTATATGGCTGTTATTACTGTTGCTGTTTAATAAAATTAACTTTAGTAAAAAAGTTAAAACTTTACCAAGCCTACCTTGTTTCTTATGTGCTAGTAAGAACATTTAGTAAAATGTTCTTAAGTAAAATGTGAAACAAGAGTGAAAGAAACAGACCCCTCATCAAGGATAGTTACACTAAACCAAAACAGTATGTCAGGTTCCAGTTTTTAAAACTTATCTCCAGTTCCCAAGCATCAGACTGAAGCTGATGTTGAGAAGCCATTATCCTCTATCTGAACAGATAAAACAGATAAAATAAACCTGGCATACTTTCCCAGGTCCTGCTGCCCAGAGTTTCTGGATCCAGGGACAGTGTCCCCTGTAGGCATTCTATGACTTGTTGGCTGTCCTTCCTCATGAAGAGCATCTGAACATAATTTGCCCCTAGGCTTGTCCTGCCAGGTTTCTCCCTGAGGCTTAAACTAAGCTGAAGCCAAAAGGACCTCACTGCAGCCCCCAAACCTGCAATAATAAGTTTCTAAACTTCTCAGGACCAGATCCCCCTCCTTTTAAATAAATATTTGAGCAACTACACGATGTTGTTAGTCATCCTCTGGCTCTCCATCCAAGATGTACCACTTCTCAAAGTCTCATGACTTTCAGCCACACACCTGAAATAACTTAAAATACAAAATGCTAAGTTAAATGGTTATTTTCTAATAATGTCATACATGGGGGCTTATCCTATTATAATATATGGTTCTCAATAGAGTCATAAATGGATTATCACCTGAGAGTTAAAAACAACAACATATCAAGGGGAGTCAGAATTTGGATGCAGGCATTCTGGCTGTAGAGAGTATCCTCTAACCCACCATGACATAACCCTTGGTTCACCATGTTTCACTAACCTTGATGTTCCTGACCTCAGCTGATTGGGTGAGCACTGCAAGCAAAGGTGGACAAGCTCCCCATGTCCTGGAAGACCTGGCTCGAAAAGATGAGCTGAACCAGTCTACTTCTCACTCAGACATTTGAACTAAGATACAAAGAGTTTTCCAAGAAGCGGTGGGACTTTGGGTTCAAAGTTTTAATTATAGATAAGGTCCACATCAGTAGGCTATGTGATGTGCAAATAAAGTTGGGCAGCAGAAATCAGGGCGGGCTGGGAGAGCAGCTGATAGGCAGGGAAGAATCAGGTGTGTTGGGTAACTAAGTCAGGTGGGTAACACAGCAGTGAGGGCTGAGATCTTGCAGCTTAGGGGCTCTGCCTGCCCACGCAGTTTCTGCAAGGCCGGTCTCTAATATTCCTCCCATTCTGGGTTTCCATGCCTGCGTTAAGGGGAGTTTTTCAAATGGCCCCCTAAAGATGTCCTTCTCGAATCTTCAGAAGTTGTGAATATGATGAGAAAATGTTAAGACAAACATAAGAAACATTGTTTGGCAAAAGACTTTGCAGATGTAATTAAGTTACCAATCAGTTGACCTGAATAGTATCTTTAGATAGGGAGATCATCATGGAGCATTCTAGGTGGGTCCAGCGTCATCACATGAGCCCTTCAAAGCAGAGATCGGAGGCAGAAAAAGAGGGATTTGAAGTTTGAGAAGAACTACATGCATGATTGCTGGCTTGAAGGTGGAGGGGCCACGTGGAAATTTGAGAAGGAAATAAATTCTGCTATTCCTGTAACGACAGAGCTTGAAGAGGACCTTGAACCCTAGGTGAACTCAGCTGGCCAATAGCTTGAGCAAAGAAGTCAGGTAAGCCCACGAGAGTTTTGAGCTAATAATATGAGATAATAAATGTTTTACTTTGTTTTGTTTTGCTAGCTGCTAAGTTGTGGTTATTTCTTATACAGCAATAGAAAACTAATATAATGTTCCTTTGTCCCTCTATTCCTATGTAATGGAGCAAAGTGTTCCATCTATTCCTCATCAAAGGTGGGTGAAGAAACAAAACAATTTAATGCAGACCTCACTAGAATGGCCGATAAGAGCCCTATCTGGGGTGAGGAAAAGAACAGATATTAAAGGATAATATAGTTTATATTAATCCAGCAGACATGAAATAGAACATGAAAAAATGCTCATGATACCTTGCTCATTGACACCAATATTATCTTAGATTACACTGTTCTCTGGATAATTCCTATTCCCCCTTGATAGATGTGCAGGTGCTTGCTGCAAAAGTCTAATAGTAAAAGAAGCCTGAGGCTTTCTGTGGTTAGGGTGTAAAAAGTATACCCCATCCTGGGAATGCCTACTAGGCCAGGTGACCTAGAGTACTGTGGCTGCCCCTGGCCCCTCCATAGGGCTTTGGCATCACAGGCTATAGTGATCTTCAAGAAAAGCTCCACGTGTTCTGGTCTTGATGGCTCTGACTTAGTGGGGACTGTCAAAGAATACAATTTTAACAAATTCATTTTCAAAGATTTAATTGGCTTTCATTCCCAATTCATAAATCAGGTGGTATTGAATCTTTGAAATAAAAAGGCACTCCAATGAACTGAGCAGAGGGGGGTGAGATTTATAGACAGAAATGGCTGAAGAAAGAAAGAACAAGAAACAAACAAAAAAAATGGATTGATATTTTCAAAGTTAATTTCCTTAATGGGTTCAAGCAGAGGGGACTTTCTTATCATGCTGATTGAGGTTGACAGAGCCCCTTTGGTTGCTCTGAATCTCCTGGTTTTTGGAAAATGGGCACTTTCTAGGTTCTGTTTGATTTTGTGGCTCCTAGCATGAGTGACTCCATTCTGGTTCAGTCTTGTCTGTTGAGATGGACTTCAGTCCAAAGCAGTGACCTCCCATAAATCTTACTTAACAGGATGAAGGACTCAGAAGTTAAAATACTGCTTTGAGGGACACGTATGAAAATTTGCAAAGAAAGACTCAAACAAAGAAGTCTTTGGGGTTTGACCTGAGGCCACGGGTGAGGAAAAAAAAAATAGAAAAATATGAAGTCTTTGGTGGGGCCAGGTGTGGTGGCTCACGCCTGTAATCCTAGCACTTTGGGAGGCTGAGGCAGGTGGGTACTTGGGGTCAGGAGTTCAGACCAGCCTGACCAATACGATGAAACCCCGTGTCTACTAAAAATACGTCTAAAAATATAACAATTAGCCAGGCATGGTGGCATGTGCCTGTAATCCCAGTTACTCAGGAGGCTGAGACAGGAGAATTGTTTGAACCCAGGAGGCAGAGGTTGCAGTAAACCGAGATCATGCCATTGCCCTCCAGCCTGGGCAACAAAAGTGGAACTCTGTTTAAAAAAACAAAGCAAACAAACAAAAAAGTCTTTGGGGGAAGAGAAGAGGCCATGTGGTCCAGAGAAACTGGGGAAAGGTTGCACTCCTGAAAGGACAGACAATTCAAAAGCAGTCAGTAAGGCCAAACTTCTTGCTTGTCATATCTTGATGGAAGCTTCCTCTGGGAATGAAAAAGGCCCAGTATCTGGGTTACCCTGTAAGTATCATTTCCCCTCCCTTCTAGGAGCTGGATCCAATTCACTACTCAAGTATGTCCATTATATTATTCAGCCATCTATTGAGGATTTTAAGGTTATTGTGTTATAAATATATGGAAAGAAATAAAAACGTTTTAAATTGCGGCCAACTAAACCAAAATAAAACATTTAAAAAATATTGTTACTCCTTTACATATAACTTTTTTTTTTTTTTGGATGGAGTCTCGTTCTGTTTGCCCAGGCTGGAGTGCAGTGGTATGATCTCAGCTTACCGCAAACTCTGTCTCCCGGGTTCAAGCGATTCGCCTGCCTCAGCCTCCCGAGTAGCTGGGACTACAGGTGCACACCGCAACACCCAGCTAATCTTTTGTATTTTTAGTAGAGATGGGGTTTTACCGTGTTAGCCAGGATGGCCTCGATCTTCTGACCTCGTGATCTGCCTGCCTCAGACTCCCAAAGTGCTGGGAATACAAGCGTGAGCCACTGTGCCCAGCCTACATATAACTTTTACAATGAAGAGAGAGAAAAAAATCATCATGTATTCCTTTGGAATTTTCCAGAGTCTCAGTTACCGTTTGTATTAGGGTTCTCTAGAGGGACAGAGCTAATAGGATATATATATATATATATGAAAGGGAGTTGATTAAGGAGAATTGACTCACACGATCACAAGGTGAAGTCCCACGATAGGCCATCTGCAAGCTGAGGAGCAAGGAAGCCAGCAGTGGCTCAGTCCAAGTCCCAAAACCTCAAAAGTAGGAAAGTCAACAGAGCAGCCTTCAGTCTGTGGCTGAAGGCCTGAAAACCCCTTGCAAACCACTGGTGTAAGTCCAAGGATCTAAAAGCTGCAGAACTTGGCATCTGATGTTCCAGGGCAGGAAGCATCCAGCACTGGAGAAAGATGACAGCTGGAAGACTCAGCAAGTCAGCTTCTTCCACCTTCTTCTGCCCAGTTTTTCTAGCCCCACTGGGAGCTGATTGGATGGTGCCCACCTACGTAGAGAGTGGGTCTTCCTGAGGGTGGGCCTTCCTCTCCCAGTCCACTGACTCAAATGTTAATCTCTTCTGGCAACACCCAGGTGCACCTAGAAACAATACTTTAAATCCTTGAATCCAGTCAAGTTGACACTTAATATTAATGAATCACACCATTGCACATAGTGTCTTTTGTGTTTCATTAAAAGACAGAGTAAGGGGCCAGGCGTGGTGGCTCACACCTGTAATCCCTTTGCTTTGGGAGGCCAAGGCGGGTGGATCACAAGGTCAGGAGATTGAGATCATCCTGACTAACATGGTGAAACCCCGTCTCTACTAAAAATACAAAAAAAATTAGCCAGGCGTGGTGGCACGCACCTGTAGTCCCAGCTGCTTGGGAGGCTGAGGCAGGAGAATTGCTTGAACCCAGGAGGCAGAGGTTGCAGTGAGCCGAGATGGCGCCACTGCACTCCAGCCTGGGCAACAGAGTGAGACTCTGCCTCAAAAATAATAATAATAGTAATAATAATAAAATAAAAGACAGAGTTAGGAAACCACATAGCTCTCAGGATAGCCTCTCAATTGGATGGGATCCTGTGTCTTCTTTATCAAGGATATAAGATAATCAATGACAGCAATATTGGATAGGGATACACAGTGCAGGTCTTGTAAATCTTATGGTAAGTCCACACATTTCCTAAAAGTCCAGTGAAATTCAATAAAACCAAAATTATCTGGAAAAGAATTGTTTCCTTTCAGAGTGACTATTTTCTGGACTGCAATGCGATGGTTTCCTGGCTCTTTCATTGCATCTATTTCAGAGCAGTCTATTTCTGCTCGTGTTTTGTATCCTCTATTTCTATTTTATGGTGATACTCTCCCTTAACCCTCTAAGGATACTAATTATACTAAAAGTCTTATTCTGATTGTTCTACCAACATTTGCCTCATTATAAACTCCGTTCTTACTCAGTTTGTAGATTCTCTTTTTAGAATTAGTACTAAAGTATTCTAGTGATTCTTAATAGTGAACTCATCTTTCAAGGATAGCTCCTTCGACTTTCCTCTTCCTGCCCCAGCTTCTGTAGACACCTGAAGGAAGCAAAGCGTAGAAGTAACTTACGGACGTATGCCCTGCACAGTTTCCAGTGACAATGGAGCAGGCTATTAGGTAGAGGCTGTTTCAGGTGACTTTTCCTCTCAGCATGGCCGTTTCTGATTCTCCAAGGTATTGTTGGCCACCTGGGCCATTGAACTGTCTCTACCTCCAGTATTGTTCTGACTTAAACACAGACACAATGGAGGGGAGGAGGGGAGGGATGCACAAGGACCATCTACTCTGATTGCTCCTGTGTATGTAGTCCCTAAAATTCCCCCCATCAGATGGCTCCAGCTTCCCTAATTTCTAGGTTTAGAGTGTGGATGATACCCGTATTTTGTAGTTGAGCTCCCGTTAATATTCCTGAACGCATTTTGCTTTGCTATCACCACTTCAATATGATCCTTTCTGATTTCAGACTTTTAGGGATCGCATACAATTTTCTGGTCCTCCAATGTAGCTACAGATTGACTTATTAGGTTTCACACATATTTCTAATCATCTCTAAGGAGTGGAACAGGGAAAGACAAAGAAGGGGCTCCTGCTTGAGTGCAGTCTACCAAGTACTTCTTGGCTTGAGTCTTTGGTGCTTACAGAGAGAGAGAGAGAGAGAGAGGCAGAAGGGAGAAAGGGAGGGAAGGAGGGAAGGGGAGAGGCAGAATGACAAATTTTAGAGAAAAGTGTGTGTTGTATAATCTTGGAGGGGAATAAGGAAAGGTAAAAAAATACAAAGGCTTGAATCAAATAATAGAATAAATGATCTTCATCAGTTGCATTTTCTCTGCCTCTGAACCTTTTCTGGGGGAGAGGGACAATAAAGAAAAATATTTCCTGAAACAGCAAAATGTGTATTATACTTATGCCCCATGGTACTATATCTTATTTGTCCCAATTCTATGATAAAATTGAAAATTCAAATCTGTTTCTAAAAGAAGCACTGATCACTACTCTGGAATATCAAGCACAGAATACCTATAGTCATGTAGCCAGACGTACCATTTAAAATCACTCAGCAGAAAATTCCAAAAGTTAAATAAGTCTAGCCCCAGTCATCTCTCAGTATAATCGAAAAATAACCTTTTTGGATGGCTGTTGGAAGGGAAGAACATGGAAGGTCTGCAGTTCAATGGAAAGAAAACTGAGGTTGTCTTGTAGTGGAGACCAATGGCAGATAACGTGCTCTGAAAAAGGTGTAAGCCAAATAATCTCCATCATTTTGGTTTCATGGGGAATAAATGAAGATGACTATCTGGATCTCAGTTTTGGCTCCTCTGGTAGCTGGCTTTGTGACCTTGGGTAGGAGGTTTAACCTGTCTATCAGTTCCATCAGTTATAAAAATAGGCATAATTATATTTCCCTCATGGATTGCTATAAAGATTGAGCCAGGTAGTGTCTGTAAATAAGCTAGCTCAATCCCTGACATAATATGAGCTTAATGAATATTATATTTTTTCCTCTTAGTCTGAGTATATCTATTACTTCTGTTGGAAAAGAGTCTTGATTTTAACTACAAATATTGTTGCAGCCAACTGTGAGTTGAGACAGGAGCTTAGAAGAGGGCTCCCATTAGGCTTCTCAGTTTCCCTAAAAATGTCAAATATGGAATTTTAATTTTCCAAGACTCAGAAGTAAGGAGTTGTTCTTACCTCACAGGACTGTGTAAGTAGAAAATTAAACTATGTAAAACACCTTGCACTGTATAGCATTGAACGCATACTGTATGTGGGTGTGGCCCATTGAAGAAATTATTGCCAGCCACAAAGTTATGAACATATTCTCCTAAATCCTGTCTAGCATCGCGATTGTTTTCTCTCTCACAGTGAGAAACCCATCTGGAAAATCCATTTACAACCCATCTGGAATTGATTTTTGTTTATGGTATGGGAAAGGGAGTTTATAATAATTAATGATATTTATAAGACAAAACCAGCAAAATACTCAAGACCACCTAATTGTTCAGTAGACTCTTTTTGATTCATGAGACACTCACGACCTTGTCCCTCCAAAATTACCAGGTTGCCACAGCACTCTGTCTTCCTTCCTTCCTCCTGCCTATGTCAAATTCTCTTTCCCACTCTTCAAGCTTCCTATATAAGCAGACACATCCAGCCAGCAAAAGAGATTGCCTATCTGTCCTTCTGAAGCACTCATCCATCATAAAAGATGGTCCTGGAAAATCTCTAAAAGGTTGAAGTATGGGCTTTTCACAGTGGGAAGAGCCACATCACACCCTGATCCTTCTTTCTAATCTTCTGTTCATATAGGCTTGGCAGGAAATAAGAATTGGATGATGATTGAGGCAGCACAGAGAACTTGGAGACTTCTCTAGGGGTCTAGGGTTTGACCCTAGTCGTTTGGTCTCTGATACCTGCTTCTGGGTTCCGTTTATCAATTACCAGGACACCAGACAAGTGTCACAGGTCAACCTCCCATCATGCTTGGGTGGGCATACAAGGAAGAAAGGGCAGTAAAAACACGTAGCTGAGGCCAAATATATATGGTGACCACTTGTCAGTTTCACCAGCAGATTTACCTGCTCACAGGCTTAGAGAAAGGAGGAGTGCTAGCGCCCCCTGCAGTACAGAATCAAGAATCCCTAGTACCCAGGAGAGCATCAGTGATTCAGACTGAGGGCACATCGGGTAGGAGGCTCTCAGCACCCCTAAAAATTGCAAAACTAAAAAACTTCTCGCAGCTGAGAAGCTGGAGATAATGTTCATTTAAAAAAAACTGAGTAATCTCTGTTGTCAAAGAGCTATGTGACACCTGAAAAAATAGTATGCCAATATTTGGGGAGGAAAAAAAATAAAGCAAAACAGGAATTAAAAGAAAAAGAACACTTCTATCTCAAAAGACACAGCTTTTCCCAATTTTGAAAATGTGAATTACAGCCAACGTATTAAGTCCCTTGAAATTAGCAGGTTATAAAGAGCTGATACAGCCTTATCTAAAGAAAGCAAGAACAGCCCCATTACAACAGAAAAACAAAACAAAAAACTTCTAAATCATGCATGGCCTGAGATAAAGAAAAATTAAGGTCTTTGCATAACATTGCCCCAGAACTAAGCCTAGCAATATATTTTCCTGAGGAACCTGGAATGGGGGCCAAGTCAGATTTTCTTGTGTGGCAGAATACCTAATGGGAATTTTTAGAGCTGTGGATGGCTGGGAATTTTTAGAGCTGTGGATGGCCAGGAATTTTACTAAGAAGCAGGAAAAGTTGTGGGCAAAGAAACAAGAATAATGATGCATGGAGAGAAGTATAGGCAGGGGTTGGGTGTCAGAGAAAAAGAGTTTTCAGAATCTTTCTTTCCAGTTTCTGCTTCCATTTTTCCTGGAGTTCAGCCATTTTCCATCATGCCCGCCATGACTTAACTTTAACTGATTTCATAGCCACTTTTTCAACGAGATGACTGGGATTGGTTTCTCCTACTTTCAACCAAGAATCCTGACCACCATAGTGGGTTTTAGGAGATGGGCCAGTGAGTGGGGAGGCTGTTCTCTGGGCACAGGACCCTGACACAGACATCCCAGCACTGACAAAGCTCATTCCTCCCCAGGGATGCTGAGCTGCTGCAGGAAGCTCTTGAACATCAAGTTATGCCAGCAGAAAAAGACATCAGATTGGAAGAATGTGGGTGATGTTTTGCCTGTGGAGGGGGTGGAGGATAGCCTTGGATCCCTTGAAGCCCCTAGGACATGGGTTTAGCCACCCCATGGCACTACAGAGGGTCACGTGATCTGGAGCTAGCAGGATAGTGCTGGTTTAGAATATTCTGCTGACATCGTCCTAGCTATCGTCACAGTGTTTCCTTAAGCATTAATTTATGGTCACAGTTACTGTAACACAGCTAAAATTTTTTACCATATCTACTCTTTCTAATGGTCTAATAATGAGAAGGTTTTTAGCACACGTGTCACAGGGTCAAGAGAGCAATTACTTTTCATCTGAATTCATAAAACCCTTATTATACTAACACAAAGCACCATATTTTTAATTCCATGTAGTATAAATAAATAAAAAGAAAATAGCCACGAGCATTTTTCTAACCATATGACCTTGAGCAAGTTACGTGAACTCTGTGGAGATCTGTGTACTTTTCTGTAAAACAGATTTACTGAGCATTGCATCATATAATTATTGTGATGATTAAATAAATTTATTCTATAAAGTGCTTAGCACAGTGCCTGGCACATGGTAAAGTGCTGAGTAAATATCAGCTCTTTTTATTACTGGAAGTACCTGGCTTTCCCCATTGACTTGATTTCAGAGGCAGATGAATTCTCCCTTATCCAAAATTATTTCATACACCACTCTGGCCACCAGAGATTCATTCACACTTTGAGTTGTCAAATAATTTCTATTGTTATGCAGAAAATCCTAGTAGAAACCATAAAATGCTACTTAATAGTCATTCAAGCTTTTTATAAAATAGTTTTCAAAGTAAATTGTTTCCTTTATGGGTTTTAATGACGAGAAGGATGAGATTAACCACAGGACTCTGGAGAGAGGTACAGATTTGGGGGATTTACATGGGGGTGGACTGATATCACAATGATCCCTAATTTTCTATATTCACCAGGCAGATGAGCTGGTCTCAGAAATACTCAAGTCTCAAAATCTTTGGAACATATGCTTCCATATCAGGTACATGGGTTTTTTCTGCCATCTAGTGGCCACCTTTGATAAAGACAGTCATCTTTATGTGAGCAAAGGTTTCCCACCTAGAGCACTACATAGGAAACTCCCAGGCTCCCAGGCATCTTTTTCAGTTTACACTTTTCAGGGAGTTCCCCTAAAATTGCCTCTGAAATTGGAATAAAAGCAAAGGTCCTAGTCCTCAGGGAGGCACAAAGCTAGGATAAGTTGTTAGAATAGCACTAGCTGAGCCACTGATTCTCTGGGTGGCTGCCAGCTAAGTCTCTTTTCCTTCCCCAACCTGTTTTCTCATCTATAAGATAAATCACACTGGCGGGTCCCTGTTAGCTCTAATACTCTGGTGTTCTGAGTCCCTCCAATTTTAAATCTTTATTTGGACAAGCATGTCTATACTTGCCTCATTAATTAAAGTAAATCGAGGAGAAATTATAACATCTAGACAACGAAGTTGCTATTCCCTAGGACAACTCAGCGATAAGGTAGTTGAGTATCATGTTTCTGACATCATCTTCCTCTTGGGGAAGGTTTTCCTTTTCAATTTCCTTGTAGAGACTGTATGAATCATGGCTTCATTTATCCTAAAGTCCATAAGTAAAATGCAGATTATCAATGAGCAAGTTGTTTATTTCAAATATGTAGATACTCCTTGACAAATTCTCAAAAGGTTTTATCGCACTGATAATGGACAGTAATCTATTTGATGGGGTTTATTTAAATCGCAATTTTCTATTCTCCGTGCCACAGAAATGGCTTAAGTCCTCCCAAGCTTTTATTCGAAGGACTGACATATTCTCATTAGCATCCCACCTGCTTCTAAAATCTCTTTCCTTTCATCGTTATTCCATCCAAAAATCAGGAGAGAATAATCTTTTTCATTCTTCTTTTTAATTGACAAATAAAAATTATATATATTGATGGTGTCCAACATGCTGTTTTGATATATGTATAGATATTGTGAAATGGCTAAATCAAGCTAATTAAATATGCATTACCTTCACATACTTAACATTTCTTTTTTTTTTTTTTTTTGCAATACAAACACTTAAAATCTACTCTCTTAGCAATTTTCAAGTTTGCCATACTTCTACCCAAAGATTCCACTGGCTTCCTGCCACCATCCTTCAGTCTAAAACTGTATCATGCTGTTCCTGGCATTCTTTGATCAGGGCCTATGAGAGAAATTTATTTCCTGCTTCCTGGGCATTCAGATTCCCAGCAGCTGCAACAACCTGAACTTCCTTTGGACAATTACTCCTTATGATGACTTGAGTGATCTTGGCCTCACTTTCAAGCCCAGGGTGAACCTTCATTGCCTTGGCCCATTCTAAATGAATCATTTCCTGGCCATAGTGATTGGTTCTGGCATGGACACATATCTAACCAGAGTCAATGAGATTTCCACTGAGACTTCTGAGAAATAGATTCTCTCCCATCCCTTCTGGACTTAAAGCAAGACATATGTAGCCACAGAAGCAGCTAGAGCCCTCTTGAGACCTGGAGGGAGAAACTGCTAGAAAATGGAGTATACATCAAGGAAGAAGAGGAAGGAATGAAGAAAGAAACTGAATCTTGGCCACATCATTGGAGCCCTGGATCAACCCTCACCTGAAGATTGCCCTCACCTTCTTTTCAACTCACCAATGAAGTGTTTTCATTGTTTAAGGCAGTTCAAGTTGGGTTTTCTGCAATTTAAAATAATAATAATACTAATAAAATCTATAGCTCATGTGGGTTCCAAGCAACCTTTCCATGTGTTTCACCTTAGTTTTCATAGATGCTTTTCTTCCAGTTTTGCCAAACTAATGGAGAATACTCAGGCAGAAGAGACAGTGTGGTTTACTCTAAGAACTCATCCAAGTTCTGAGAGTACTGAGTTGATCATTAATAATTGGACCTAGGTATGTGGGAGAAGGCAGAGACAAGGGTGACCCCAAGGTGAGGGACATAAGTCACTGTGGGACTAACTTCTGGTAACATTAAGAGAAGAAACAAGTTTGGGAAAAGGAGATGAGTTTCCATTTGGAACAACTTGAATTTAAGTAGACTTATCCTTTTGAGCTGCAAACGTTGACCTGTCTGCATCCTCCAGAAAACTGGAAGTTTGTTAAGGGCAGGGACTGTGGGCTCTAAATCTTCAATCATCTCCCACAGGACCCCAATAAATATGTATTCTAATAATAAGAAAATAAAATCAATGAAATATAAGTTACCCAAAAATAATTAGAGAACAGTGAAGTCCCAGTCTCCTCTTTGGGCCTGATGATTACGTCTGTCAAATGTTCAGAAAAATTCTGAGATGCCTGCTGGAGAGAACGAGTTCTGTCAGTAGAGGAGGCAGCATTGAAGCTGTACTTGTAATATTTATTTGGAAGGAGAGGAGTACCCCATCCCGGAGGAAGGGCTTGAGCAAAGGCACTCCTGCTCCCTATCTGACTGGGGAATACCACTTGTAGGGTACAGAATCATACCATTATTTCAGAAAACTGAGGAGAGAGCTGGAGTAATACTACCAGTAAGAGATCCCACTTCACCTGACAATGACCCATCAGAGTGGTCAGAGAATCAGAGGCTACACAGAAGGGACTGTGCTTGGAGAAATAGGTCACAGATAATTAAACAAAAGAAGAATTTTTGTTTGTTTGTCTTTGAGACGGAGTTTTGCTCTTACGCCCAGGCTGGAGTGCAGTGGCCAGCGATCTCAGCTCACTGCAAACTCTGCCTGCTGGTTTCAAGCAATTCTCCTTCCTCAGCCTCCCGAGTAGCTGCGATTACAGGAGTCCACCACCACGCCCAGGTAATTTTCATATTTTTAGTAGAGACGGGGTTTCACCATGTTGGCCAGGCTGGTCTCGAACTCTTGACCTCCTGATCCACCGACTTGGCCTCCCAAAGTGCTGGGATTACAGGCGTGAGCCACCACACCCGACCAAAGAGGACTCTCTTTAATAATGCCCGTTTTTGTAGGAGTAAGATGGAATCTCATTGTGGTTTTAATTTGCATTTCCCTGATGATTAGTGATATTGAGCATTTTTTATATGATTTTTGGCCATTTGTATGTCTTCTTGAGAAATGTCTATGGTGGGAACGTAAATTAGTCCAACGTCTATGGAAAACAGTATGGAGATTACTTAAATAACTAAAAGTAGGTCTACCATCCAATCCAGAAATCCCACTACCCAAAGGAAAAGAAGCCATATAAAAAAAAGACACATGCACTCATATGTTTATTGTAGCACAATCCACAGCTGCAAAGATGTGGAACCAACCTAAGTGCCCATTGGCCCATGAGTGGATAAAGAAAATATGGCATATATACATCATAGAATACTACTCAGCCCTAAAAAGGAATGAAATAATGTCTTTTCCAGCAACTCGAATGGAGCTGGAGGCCATTATTCTAAGTGAAGAAACTCAGGAATGGAAAATCAAATACCATATGTTCTCACTTATAAGTGGGAGCTAAGCTATGAAGATGCAAAGGCATGCAGAGTGATTTAATGGACTTTGGAGACTCGGAAGAAGGTGGGAGAGGGATGTAGGATAAAAAACTACATAGTAGATAGAACAAGCACTACTCGGATGATGGGTGCACTAAAATCTCAGAACTCGCCACTGTATAATTCATCCACTTAACCAAAAACCATTTGGGGGCCAAAAGCTATCGAAATAAGATATATGTGATATCATATATATATGTTAAAATATTTTTTAAAAAGAAGATTCTAAACAGCAACTTTCTACCTCCTTCAGCTGACTCAGGAGACCATTAAGTGTGTCTCTATTGAAATCCAAAGAAGGAGAAATGAGGCAGATAGTGCTGATGCTATGGGCTTCTTTTTTCTGATTACATACAAGATGGAGTGAAGGAAGAAGTGACTTTGACCCATTCCGATAAACAAATCCAGAAGTCAATTGCATTGGTTTGTTGTCTTAATGATAAAGGAATTTTCCAGGGGGAAAGTTATAAGGAAAATATCTATTTAAAGAGGAAAAGTCTAACACCCATAATTGTTTCAAATTTAAGAAAAAAAAATCTTCAAAAGGAAAGCATTACTTCTAAGCTACGCGTTCCATATGCATTTTAAAAAGAAAATATGGGACAACCTAAAGCAGCTTTCTGTCAGCTATTGGAAATTTGCATGAGAATGATCAAAAAGGCCCTCTTCCCTCTCTCTGAGATGTATAAAGTCGTATCAGTCTCTTCTCAAAAGGCTTTCTGAGTAGGCAGTTACTCCTCTATCAAAACTGTTTACACTTGCAGGCAATATAACTCTCATGGCTGGTTTTATGAATTTCTTAGCCGTCTGAAAGGAAGTAGTTTGAAACATTAGAAAACCTATTCAAATCTTATTTTGCTGGCAGCAGGTAACTTGGAAATGGTTTTGTGCTCCTTCTTCTTTCCTAATTCTTTGAAGAGTGATGATACTGACGGGCTTCATTACTTCCACAGGGAAACAGATCTGGAGACCTGTGAAGACAAAGTTACTCACCCGTCATGTGAGGGTGTCATACACATGCTAGGTGTCATACAACACCTAGCATGATGAATGCTGCAATTTACACCGTCTAAGTTTTTGGTGGCCAGATGAGATTTATCCAAAAGAATACTGAGATAATTGTGGCCTGGAAATTGCTCATGTTTTTGCATTTTAATAGGAACACTGTAAGGGAGAGCTAAAGTGGGGAGGAATAGTAGATAAGGCGTGGGATTGGGTGGCATGAAATCTCACATGCGAATTCAAGTTTGACTTGGCTAAATAATTTAAACTTTCTAAACATCTGTGTACTTCAACTCTAAAATGGGTTGGCTATATCCATTCCAAAGGGTTGTTCTGGAGATGAAACAAGATAATGTATCTATATGTAATATATGTACATATTATATAAGATAATGTATATATGTAATATATACATAATATATAACATAATGTATATATATCAGACATTCTCTCTATATTACACAATATTGGTTCGATGGATTGATGGTGGTGGTGGTGGCAGTGGTGTTATTATTCTTACTATCCTTTAAGTATCCAATGAAAGAAAACATTTAAGTGAGTTAGTCAATTCTGAATTATCCATGATGATGGCAAAGGGTTAGAGTAGGAATTAATGTCATAGACAAGTAACATTATTCAAACATTATTGAAAACCAGCATTGTTTAATGTAGGATTTAATTATTGTTATGTTATTTAAAGTTAATGTATACTCATTTTCAAATATGTTTTAACATATAAAAAGCTGTTCATTTTTAAGTATACAACTTGATGAGTTTGGGGATAAGTATATACCCATAAAACTCTCACCACTACCAAGGCACAAATATATCCATCACCTCCCAAAATTTCCTCCTGTCTTCTTTATTATTATTATTTTTGGTGGTAAGAACACAACACCTACCCTTTTAGCAAATTTTAAGCATACAATACAATATTGTTAGCTGTAGGTTTTATCGTGTATAGCAGCTCACCAGAACTTACCTTGTGTAAATAAAACCTTGTAGGCATTAACCACTCCCTCTCCAACTACCCCTCACCTCAACTTCTAGCAACCACCATTCTACTCTCTGCTTCAGGGTTTCGCTATTTTAAATTTCACATGTAAGTGAGATCATACAGTATTTGGTGTTCACTGGGCAGAATGCCCTCCAGATCCATTCATGTTGTCACCGATGGCAGAATTTTATTCTTTTTTAAAGATGGATAATATTGCATTGTAGGTATGCACCATGTTTTTTTAATTCACTCATCCATCAGTGAATATTTTGGTTGTTTCTTTTTCTTGGCTATTGTGAATAGTGCTGCAATGAACATGGGAATGCAGATATCTCTTCAAGATCCTCATCTCAATTCCCTTGTATATATACCTAGAAGTGGCGTTGCTGGATTATACGGTAGTTATATATTTAATGTTTTGAGGAATATACACTGTGGTTTTCATAACAACTGGACCAATTTAAATTCCCACCAAGAGTGTACAAGTGTTTTATTTTCTCTGCATTCTCACCAACATTTATGTTTTGGGTTTTGTTTTTTTTTTTAATAGCAGCCATCCTAACAGGTATGAGGTGATATCCTATTGTGGTTTTGGTTTGCATTTCCCTGATGATCAGTGATGTTGAGCACGTTTCTATATACCTGTTGGCCATTTGTATGTTTTCTTTGGAGGAACGGCTATTCAGAACCTTTGACCACTTTTCAAATCAGGTTATTTGCTTTTTTTGCTATTGACTTGTATGTGTTCTTTATATATTTTGAATATTAACCAAATATGTTTTCAAATATTTAAATGACAATTGTATAAAGTGGGAAATGAAAGTATCTTAGAATTTTGTAACTTCTTGCTCTATGATATGGGAATTATACTCTCAAATTTATTTTTGTGTACATATAAAATTAGTTTTAGAACAAAATAATAGCTTTTGACTCGACATTAAGGCTTGATCTTGGTGAGATGATGGACCATTTTATCTCTAGGGCCTTATCTTTGAGGTAGAGTCCATTGGGAACTTTAAAGTTTTGGTTCAGTTTATGAGCCAATAGCAAATTAGGCTTTCAGAGGAACAGAGGGGATGTGAGTTTTCTATTACCAAATAGTCTAAAAACATTAGTATTTCTTGTTGAACTTCACAAAGTAATGACTTTTGTCAAAGGATAATTTCAAAAAGTTAAAACCAGGATTTTCATATAAACATAAAATAAAGACATACAAAGATTCCTTTGTACACCTCATCTTCAATTTAGAATTTAAGGAACAGAAATTTAAATAGTCACTCAATGGAATGTGAAAATTAATTTGTTAATAGATACAAACCCGCTTAATGTTAAAGATGACGAAACAGTCACCTTTAGCGTTTAGAGTTCTGATCAAACAAATCTAAAACTTAACGCACAAAATTATATTATCAATGTTCCCATCAAACAATAAAGAACAAAATTAAACACAGGTGCATTGTCTTAAATAAATAATCCTTGGATGAGACCTCTTAACAGTGACCTTCATTTGACACTGAAAATACAGGATCTCATCTTTTGCTTTATTTCTAAATTTTGAATGTTAATTTTTCTTAATACTTTTTTTCACCTGTTCTTGTTTGTTATGATCATGGTCCCTATTATCTTTTGACTGTTAAAATCCTCTCTTCTGATGTGTCTTTTATTTTTTTATGTCTTTTATAATAGAAAAAAATATTTTATAAAGAAACAAGATGTCAAATTTTGTTCACTTGTTCTTTTTATTTTATAGATAGGTAAAATGGAAATGGAGTCCATTTTATCTCCTATTCTAGAGCTGATTCCATCAAAACTAAAGATTAACTATTAAACTCTTATTACAACTTTTTGCATATTTCTTTAAATTTTAAGCTTAGAATAAATTCCTCTCACTGGGAGCAGTGGCTCACGCCTGTAACCCCAGCACTTTGGGAGGCCGAGGATAGTGGATCATCTGAGGTCAGGAGTTCAAGACCAGCCTGGCCAACATGGCGAAACCCTGTTTCTACTAAAAAATACAAAAAATTAGCCTGGTGTGGTGGTGGGCACCTGTAATCCCAGCTACTCGGAAGGCTGAGGCAGGAGAATCACTTGAACCCAGGAGGTGGAGGTTGCAGTGAGCCGAGATCACGGCACTGCTCTCCACCCTGGGCAACAAAATAAGACTCCGTCTCAAAAAAAAAAAAAAAAAAAAGAATAAATTTCTCTCATGCCCTATCCCACCCCAAGACCATATAAAATGTCTCTCTTTTATGCCCCACTGCACTTGTGACCCTAAGATGATATACTTCCTAGCCACCTGCCACCACCCACATGCCCTTCCATTAACTTGGAATCTTTAAGGGCAAAAATTGTCTTAGTTCCCTGCTCCTCATGGCCTGATTTATATTAGGCACTTAATAAGTTACACTTTAATTATTTACTGATGTATGGACACTATTCTTATGGTCAACGAAGAAAATGAAAAAACTGTTTAATGTAAAAATACAAACCGAAAATAAATTTAAAACTTCTTTCCTCATATCTCCCTCATGTTTTTGTTTTAGTCATTAAACAAAACTTACTCTGTCACTCAATCTAAACATCCTAACACTCTTCACCTTTTAGTGTATTTACACAATTAATTAGTAATTTTGCTGTTACCTTAATTACTCTTCCTTAGGTAAAGCATAGCACAATGGTCAAATCTGAGTTTCTCAACTCAAAGTTGAGCTTAGGTGTTCAAAACCAGCTTTACTGAATGTAAACATGTGTTTAACTTTGTTTTATATTCAATAGTTATAAAGGGATGTTTCCCCTCTCTGAGCTTAAAAAAAAAATCCCTCCTAATTTTTTAGAAAGAACTGAATAAGAAAGTCTTCCTTATCATAAAGCAATTTTGTGGTGCAACTAAGGCTAATTCTTGACACTCAAAGTAGTAGATGAGAGATTAGATGATGCAGTGACAAGTCAGTACATATGCCCAACCAGTGTGACAAAATGTCCCCATCCGTCTTGGTTCCAAAATTCGTGGCTGATGGGAACAAGCACAAGTAGACCAGAGTTAGATAATTCTTGCTGCGTAATGCACCCATATGAGGCAATCAAAGACCAAGGATTACTAGGCAACTTAGAAGTATTACATAAAGGCCAGGCGCGGTGGCTCATGCCTGTAATCCCAGCACTTTGGGAGGCTGAGGCAGGCGGATCACAAGGTCAGGAGTTTGAGACCAGCCTGGCCAATATGGTGAAACCCCGTCTCTACTAAAAATACAGAAATTAGCTGGGCGTGGTGGCGTGTGCCTGTGGTCCCAGCTGCTTGGGAGGCTGAGTCAGAGGAGTCACTTGAAGCCAGGAGGTGGAGTTTGCAGTGAGCCGAGACTGCACTGTTGCACTCCAGCCTGGGTGACAGAGCAAGACTCTGTCTCAAAAAAAAAAAAAAAGTGTTACATAAAATACTACGCAATACCACACTACCATAATGAGAACTGAAAGAAGCTAATGTGCTGGAGAAACAAGAAGCCAAGCCTTCCCCTACTGTTGTTAATATCACTGGGAGGGCAACATAATAAGTGCTCAGTGAACGTCTGCTCATTCTACTACTCTCTCGCCTGCCATCACAGGCCCAGGCCAGATCACCATCTGAGAGGTCTTACACATACCCTAAAAGTTACCAGGTAAGGAGGAGCATGGTGACTTGGGGCAATTGGAAGTGAGTTTCCTCTTTCTTTTCTGTAGGAATTGTCCAGTGCCGTGCTAGTTAACAATCAGCACTCCCAAGAATGGGAGTGGACAGCCTTGGATTTTACAATTTGCCAATTTCTATGGTGTAAATACTTTCATCATCTCATTGCCAATCTCAAGCTACTAACCTGAGTTTGCTGAAATACATCCTATTAAATATATTAGACGTATCAGATATTTCAGCTTCTCCCTTCAGTAACTTATAAAAATAAACAGAAAATTACTTAGTATTTAGAAAACATAAACAACACAATCAACATGATCAACAGCAGAATAACAATTATTTTCTTTTGCAAATGGAACATTCTCCAATAGGGATGATATTTTATGACATAAATTTCAAATATATAAAAGGATTCAAATAATCCAGACTACGCTGTCTAATCACAGAGAATTAAATCTATAACTGAAATTATTTGAAAATGTTCAGAAATTTACAAGTTAAACAGCACACTTCTGAATAACCCACAGAAAACAAAGAAGAAATCACAGAGGGAATTAGAATATATTTTGTACTGAATAAAAAACCAAAACATTTCAAAATTTGTGGAATAGGACTTAAAACAGTGTTGAGTACAATTTATAGCTTTAAATGCTTAAACTAGAAAAAGTAGAAAGATTTCATATTAGCAACCCTAAGATTGTCACATTAAGATGCTGGAAACGAAGTATATATTACAATGAAATTTAAGAAAAAGATAAATATGAGTACAAATCAAAGGAGAGAAAACTAGAGAATTTCAGTTAAACCAAAAGGTTATATTTTGAAAAGGGCAACCCACTAGGTTTATTAATCAAGGAGAAATTTGAAAAGGTGCAGATGACCGTTATCTGGAATAATAAAAGAATATCACTACAGATTTTACATACATAAAAGTAGAATAAAAAATTAAGAAAATTTTTATGCTAATTAATTTGAAAGCTTAGATGAATTGGGCAAATTTACCTTGAAAAATAAAAATTACCAAAAGAGGGCCAGATGCAGTGGTTCATGCCTGTAATCCCACACCTTGGGAGGCCGAGGCAGGTGGATCAGCTGAGGCCAGGAGTTCGAGACCAGCCTGGCCAACATCATGAAACCCTGTCCCTACTAAAAAATATTTTTTAAAAATTAGCCGGGCATCGTGGCAACTGCCTGTAGTCCTAGCTAGGAGGCTGAGGCAGGAGAATCGCTTGAACCTGGGAGGTGGAGGCTGCAGTGAGCCAAGATCACACCACCACACTCCACCACAGGTGGCAGAGCAAGACTCCATCTAAACAAACAAACAAAATTTAAAAAAAAAAAATTACCAAAATACACTCAAGAATAAATACAAAATTTCAATAGCATGGAAATCATTAAAGAAACAGACTTTGCATATTGAATTGGTTTTACAATGTAAATAGTTTGTTTAACTGAATTCAAATGAATACTTACGAAAGAAATAATACACTCACAAACACTTTAAGAAAATAAAAGAGAAATAGGCCAGGCACGGTGGCTCACACCTGTAATCCCAGCAGTTTGGGAGGTCGAGGCGGGCAGATCACGAGGTCAAGAGATCGAGACCATCCTGGCCAACATGGTGAAACCCCATCTCTACTAAAATACAAAAATTAGCTGGGCATGGTGGCACTGGCCTGTAGTCCCAGCTACTTGGGAGGCTGAGGCAGGAGAATCGCTTGAACCAGAGGTCAGAGTTTGCAGTGAGCCGAGATCGTGCCACTGCACTCCAATCTGGCGAAAGAGCCAGACTCTGTCTCAGAAAAAAATTTTACAAAAATAAAAAACCTCCCTGGTGATTCTTTGCTGAAGTCCTCCCTAGCCCCTGCACTAGACAAACACTGGTCTGCTTTCTATCAAAATACATTTGATTTTTTTTCTAGCATTTCTTACAAATGGAATCAAAAAGTGTGTACTTTTTTGTATCTGGCTGTTTTGCTCAGCAAAATACTTTAGAGATTCATGCTGTTGTTATACGTATCAATAGTTCAGTTGTTTTTATTGCTGAGTAGTATTATGAATATACCACAATTCATTGTCCATTATCTTCTTGTTGGATATTTGGAGCTTTTCTCCAGTTTTTATTTACTATAAAGAAAGTTGCTGTTAGCATGTGTGCAGAAATAATTTTGTGGGCATATGTTTCATGGTAAATACCTGAGAATAAAATGGGTGAGTCATGCAGTAAGAGTGTGTATTTATACCTCATAAGAATCTACCAAAGCATTTTTCAAAGTTGCACCATCTTGCATTCCTGCCAGCAATGGGGAAGAGTTTGTTTCTGCAAATTTCCTCGAGCAATTTGTATTGTAAGTTTTTCTTAAATATTAGCAATTCTAGCTAGTATGTGGTCAATTCTTACTCTAGATACAATGTGCCTTTTTAGGACTGATTATTATGGTAAGCATTTTTTCATGGACTTATTGGCCTTTTGTGTCTTATTTGATCAAGTTTCTGTTTAAATCTTTTTTATTGAATTGTTTGCTTTCATATTATTGAGTTTAATATGTCCTTTTAAAATTTTTGTATTATGGGTACAAGTTATTTGATGCGCACAGGTATTTTTTCAGTCTATTGCTTGCATTTTCATTTGCTAACACTGTCTTGAGCAGATTTTCATATTTTTCAAGTTCAGTTTCTCATTGTTTTGGTTGATGATTCATGATTTTGTGACAAAACGAATAAATCATTATATATACACCAAGATTGTAGAATTTTTCTTCTATGTTTTCCACAAGAAATACCATTTTAGCTTTTATGTTAAGCTGTATAATATACTGTAAATTAAATTTTTGTATGGTGTTATATAAGGGTTGCAGTTCATTTTCTCCATGTGAATGTCCACTGTTCCAATTCTATTTGTTGGTAAGATTAGCATCTCTTCAATTAATTAGATTGGTATCTTTGTTGAACCATACAGGTGTGGAGAAATCAGGACTGTGTGATTTGATAAATTGATCTATATATTTATATTTACATCAATACGTGATCTTTGTTACTTTAGCTTTACAGTAAATATTAAAATAATGTAGTTTAAGTCTATCTTTGTTCCTCAGAAACGTCTTGGCTATTCTAAAATACTGGCATTTTCATATCAAAATAATTTTGTAATTTGTCTTTACAAACCATTCTAGGTTTTATATTAGGATTATGTAAAATTCAGTAGATAATTTTAGGGAGAATTTATATTTTGATAATGAGAAGTTTCCAATTGTTGGACATAGTGAATATCTCAATTTACTAAATCTTCTAAGTTCCTCCAGAAAAAAAAAATGATTTTACAGTGGATAATTAAGGCATATGTATTATTATAATTATATAAGCATATATATCATTATAATTATTCCTAAGTATTTTAAGTTTTTATGCTATTGCATATGGTATTTATCTTTTAAGATTCCATATTCCTTTCCTTCATTAATTTTCTGTGTGTGTGTGTGTATGTATCTACCTGTATTATTGCTGTGTGTATATCCATATGTAATTGATTTTGGTATTCTTTAACCTTGTTACAGTCACATGTATATAACTTAAAATGTCTATATACAATGCCATATTGTTTCAGAATAAAAGAGATATTTTCATTACTAATATTTAGGGGTTTTTATTTATTTCTCTTTTTTTTCTATTTATACTAGCTTTAAATATGCAATGTAATCTTGAGCAAAAGTGACAATAACAGACATCCTTGACTTTCCCCTAATCTTAGGGAGAAAGTAGTCGGTCTTTCCCCATAAAGGCTAAAGTTAACTGCAGGTTTTTCTTCCATGTTCTCATCATCTTAAGTACATTTTCCTTTATTCCTAGTTGATAAGAATGTCTTTAATGAATAGTAATCAAATTTTGTGATATTCTTCTTCACTTTTGATATGTCAATATATTGAATTCAATAGTCTACAGATTTTTGAATCCATATTCTTGAAGAAATTTGACCTGCTTTTTCATTTTTATAATGTTTGCTATAGTTTTATTATTATGGTAATTATCAAATTATAAAGTTGAAAAGTTTTTCCCTTTTTTTGCTTTTCTGAACAAAATTATACAACATTTGTAATACTTGTTACTTAAATATTTGAATCCACCATTGATGTCATCTAGGCCTGGAATTTTTATGGGAAAACTTTTAATTATAAATCTAATTTACTTAGTGATATAGAGCCCTCAGGTTTGTTCCATTCCTTGTGAATAAATATTTGTATTGGCGTCTTTCAGTAATTTTTCCTCTATATTCTCAAAGTTTTTGCCATTAAAGTGCTCATAGTAGTTTCTTACTACCCATGTATGTCTATGCCATCTCTAATCATGTTACCTTCTTTCAGCCCTACTATTGGTAATTTGTCTCCTGTTTTATCATTTAAGCAAAAGTTTCAGTAATTTTATGGATCTTTTCGAAAAATATATATATTGTTGCATTGATTTTCTCTTTTGGTTGTATGTTTTCTGTCTCACCAAATTTCACTCTTATCTTTATTATTCCCTTACTTCTTAGTTACTTCAGGTTTAATTTCCTTCTTATTTTCCAGCTTCTTAAAGTTCACATGTAGACTATTGATTATAGGCATTTCTTCCTATGTACATAAGCATGTAGTTATACACTTTCTTATAAGCACTGCTTTGTATCTTCCAAATTATTTGTTGTGTCTTTATTTTCATTCAGTTCAAAATATTTTCTAATATTCCATCGAGATTTATTATTTGATCCACGTGTCAATATGAAGTGTGTTGTCTTAATTTTCAATAGAGATTTCACAGATATTTTTGTTAATAATTTCTATTTTAATTCTATTGTAATCGAAGAACACCTTCTTTATAATTTTACTTATTAAAAACGTATTAAAGCTTGTTTTATCTTCCAGCATATGCTGTACCTTGTGAGTGTCCCATGTACACTTTAAAAGGATGTATACTCTACTATAATTGGGAGGAGTATTTTTACAAATGTCAATTAAGTTGATTTGGCTGATAGTTGTTCACATTAGCTATACCCTTTCTTGTTTTCTACCTTAGTGTTCTGTCAATTACTGAGCATGGAGTGCTGAAATCTCCAACTATAATTAGGGATTTGTCTATTTCTCCTTTATTTTCTGTCAATTTGACATTTGTGTATTTTGAAGTTTTGCATTCATATATGTATATTTAGGATTGTTGTGTCTTCTGGATGAAAACATATTCTTGAACTTTGTATCATCATGATATGTCCTGTTTTAATATTTCTTATTTTGAAGTATTTTTTTCTGATAGTAACATAGACCCTCAGATGTTATAATACCTGCATTATCTCATAGTTTAAAATGTTTTGACATTTTACTTTTAAATGATCTGCTTTTTTTTTGTATATTTACAGGAGTCCCTTTTTTTGTTGGTGTTTATTTATTTATTTATTTATTTATTTATTTATTTATTTTTGAGATGGAGTTTCGCTCTTTTTGCCCAGGCTGGAGTACAATGGCATGATCTTGGCTCACTGCAGCCTCCACCTCCCAAGTTCAACTGATTCTCCTGCCTCAGACTCCCAGGTAGCTGGGATTACAGGCACATGCCATCACACCCAGCTAATTTTATATTTTTAGTAGAGACAGGGTTTCACCATGTTGGCCAGGCTGGTCTCGAACTCCTGACCTCAAGTGATCCACCCACCTCAACTTCCCAAAGTGCTGGGATTAGAGGCATGAGCCACCACGCCTGGCCCATTTATATTTTTACAGACCACATAATTACATTGAGATCTTGTAGTGAGCCTATATTTAGGCCCTGATGTTATATACAGTTGGACAATCTCTGTTTTAATTCTACTATTTATTTGTATTTAATGCAATTTTTAACATAGTTGAATTAGTGTCTTGCATCTTGCTGTTTGTTCTCTATTTGTCCAATCTGTTCTTTATTGTTTTGTTCCTCTTTTTCATCTTTCTTTTGGATGGCATACACTTAGTATTCCACTTTATCTCAACTCTTGGCCTATTATTTCTTTGGCATTAAATTTCTTTGGCATTTCTGTATTTTTTTCCCCATGTCAACAAAATGCTTCTTTCATTCCTCACAATATATCTTCAAATAATAATTCTTCATGTAAAATGTGAGAGCCTTAAAGTAATGTGCTATCATGTATAACTTCAGTCATTTGTGTTATTGCTGCCACACATTTTATTTCTACAAATATTATAAACCCCACAATACATCGGTTTTGCATTTAGATAAGTCAATTATATTCTTAAATGAGAAAATATACTTTACTATTTATCCACAATAGTAAAAGTCTTTTAGATTTTGGAAGCAACACATACCACATTTCAGTGTGTGACTTTGACTCATTTACAGAATTACCTGTAGATTTCAAGTGAGAAGAACAAAAGAAAGTGAGTTCAGACTGCAGGTTAAGCTAATCCACCACTTGGGGCTTATGATCCAGCAGACCCATAGATTGTCAAACTGTCCATGGCAAATAAGGATGCTCTACAGAGCATCTGGCAAGCAACAATAGGACAAAAAAAAAACACTACACAGATGTGTAAGATTTTGAAATAAATCTATCCTCTCTTCTGTAGTTAATGATTCTTCTTTTGAACAGGTTTGGGACCAGGCCTTGGTAAAGAATGAGCACCTAACTATGGGATGTCAGGTGATTGCACAGCCTGAGATTTCGATCATGGGCTGGGTGTTGGATACTCACCTAGCTATAAGGTTGGGTGCTTTATTTATTTATTTTATTAATATTATTATTATTATTTTTGAGATGGAGTTTCACTCTTTTGCCCAGGCCGGAGTGCAGTGGTGCAATCTTGGCTCTCTGCAACCTCTGCCTTCTGGTTTCAAGCGATTTTCCTGCCTCAGACTCCCAAGTAGCTGGAATTACAGGCACCTGCCATCACGCCCTGCTAATTTTTGTATTTTTAGTTTCACCATGTTGGCCAGGCTGGTCTCGAACTCCTGATCTTGTGATCTGCCCGCCTCGGCCTCCCAAAGTGCTGGAATTACAGGCATGAGCCACTGTACCCAGCCTGACATTGGACGCTTTATTATCAAACAGAAATGGTACGTAAGAGATCAAGCTCAGGCTTAACATGAGGGTCTAACTGAGTTCCTGTCCTTAAGTCCTAGGCAGTATTTTGTGTTTTCCTTTACGTCCTTTCTTAGACTCATCTGTAGCTTGGGATTACCTGGGACTTACACAGTGTCCATAAAGTCAGGAAGTATAAACATATATAATGTCACAAAGACATCTTTGATCTGTTAAAAAAACAAACAGAAAAAAACTCTGTGTCTGTGTGTGTGTCTACAATTTGTAAACACTCTGCAGTTCAAGCCATGAGCCATAACTTAAAATCTACTGGAGAGGTTTGTTGAGATATTTTTGGTCTTTGCTTTTCTGATTAAAAAAAAAAAAAGGCAGACACACCAGAGATGGCTCTATGTTCCTTCACTTGTTCCCATCTCTCATCTTTGATTGTAGAAATTGTTTAGAGTGGCAAATCATCAAACACGGAATGCTAATAAAGCTCCATAAACTTACGTCTGCAGTTTTGAAATCCAAAAAGCTCCAGAAAAATAATTTTTAAAAGCTCACTTGGAGGTAAAACCTGAACTAAACTAACATAAGACGGTTTAGTGTTTCTCTTACTGGGAGTAATAAAAAGTTTCACTCAGAAAAAATGAGTTTAGTTATCAGGTGTTTCCCAGTCCCTTGCTGGGCTCTATATAATACATGGCACATGCACCTAATTTCATTTCTAAAATCAGGAAAATGTGTGAATTTAAAACACATCTGGCACTAAGGGTTTCAGATAAGAGACTGTGTGACAATTGTTCTTAGTTCTGCCATTTTCCCTGGAAAACAATCTTTAAAGTTCACAGAGCACATCAGCAAGAATTTTTAAAAGGAGCCTAATTGTGATATGGTTTTGTTGAAATACAAGGCAGGTGTAAAAGGAAAATAAATCTCAGGACTCCAAAATTACTAAGCCAAAGGTAAAAGTCAAGCTGGGAACTGCATCAGGCAAACCTGCCTCCCAGTTTATCCCTAAATAAGATATTTACAAAGATAAAGCTACATACTTCCCTCATAATTTGCCCTCTAGGGATTCCTTGTGGGCTGCAAGATCTTTACCCTAAAACGGTTCTGTTGAATTTTACCCTGACAACGTAAATTGATAGTTTATCTTCACAGGTGCGAGACAAAGGAGCGAACCCCAAGTCATCCCTCTGCTCACCTGAAACAAATGCATATCTGATTGCTTCCTCTGAGGTAAAAATGCAGATTGACAAAGCTAGATGAAGGCGTAACTATTCCTCTACTCCCCTGATAAGGTTTGGATCTATGTTCCCACCGAAATCTGATGTCGAATGGTAATCCCCATTATTGAAGGTGGGGTCTGGTGGGAGTTGATCGGATCTTGGGGGTGAATCCTTCATGAATGGTTTAGCATCATCCTCTTGGTGACAGTGACTGAGGGAGTTATTGCGAGATCTGGTTGTTTAAAGTGTGTAGCCCTGGGCTGGGCATGATGGCTCACTCCTGTAATCCCAGCAATTTGGGAAGCTGAGGCGGGTGAATCACCTGAGGTCGGGAGTTCAAGACCAGCCTGGCCAACATGGCGAAACCCCATGTCTACTAAAAATACAAAAATTAGCCGGACGTGGTGGCGGGCACCTGTAATCCCAGCTACTCCAGAGGCTGAGGCAGGAGAATTGCTTGAACCCGGGAGACGGAGGCTGCAATGAGTCAATAACATTTTGCCATTGCACTCCAGCCTGGGTAACACAGCGAGATTAATAAATAAGTTTGCTTATGAGATGTTATTTTATTGTACTTTTTTACATGTTTATTATATATTATATACTTCTAAATGTATTAGGTAAATATATTTTGTATGCACATAAATTTATCCATTGTTTCTGTTATATAAATTTAATATTTATTACTTATCGATTACCTATTGTATATAAAGCACATGATGCTACACTGGTATTTGGAATTCATTACCCTAACTATACTGTAATTAAAATAATTATCCTAACTAGTACCAAAGGCTTCCCCTTAGCAATCACTCGAAGTGTGCCAGCACCTCCACTCACTTCACGTCAAGCGATTCCCATCATTGTTTCACTGATGGAGAAACCAAGGCCCAGGGCACTTGGGGCAAGGCGTTCAGGGGGCTTTCGGTCCGGAAGCAGCGTCGGGGCGGGAATTCGAACCCTGGGTTCCCACACTGGCCCGTGGCAGGGCCCCCAAGCCTTTTCCCAAACTGATCACAGAAAGTGACGACCCGTTCGCCCGGCGGACCGGGGGCGTCGGGCAGGTCCTGGTCCAAGTGAGTGCCCGCCCCTGCCCTGGGCTGGCAGAGTTCTTCCCCCAGCTGCAGGTAGACGTGGGAACCCGGCAGGGTACGGAGCTGCTGGCGCGGCACGCTGATTAGAAGCGGCGACTGCCCGTCAAGCATTCGCGCCTCTCCCCTCCCTTGACTTTCTTGGCAGGGTTAAGGGATAAGAGAAAGTGGAGTTGCCTCAGTTCTGGGAGAGCCCGTTTGTGGGTCCGGCACAGGTATCCATCGGGACTGACGCTGCAAAAGTCCTCTTGTGAAACAAGGAATAGGCTCGAGTCTTCGATTGGGTCGAGGGAGACGTCAATCAATGGATGGGCGTGTGCAAACGCAACACAACGCACAGTATTGGTTAGGATTTGGCGGGGGGAGTAGACAGCGGGGAAATGAGGCGGCTCATCTCGATTGGCCCAGAAAGAAGACGGTCGCGCCCTATGTACTCCGGGATTGGCTAGAGCGAGCCGCGTCCCCCCTCACGCCAACCACTGGTAAGCGAAGTGGGCCTCGCTCTCCCGGGTTAGCAGCCGTAGCCAGATCCGTTGAAAGGAGTGCAGAGAGGTCTCATTGCGCTCCCGAACAGACCTGACGTAGATCCGAAGTGGCCCGCGCCATCTCAACTATGAGGGGACACCCGTAGGCGGCGGGAGAGGGACGCCGCGAGGAGCCAATAAAGCTCCGCAACCGGAAGTGTCTTCTGGGAGGGGTCGTACCCGGAAGTGTGGCACCTCCCGGGCCGCACCCGGAAGTGTGATGCCACCGCCGCTACGGGGAAGTAATGGTATCCGGCCAATTGAGATTCGGAGTTAAAACAGGTGTTTGTATATCTCTATTTCCTGAGGCCCAGTAGAGTCTCCTCTTTTCGGAAAGTGTTGGAGGGGGGACGTATTTGGGCATGATTTTGGATGTCTCGTCCTATTGAAATCCGTGGGGAAATGAGCAGTAGGAGTGTGTCCAAGGGGGCCTGACTCTATAAAGGCTTTTCAGAAGTTTCTTTCACCGCCCGTCACCCTCGATTCCCCTCCCACTCAGGGATGTGCAGATGGAGGTCGGAGGAGACACTGCTGCCCCGGCCCCCGGGGGCGCGGAGGACTTGGAGGACACGCAGTTCCCCAGTGAGGAAGCTAGAGAAGGTGGAGGGGTTCACGCGGTCCCGCCGGATCCCGAAGACGAGGGCCTGGAGGAAACAGGTATGACTCCACTTAGTGGGGTCTTAAAAGGAATCCTTAGGGGTTGTCATTGTTGGACGGGGGAAGGGTCAGTGGGTGACCAGTAGGGAGTCTTGGGACTTAAGAGAAGTGGCTTAAACCATCGCCGGGTCAGGAGGAGGTCACTGTGGACACATGGTGTAGTTTACATCATTGAGGAAGTCATTGGCTGTCAACGGATGTTCACTGGGGGTTTGGTGTGAGTTTAGGTCATTGAGGAATCAAAAAGGGGGCTGTTAGGACCAAAGAGGGTCACTGAGGATTTAGAGTGTTTAGATCAAAGAATGCGCTGAAGAAAGTCAATAGACTCAACAGAGGAGGACTGTTGAGAAGTTAGTGTTTTTGAGGAGTAGGGTGTTATTTATTAAATAATAGAAGTGGGAAGGGGAATCAGTGGAGTTCGATGGGCACTCAGAGTATTTACATCATTGAAGTCACTTGTAGACTGTTGGGGAAGTCTTTAAGGGACCAAATGTTAGTGGATGTGTAAAGTTGTTCATTTGAGATTTAATGGAAGTCACTGAGAAGTCTGTGCCATTGATCACTTTGGAATTAGTGGATGTAAATGGAGTCATTGGGAAGGATCAGTGGACCTCACTGAGAATAAATGTGGATGGGGAGGTTGAGGACTTGGGAATTAATAGCAGGTAAGAGCAGTTATTAGGAGGGAGTAAAGATATTTGGGGACATGGGAGTGTCAGTGAATGTCAGTGACAGAATATGCAATTATTGGGATTTTATGGGAAAATTATTGAGACATAGTTGCACATGGATAATAATGGTTGTCATTGGGGGATGAATGGAAATCAATGGGAATAAATGGATGTGTCAGTAGGGGCTGTTGAAGTTGTGGGTTTTAGTGAATGTTAATGATGGTCATGGGTAGGGGCAATGGAAGTCATTAAAGTCTTGTGTGTTAGTGGATATTATGATGGTTACTGTAGGGAGGGGAGTGGATACCAATGAGATTGAAGGTGGTCAGGGGAGTGACTGAAGGTCTCTGAAGTGCTGGGTGTTAGTGGAGGTTAATGATGGTCATTGTTGGGGGTAGGGGGGAGTAGACATGGAGTAGAATAACTTGTGGATCAGGGCAGTCATGGAGGGTCATTGAAAAACCAGGTGTTAATGATTGTTAATGTGGGGTCATTGGGGTGTTTGTGAACCACAGTGGGAGTGAATAGTGGATTAGGGGAGTCCTAAATATCTGGGTGTTAGTGGATATTAACGACAGTCATTGGGAGAAATAGTGGACATTACCAAGAATATAAATGGGCAACCAGGAGAGTTAGTAGGGGTCATCAGGTATCAGTGGGCATCACTGATAGGGTAGTAGCGGGGGTTGGGGCATTCAAACAGTTAAGATATTAATAGATGTTAATGGTGGCCATTGGGTGAGCAGATATCAGGAGAAAAAATAGCGGTCAGAGGAGTTAATGGGGGATCATTGAAGATGAATAATCGTCATCCAGAGTCAATGGGGTGCTTTGAAGACTTTGGAATAACAGTGATTGAAAGGGAAGTAATTGGTCTGTAGGAACATAGCAAGTCCAGTGGAATAACAATGAGAATATGTTGGTTTATTAGGGTTTTAGGAAGTTCATTGGAACCTAAATGTTAGTGGAGATCATTGCGGGGTCCTAGGGCAGTCATCGGGTCATTGAGGGGCATAGGAGACACTTGGAGTTCTGCGTCAGCATGCAGGGGTCATGGAGGGGCTAGTAGATATTTGGTGGGTCCTTGGGGATGTGGGATTAGTTAGGAGTTCACATGCAGATGACCCACCAGGGGCTCCCTTTCAGGATCCAAGGACAAGGACCAGCCACCCAGCCCATCACCACCGCCCCAGTCAGAGGCCCTGTCAAGCACCTCTCGGCTCTGGAGTCCTGCAGCCCCTGAGAATAGTCCCACATGTAGCCCTGAGAGTAGCTCTGGAGGCCAGGGCGGGGACCCCAGTGATGAGGAGTGGCGCAGCCAGCGGAAGCATGTGTTTGTGCTGAGTGAGGCTGGCAAGCCCATCTACTCGCGGTATGGTAGTGTGGAGGCGCTGTCGGCTACCATGGGTGTAATGACCGCCCTGGTGTCCTTTGTGCAGAGTGCGGGAGATGCCATCCGTGCCATCTACGCTGGTGAGCAAACAGGTGGGAGGCAGAATGGGGGACAGTGACTGGGAATATGGCTGGCACGGGTAGGTCTGTCTGCCTCAGGCACTATCCAGCCAGCCAGGGTTGGGTCCATGTGTGTGGATGGTCAGCCAGAGCTCTGTCAGTGGCGGGAGGTGGGGGGGTTCATCTCTGTCTGGCCTGCTGGTTTCTTAGTGATTGACTTGCTGGGATCTCAGTGACTAGCTGGATACTTCTGTGTCACCTGAGAGGATAACTGTGGGGGCTGTGTGGTTGAGCTGTGTCTTTCTGGCTCTGTGTCAGCCCTTGTACCATCTCTACCCGCCTGCCCGTGGTCTTTGCTGTGTATCTAACCTACTTGTTCCTTTGTCCATCCCATCATGTCTCTGCAAATGTCCAGATTCCTCCAGCTTGTCCTTACCCCAGTCCAGGTGCCCACAGAGTGAGCATGTGGACTCGGGCCTGGTGTGTGTATGGTAGGAGAGGGCAGAAGAGCCCCACTGTCTCCCTCTGGTCATTCCTGATCCAGCTGTACCCCCCCTTCTTACCCCTTCCTTCCCTAGAGGACCACAAGCTGGTGTTCCTACAACAGGGCCCACTGTTGCTCGTGGCCATGTCACGGACTTCTCAGTCAGCAGCCCAGCTGCGGGGGGAGCTGCTAGCTGTGCACGCACAGATCGTGAGCACACTTACACGTGCAAGTGTCGCCCGCATCTTCGCACACAAGCAGAACTATGACCTCCGCCGCCTGCTGGCTGGTTCAGAGCGCACACTGGACCGACTTCTGGACAGTATGGAGCAGGACCCAGGAGCCCTGCTCCTGGGTGCCGTGCGCTGTGTGCCCCTTGCCCGCCCGCTGCGAGACGCACTAGGTGCGCTCCTCCGACGTTGCACAGCGCCTGGCCTGGCGCTGTCAGTGCTGGCAGTAGGCGGTCGACTTATAACAGCAGCCCAGGAGCGAAATGTGCTGGCCGAGTGCCGGCTGGACCCAGCTGACCTGCAGTTGCTGCTCGACTGGGTGGGTGCACCAGCCTTTGCGGCGGGTGAGGCTTGGGCACCTGTGTGCCTGCCCCGCTTCAACCCTGATGGTTTTTTCTACGCCTACGTGGCCCGCCTGGATGCTATGCCTGTCTGCCTGCTGCTGCTTGGCACCCAACGTGAAGCCTTCCATGCCATGGCCGCCTGCCGGCGCCTGGTTGAAGATGGGATGCATGCCCTTGGTGCCATGCGTGCCCTTGGGGAGGCTGCCAGCTTCTCTAATGCCTCATCAGCCAGTGCTCCTGCCTACAGCGTGCAGGCTGTCGGGGCGCCGGGCCTCCGGCACTTCCTGTATAAGCCGCTGGACATCCCTGACCACCACCGCCAACTGCCCCAGTTTACCAGGTAGGCCCTGACCCTAAGGCAACTGGCTGGGTGGGAAGGCCTGTCAAACCAGGAAGTTCAGCATCTCAGGGATGTGACTCAGGAGAGATAACCAGCCATGCTTAAGAAAGAGGGAAGAGAACAAGTCTCTGTCTGATGATGGAGCATCAGCCACAGACCTAAAGGAATCCCCCTCTTCTGGTGGACAGCAGGGCCCTAGTACTCAGGGAATCTCCTAGTTTGATGAGGGAAGGTCAGCCTCCAACCCCTGAGAATCCTCAAGTCTCATGGGAGAGGCTCAGCTCCCTAACTTCATTGAAATCTCTAGACTGAGGGAGGAAATGGGCCAGCCAAGAAGGCCCTGGACTAACCTTGTCCTCCACCTCCCTCCATCATGGCAGCCCTGAGCTAGAGGCCCCCTACAGCAGAGAGGAGGAGCGGCAGCGGCTGTCGGACCTGTACCACCGCCTGCATGCTCGTCTCCACAGCACCTCCCGACCCCTGCGCCTCATTTACCACGTGGCTGAGAAGGAGACACTACTGGCCTGGGTAAGTTGGGCAGGGCTCTGAGTGAATTAATTCCCCACTTCAAGCCTCCTTTCCCTATATTGTATCCCCTCCAGCCACAGTGCCTCCACCAAACACAGCAGGCCTCTGGCTGGGCTGTGCCTTGCCTGCAACACTGTCCCTGCCTTTACACACACATCTTTGAAGCCCCTGACAACTAATGACCGTGTCTCTAATCCGACATTAGCCTCACCCTCCTGTGTGCTTCTCCCAGATTAGCAACCAGGACAGTGTCTTTGACTTTCCAGAGGCCCCATTAACTACCACTGCTGTGCCTGCCGATTCCCCAGTAGCCCAATCCATGTGTTTGGAGGCACCCCATTCATCACCAGCTCATTGTGACTCCATGAGTCCCCAGCACTCCTCAGACTACAGGCGTGGTCCCTTGCTGTGCCCTCCACCTGGGGTATCCTTCCCTTTGGTCTCCTCTGGGCTCCAGCCCTCACTTCCTATGGGTTTGCTAAAGGTCAGCTACTAAGGGAGGCCAGTGAAGGAGGCCTCATCAGAAATGGCACCTGCCATGTAATGCATATTTATTAATTTATTGCGTGACTGCTGTGGATCAGGTATTGTCCTAGGCTAAGAATTTTGTTTTTAAATTTTTTTAACTTTCATTTTCAAATAACTTTAGACTTAGAAGCTGCAAAAACAATATAAAGAGTTTTTATATTTATATTTATAAAGAGTTATAAAGGGCGTGGTGAAAACCACGCCTGGTCAGATGGTGGTTTTCCTAACTCCATCATTCTTTCTACATTTATTGGCTGGGATTTTACTATAAAGAGTAACATGGGGCCGGACGTGATGGCTCACGCCTGTAATCCCAGCACTTTGGGAGGCTGAGGCAGGCTGATCACTTGAGGTCAGGAGTTCGAGACCAGCCTGGCAAACATGGCAAAACCCCGTCTCTACTAAAAATACAAAAATTAGCTGGGCGTGGTGGTGCGCACCTGTAGTCCCAGCTATTCATAAGGCTGAGGCAGGAGAATCGCTTGAACCTGGGAGGTGGAGGTTGCCGTGAGCCAAGATCGCGCCACTGCACTCCAGCCTGGGCGACAGAGTAAGACTCCATTTCAAAAACAAAAAGGAATAACTTTTCCTTCTCCTATTTATTGAATTTTTAATTTTCTATCAATATTGTCTCATGGATTTTTCTTTAATTCAGTGAGCTAAAATCCTTCTCTAGCATTTATTTTGGTGTTCAGATTGCCTCTGATTTAGCCGGTGGGTACCCTGATTTAGCCAGGCTGATCCCTGTGTCTCTGACACGTCCCCTTCACTATGTGAGCACATCTTACTTGACTTTCTCTATTCCAGTCCTCAACTCAGCCATTTTTCCATGGAGCCCTTATACCTTTTAGTAGAGATTGGAATTTTAAAACCAAGATATGGGCCAGACACGGTGCCTCACGCCTATAATCCCAGCACTTTGGGAGGCTGAGTCGGGGTGGGAGTTGGGGGGAGTGGGCGGCGAGTCACAAGGTCAGGAGTTCGAGACCAGCCTGGCCAACAGGGTGGAACCCCATCTCTACTAAAAATACAAAAAATTAGCTGGATGTGGTGGCATGCGCTTGTATCCCAGCTACTCGGGAGGCTGAGGCAGGAGAATCGCTTGAACCTGGCAGGCGGAGGTTGCAGTGAGCCGAGACCGTGCCACTGCACTCCAGCCTGGGTAACAGAGTAAGACTCTACGTCAAAAACAAAAAAACAAAAACAAACAAAATATATGTTAGGAGCAGAATTTTAAACCAAGTGATCAGGGTGGCCTCCCTGAGCAGATGGCATCTGAGTGGAGTAGGGAGGTATTGAGCTACGTGGATATTAGGAGGAAGAGTACACCTGGCAGAGGGAAAGGACTGATATGCTATGAGGTGGAACCAAGCCTGGCTATGTTTGAGGAATAGCAAGGAAAGGGTAGAGTGGCCGGAGCAGAGGGAGTGAAGGGGAGCGCTCTGGGAGGTGGCACAGGAAAGGCGCTAGTGACCTTGTGGGGTCAGGCCTCTCCATGTGGTATGAGGCATAAATTGAGTTCCTCTTTATATTATTCCCTGGCTGTAGATGATGAAAACATAGTTGTAGGAGCTTAGAGCAGGACCTTGTACACAATAGGTTACTGACAGAATATTAAACATTGTTACTGTTTTCCCCAGTTCCCAATGAGCAAACAGGTCTAGAGAGTACCCACACACACAACCAGCATCATCCAGTTGAAGTCACTAGGTCCAGCTGAAATTGCACAATATCAGCTTACCTACCTTAGCCCAGTATCTAGGCAGCACCTGGTAGGAGGTGCTGCCAGGTACATGTTCCAGGTTGCAGGAGGCAGACATGCAGCTGCACTGGGGTAGGCAGGATTGTCCATAGCCAGCTCTGGCCCATCTGACTCTGTCTCCTCCGAAACCCCCAGGTGACCTCCAAATTCGAGCTCTATACCTGCCTCAGCCCTCTGGTGACCAAGGCAGGTGCAATCTTGGTAGTGACCAAACTCCTGCGCTGGGTGAAGAAAGAGGAGGACCGGCTCTTCATTCGTTACCCACCCAAGTACTCCACACCACCAGCCACCTCTACGGACCAAGCTGCCCATAATGGCTTGTTCACTGGACTCTGATAGTTGGAGCTCCCAGACCAGGCAGTGCTGGGAGCAACCACCTTTGTTTTTTACCTTCTGTCTACCCTGGAAATGTGTGTGGGGGTGTGTCTGTGGCCAGTCATTGTCTCCCTAAGCAATGGGGCAAGGTCTGAGGGCCCACCGATGAGAGAGATGGTGGCAGCCGCCAGGCGAGCAGGCTGCTTTCCCTGCCCAGTCATGCACCTCCCCCTCTGGGGAAATCCTTAGGCCTCCCTCTCCCTTCCCTCTGTCTCATCTCCTCCACTTGGATGATGCTCTAGCCTCTGTCAGGGACTGTCCCCTCCAAACTTGCTTCCGTGGTCTGCCTCCTAGTTGAATCTCAGCCCTGAGTGTCCAGATCTGGCCAAGGTGTCTAGGGTGGCCCACGGGGGTGCTGGAATTGGCACTTCAGGGCCAGGCTATGCTTGGGACTGGCCTGAGGGTATTTTAAAGAAAAAAACTACATAAAAGGCCTAAAAGTAAGACCCACAAGGATATTCCTTTGCCCTTCTTGTACTTTTTTCATCTTTACCCTGCCAGAAATGACCCGCCCTCAATGCTGGCTGCTGCTAACATTAATGAGAAGGTGGCCTTCAGTGTCCACCTGTGGAACCCAGGACACAGCACCTGACTGCACACAGTGGCTGAAATCCAGCATTTTTACATAGGAGATGCACTTAGCCTCTAAGCCTCGTTTTACTCATCTGTGAAACAGAGATAAGTAACCCTCTCTCATGAACTCTTTGATGAGGATTTGTAAACGAAAACAGACTCGAACTATTGTGTACCACCACATAGCACATGCACGTCTGTCCCAGACTTTGACAACCTGCACAAGACAAGCAGCCTAAAGCAGGAGAGACCTCCCTAGGGTTTTGTGTGTGTGCACACTACCCTCACTCCCCAACTGGCCATTACCCTAGTTCTGCCCTTGTTTGTGGAGTTACAGCCTCAAGGTTGTAGCATGTGTGCTGGCAATCAGGGCCGCAGTGTGTTCTGCGCCTGCCCAGAGCTGACTCCTGATTTAACCGCTGGCGTAACCGCGGGTTGCACGCATGCGTGCTGAAAAGCCTTTCACCCTCACGTGGTTTCTTTTTTAACCAGTCATCAAGCGAGGCTCGCGCGCAGGCCCCGCGTTGGAAAATGGCGGGGAAGCTGAAACCTCTGAATGTGGAGGCGCCAGAAGCTACTGAGGAGGCTGAAGGTAGTGAGGGCAAGTGGGCTGCACTCCTTTCTCTCCAACCAGGGCAGAAAGGAGGGAGGATTCGTCCCATTACAATAATGAAATAATGATATTCTAATTTTTTTAAATAAAATGTTAAGCCTTTTGTTATTGAAGAAAAACAATTTTTTAACCGTTCAGCACAGTGGAGATAAATTAACAGGCATATTCTTATCACCGAGATTAACTTTTGTCAACTGTAGTGTATACGTTGTTGAAAGTAAACAACATGTAGTTCAGTACGAAAGTCTTCAAACAAAAGTGGGGCGGTGGGGATGTTCTCATAACAATCACCGTGCTGCAGCCACCCCTTATTAACAGTAATTCCCAGTGTCGCCATTTCACACCTAACACATATGACACTTTGATGGACTCTTAAACCTCCTAATCGAACATGGCCTCCCCCACAGCCTCTTTTCTCCAGGGTATTGACTTGAATGACAGGCAAAGGAGGGTGGAGGGGTGTCGGCCTAGACACTATTGGAAATTGTATTCCATCCAAAAGAAAAAAAAATCTCAGGCCGGGCACGGAGGCTCACGCCTGTAATCCCAGCACTTTGGGAGGCCGAGGCGGGCGGATCACGAGGTTAGGAGTTCGAGGCCAGCCTGACCAACATGGTGAAACACCATCTCTACTAAAAAACTATATATACATATACATATGTGTGTATGTGTATTTATATGTATGTATGTATGTGTGTGTATATATATATATATGTATATGTGTATATATATATATATGTGTATATATATATATATATACACACACTAATCAGCCGGGCGCGGTGGTGTGGGCCTGTAATCGCAGCTACTCAGGAAGCTGAGGCAGGAGAATCACTTGAACCCGAGAGGCGGAGGTTGCAGTGAGCCGAGATCATGTCACTGCACTCCAGCCTGGGTGACAGAGTGAGACTCCGTCTCAAAAGAAAAAAAATTCTCCCTTGGCCGGGCTTGGTGGCTTATGCCTGTAATCCCAGCACTTTGGAAGGCCGAGGCGGGTGGGTCACCTGAGGTCAGGAGTTTGAGACCAGCCTGGCCAGCATGGCGAAACCTCGTCTCTACTAAAAATACAAAAATTGTCCGGGTGTGGTGGCGGGCGCCTGTAGTCCCAGCTACTGGGGAGGCTGAGGCAGGGGAATTGCTTGAACCCGGGAGGCAGAGGTTATCGTGAGCTGACATTGCGCCACTGCACTCCAGCGCGGAAGACAGAGTGAGCAAAAAAAAAAAAAAAAAAAGAAAAAACAAAAAGAAAAAAATCTCCCAAGGCAGTCATGCATTTGTATGCCACTAGCATTTTTTTGTTATAGAAATATTCAAAGTGTACCAACGTAGAGAAAATAGCTTTAAACAAAGCCCATGTGTACCTATCAGTATGCTTTAACTGTTGTCACCTTTCTGCCCCACTTTTATCTATCTCGAACACCCCTTTCTGCACACTCTTTAAACCACTGTATTAACAAACACATTAGACTGCATCCTGCCAGACCTACCCATACAGACATCAAAGTAATGATTATTGCTTATTGCCTGACCTAGGATGTGAGCTCCATGAGAACAGAGACTGTTTACCTCTCGCTCCCCTGCACCTAAAACAATGCCTGCTTGGTGTAAAGTAAGTGCTCAGTAATTTTTTAATGTGTGACCAATGAAATAACTTCAAGAGCAGAGAGCTCTTTTAGATTAGAGGCACATACTAAGTGCCAGCATTCAACAAAAGACAGACGGAAATAAGACAGATGCAAATAGATCTCATTTATTAACTGTGTAATGCAGCTGCCACTGCAATTAAAAAAAAAATTTTAGTATCAACCTTTCAAATTCCTCAAAATTAAAGTTATGACTAACTTCACCAGCAAAGGAAAAATTGAAGGATGTATCAAGTTGCCATTTCTAGCCCATCAAATCGGCTTTATAAAGGGAAGCATAGTATCTGGTATTGACGACCTTGTAGAGAAACAGGCCTTTTCCTGCCTCAGGGAAGAGAGCTGACTCAAAGTAAAGGCTTTGCTAGAGGCAGTCGGCAGAGTATTTTTAGCATCTAAAATGCTCTTCCACTTCGGCAGTGACCATGCGATGTAATCAAAGGAGAATACGTAAGTGTATGGACCAGGAATGGTCACTGGAGTGTTGATGTAGGCACAACACAAGAAGTAGTCACAGAAATTGCTAAGTCTAGGTTTATGTGTGCATGCTGTGGAGTGTCTCTGTGGTGGATTTCTTTTTAAGAGGCAGAAAAAAATTCTAATTTAAATGTATTAAATTATAAGTTCTAATTTAAATGTATTAAAATTAAATTATAAGTTGATAGGATTATTATTGACACACAAGGAGCTCCAAAAGAGATCGTATTTTTATTAGAGACAAGCCAGTTGGGATTGAAACAAAAATGGAGGGGGGTATAGCCCTGTGTATGTTGCACAGAAAAAGTATCTGAATGATAAAGGCCTAAGTGATAACTCTGGACAAGGAATTTGGATTTTGGGAGTAGTGCAGAGGTAGAGGCATTTTTGTGATTTATTGTTCTATTTTTTCTTCTAGAAAAATGTAAGTAGTCATATATAATTTTAAAATATAAAGGAGAAGAGGCAAAATGTTGAATGGCACCTGAGGATCCTATATTCATATTGGATCAGTATTAACATCCAGGTTTTGATTGTTGTACTATGGTTACCTGGTAGATTCCCTTTGTATATAGGAAATAGACACTGGAATAGTAAGGAGTAGTGGGTCAAGATGTCTGCAACTTATTGTTCAGAATCACTCACAAATGGGAAATCTGATATAAGGACAAAATGGGAGCACTGTGGCCTATTTTTACAACTTTTGTGTACATCTGCAATTGTTTCAAAATAAAATGTTTAAAAGGGTGCTCTTACTGTGCTGGCCATTTTCTTTTGTAATGGACTTTGTGTGTGTGTGTCAAAATGTTAGTTGGATTATTTAAAAGATTTATTTATTACCCACTCTTGGCCTTATTTCATGACTAGCACTAGAAAGCAGAGAGAGGAAAAACACAGATGGAGCTTCTGCAGAAATGGTTGCAAATGCCAGCCATAAAAAAGATGTGGAGACAATTGGGAAATTAATGTATAGCCTGGGTATTAGGAGATGTTACCTGATGAGTATTAATCTTGTCAGTTGTGATTATAGGATTGGGGTCAGCTAAGAAAATGTCCTTAAGTAGTTGAGACTCCTAATGAAGTTTCTGGGAATAAAATGTCAAGAAGCCGGGGGCTTGCTTAAAAATAATTCAACCCAGGAAAAACATAGCTGAAATAAATAGGGTGAATATTAATGATTGTCAGATCTAGGCAATGAGCATATCAGAGTTAATCATAATATCCTCTCTACTCTCATGTGCATTTGAAAATTCTCATAATAAGGTATTAAAAATAAAATAATCACAAACACCTCCCCTTGTTATTAAAGTAGCTTTACTTTTTTGTCTTATTTCCAAAATATTAAGAATATTTTTAAAATTAAAAAAATCTCAGGCAGGGACATGCCAACTTGTTCAAAGTGATTGTATCAGGGGAAGCAGTGAGATTTAGGATTAAGGAGAGAAGAGAAAATTTCATTTTTTACATCACGTATTTCTTTGTTTGAATTTTCTTAGAATTTTACTCGAATAAGAAAGTAAAAATTAAAGCAATACGTGAAATGTATTTTACTAAAAGACCAAGTGTTGTCACCGAACTGCTGGCAGTGGTTACTTCTGGGAAAAGGAGTGACTTGGAGAAGGGGCTGCTGGTGAGGGGAGACTTTTCCTTTTTATTTTATTCTTCCACATTTGTTTATCATGTAAGTTATTCTACATGTGTTTATTATGTAATTTAAAAATTAAAATGCAAATTAAAATAATACATACTAATTTATAAAGGATTTCAGGCCAAAAAAAAAAGATATAAAGAAGGTGAACATACCACCAAATATTTCAAAAAAAAATCTAATAAGCTCAGGTTAAAAAACCCTGATTTACAACATGGATTTTAATGGCTGCAAAGAATTTCAGCCTGCAAACATGCTGTAAGTAATCCCCTAAGGTATCTTCAAGTTACTTCCTTTTTTTTTTTTTTTTTGAGATGTAGTTTTTTGCTCTTGTTGCCCAGGCTGGAGTGCAATGGTGCCATCTCGGCTCACCGCAACCTCCATCTCCCGGGTTCTAGTGATTCTCCTGCCTCAGCCTCCCAAGTAGCTGGGATTACAGGCGTGCATCAACATGTCCGGCTAATTTTTGTATTTTTAGTAGAGTTGGGGTTTTGCCACGTTGGCCAAGCTGGTCTCGAACTCCTGACCTCAGATGATCCACCCTCGTCGGCCTCCCAAAGTGCTGGGATTACAGGCGTGAGCCACTGCACCCGGCCGTTACTTCCAAGTTTAAAATTATAAGCAGTGAAACAACATCTCGCCCACCATTATTAATTATGTCCTTAAGACACATTCCTAGGAGTGGAATTTCTGATCAAGAGGAAATGAATAAGGTTTTGGTACTTATTCATCAGAAAGTTTGAAATGAAACAGTTTTTGCCTGTCCAGTTGGCAAAAAAAAAAAGAAAAAGATTAAAAACATACTTGCCTGGTAAGAGTATGATTTTGGGGCCTGAGACAGGTGAAAGGCAATTTCCTATCAGCCAAATTCCATAATATACATTCCCTTTGGTCCACCAGGTAGCGTCTAGGTAGTACTCTATGTGTACCCAGTAGATACAGTCTAATGCAAGCACAAAGAATAATGTACAAGGATGGTGTACTAGGTTAAATTGTGTCCCTCCAAAATTCATGTCCACCAGAACTTCAGAAATGTGACTTATTTGGAAGTAGGGTCTTTGCAGTTATGATTAGTTAAGATGAGGTCACACTGGATTAGGGAGGGCCATAATTCAATGGCTGGTGTCCTTATAAGTAGAGGGAAATATAGACACATAAAGATATGAGAGTGGCAGGTGAAGACACAGACAGGGAAGACCCAGTTTGTGGTACTTTGTTATGGCAGCCTGACAACACAAATGTAGATGATCATTGTGGCATGCCTTGTAACAGCAAAATAAGGTAAACAGCTTAAATATCATCAATAGGATATTGCTTTGAAATTACGGTATATCCACACAGTGGAATGCCATGCAGCCACTAAAAAGAATAAAAAGATCACTGGTGTACATTGTCAAATGAAAAATACAAGATGGGGTGCATCATGTACAACATGCTACCACTTACATAGAAAATGTGGGATGTGGCCGGCTGCGGTGGCTCACACCTGTAATCCTAGCACTTTGGGAGGCTGAGGCGGGAGGGTTGCATGAGCTCAGGAGTTCGAGACCAGCCTGGGGAACACAGTAAAACCCCATCTCTACTAAAATACAAAAAATTAACCAGGTGAGGCGGCGTGCGCCTTTAGTCCCAGGTACTCAGGAGGCTGAGGCAGGAGAATCGCTTGAACCTGGGAGGCAGAGGTTGCAGTGAGCTGAGATCGTGCCACTGCACTCCAGCCTGGGTGACAAAGCGAGACTCCATCTCAAAAAAAAAAAAAAAAGAAAAGAAAAAGATAATGTGGGAGGTATGTTTGTATATACATTGAATTATCTCCAGGTACCTACACATAGCTTGTAATGCTAGTGGCCTCTGAGGAGGAGAATTGGAGAACTTAAAATCTGAGGGAGAGGGAATTTTCACTGTATACTATTGTGGGTAAGCATTTCTTCATTAACTTTTTGGCTATCATGTTTTGTGAGCCGCCTTTCGTCTTCTCTTCAGTTTTCCTTAGAGAGGCGTAGGTCACTGAGATTTGACTTTTACCACTGATTTCAAGACTTAAGGAATTTTTTTATGTTAATATTTTCCTGTGGTTTTTCTTCTTTGAATTTTAGAAGTAACACAGGCTCATGTTAAAATATACATAGAAGTAAATATATATATATATATGTATACATACATATTTACATAGAAGTATATATGGTGAAAAGTGTGGTGAATCAGGGTTCAAATATTTAGTTGATTGATATATGCCTCAAGTCTTTTTTAATCTGTAGGATTTTCTCTCTCCCTCATTTTCTTCTTTACAACTTATTTGTGGAAGAAACCAGGTTTTCTTGTGCAGTTTCCCACAGTCCACGTGATGTTGAGCACATCCCCAGTGGTGTCATTTAATGTGTTTTCCTGCCCTTTGTATTTCCTCTGAATTCATATTTAGATGTGGAGACCTGATGAGATTCCATCCCGCTTTTTTGTTTTTGGTGGGGGTTTTTGAGGCAAAAATCCTTCATCAGCCGTGTTGTGTTCCTTCATCTAGAGGCTCATAGGGAGCACTCCCCAAGGCAGCTTGTAAGTGCATCCTGAGCTGCAGTCCTCAAACTTAGCTGAAACAAACTCTCTATATTAAAAATAAAAATAAAAATCCTTTGAGCTGGAGCTGCAGGGTATAAAAAGAAAAAGAGAGAGGCTCATAATATCCAGTTGTCTTTTTTTGATGTTAGTAGCCATTAGTAACTATTACCTAGATCTATCAGTTCATTAAGAATTTATAAATTATGAGCTATTATTATTTCAAAGAAATTCATATGAAATCTTCCTGCCCTATTGTTCTGGTTAGAACTTCATAATGATCTTGAACAGCAGCATCAGCAAACATGCATTCTCTTCTCTCACCCCTGAGTTTCATTAAGGGGATGTTTGTGGTGGTGTTTTTTAACCCCTCAGGGAGAAGCTGACCCTTAGGGGTCCTGATTTATCTAGCACACACTATAAACCTCAAGGGCAAGAGACGGGGGCCCTGCTTCAGATGGAAACCTGTCTGTCATTCCATCCTTAGCCCCAGCCCACGGGTGTCTGCAGAGCCCACTGGGACTTCCTGCCTCCCTTCTCTCTCCCCTCTCACTCTCGCTGTGTCCTGTAATTTTGATTTTCCTTTCTACAGGGCAAGCCAAGTCTTTGAAGACTGAAGACTTGCTGGCAATGGTGATAAAGCTGCAGAAAGGTCATGTGTCTCTTTGTTTCTGAGCCTCAGCCTGGGGTTTCAAGTCAGAAAGACATGGTACAAATTCAGCCCCCTGAACTCACAACCTCAGGAAATTATCCCATTGCACTTTCTCCCTCTTATACAGTTTAATTCTTTGAACCAAGAATACAGTCCCACAGTTCAAAATTCAAGAAGTTTAAAGGAATGGAAAAACCAGTTCCCCCGCCATCCCTACTCCCTCCCCCCACACACCAGTCATCTATTTCCCTGACTCATGGGCAAGCAGCTATTGTTTTTCAATTCTTAAGTATCTTTCCAGAGATTTTTAAAAAATGCATTCATGGATGTATATTTTTTGTCCTCCCTTTTTACACACAAATGGAAATGCAGTTGGTTTTGCACCTTGCTTTGCTTTTTGCGGGAAACCTGGGAGCCAGTGTGCACCCAGTATCTACATCAGAGCTGAGGCAGTGCTGGCCAGAGGTGAGACCCCCAGCCCATTCTCATCTTAAAATACTATCACGTCAGTCTATTCCAAACAAAAGCAGCAGCCTCCCCGCTCCCATTCTGTGGCTGCCTGCAGAAGAAGTGCACTGGGACTGCTGCCTACGGTAAAATTAGGGAGAGAAATTGCAGGGCTAGAAATGCAGTGATCCAACCTGATCATTTCCAGTAAAACAAAGACCCCCAGAGATTTCTGTCAGTCATAATCAGCACCGTGGAGAGCACCCACTCTCCTGGAAATCACAGAAGCTGGAGTTGGTGACCTTGGAAAAATCCATGGTCTGAGTTTATTAACCCCAGAGTGTCTGAGGGGTCAGCAGTGAGATCTGGCAAGGGTTGGACAGCTTTTTGCCCCAGTTCCGTGTTGGCAACCTTGAAGCCAGAGAGGGATGAGAAGGAAGTCTTCTGCGTACAGAGCACTGAAACAGGGGCTATGAGAAGTTAGAGGTGATTCCCTAAAGGGATAGTGATCACCCTGTCACTGGGAAACTTGCAAGCTGCCACCAACAGTGTAAAAGCAGGGATTCCCCATTTCTCAGATGAGGCCAGTACCAGAGCCCAGACTGACAGAGTGACAACCCTTCCTGCCTGGATTTTGACAGGGCGGGGCAGATGGGACGTCTCCATTGGCTCACACCACACTCAGAGTTACATCTAAAGGCTTCCACGGTGGCCCAAGAGGCCCTAGTGATATCACTTCCCACTTCCCCCACCTTACTTTCTGCTACTCTCCACTTGCTCACTAGACCTGAGCCACACCAGCCCCTCACTGTTACTTTGGACACGTGCCTCACCCGCTCCTGCCACACTACAGGGAATTTGCACTTGTTCCCTCTGCCTTGTTGCACTCTGCCTGGAATGGGTCCCCCCTCCATACTCTTTACCCCCACAGAACTGCAGGACCTGCTTCCTTCTTCTCATCTGGGGCCTTTGCATATCCCCAGACATGCCTTTTACCCTTTTGCTCTTCAACACTTTGCCTCACTTTATTTCTCTTCACAGCAGTTACTGCCACCTGAATTGATTTATTTATCTTTGCTCAATGTCCATCTTGCCAACCCAGAATGCAAGCCCTTCAAGGGGCTCTGGCAGAGCTCAACACACAGCAGGCGCTCAATATATGCCGGTTAATTGATAGCAGCAGACACAGTGCTTCTCCGTCTGCCTTGGACAGCCAGACACCAGTCTTCTCTGGCTCACTCTTTCTTCCTTTCTTTCTTCAGAGGGAAGCCTGGAGCCACAGATAGAGGACCTGATTAGCCGGATTAATGATCTTCAGCAAGGTAAACTTGGGGACTTAGACTGGCCAGCTGGGGCGAGCAGGAAGTGACTGGATTTATAATGAATCCACCTCCTCATCTATAAAATCTAGGCCCCTCTAGGGTTGTTTGAAGATGACTGTGCAATGTCATATTTGCGAGAGAACAGCAAGGCTAGAGACTACACTCATACAGTGTCTTTTTCCCTTCTTGGCCCAGCAAAGAAGAAATCCAGTGAGGAACTGAGAGAGACCCACAGTCTCTGGGAGGCCCTGCATAGGGAATTAGACTCCTGTAAGTGGGGCCAAAAGAGGGACCCATCAACACTGCAGATGTTCCTGTGCATACCTCAGGGCCTTTGCACAGGCTGCTCCCTGGCCTACAATGCTCTTAGCTCACATAATCTGTATTGCCTTTCACTGTCTCATGTCATCTTTCAGCTCTCAGCTCAAATTTCACCCTGATAGGCCTATCTTGATGGTCTCATCTAAGAATAGAATCCCGCCCTCTCTTGGTCATTCTCACGCCCCTGGCTGATTTGTTTCTTAAGAGCCTTTATGTCCACCTGACACTGTGTGTGTATTTCTTTATAGCCATCTTTCTCCTCAGTGTAAACCTTGTACATTCTTCAGGGTCTTCACTCCTTCAACATTTACAAAGAATGTGGGCATAGAGGGGGAGAAGCTGGATCAGGATGGTCCTTCTGGGAGATGGTTGCAAGGGTGGCAAGAAGATACCTCACCTCTCCTAGGGCTGTACTACACCTTCTGTGTGGCTTTCCCCTTATATGAAGTTGCACTGGGGATGGCAATGGGGTGCCTGGAGGCAGAAAGTGTCATTGTGTTTTCCAGTGAATGGAGAGAAAGTGCACCTAGAGGAGGTCTTGGGCAAAAAGCAAGGTATTTACCAGTTGCTGTGTCTTCCTTATTCTACTCTTCCACCCCACAAAAGTCTATGCTCCTCAGAGCAGCCAGAGGAATCCCACTGAAACCTAAGGCAGGGTGCTTCCCTCTCTGCACAGATCTCTTCCTGGATTGCTACATCACTTGGAGTAAACACCCAAGTCCTCACAGTGCCCTCCAATGCCTGACATGATGTGGGGCCTATTACCTCTGGCCAACCCTGACTCCCCAAGAGCTCTCAAAGGGTCCCCTTGGTTCCTTCCCCACAGAGGCACTGAGGATCCTCCAGATGCACTGCCAAGAGAAGGAAAGCGAGGCTCAGAGGTAAGAGGCCCTGCCTCAGCTCTTCCCTACCTCATTCCCCAGCTGAAAAAGGAGGGAGCAAGAGCTGTGGAAATGAATCTTGGACACAGAAGCCTCATTTTACCTTTCTATAAAATAGAGCAGCCTGACAAAAGATTTCCTTGGTTATCTCTGATATTAAATGGTCGTGTTAAGATTAATTTACTCATTTAATTATTCGTTACTAATTTCTTTATCAAATATATTCCCTCCATTGGTCTTAGCCTCAGTCTTTTTCTGTTGGCTATCCAGCTCCTTTGATATCCATTCACTTGCTTATTTGCCTCCTTATTTTAAGCCCCAGTCATCCATTTGCCCACCCATTCATCTATCCACCCATCTAGCCATTCACCTACTCACTCATTCATCCATTCATCCATCTATCCAACCATGTCATCCAGCCAGATGGCTGTTTTATCTCCGGCCTTCCACCTAACAATCTTCCATCCATCCAATCATGCATTCATCCTCTCTTTATTCTTTCCATCATATATTCACTTAGCCAAACATCCATCCAGACATCTACCCTTCCTTTTAGCAATCCTTTCTTTCTCTGTCCAGCCACTATTCCTCTACTCATCATTTCTCCAATCAGCTATCATTTCTCCAGCCAGCAACTCACACATCCAGTCAACTGTCTATCCAACCTGTATCCATCCATCTCTTCATCCTCCCGAGTAGCTGAGATTACAGGCATGTGCCACCATGCCCGGCTAATTTTGTGTTTTTAGTAGAGATGGGGTTTCTCCATGTTGGTCAGGCTGGTCTCGAACTCTCGACCTTAGGTGATCCTGCCCACCTTGGCCTCCCAAAGTGCTGGGATTACAGGCGTGAGCTACCACACCCGACATCTTCTGAACTTTTACCTAGCACACTCCTGTTACCAGAGGTCTCTCATCCTGGTGCACCATGATTTTAATTGCATGGGGAAACCTGATGTTAGCTAATGTGTGATACTCAACCACACTACTCACACTGTATGATGAGCATTTATGCTCATTTATGTACCTAATCCTCACAATGATAATTATAGGAGTTAAGGCTAATGTCACCCTCCCATCACTACCACCATTTTACATATTAGGAAACTGAGACCCAGAGAGGTTAAGTAACTTGGCCAGGGTCTCGGTGAAGTAACAGATTAGGGTTCAAGCCAGGATGTTATAGAATCTGTGGTGCCAAATTACCACACGCCTCACAAAGCTTTCTTGGGAAGGCAGAGTTCATTCCATGGGGGACAGGATGGACAGGGTAATGTTCTCAACAGAGGCCCATGAAGGTTCTCATTCAACAGGAGAAACAAGAAAGGTGAATGCTGTGAACAGACATCCCAACTCCCACTCCTGCTGGAGTGAATGATGGGTCATTCAGAGAATATGACTGAGGGTTGTCTTTCCCTTCCCAGGAAGCACATGCTGCAAGAGTGCATGGAACAAATTTTTGCCCATAATTCTCAGGTTTCAGAGTCTCAAACAGAGGAATCTGGGGTAACTCCCAAGCCTGGGGCCTGGCAGGCCACTGTGTAGAAAGTGGGAACAGGGCTTGCATCAGGGAGAGTTTGTTGGAAGAGGTGCTACGGGAACCAAAGCTTAGAGGATAAAACCCATGAAGGGGCTCCCAGCAGAGGGAGCATGGGCAGGATCTGAAGGCCTGTGCATGAGGAGCCCCCAACAGGGTGTCAGGCCTAGCATGTGTTCTCTTATTCCTGGGTGTCGGCCTCCAGGTTGGATGTCAGAGGACAGCTGGAGGATCTGATGGGCCAGCACAAGGACCTCTGGGAATTCCACGTGAGCCATTATCATTGCCTGCAACCAAAGCCACTCCTCCCTGGCTTTAGTGTCGCACTGACTGGCCCAGAGTCCACCCCTGCCCAGGCTCAATGCCGCGGGATAGTCCTTGATTCCTTGCTTCCGCTTGCCCACCTATTCAGTCCCTCAGCTTTTATCTAAAATCAACTTACGCCTCACCATGCCCCACTGCCACACCCAGCATCACCTGCCCAGACGGGTGCAGTACCATTGTGATCCTGCTTTCCCCCTGCTCATCTAGTGTATGTTCACCTTGCAGTGGCAAATGGCAGCCCAGGGAAAGCCATGGTCAGGTCATTCCTTCATTTAGCTAATGTCAGTGGTTGCACCGGTCAGCATTTGAGGCAGGGAGGGAGGGTAGCAGATCAAAGAGTCCACGTCTTTGCTGTCCCAAGCTGGTTGGGGACGGTGGAGGCACCAAGAAAGTTAGTGGCTAGATCGTGGAACTTCAGTGGGAAGGCCTCTAAGCAAGTGACATCTCAACGCAGAGGTGAAGGAAGTGAGGGAAGAAGCCGTGCAGGTATCGGTGCAGAAGGAAGGCCCTGGGGCTGGACGGTGCCTGAAACCGTTGAGGAGCCGCAGATTGGGGAATGGAGGATGAGGAGAGTGGGAAGAGTTCAAGTTTGAGAGGTGCCTGGAGACATGGAGAGCGTTTAGGGGGAGGTGGGTGGGTCTCCAGCCACAGCAGGAACTGCACATTGAGTTAATAAATAGTTGAATGAATGAATGACCTAATGTAGGTGAAGACTTCGCGAGAAGCACAAAAGGGGAGGGGCGGGCCGTGTAGCCAAGAGGACGGCCAAACGGGGAGGCCTCCTCTTTGTCCTCGCAGATGCTGGAGCAGCGACTGGCCCGGGAGATCCGTGCCCTGGAGAGAAGCAAGGAGCAGCTGCTCTCGGAGAGTGAGCCTCCCGCGCCAGGTGGGCGGGGGGAGGGGGATGTGCCCGGGCCTCGGCCCTGCCCCTGACGCCCGCCCACCGACAGGGAGGCTGGTGCGCGCCAAGCTGCGGGAGGTGGAGCGGCGGCTGCACTCGCCGCCTGAGGTCGAGGGCGCCATGGCGGTGAATGACGGGTGAGAGGGGAAGGGAGGAGTGGGCGAGGAGGGCAGGGGCAGGGCGGAGGGGAACCCGCCCAGGTCCCCCGCTCCGCCCCCGACTGCCGCTTCCCCGGCCTGTGCCTCCCTCGGCGTCGTCGGGTCTCCGCGTCTCGGTGGCTTCCTCCTCGTCCCCTGGACTCTCGCTCTCTTCCTCCTGTCTCCTCGGCCCCTTCTCCGCAGGCTGAAGGCGGAGCTGGAGATATTCGGGGAGCAGGTCCGGAGCGCCCCCGAGGTCGGGGCCGGCGAGGGAGAGGTAGGGAGCCCGAGGAAGGGAGGCGGGGCGGGCAGGGACCGAGTCAGGAGAGAGCGGGCGGGGGTCCTGGGAGCGGCCCCCGAGAGTGGGGTCTGTGGGGAGCAGGGCGGCCCCGGGGACAGAGGAAGCCGCGGTGGAGGCCTAGGGCAGACGCGGGCGGACGCGAGGAGCGTAGGAACCTGGTCCGCAGCCTCACCCAGCCCCCGGCAGGCCGGACCTGAGCTCCCCCGCGCTCGCGACGAGGAGGATCCCGAGCCGCCGGTGGCTGCCCCTGACGCCCTCTAGGCCAGCAGGACCCGCCCGTTCCCGACCTTCCCTCGAGACCCGCCAAGAAATAAAGGCGATGATTTCCGACCATGCTCGCGTTCTCCGCGGAGTCTGTGCTACACCGTGGAGCGGGGCGGGGCGTGCTGGGATCTCGAGGCGGGGCCTCTGCCGGACCCCTCCCACCAGTCGAGCCCCGGGCGCCGTACAGAGGCTGGGTAAATGCTCCTGAACTCAGAGAGAGTAAGTGGGTGTCAGTATCCCCCGCCCCACGGCCTCATCTCGAGTTCCCAAACCATCTATGTTGTCAACAGGGGCCGGAGGGCAGGTGTTAACCCATTCCGGTCCTCGGGGCCTGTGCGTCTCCGGTGGTCTCAGGAAACCCAGAGTCTCTGCAAGACCCGCAGACTCGCGCTGGCTCTGGGACATGCCCGCCCATCTGAGCTCCCCTCACAAATTGGGTTCTAGCCAAGGCTGCCTCTCCACCCGTCTCAAACATTCCAAAACACGTGTCCCCTCGGGGCCTTCGCCCTACTGGTCCTTCTCTGGGGTCACATCCCCCAGGCAACCTCAGATCTGTTAAATGTGTCCGCCACTCTGGAGGCCGGCATTTGGGACCCAAATCCAAAGGCACCCAGCAGCAGGCTGCGGCCATTGACTGAGCATGTACTGACTAAGCAGGCATTTGCCGATTGCCTGCTGGGTACCAGGCACTGTTCTAAGCACTGGATTTTAAACAGCGCGGTCAGCGACGGCCTCACCTAGGAAGTGGTATCTGAGCGGAGAAGCGAGGTAGAGAAGCGAGGGGGTGAGCCCTGTGGGTGTCTGGGGAAAGGTGGGCCTGGCAGAAGACATGCCTCATGCCAAGGCGGGAGGTGAGGCTGCACTTCGCTGTGTTTGAGGAGACGTCTGGAGAAGGCCGGCGTGGTAGAGTGGAATGAGGTAGAGTGGGATGGGAGACGACACTGGAGAGTTGCCAAGGACCAGTCAAGTTGGACACTATCTAATGTGTGTAGAAGAGGACCTGGCACACAGTCAGTATTCAGTGAATGCCAGCTCTCACATATTGTTGGGATGATTCACTATTCCCAGTCCCTAGAGAATGGGAACTGAGATGTGTGACTCACTTAGATCAGAGGCTTCTGTCCATTAAGTGATCAGTAAGTGGTTCATATGATTTATTATTATTATTCCCAGGCTACAGATGAGGAACACTAAGGTGTGTATATCTCTCAGAACAGAGATTTTTATAACATAAATGCTCAATAAATGGTATCTATCATTTATTATTCTCACTGCTATTCTTGCTGTTATTCCCAATTTAGCGATGAGGAAAATTGAGATAGTGAATCTGTACAGTAAGCCCTCAATAAACGTTGGGTCTCACGTTTGTTGCCATTATTATCCCAAGTCCACAGATGAGGCCCAGGGAGCTTTAGTCCCCGAGTCACCACTCGCATCCGGGCAGAGCTGACTCCAGGCCCAGGCTGTGGTCCCCTGCCCCACTGACACCACCTACTTGCTAAGGCCAGTCTCCAGGAATCTCTAAGGAACTTCAGTATCCTCTTTGTCATCCTCTCTGTGTCACACAAATGGGGTCAGCCTGGATATTCTGCCGATTTACCACTGGGCACCTAGGATTCGAGTCCTGGTTTCCCTGTTCACCAGCTGGATGACCTCAGGCAAATTGCTTAATGTCTCTAAAACGCAGTGACCAGCTGGGTGCTGTGGCTCACGCCTGTAATCCCAGCACTCTGGGAGGCTGAGGCGGGTGGATCACGAGGTCAGGAGTTCAAGACCAGCCTTGCCAAGATGGTGACACCCCTTGGTTTGGTGGTGGCAGGTGTCTGGAATCCTAGCTACTCAGGAGGCTGTGGCAGAGAATTGCTTGAACCCGGAAGGCGGAGGTTGCAGTGAGCCAAGATGGCGCCACTACACTCCAGCCTGGGCGACAGAGCGAGACTTTGGCTTTTGATTTGCCCTGTGTTCTCCTGACTCAACTGACCTTCCTGGCAGGGCTACTTCTCCTTTCATTGAAATAATTGACAGCTGCCTGGGAAGTCTTCACTCACTTCCTGTAACAGCTTTTCTCAGGGCTTGCATTCAATTACCATAATTCTCAAGCTTCTTGGCTTGTAGTTCAGGTTCAAATGTGAATGAGCCTGGGGGAGCTCAGTGTTGCCAAAAGGCGGAAGGACATTCTTTTTATTATTATTATTATTTTTATTTATTTATTTATTTATTTTTGAGACGGAGTCTCGCTCTGTCGCCCAGGCTGGAGTGCAGTGGCGCCATCTCGGCTCACTGCAAGCTCCGGCTCCCAGGTTCACGCCATTGTCCTGCCTCAGCCTCCAGAGTAGCTGGGACTACAGGTGCCCGCTACCACACCCGGCTAATGTTTTTCTGTATTTTTAGTAGAGACGGGGTTTTACCGTGTTATCCAGGATGGTCTCGATCTCCTGCCCTCGTGATCCGCCCGCCTCGGCCTCCCAGAATGCTGGGATTACAGGCGTGAGCAACCGCACCCGGCCAGGACATTCTTGAAAAAAGTAAGCCAGAAAGAAACCCACTGAAAAACAGAGGAGTCAGAGGAGGGGCCCGAAGAGATGCAAACATAGCACATCCTGAGTAGCAAGCTAGACAAGGCATGGAAGAGAGAGTGGCCAAAGTGACTGCAGTAGAATCTCCCGGAGGATAATAATATTACTACCTAATAGAGCACACTAGTTAGCAGAACAGAACCCAGGGCCAGACTGTGTTTGTTAGAATCCCAGCTCTGCTGCATACTAGCTGTGTAACTTCAGGTTACACAGTTAGGTTACTTAAATTCCCTTTTTTTTTTTTTTTTTGAGATGGAGTTTCATTCTTGTTGCCTAGGCTGGAGTGCAATGGCGAGATCACGGCTCACTGCAACCTCCACCTCCTGAGTTCAAGGGATTCTCCTGCCTCACCCTCCCGAGTCACTGGGATTACAGGCGCCCACCTCCACACCCAGCTAATTTTCGTATTTTTAGTAGTGACGGGGTTTCACCATGTTGGCCAGGCTGGTCTCAAACTCCTGACCTCAAGTGATCCACCCGCCTTGGCCTCCCAAAGTGCTGGGATTACAGGCGTGAGCCACCCTGACTGGCCGTTCATAAAGTTTTGAGGACATGTAGCATGTTACGTTTCAGAGAATCAAAGGCATCCACCATTTCTTTTTTGATCTCTCAATTTTGTGTTCATTTAGATTTCAGACAGCAATCAAAACATCAAGTACAGGTGAATACAATCCCAGGCCACCTTTTCCTGGGAACCTGGATATTGAGCTCTTACTTTTCTCCATTCTAGGATCTTGTTAAGCAGTGATGCTAACCAGTGAGTAGAACAGTGAGAGGTCCGTGCATATTCTATTTGCTGATCTACCAGCTGTTTTAAGGGACTGGTCAGTGGCAGAATTAACATATTTGCCATACCTACAAAATTCACAAGTACCTAGACTTCATTTTCCATTTTCCTACAAAACTCAAACTCTGTTTTTGTGACCTATTACTCACCGTAATCCTACCCAGCATCTTTCTCATTGGAATCTTGAGTAACATTTACCCAAAGATTACATTAGTTCCATTCTTCTTCCTTTCATTATCAAGTCATTATTAGATGGAGATGATTTGAATAGCCTAGGTGCCTGTTTTTTGTCTTGTAGTCCTTCCTTGGTGTTAACTCTGAAATTAATTTATCTCTTTTTTTATTTTTATTTATTTATTTTTTGAGATGGACTCTCACTCTGTCGCCCAGGCTAGAGTGCAGTGGCACAATCTCGGCTCCCTGCAACCTCCACCTCCCGGGTTCAAGCGATTCTCCTGTCTCAGCCACCCAAGTAGCTGGGACTACAGGTGCCCACCAACACGCCCGGCTAATTTTTGTAGTTTTAGTAGACACAGGGTTTCACCATATTGGCCAGGCTGGTCTCAAACTCCTGACTTCAAATGATCCACCCACCTTGGCCTCCCAAAGTGCTGGGATTATAGGCGTGAGTCACCATGCCCTGCTAAAATTAATTGATTTCTTCCAAGTGTGTGCAGTCATGTTTTACTTCTGTGATCAGACCTATTTAAGAGTTATAAAGATTCCTTCCAATTGTATCTTATGAAAGCCAGTAGGCATTTAATGACCTTCTTTTCTGGAGTCATTGTCTTTATATTTTGTGCCTCATTTTTGGAAAGCCTGTTTTACTTTCCGTGTGTCTTCTTATTTCTAAAGTCTTATTAAACCTACATTATCTAAAATGCCCATTACCTATAAATTTCTCTTCCACTCTGAGATTAAATATCTTTCTCAGTGGTTACCTTTATATTTTTAGAACATTTTATTGTTTAAAAATCACAGTCAAAGCTTCAAAAAACATACACCCCAAAATATCCCAATTTCAGTATCCTACTACCCAGAGGAGAGCACATGGCTGTTCTTCCCCTTCTGGTGCCCACAGCACTAGCGAGGACCCTGCCCTGAAGAGACCACTTGCCCACCCTCCTGCCCACCATATGTTAAGTCACCGTTTCTAATACATTTATTTATTTATTTATTTATTTAGTAAGATGGAGTCTCGCTCTGTTGCCTAGGCTGGAGTACAGTGGTGCAGTCTCGGCGCACCGCAAGCCCTGCCTCCTGGGTTCAAGCAATTCTGTAGCAGCGTCCCGAGGAGCTGGGATTACAGGCACCCACCATCCCATCCAGCTAATTTTTGTATTTTTAATAGAGACGGGGTTTCACCATGTTGGCCAGGCTGGTCTCAAACTCCTGACCTCAGGTGATCCACCCACCTCAGCCTCCAAAAGTGCTGGGATTATAGGTGTGAGCCACTGCTCCCGGGCCCTAATGCTTTTATAATTTAGTTTATATTTGAACTATTTGGAATTTATTTTGTGTCTGTACATAATCTGGAGAGAATTTACTGAATAGCACATGTATCCCCCCAACTGCAATGCCATCCTCGCCATATACCAAATAATCATGTCTATTTTGGTCAATTTCTGAACTGTTTATTCTATTCCTTTATCTAGTTACCTATTTATACACAAATACCAAACTTTTTATTATTATACCCTTAAATAATATTATGAAACTCACTTGGTGAGACCTCCTCTATATTTTCCTACTGTTTCAGAATTTTTCAAGGGTAGTTTCTTTCCTATGCATACTCTAGAATCATATTGTCTATTTCCAAAAAAAAAAAAAAAACAAAAAAACAAAAAACCTGACTGGGCGCAGTGGCTCACAGCTGTAATCCCAGCACTTTGGTGGGCAGAGGCAGGCAGACTATGAGGTCAGGAAATCAAGACCATCCTGACTAACATGGTGAAACCCTGTCTCTACTAAAAATACAAAAAATTAGCTGGATGTGGTGGCACAAGCCTGTAGTCCCAGCTACTAGGGAGGCTGAGGCAGGAGAATCACTTGAACCCAGGAGGCGGAGGTTGCAGTGAGCAGAGATCACGCCACTGCACTCTAGCCTTGTGGCAGTGTGAGACTCTGTTTCAAAAAAAATTAAACAGCAGCAACAACAACAAAAAACCCCTATTATTATTTGATATTTGTATTGAATGAAATATATACATTAACATGCAGGAAATTAGTATCATTATATTGAGCCTTCTAAAGGAGAAAAGAGTCTGTTTTATCTGTTTAGTTTTTTTTTTTTTTTTTTTTGAGATAGCGTTTCACTCTTGTTGCCTAGGCTGGAGCGCAATGGTGTGATCTCAGTTGACCACAACCTCCGCCTCCCGGGTTCAAGCAATTCTCCTGCCTCAGCCTCCTGGGTAGCTGGGATTACAGGCATGCATCACCATGCCCAGCTAATTTTGTATTTTTAGAAGAGATAGGGTTTCTCCATGTTAGTCGGGCTGTTCTCCAACTCCCGACCTCAGGTGATCCGCCTGCCTTGGCCTCCCAAAGTGCGGGGATTACAGGCGTTAGTCACCGCACCTGGCCTAATTTTTATTTTATGTGTTCTTCTCCTCTGTATATCTCTTTGAATTCTATTTTACCTGATAATAATGTTGCTACAGTAATTTTTTTTTTTTGAGACTGAGTCTCACTCTGTTGCCCAGGTTGGAGTGCAGTGGCACTATCTCGGCTCACTGCAACCTCTGCCTCCTGGGTTCAAGCAATTCTCCTGCCTCAGCCTCCCGAATTGCTGGGATTACAGGCACCTGCCACCATGCCCAGCTAATTTTTTGTATTTTTAGTAGAGATGGGGTTTCACCATGTTGGCCAGGCTGGTCTTGAACTCCTGACCTCAGGTGATCCACCCACCTCAGCCTCCCAAAGTGCTGGAATTACAGGCGTGAGCCACCACGCCCGGACAATAAATGTATTTTTAGGAATATTTTTCTTCGTATGTTTCTTTACTTGACTGTCTATTTAGGTATCTAATTTTTCAGGGTTTGTTTAATAAAACTATACTGTCATTGATAATTCATAGCCTAATGAGGAAGGCAACCCAGGACAAAGGGTTCAAAGACACAGGTACATACTAGAGTGTGGGGAGGCATGCAGGCACATCCTAATGCAGGTAATGTTGACTACGTTGTTAAAGGCAAGTAGGAATTAGTCAAGCAAAGAAGAGAGCAAAAGAAACTCCCTGTTGAAGAAGGTCATGGCAAAGCGAGAAGGCATGAGCACTGTGAGTATGATACATAAATCTCTACATCAGAATCTTTTGATCCAGTGTTTAGTTTATGACAAAAGATAAGGCCAGAAACCTATGTACAAACAAGATGATTAAGACCTTTCCTGCCACATCAAGCTGATGGAATTCTACCTCGAAATGTGGAAGGGATACACTAAGAAATATTTAGCTATTAGAACCTGAGGGCCTCTTTGATACCTGTTAAAAGTTGAACAGGTCCCCATTCTTAATAAGGCATCTGGTTCAGTGTAAATTCTTAGAAAATAATTGTCATTTGTGTAAATAATCCAGGAGAAGGCAGAGGTCAGGAAATGTTTTTCTTAGCGGGCCAAATAGTAAATATTTTAGACTTTGCAAGCCAAGAGGTGAAATTGAAAGTATGTAAATACTTGTATAACCATTTAAAATGCAACCATCTAAAAGTATTAAAACATTCATAGATTATAAGCCCTATAAAATTACTAATGGCTAGATTTGACCTGTAGGCTATAGTTTGTGGACTCTTGGCCTAGAGAATGGATATTTAAATTTTTAAGGGAGTATAATGCTTTCATTATGAAAGAAAATGGAAAATAATTCGTTGGCATGTGGAGAAATGAACAATGAGAGAAAATGTTATTTTGGGAAATAAAACCAAGGAGAGAATTGGCATGTTAGTTTGAAATTATTGCTTCTGTAACATGCTAAAAAGCATGACATTTGAGTATAGCACTGAGATGGACAAGGTGCCCTACAAGGCCAAAAATGACTTTTTTGTTTCTGGGAATCAGTAAGGATTTATGAATCTTGAACAAAAAACCATTGCTTTGTTTTTCAGATACTATTCAGTATAAGAAGTGTCCAGATGATCAATATCAGAATAGTCAGAGAATTTACTGTCTTCCAAAGGATGTGAACTTCTTGGCTTTTGAAGGCCCTTTGGGGATGTCTCTGGCCTGCACAGCCCTGCCTCTCTGTCCTTACTGCAGTGGTCCTTGGGGTATTTGTGAAGCAGCAGGAAATCCCCTCGGTTAAAGCCAGTACATGGGCTTTCAGCTGCACCCTGCTGAAAGTCTGGCCTCCGTCACACTGTGCTTCCTCTGCTCTGCCCTATGCATTGGCCACCCCCACACAGCTACGTGGTGACTCCAACAAATAGCATTTGGAGTTGTGTTTACTATGGCTATTTCTATCATTCTGACCAAAACCATCACTGTAGTTCTGGCTCTGAAGGCCAGAATGCCAGGGAGAATAAGATGGTGATTGGTATCAGGATCTCCTAATTTTGCCCTTTTTATATTCTCCCTAATCCAAGTGGAATCTGTCTCCTGATCTGTCAGCTCGGGCTGAGAAACTTTCCTCCCTTCATTGACACAGACACACTCTCTAAGCTTGGATCTGTAGTTCTCACACGCAGTGAGGTTTCAGCACTGTCTTCTACCATGTCCTAGGATACCTGGGCTCCTTGACCCTGGGGAGCTTTACCTTGGCTTTCCTGGCCATGGGTTTGCCTGACACCTTCAATAAGTCAAGTTCTTGATGTTCAGCATGCTGGTGTTCTGCAGTCACCTCCCTCCTTGCCGACCACAGCATCAAGGGGAAGGTCCTGGAAGCCATGGGGTTCTTCTTCATCTTAGCTTTCAGTGCTGAGCTACTTGGCTGCATCTTTGCCCCCATATATTACGTTACTCTTATGAGATATGAATACCTTCCAAGGTCTGAAGATTAAAATAGGTTCTGGAAGCAGTAAGAATTCCAGAGTTTTATTTCAAAAAAGGGGGAAAAAAAAAGAGGCGACATCCTGAATTTAAAAATTCACTATTATCACAATCAGATGCAAGTTAATAATTGAATCAAACTCACTACCTCCGAAGATAAAGTCAGTCTCATGTCTTTAAAGGAATTAAGAGCAATACCACTCTCAGTTATCCTGTTTCATAGTGTGAATGTTATGGACATTTCCCATCCATGCCTTTTTCTTCAATGTATGTAATCTTTCATGCGGCATTTCTCTTCCTTTTTATGTAATAACAACCTACATAACCCAGTGTCTTCAGCCAACAATCTTGCCTAATTTTCCAGTTTGGAGATTGTTTGCCTTCACGGGCATTCCTTTCCCTTCCCCTGTAAGCTCTATTGCCTAAGATTCCAGCCATCTGGGTTGTGAGTGGAGTCATCCAGAAGGAAGCAGTGTTAGAATAATGGTGGCTTTTTCTCAGTGGCTCTACCTCCTCCTAGACAAATCTATTCTGCTTGCAGCCTCCATCGAGTGATCCCAGGCGCTGGGCACTGTTAACTCTGACTCCCTGATAATTTCTCTCTCTCTCTCTTTTTTTTTTTTTTTTTTTGAGATGGAGTCTCCCAGTCACTCAGGCTAGATTGCAGTGGCATGATCTTGGCTCACTGCAACCTCTGCCTCCCAGGTTCTAGTGATTCTCCTGCCTCAGCCTCCCAAGGAGCTGGGATTACAGATGTCTGCCACCAGGCCCAGCTAATTTTTGTATTTTCTTTTTTAGTAGAGACAGGGTTTCACCATGTTCTCCAGGCTGGTCTCAAACTCCTGACCTCAAGTGGTCTGCCCACCTCGGCCTCCCAATGATAATCTCTTTTTAACTGCTACTCACATGTTTGGTTCTCAGATCCTCCAGCACCTGCAATTCCTTGCTGTATTAGTCCAGGTTCTCCATAGGAAAAGAACCAAAAAGATACACACAGACACACACATATATGGAGAATTATTATGGGAATTGGCTCATGTGACTATGGTGGCCGAGAGGTCCCACGATATACCATTTGCAAGCTGGAGAACCAGGAAAGTCAGGGTGTAATTCAGTCCAAGTTGGAAGACCTGAGAAAGAGAGGAGCCAGTGGTATAACTCCCACTCTGAGACTGAAGGAGGCACTGGCTTAAGTCCCTGGAGTCTGAAGGCCTGAGAACCAGGAGCTCTGATGTCTGAGGGCAAGAAAAGATGGATGTCCCAGCTCAAAAAGACAGTCAATTTACCTTTCTTCTGGCTTTTTGTCTTATTTAGATGGGCCCTCAATAGATGAGGTGATGCTCCGCAACACCGGTGTGGGTGAGTCTTCTTCCCTTAGTGGACTGATTCAAATGCTACTCTCTTCCAGAAACAGCCTCACAGACACAACCAGAAGTAATATTTTTCTATCTCTCTGGCTGTCTCCTATCCCAGTCAAGTTGACACATTAAAATTAACAATCACACCTGCAATTATATTCCCTCTGCTTTAAATAAATTCTATCTTTTTATCTGATTAGACCCTGACTGACAATCTTGCTACCAGGAGAAGTGCCAGGAAACACATCTTCCTATGGGATTCTGGTTGGGGTTGGCCTGCTTGTGCATGAACACAATCATGATCTTATTGCAGGTGGAAAATGGAATACTGATTCTAGCAGATAGGGTCAGCGCCTACCTGTACTCACTTGTCTTACACCTCATTGCACGCCAGGCCGGCTTCCATCTGCCAGGACATAAATTCCTTTCCATGACATTTTTCCATGACATGGATGCTGAAGTATGCCTGGCCTATTTGTCTGGTGGGCTAGAAGTGTTGCAGAATGAATTTCTGCCTCCCTAAGCCTCAGAACAGTCTTCATCTATTGACCGATAGGATTGGGTGTATATGCCAGTTAACAATGTATTGCCTCTCAGCTCCAAATTCACCTTTACCACCTGCCTTGTGAAAATGGATCAGGCCCTTGAAACAGTTTCCTTTGCCAGCTGACACGATGTTAAGCTTTGCTCAGTAGAGGGCGCCAGGGAGACGTTTCTGCTTTGGTTCTGGTCTTCCGGCTAGGTAGGTTTCTGCAGGGTGGACGACTTCTCCAGCGCAGGTTCCTGTAGCGCATGGCAGCCAGCAGCGTCCCAAGACACCATCTTTGGTAGTTTTGTAGCAGTGACTCTAGTGAGACACCTCTCCATGAACAACGTTCCCCAACACCTCAGAAGATGGATTTCTGGCAAGGTTTAGAGGGCAGATTTCCAGAAAGTTCTACAAAGGCAGCACTACAGCAACTTCTTTGCCCTTCAGTGAGTCACAGCCATGACCTGTCCAACTAGGACCTGACCTCACCCTGTGGGTAGAGGGTCTCCCTTGGACGCTCCAGCTCAGCCCTGCAGGCAGTAGCTGCTGCGTAGGTCGGCTCTTTCTGTATGCTTCAGAGTTTTCTTTGCTTTTTCCTAGTGAACCCCTCACTGCCCCAATATCCCATTTTAGTTAATAATGATGTATTTTAAACTTTATCTGTTCAAATTATTGCATAGTTTTTCTCCCTTGATAGGACTCTTACTGTGCATAAATTCTCCAGCTCCTTTGGCGTTTGGCTGGAGTAAGTTTGAGGCATGCTTTTATTTATTTATTTATTTATTTATTTATTTATTTATTTATTGAGATGGAGTCTCGCTCTGTCACCCAGGCCGGAGTGCACTTGTGTGATCTCAGCTCACTGCAACCTCCGCCTCCCGAGTTCAAGTGATTCCCCTGCCTCAGCCTCCTGAGTAGCCGGGATTACAGGTGTGTGCCACCATGCCCGGCTAATTTTTGTATTTTTAGTAGAGACAGGGGTCTCACCATGTTGGCCAGGCTGGTCTCGAGCTCCTGACCTCAAGTGATCCGCCCACCTTGGCCTGCCAAAGTGCTGGGATTACAGGCGTGAGTCATCGTGCTCAGCCAGGCGTGCTTTTTTAATACTGGCTCCAGGGTATCCCCAGTGGCTTGTTAAAAAAATACATCATGGGCTGCTTTTCCTTTCTTGCTGTGGGAATGTAAAAGGACCTGATGAGGATGAAAGACACGACTTGTTGACAGCCCTGGGAGTCTAGAAGGAGGTGGAAGTCAGAAATGTTGCAGTTGTTCAGAACGAATTCCTAGTACTGTAACTAGGCCAGTGCTGGCATGGAAATAGAGATTACCTACACACCCCAAAGGGGGCTTAGGCCTGCATGCACCTGGTGATTGAATGTGAGATCGAGAGGGCTTTCCAGCAATAGAAATATACACCTTCCTATTGCTCCAAGATGCCAAGCAGAAAGTCAACATACATTTGAATAGGTTCTATCAAAAGAACAATTCCTTCTCTGATGTGGATCATGAAGTAGCAATTATTCTATCTCTATTCCCATGCAAGCTAAGCGTATGCATAGAGATGACCATTTCTGGGTTATGTCTATGTCATAAACTTGTTTAATGCAGTTGCTGCCTTGGCATCCGTTGTTAGGCCTGACATAAGTTGTTTGAAGTCCAGTTGTACCCTGTCACCTTTGGTCTAGTTAAAACTTCCTCTCCCCATGTGGCTGTTTGCAATATAGCCCACTTGTTCCTCATCCCACTGAACCCAAACCCAACATATCCCACAGCTGCTGACTGTGATAAAACCCAGTGGCCAACACCAGAGTCGTGTAGGTAAGTTCCCTTTCTCACACGTATTTTCCTTAAACTAGCAAATTCACAACCCCCTGTGGAAAGCCTAAGTGAGAACACTCCTGGAGCCCCTAGACCTTGATAAAGGCGTGCTCCTGCTGGTCATCTCTCATGTCATGCATTTCGTTTTCCCATTTTCCTTCTGTCTCTCCTGACTGGCACACCTGAACCTTAACTAGGACATAAGGAGAATAGGAAACCAAAATGCAAGGTCCAGGGGCTCCAGGAGTGTTATCACTTACAACACGCTCTCCTAGAGAGTGGCTATCTTGGCAGAAATAAACTGGACACAGATCAGACAAGAGCCACAAAGCGTGTCTGCTGGATTTCCTTTGAGAGAGACAGCTGGCTATGGATCAGACTCAGGCATTAGGCTGTCAATCAGGATAAAGAAGCATCATGTGAAAGACACACTGTAAACACCTGTGAACATCTCCCCTGGAGCCCTAGCAGGGCCAAGCTTTATCGCCACTCTCCAGAGAGTCCTGAAGAGCAAATTAGAGGAAAATCTCAACAGTACAGTTATTCATCTGAAGAAAGGCTAGAGAACAAAAGTAATAAGCATCAGAAACACACTTGTTGGTATGGTTTGGCTTTGTGTCCCCACCCAAATCTCATCTCAAATTATAATCCCCATGTGTCAGGATAGGAACTTGGTGGAGGGAGGTCGTTGGATCATGGGGGCAGTTTCCCCCTTGCTGTTAGTGTGACAGTGAGGGAGTTCTCACGAGATCTGATGGTTTACAAGGTGCAGTTTCCCCTTCTCTCTTTCTCTCTCCTGCTGCTGCCATGTAAGAAGTGCCTTGCTTCCCCCTTCGTCTCCCACCATGATTGTAAGTTTCCTGAGGCACTCCCAGCCATGCAGAAAGGTGAGTCAATTAAACCTCTTCATTATAAATTATTCAGTCTCAGGTATTTATAGCAGTGTGAAAATGGACTAATACACTTGTGTTAGTAACTGCAAGCTTTGGAACCCCTGTGTATCTGCTGTCACCCACTGATTCTCAAACTGCACTACATGCTACAATCAATAGCGGTGCTACAAAGTGCCCGGAATCCCTTTCAGAAGGTATAATTCACTCAGTTTGGGATAATGCCCGAGTATATTTATTTTAAAAATTTTCAGTTGGTTATGTGCAGTTGGAGTTGCAAACCATTTATCCAGACATAAAAGGATACCTATTGACTAAGATAGTGCTTCTGGAAATGTGATCCCTGGAATAACAGCATCAGCATCACCTGGGAACTTATTAGAGATGCAAATTATTGGGTCCCACCCCAGATCTATTGAATTGGAAACTGGGGCAGAGCCCAGCAATTTGGGTTTAACAAGCCTGCCAGGTGATTCTAATGCCCAGGTTTGAGAATTCTTGAACTATCACAAGGAAGAGTTCCTGAATTCTTCCACTTTTTGTGATGGAATAAAAATAAAAATACCCTTTGGAGTCAGGAATTTTGGGTTCAAACCTGGAATCTTCCTCACAATTAAAAGTGTGACCCAGGACAAATTATTTTGCTCTCTAATCTTCAATTACATCACTTGTAAATTAGAAAGTCAGATAATCCCAGTTTTAATAATGTTGTTGTGAAGATAAAATAAGATGTCACTTTCTCTCCCTTCCACATTAAGGGGATTATGAAGTCTGTGCTTTGATGGGAATGATAGGCATATCTATGTGTTCACCCTGGATCCCAGCTAAGAATACTAAATAGTCTGTCAATGTAATACTTTTTATCAGTGGCTTAGATATTTTCCCAAAGTGTGGGACAACAATCACTTGTGATCTATGTGGCACTGGTGCTCAATAGCATTGAATCACATGGTAGAATGTTTTTCTCCGTTCAAAAATTTCCAAAGATTGTTTAAATACATTTTTTAAAAACATCTTATTTTAGTTTAAAGTGCCTGAAACACATCTCTAAACTTCTAATGTCCCCTTTAAAATAAAGCCTTTGACAAGCAAATATATTTTTCTAGACTTTAATACATTTGTTTACCTTCTTTTGCAGACAAGTAGTACTAGGTTTTCATATATGATAATACAAATGTTTTAAAAATAAATTTAACAATGAGTTTACCGAAATAAACGCTTAAAACACACTACAAAGTTGTGACCAATGAAGGCATGCATCAATGTCACTGTTTTCCATACTTCAACGTGTGCAACAGAAATCCCAGCCTTAAATAGTTCATAGGGAGAGAGGACTGGTATACGGAAACTCTGAAAACAGAGGTCAGAGTCAACATTCTTATGGGATTAGTGTGAATAATATATATGATGCCGAACTACCAGGGTTAGGGTATAAACAATTTAGCGGAGGTTCCTGTGAAACAGATCTTGAGGGTTTAGATTACATTGTGCAAGAATGTTTGATAACTCTTTAAAACTGGTTTTGCACCTTAAACCATTGATAGAACTCTAGTATGCAGAACAAGGAGATCATGGTTGTGCCAACTTGTCCCTGCTCAGGGCATTTTATAAAACTATAATAAACTCAGTTTGAGTTGAATATTAACAAAATAAAGCCCATTCAGATGGAGGAAGGGGCTAGTAGGATAGAGGTTTTGAAGTGTAGATTACGAGAGCTAAGGCTGAAGGATTTAAGAATATTTATTCTGAAGAAGAGATACCTGGGTACTAAATATCATCTTTGTATATCTGAGCATATATCATGGGATAAAGGAACCAGAGAGGCAAATGAGGACTTGCTAACAGATACCACTGTCCAGCAGTAGAATCAGCAGCCACGTTGGATGGGGCAAGCTCCATAACCAGAGGCAATCCAACAGGGAAAGCAGCAGGTAACGAGCGTGCCAGAGCCAGTATGGATGATGGTTGGGATGTTAAGGTAAAGGCCTGATTGAAGTTCATGTGTGTGTTGGGCGGGGGGGAGTGTAGAAAGGGAATTCATATATGGAAAGTACCTGCTGTGTTACAGACTCTTACTAACACTTTGAGTCATCCTCTTGCCCATGAGGGGGCTGAGGCTCTGAGAAGTTTTGCAGCCTTCTGTAGTTCTCATAGCTAATACTGCATTTAAACTCAAGTCTATTGATCTTCACAACCATGCCACGCTTTATTCTGAACTCTGTTCCCTTCCAGCTCTGCATTGTTGTTGCTTCCTCATGGGTTGTAACCCAGATAGAAGCCACAAAAGTATATTTCATGAATGGGTACTTTTTACGGTCTCTGGCTAAAGTCACCAGCAGCCAGTGTGGGAGAGAGAGCTTGAAGTCCCTGCTACCAAACCCAATGCCAAGTCAAGCCCCCCTGGATACCTGATAGAGAACATCTGTACCGAAATGCTGTCAGTCAGGGTGAATGTTGCACTGCACCACCTGGATCCCACTTTGGGAACAGAGGGCTTATTCCTGCAGCTGCTAGCAGTACTGCTGCTGCTGGAAAGCTGCCCTCAGTGTCAGTCCCCTTCAAGAACCCCCTCAGCAAGGGTCAACTCCATTAAAGTTATGCCTCTTCTTGGGGGAGGCCACATGCAATAACCATTTGGCTTAGAAGTGTAAAAAAGCCCACGGGTCATGAAGGCCTGACCCTCGTGGCTGAACATGGGGTGGCTTGGAATGGCCAACCCATCTTAAAACTCTCCATGAGGGTGGCTAATGCTTCCATTGAAATTTCTCCCTCTGCTCAATCCTGCTTCCTTTCTTTCCCTTTCTTTCTCTTCCATGGGAGTTGATCCCAAGATCAGTCCCTAATCAACATTCAGAATGCTGATCTCCATTTCAGAGTCAGCTCCAGCAGTCAGCTGCAAAATCTCAGCTCAGCATCTTCCCATGTGGCTTGTCTTCCGTTTCAATTGTTCAAATAAATAAGAGGTCTGGCTACTGAACTGTACTCATTCATTTATTCTTTCATTCAACAAATACTTAACCACCAGCAACGTGGCAGTGAGTGCACTAGGCACTACTAGAACTACTGTAATGAGGAAGGATTCTGTTCTAGCCCTCAATGAGCTAACAGGGAAGAAAGACCATCAGCAAATAATTACATAAAGAATGATGTGATGACTTTATGAGAAGGGTTTTGAAGAACTGCAGGGCACTACCAGTGAGATCACAGGAGTCTAGTCTAATTTAGAGAAATCAGTAAGATCCTCTGAACATGGTGACATTTAATCTGAGACCTAAAGACTAAAGGAGGTGGGTATATGGGAGACGGGGTAATTCTAAACAGAATTAACAGCATTAGGCAGAAAGGATATTTGTATATTTGAGAGAAAGAAAAGCCTGATTGGCAACCACACAGTGAAAGAAACAAATGAAAATGAGGCTTGCACAGATACTATAGGGACTTATAAAATTTTTTTGGTACAATTATAAGCATGAAATAGTTTTATGATGTGACTTGGACTGATGTTGTTTCACATTATTTAATTCTACCAAGAATTGTGTGCATTGTTTGCCATTTCCCCACCACCCTTTTTTTTGAAACAGAGTTTTGTTCTTGTTGCCCAGGCTGGAGTGCAGTGGCGTGATCTCGGCTCACTGCACATCCGCCTCCTGGATTCAAGCAATTCTCCTGCTTCAGCCTCCTGAGTAGCTGGGATTACAGGTGCACACCATCACGCCTGGCTAATTTTTGTATTTTTAGTAGAGATGGGGTTTCACCAGGTTGGCCAGACTGGTCTCGAACTCCTGACCTCAGGTAATCACCCTGCCTTGGCCTCCTAAAGTGCTAGGATTACTGGCATGAGCCACCACGCCCAGTCTTTTCCCCCCTTTTTTTTTAATAGATGGGGGAGGAAACCTAATTTCTGAGAGATTCTGTGTTTTGTTCAAGGTCAAAAAACAGCTCAAATAAGTCAAAGGAGGCCCACCTGGATCCAAAATCTATATACCTTCCACTATATCATATGAGAGTCCTCTGACTGTCTTTAGGGGAATGACATTTTCCATTTGAGTCAATGGAAGCTATAGCTTTACAGAGTAATGACCTTTACCTTATACCCTATTTTAATTCCCTTTAAGCCTGAGGGCCCTTGAATAGTTGGTTTCTACAAAAATGAAGCTGAAAAACAATTACCAAAATATACTAACGACCTCCATGCTATAAAATTATTCACGAGCTAGACCACGGCGAGACTTCTCTAACAAATCCACATCATCCATTTCAAATTTTTAAATTAAATTGATGGCTCTTTAGCTCTGATATGTCACTTTTGTTTTCTTTTCTTTGAGACAGAATTTCACTCTTGTTGCTCAGGCTGGAGTGCAGTGGCACAATCTCGGCTCACCGCAACCTCCACCTCCCAGGTTCAAGCAATTCTCCTGCCTCAGCCTCTGGAATAGCTGGGATTACAGGCTTGTGCCACCATGCATGGCTAATTTTTTTTTTTTTTTTTTTTTTTTTTTTTTAGTAGGGACAGGGTTTCTCCATGGTGGTCAGGCTGGTCTCGAACTCCCGACCTCAGGGGATCTGCCCGCCTCGGCCTCCCAAAGTGCTGGGATTACAGGCGTGAGCCACTGCGCCTGGCCTGATATGTCACTTTTAAAATTCCAAAGGCCCTTTTCCATGAAAGGATCCAGGAATTACTGGCTTCCGATCACCCTTCACAGTCCTTTGTTCATTTTGCTGAACTAGGGTTGCCATTAGAATGGTTCACTGAAGCTCATTCATTCCGGACATTGCCCAGGTGTCCTGCTGTGAAGAAAATTGATATTTTTATTGTGGCTCTTTCAGTTTGCATTGCAAAGGCAAGTATTTTTGAAATTTTGAAATAGAACTTATAATACTGTGTTAAATTCCTATTGCTTATTTCCTCATATCTGCCGGCTGTGTTCTCACGTCCATCTTTGTGTTTTCTGGAGCGCCAATATCCTAGCTCAGATTGGCATTGCCACTTACATGGCTACGGGAGAACTTCATTTCCCACTCTGCCTCTAGCCTTGTTCATTTCCATTTGTCAGTCACATTGTAGTCAGAACTAATTCACTTATAGCTCTTTACTTCTCTGGTTTCCCATGAACTACAGGGTCAAATCCGAAAACTTTATTCCAGAATGCAAGTCCCTCTCTAATGGTCTTATGTGAACCTACCTTTCCAGCCATACATCCCACTACTACCTCTCACCATTCTGGACCCCTCCCTGTCCACCCGCAACTCATGCAAGGCAAGATTTCTTTTCGAATATGACTTTTCTCCCTGCATGGTGTTTACTCTGATTGTATTTTATCTTCAAACACCAGAAGCTATTCATTTTTAAGTGCCCCTTTATCACATAGCCTTCCTTGACCTCTCTGAGAGCAACCTCTGTTTCCTCTGTGTTTCATCATCAAACTACTTATACCATGTCTAGATGAAGTATGATCATTGATGTTATACACCTTCGTGTGCTGGCTGAGAGCTTACATTCTAAGAAATGAGGTTATACCTTATTAATTTTCATATTATCTCAATAATAAGTATAACAAGTTACTGAGTAATTGCTGTAAGAGGAGAACATCTTTGGAGCATCTAACCAACTCACCATGATTTTTAAAAAATCATCTCCCTCTATCAACAGCACTACATGGTGCTATCATTCCCAACAGTCATGTCGTCAAATGTAATTTTGCTCAATTCACTTGCAGGCATCTGAAGATTATGAAATTTAAAAATAAAATGTAATCACTCACGTGCTTAGTGGCAGGCCCTCTGCTTAATGTTATTGCATAAGCATCAGTCATTCGGGTATGGTCTTTTCCCATTGTGTCATTATAGGTCTTATAGACATTAAAAGAACAATAAAAGTGTGTGTGTTTGTGAGCTAAATGACTTCGGAGAGCAAATTAAAACATTTAGATGAGATGGACAAATTTCTTGAAATATGCAAATCCCTTAAACTGATGCAGGAGGAAATAGAAAATCTGAATAGCTCCATACCTAAATCATTATTTGGAAAAAGTTAAAATTAGGCCCATGTCTCACCATCCACCACAAGAACAAGCAAATAAAGGATCTAATGTAATAATATGAAAGCATACAAGTGCTAGATGGAAACACGGGTGAATTTCTCTTTATTCTGATGTAGGAAAAGGCTTTCTGGCTATGACTCAAAACCCAGAGGTGATAACTTTGACTACATAAAAAAATTTGCATGGAAAGAAATACCATAAATGTTCAAAAATATGTTACATATATTATGGATAAAGATTTAATATCTATAATATATAAAAAACTCTTGAAAGAATAAATTTCAAAAATGAGAATTCTTTAAAATATAAACAGCAAGAATCAAGACTGCTTATGCAGAATTATAAATATGTAAAAATAACAGCAAAATAATGAAAAGGAAATAAACTATTTTTTTTTTTTCCAGATGGAGTTTCACTCTTGTCACCCAGGCTGGAGTATGGTGGTGCCATCTTGGCTCACTGTAACCTCTCCCTCCCAGGTTGAAGTGATTCTCCTGCCTCAGCCTCCCGAGTAGCTGGGATTACAGGCACCCGTCACCAAGCCTGGCTAATTTTTTGTGTCTTTAGTAGAGACGGGGCTTCACCATGTTGGGCAAGCTGGTCTCAAACTCCTCACCTCAGGTGATCTGCCCGTCTTAGCCTCCTAGAGTGCTATAGTTATGAAATAATGACAATTGCTACTTTTTTCCTTTTTTCTACTTCTCTGTGTTTTTGAAATACACTAAGTACATCTTTCTTTTATAAGCAAATAGATGTTATTATAATAAAAAATGTTAAAAGACACAAAGAGATACCATTACAGGCTCACTAATGTGTAAAAATATTAATACACATTGTGGGGAGGTTGTAAAATAACCGGAACACTCAAACATCGCTGGTAGAAGCACAAAGTGGTGCAAACACTTTGAAAAACGGGTAGTTTCTTCTAAATTTAAACACATATTTACCATGACTCAGAAATTCCCCTCCGTGGTATTTACCCAAGAGAAATGAAAATACATAGCTTCATTAAAAAGTATACGTAAGGCCGGGCACGGTGGCTCACGCCTGTAATCCCAGCACTTTGGGAGGCCAAGGCGGGCGATCACGAGGTCAGTAGTTTGAGACCATCCTGGCTAACACGGTGAAACCCCGTCTCTACTAAAAATACAAAAAAATCAGCTGGGCGTGGTGGCGGGTGCCTGTAGTCCCAGCTACTTGGGAGGCTGAGGCAGGAGAATGGCTTGAACTGGAGAGGCAGAGGTTGCAGTGAGCCGGGATCACGCCATTGCACTCCAGCCTGGGCGACAGAGCAAGACTCCGTTTTTTAAAAAAAAGTATACGTAAATGTTCATAGCAAATTTTATTAATAGTTGCCCCAAACCGGAAACAACCACTGTAATTAGAGTTTGAAATCAACATGCTCCACATTCAGGCCACTCTCATAACCACAAAGATAATGGGAAAATAGAGCAGGAAAATACTTTGATATACTTAATTTCTGTGAAAAAAACAGGATGTTTTTCTGATGTCTGTTTCTTGGAGACAAGTAATTGTTCATCTCATTATCGCCTCAGACGAGAAACAAAGCAAATAAGAAATGAGATCGTTCTAATCCTTCTATATTTTTGCCCAAATCTTAAGCCACAGAGTAAATAAGATTCTCGGGTATGGATGAAAATAGGGCTACTTTGTCAAAAGTGGAGTATAAAAAAGAGATGCTTTCTCACAGATGAGAAAGAGCTTCCTCTGGGTTGGGAAGGGAGTGAGGGAGGAGAGAAGCCCTGGACTTGGACGAGGAGTCCCAGGTTTATGCGGTGTTTACAAAGAAGTTGCAGGACTGAAAGGGACGTGCCCAGTGGCATATTTATACAAACATGGGATTGGCAAAGAGGCTCCCCCCCCAGCCCCCCCCACCCACATCCTGCGCACACCATGGAAATGGCCAAGGACCTCTTGAAAGGTCCAGAATTCACAGATCTCTCAAAAATCACCTGGTAGAATAGCTGGCCAAGAACCAAACGAACCTCCACACTGTAACTCCTAACATCACCCTTAGAGGTTATGTCAGAGGCCTTTGAACCAGAGCGACTCCATCTTGAATAGGGGCTGGGTAAAATAAGGCTGAGACTTTGCTGGGTTGTATTCCCAGGAGGTTAGGCATTTTAAGTCACAGGATGAGATTAGGAGGTCAAACATCACAAACACCTTCCTGATAAAACAGCTTGCAGTAAAGAAGCTGGCCACACCCACCAAAACCAAGATGACAATGAAAGTGACCTCTGGTCGTCCTCACTGCTCATTATACATTAATTACAATGCATTGCCATACTAAAACACACTCCTACCAATGCCATCACAGTTTACAAATGCTATGGCAATGTCAGGGAGTTACCTTATATGGACTAAAAACGGGAGGAAACCTCAGTTCTGGGAATTGCCTACACCTTACCCAAAAAACTCATGAATAATCCACCCCATGTTTAGCATGTAATCAAGAAGTAACACTAAGTCTGAGCAGCTGAGCGGCCCAAGCCGCTGCTCTGCCTATGGAGTAGCCGTTCTTTATTCCTTTACTTTCCTGATAAACTTGCTTTCGCTTTATGGATTCACCTCTAATTCTTTCCCGCGGGAGACTCAAGAACCCTCTCTTGGGTCTGGATCAGGACCCCTCTCCGGTAACAGTTGGAGCATATAATTACCACCCACCTGTCAAAATGTGGGCCACCCGAAAATAAGTTAGTTATAAAAATTAAAGCTGATATGGTTTGGATTTGTATTCCCACCCAAATCTCCAATGTCGAATTGGGGGAGGGGCCTGGTGGGAGGTGATTGGATCTTGCACGTCAGCGTCCCCCTTGCTGTTCTCACGATACTGAGTTCTCAGGAGATCTAATCCTTTAAACGTGTGTGGCACCTCCCCCTTCTTACTCACTCTCCTGCTCTGCCCTGGTAAGACGCCCCAGTAAGACGATGCTTGCTTCCCCTTCGCCTTCTGCCATGATTTTAAGTTTCCTGAAGCCTCTCAGCCATGCTTCCAGTTAAGCCTGCGGAACTGTGAGTCAGTGAAACCTCTTTTTTTCATAAGTTACCCCGTCTCAGATAGTTCCTTGTAACAATGGGAGAACGGACTATACAAAGAGTGCAGCTTTTTTCACACCTGTGTGGACTGAGATTAATACTGTCTACATATACATGGCAGGTGTCTTCATTTTAACCTAGGAGGATGTTTGAGGAATGATTTACACAGGTTTCCCTTGGGAAGACAGGATGAGGAGACATTTTCTTCATTTCATGCCATTTCCTTTAAATTAATACATGTTAAGCCTTTAAATAATTTTTTTAAAGCCAAAAGGAGAGGATTATGAGCTGCTTTTTGTTTTTAGTATTTATGTGTTTAATTTGTTCTATAAGTACACACAAAGCCAAGTGAAAAGGTTCCAATAGAGGTTTGGGTGTGAGGCTTTAAGTGGCTTCTATTTTGCAAGGTTTCTATGAGGTTAAACAGTAAATATAACAGTATATATTGCTTTAGAATACATATTTGTTTCCATGCATAAATAACATGGAAAAATTACTTTCTGGTAAAGTTGCTTAATTCCTACCACTGACAACAACATCTTCACATAATTTGCTTCAGAATCATGTAGGGGCCTCAAAGACCAGAAAGAAAACAAGCAGCACAGGGTGGTTTGTAAAGTGCAGCAGGGTGGGTACCGTGGCTCATGCCTGTAATCCCAGCAGTTTTGGAGGCTGATGCAGGAGAATCCTTTGAGGCCAGGAGTTTTAGACCAGCCTGGGCGACACAGTGAGACCCTCACCCCCACCACCTCTGCAAAATATATTTTTAAAATTAGCTGGGCGTGGTGGGTGCACCTGTGGTTCCCGCTATTCAAGAGGTTGAGGCATCAGGATCACTTGAGTCCAGGGAGGTCCAGGCTGCAGTGAGCTGTGATTGTGCCACTGCACTCAAGCCTGCGTGACAGAGCAAGACCCTGTCTCAAAAAAACAAAATCGCAAAACAACAACAAAAAAACCCAACCACCCCCTCGCCAAACATACAAAAGTGCAGTGGTAAAGATTTGTGTAGGGGAAGGCGGGCCCAGAGGATGTTTTGAAGTCATCAGGGGCTCTGCTGGCAGCCAACTAGTCTTTCCTGTGTGTTTTCATGCCTTCCAAAAGTGGACCCTGGGAATTCGGGCGAAAGTGGCCCAGTCCTTGTGGCTCCTAGCCTAGAACGCTGAATAGTCTGGAGATTTGCTGAAAGCGACTCTCACCAGGAGATGGCAGCGTCGGCTCAGAGATGCTCCAAGCGGTCCCAACCGCCTTGTGACGCCATGCAATATGTTCAGGGCACACCAGAGGGCGCTACGGCTTCGCGGCTGGGCACTGAGCCGGGCTGGCTCCGAGGCTTTCTTTGCGGAGCCTCCTGTCTCTGCTCCCCGACCCACATGTGCACCTACTAACCAAGAGCGCCCTGTTACTGTCCACGTAGGTGTGACTGCTCTGCGTAGACACACACCGCCCCCAAGCTGAGGCAAGGCCACTGAGCCACCAATTCCAAGCAAGGTTCAGAAGGAGCTGCCATCTTTTTAGCACCTCTTTTAGACTTAAGCCACCGAGGGGGAAAAAGCAAAGAACTAGGACGAGTTGCATGCATGCTTCAGTATACTCAGCACAGATGCGCACACTAAAAGATCATATCTATCCACATAGATGTGTAGTTTAACATAAGAAAGTAACTTTATCCTTTACCCCGCCCGCTTAATACTCTAGGTGATTGATTTACAGGGTGGTAGAAAAGAGATGCAATCCCAAATTTGTCTAATTCTAAATCATCCCTTCTTGTTAAAGCCTTCACTCCCCCCTGCAACGCTGGAACAAGAGAAAATTCATTCGAAAATTAAATTCAGTGTCACTTGTAATTTATTTTTTTTTATGGGGTCTTGCTCTGTTGCCCAAGCAGGAGGGTAGTGGCACGATTTTGGTTCACTGCAGTCTCGACCTCCTGGGTTCAAGTGATCCTCCTCCCTCAACCCCCAAGTAGCTGGGACCACAGGCACACACCACCATGCCCCGCTAATTTATTTATTTTTATTTTTATTTTTTGTAGAGACAGAACCTCACCATGTTGCCCAGGCTGGTCTCAAACTCCTGGGCTTAAGTGATCCGCCTGCCTCGCCCTCCCAAAGTGTTGGAATTACAGGCGTGAGCCACTGTGCCTGGCCTTTTTTTTTAATTTTCCAAACAGATCACTATTGCACTAAATAATTTTACCAACTGCTAAATAGAAGCTTTTCTACCAAAAGCAAGTTCTGGTTAAGTGAAATATAATATGGAATTCTGGCCTCGTGTAGAGTCTCAGGAGCATCGCATATTACAGTCTTTTGTAATCACAATAGCACCTAGAAAGTCCAATTACCATATACATTCTAAAGCAAGGCTAAGGCCTCACAGCTTGTAATCCCAGCATTTTAGGAGGCCGAGGCAAGTGGATCGCTTCAGGCCAGGAGTTTGAGACCAGCCTGGGCAACATAGGGAGACCTTGTCTCTACGAAAATTAAAAAATTAGCTGAGTGTGGTGGTACACGACTGTAGTCCCAGTTATTCGGGAGGCAAAAGCTGGGGAGAAAGGATCACTCGGGCCCAGGAGGTTGAGGCTGCAGTGAGACAAGACCCTGTCGCTGAACTCTAGCCTGGGCAACAGGGTGAGACTCTCTCTCAAAAGGAAAATAAAATAGAACAAGAGTAGATGAAACATGCTGTGCTTGTTCCCTAAAATGTTAATAAGTAAAACAAAGTGCATGTTGTCAGGTCGAGGTGAGATGTGAATGAGTGCTGACCCAGGAGTCTTTTTCACACAGATGACTGCTGGCTGCAAGGCCTTTATAATCAGCAAAACAAAGCTATCTGGTAAATCAACATGAGCTGAAAGTGACATTAACAAAAGAAAAAAGATTGAAGCCATGAATGTAACAATTTTTCTCTAACCTGCCTTGGTCAGACCACTCTTGGTGGTGCTGAGCTTTTGATGCTACACTTTGAAGGTGTTTTGAGTGACTGAAAAATTGTCAGGAGAAGGCTCTGGATGGTCAAGTACTACCCCAGGCCAGATGTTCCCAGGGCCCTCAGCTGTTTTTTATACTGTAGGCTGAAGAAGAGATGACTTACAGAGAGCATTGCACCTGTATTCAAATACGCACATACTCGGGGGAGGTTTGAAGGGCTCTTAGTGATCAGATGTAGACCTATGAACAGAAGATAGACACAGAGGTGGAGCATATATCCTTTAAGGAGAAACATTGTCACACACAGCATGATCCTGTAGTGAAACGGGTAGCCTGGTTAAGGGATCAGTAAACACGTGAAGGACTCATGAGATATTAACACATAAGAAGGAAATTCTTTCCACGGATGGTACGTGCTAAAGTAGATGCTGGGAGTATGACAGTGACCGAGGCAGGCTCTGTCCTTGCCTTCCCAGGGCTTCGGACTGATGGGAAAAACAGGCATTACAAGCATGGGTGCGTGAAATGTAGTATAACTGCGGAAGTCAGAGAATAATTCCCAGGGGAAGATTGTCTAATCTGTGACCTGCAAAGTGAGTGAATAGGAGTGACTTAGATAAAGAGAGTGGGAGAAAGAGGATTTTCCCATGGGAATAATCTGCCTTCCCAAACACAAAGGTATCTGTGACTTCCTATACACATGTGACTTTTCCAAAACACCAAGAAAGATGTCCTAACAAACTATCCCAAAGTTTTGTGATTGAAAACCACGATCATGTATTTGTTGATGATTCTGAAGCTTGGGCTGGGTCTGGGTGGTTCCTCTCTTGGCTTACCTGGGGCCCCACGTAGGGCTGTCATAATATGTTAGGTCAGGTTGGGTAAATGGTCCAGATGGTGTCAAGTTTCTGGCAGTGGATGCTGGCATTCTCTGAGTCACCTTCATTCTTCTCCACCTGGCCTCTTATCCTCCAGTAGACTAGACAGTTTGTTTTATCGTGGTCTCAGGGGAGCATTTCAAAAGGGTAACGGAGGGTGCTTCAAGGTATTTGGGGGCCCGGGTCATAAAACTCACATACAAGGCAGCTCACTTGAGCTCAGGAGTTCAAGAACAGCCTGGCCAACAAGAGGAAACCCTGTCTCTACTAAAAAGTACAAACATTAGCCGGGCATGGTGGTGCATATCTGTAATCCCAGCTACCCGGGAGGCTGAGGCAAGAGAATTGCTTGAACCTGGGAGGAGAAGGTTGTAGTGAGCTGAGGTCATGCAACCGTACTCCACCCTGGGTGATGGAGCAAGACTCAGTCTCAAATAAGTTTGCAAGCTCTCTTTTAAGCAAATCCTTCTGTCATTTTGAGGTGAACCGACAACCCCCTCTCCTTTGTGCTCGAAAGTCTTTTGGAAATCAAGTAGAAGCATGTTCCTGAAGCCATACCAAGCATAACAAGTATCTTCCGCTTCCTAAGGGTACCTCTTTGTTCCTTTAACCCAAAGAAGCAACTGTAGACATACAAATCAAGAGTCCAGCAATTCTTCATAGTTATGAGTCGGAATTTGTGTTATTTAATCAACCTTAATGCTGGCAAAAACTATTCCTTTGTTTTGCTTTGGGGAGAACTGGAGTCTCTTTGAGGTGGCAGGAATAAAGATCTGTTGATTCAACGCATTTTGTGTTAGATCAGCTAGGCTCTGTAAAATGACATGCCCCTGAGCGTCAGGTTGCCTGTATTTTGCTAAGATAGGAAGGATCCCCTCAGGGACAGACAGGCCTGGGGCTAATTATTGCTGCAGGGTGGATTCATCCTGAATCTTTTCACTAACAAAGACAAATTATCTCATATATTTTACAAGGCCCTAAAAAATTAGGTGAGTGACTGTAAATGTCCAGCCAACACATGAACCCAGAGTCAGCAGACAGCACCCAGCCAGAGAGACTCCTCATTTTGGTTTGCATAAAGATGAGACTAGGTTACCACAATGGGACAAACAGTTGATGAGATCTTTCACATACCATGATTTTCTTTGATCCTCACTGCAGGCATTGAGAGGGAGGCATTATTATTACCTTCTTCTGCAAACAAGGAAACTGGCTTGGAAACCTCAGAATAAGAGTCAGTAGAGCTTGGGTTTTGTGGACGTCCAGCTCTCAGCACCAATTCCACCTCCACCATCCATTTGCAGTGTGACGTTCAGCAGGTTTTTAAACCTCAAATCTCTTCGAGACTCAGTCTTCTTATAATGGGGATGATACTACCTACGTCATAGACTTGTGACAACAGAGAAGAATTCATTCACACCTGCACCCACCAACAATGCCTGGCGCCTCAGCAGTGTTATCAGTGGTGGTTAAGCAGTGGGCCTGAGGTCGGACTGCTTATGTTCAAAGTCTGTCTCTGCTGCCTGCCAAAGGTCAGACATTTAAAACCTGTGCCATATTGCCTGATTTATAAAATGTGGACAATGGCTGGGCACGATGGCTCACGCCTATAATAATCCTAGCACTTTGGGAGGTCGAGGTGGGTGGATCACTTAAGGTCAGGAGTTCGAGACCAGCTTGACCAAAGTGGTGAAACCCTGTCTCTACTACAAATACAAAAATTAGCCGGACGTGGTGGTATGTGCCTGTAATCCTAGCTACTTGGGTGGCTGAGACAGGAGAATTGCTTGAACCTGGGAGGCAGAGTTTGCAGTGAGCTGAGATTGCGCCACTGCACTCCAGCCTGGGCAACAGAGCAAGACTCCGTCTCTAAATAAATAAATAAATAAATAAATAAATAAATAAATAAAGTGAAGAATAACAGCTGCCCTAGTAGTTTATTGTGAAACTTGAAATTGGTAATGGTAGGGAAAGCCAACAATAAGCACTTAAATGAAGATGATAATAATGGTTCTCTTAACCCTCGCGGGATCTATCCCAGGTCACAGAGCGTGTAAAGCCCAGGGCCCGGTTCCAGTGCCAGGTCTTCTGGATTTAAATTCTGAGGATTTTCTATGGTGAGACTAGAGCACAGGCCGAGTACAGTGGTTCATTCCTGCAATCCCAGCACTTTGGGAGGCAAAGGTGGGTAGATGACTTGAGCTCAGGAGTTTGAGACCAGCCTGGGCAACATGGCAAAACCCCCACCTGTATAAAAAATACAAAAATTAGCTGAACGTGGTGGCAGGCACCTATAGTTCCAGCTACTTGGGAGGCTGAGGTGGGAGAACTGCTTGAGCCCAGGAGGTCGAGGCTTCAGTGAACCATGATCGTGCCACTGCACTCCAGCGTGGGCAACAAAGTGAAACCCCATTTCAAAAACAAAGAAAAAAGAAAAAAAAAAACAGTAGAGACTACAGCACAGAATTAAGGGCAAGGATGGTAAACAATTTGAAGTTCCAAGACACGAGATTTCTGTGATGGCAGAAGAGACTTGAGCAACTTTCAAGAGACAATGGAAGCCTGGGAGGGCTGGGCTAATGCCTTCCATGTGGCCAAGATGCGACCTCTCAGGCTTTAATCAGACAGTCTCAGAATGAGGTTACGTTGCAAGACCTGCATAGCTTTTCTAGTCTGTGCACAAACTGTGTTGGTCACGGACTGAGTTATGAAGCTATTGGGTCTGGGTGTGAATGGCAGGGTCTGTCTTCAGCTCAAGTTTGATAGAGGAATCTCTGCCATAGCCACAAGGAAGCCATGTTACTTTATTTTCCTTCCTTTATCTCTGTAGCCGCCTCTTTTCAGGAATTACTGGGGGTAGTCATTTGTATGTGTAGTAAAAAGTGTCTTCTGTATCATTCACTCTTTTTGCTTCTTTCTTTTTTTTTTTGAGATAGAGTCTCGCTCTGTCGTCCAGGCTGGAGTGCAGTGGCATGATCTTGGCTCACTGCAACCTCAGCCTCCTGGGTTCGAGCGATTCTTCTGCCTCAGCCTCCCAGGTAGCTGGGACTACAGGCAGATGCCACCACGCCCAGCTAATTTTAGTATTTTTAGTAGAGACGGGGTTTCACCCTATTGGCCAGGCTGGTCTCAAACTCCTGACCTCGTGATCTGCCTGGGCCTCCCAAAGTGCTGGGATTACAGGCGTGAGCCACCGCGCCGGGCCCCATTCACTCTTTTCTGGCACTACCACTTGACTGAGGTCAAATGGCTATTTGTGTTAAGATTCCATTTCCTTATCTGTAAAATGGGTAACAATGTATCTATTCCTCCTAAATAAAGTATTTTCTTGGGATTTTAACTGAGTTCATATAAGATAATGTAGATAAAGCACTTGCCAATTATTTACTAGTCACTGCTTTACTACTTATTGATAACTCTATTCGAGATACAGTATTAGGGATATAGCAGGAAGAACGGGATTTGGTTCTTTGGTTATAGCCTGGAGGTCTGAGTTTGAGTCCTGGTTCTGTTACTGATGAGTTTTGTGATCTGGGAAAAGTAACTTTTTCTTTCAGACCTTTTTAGTTTTTTTTTCTTCAGCTTTTAAGTTCAAGGGTACATGAGCAGGATGTGTGGGTTTGTTACATAGGTAAAAGTGTTCCATGGTGGTTGGCTGCACAAACCATTCCATTACCTAGGTATTAAGCCCAGCATCCATTGGCTATTCTTCCTGATGCTCTCCCTCCCGCTGCCTCTCTCCCCCACACAGGCCCCAGTGTGTGTTGTTCCCTCCCTGTGTCCATGTGTTCTCATGGTTCACCTTTCACTTATAAGTGAGAACATGCAGTGTATGGTTTTCTGTACCTGCATTACTTTGCCGAGGATAACAGCATCCAGCTCCATCCATGTTCCTGCAAAGGACATGATCTCATTCCTTTTTATGGCTGCATAGTATTCCGTGGTATATGTGTAACCACATTTTCTTTATCTAGTCTATCATTGATGGGCATTTGGGTTGATTCCATGTCTTTGCTGTTGTAAATAGTGCTACAATGATCATACACGTGCACGTTGTTTTGTTTTGTGTTTTCATCTGATTTTGGAGAAGATCAACATTATTAGGCCCATGAGATTGTCCTCAATATGAAAAGGGTGTCAGTGGACACGGAAGTCTGGGAAACTTTGCATCTTATGTTCTTTTTTTGTGGAAATCTTCAATACATACTATAGTAAAGACCCTGAGAAGTCCTGCAGTGAAGAAACTTGTTTAATTTGGATTAAACTAAAATTTCCCGCTATAGTAGCAAATCACCATCCCCTGGAATATTCTTTGGAACATACTGAACTAGGTGATCTCCCAAGAGACTTTTCCACTTTGAAAATCTTTTTTTTTCTCTCTACTCACGTCAACTGTGTTCAGTGTTTCTTTCTGTAGTTTCAGCATCACATATAAGGGGCGGTGCTCCCTTTGTTGATAAGAGGCTACACCTGTCAATTTTAAGCCCCCTGGCATGAACAACTGACAGATCTACATTTACATAAAGCCATGTGAGTAAAATACCCATCCTCATATGAGCAAAGAAGATGATGATCTGCAAAATCTAAAATGTGCTTTGCAACATTTTTATTGCTGCCAATGCCATATTTTCCTTCTGTTCACAGGGCAGCCTTTTTTTCGGGTATTGTATCCCATTTTTGCCACCTAAATGGAGAGAAAAACTTGGAAGCAGAAGCCTTTCATTGCCCTCTGAGTAGGGGAACCAAATAAGACTGATGGTCTGGAAACCAGAAAGTTTGGAATCTAATTCTGCCTGCATTTCTCCATCTAGAAAGAAAGAAAGAAGAGTGAAGCTAGATTGGTCTCTGTGTTCTTACCCAGCATGAGATGATGTTTCTTTTTAGACGAATAGCATCCAGTAATCTAGTACCTGCTTTTAATCCTGCAGTAGTTCCATAGTTTATCACTGTAGCCTCCTTTTTTGGCGGAGAGAGTCTTGCTCTGTCACCTAGGCTGGAGTGTAGTGGTGCGATCTTGGCTCACTGCAACCTCCACCTCCCGGGTTCAAGATCCTCTTGCCTCAGCCTCCCAAATAGCTGGGACTACAGGCATGTGCCACCACACCCAGCTAATTTTTATATTTTTAGTAGGGATGGAGATTCACCATGTTGGCCAGGCTGGTCTCAAACAGCTGAAGGTGATCTGCCTGTCTCAGGCCTCCAAAAGTGCTGGGATTATGAGCATGAGCCACCTTGCCCGGCCTGCAGCCTCTTGTAGTAGCCTCTGGTCTTGTATGGTTTGCATTAGCTTCCTTGCACCAATGAACACCATCAGGGGTTGGAAGTAGCCCAAACCCATCTGGCTCTTTTAATGGGGCTGCACTTCACCCCTCATGCCAACATCAATGTCACCCTCATTCTTCGGGAAAATACTCTTACTGCTGAGGCAGCCTTGTGTCCTGGATTCTAGGGATTTGGGTATTTTCTTTCTTTTTCTTATATTAAAATAAATAGCATTGACATAAACCCTAATTTACATTATGTGAAGGATTTTACTTAAATCCTCAAGAGCCATGAGAATCAGACCTGGGCCTGCAAATAGGGCCAGTCACACTGGCATAGATTAAGGCACGAGGATCAGCTTCCATTTTGGGGCTAAAGACTGTTTTTGCTTTTGTGGCTCTGTCAGGCCCTTAACATCACTTAAGCATAATTGATTTGGGGGAACTGAAAGCTGTGAATGTGTACATTGGCTTCTGTTGCTCCAGAAGTGTTTTAAAGCAGCTCCAATTCCCTGAACTATTGAGCACAGGGAATCTCTCCCCATAAAAAGCTTTAAGCATTGATTTTGAGGTTATTTACTGCACTCATCTCCCTGTTCCCATGTGGGATCAGCTAATTAGGACCCATTTGTGATGTGTCTGAATCACATCAGTAACCCCCTTTTTGGGGAAAAGGGGTCCATACACTTGCAGGTAAAGGACCATCAAACACCTGCACTGTGTCTCAGGGTGGCTCAGTGACTTTACTACTCTGTGAACTTGGGCCAAGTGTTTTGCCCCCCTGGGTACCACTCAGCTTCCTTCTGTGAAATGAGGCCAATAACTCCAGTCATGAACCTCTCTTAGGACTGCTCAGCTGGGACACCTTTTCTCCCCTCCCCAATTTGCCCTAAAACATCTGTGGGCAATCTTGGCTTTCTCTGGCTCACCTTGTTCTCCAGTGTCCTTGAGGATTGGCAAAGGGTGCTCCTGTTTCTGGTGACAACCTATTATTTTGATTGATGAACTTACACTCCTTCTTCCACATTCAAACCAAGTGTTTTCATCCCAGGTGGTTTTTCTTGACATGGCAGGATAGATGCCACTCTTCCATGGCCCTCAGATGCCCTGCATTTACATTCATCATAGCACTTGGAAAACCCAAAGCCCCACCCTCAAAATGCTTACGGACTCTTCTGTAATTGTGTGTTTCCAGCATCGCATACTCTGTTTGTTGGCAAATGCTCTTCTAGGAATATTATAGTTGGTGAACGAAAGTGAAGAATGTATCTTATTTTAATATAAGTGGTTATAAAACAAAAACCAGAAAAAAAGATGCCACTAGTGAACTGAGTGCAGGAAAGAAACCCAAAAAACTTGATGATGATCTACTATGAGCCAGGACACTTTAGGCATTTTACCTCATTTAACCTCTTCTAATTTGAATGATGTATATGGTAGCAATGCAGTTTGAAAGAGGAAGAAATTGACTCTCAGAGTATAAGTAACTTACTGTGGTCAGTTGGGTCTTTTGGGAAGCAGACACCCAGACAGAGTCAGGAGTGCAAGTGGTTTATTGTTTGCATAAGTGATGCTTTTGAAAGATAAAGCAGGAAGGAACCAGAATTAAGCACAAAATCCTTCAGACTGCAATGTGGATCTGATACATATAAAGAGAAAGAGATGAGGATACAGGATTTGGCGAGGATAGCCACAGAAACATGATGCACATCTGAGGAAGTGTTGGCCAATACAACAGGGATCTCCAGAGGAAAAAGTGCCCATTAGAAGTGCCTGAAACTGGGCAGAATAGTCATGCTCCAGTATCCAGGATCATGCGGGGAGGTCAGAAGCTGAGGTGTGTTCTGAAGGCCTTGCAGCTGGAAGTTGTCAGTTCAATGTATTCCTTGCCACATTTAATCTAGATGTTCCAACAAATGCCTGATTTGAAGGTAGGTCAGTCTGACTTTAAAGCCCATTTTCTACTACAGTTTTGAAGCTTAAAGGGCCTCCTGTTATATATTCTGAAATAAAGTTTTAATGATCAAATGCATGACCAAGTTTAGCATAATACCAACATAAATACGACATTAAGCTTAAGGTCCTTTGTAAAACAAGATACAAGGTGACCTTCTAGTCTTGGTTCCATTACTGTTTCCTCTCTCATGAAATTGTCTTGGCAGGACCTACAAGGATCATATAATACACTGAATGATTAACAGTTATTAAAATCCCAGATGATTGGACCCACTGATTAAGCAACTGTATGGACCTCCAAATTACTTAACAGGCTCTCATGGTTGCCAAGTATTGTAACCCTAGGCTAGAGAGGCAAGGCATTAATACAAGCTGGATTGCTGCTTCTGCTTCCTCTAGCGGGGCTTGGTCTAAGCCAAGTCTTGATTAGCCGTGACCTCATCTTCATCATAGACATCCTGGGACTGCACCCTTTCAACCTCCTCCATTGATGGCCACTTGAGGGCTATCAGGATGGAATGACATGGGATCTGGCACAGTATAAATTCTCTGGAGTATTCAGAAAACTACAAATCAATACCGAACTTCTCCTTTCAATCCAATGCTCTCTCAAATCTTTTTAAAAGCTGCAAAAAAGATGTCAAGTAGAGGGAGACTGAGATGAGTTTTGATGATTATAGTGCTGATTTTTTTTTTTTCAGACACAGTCTCACTCTGTCACCCAGGATAGAGCGCAGTGGTGCTCTCTCAGTTCACTGCAGCCTATGCCTCTCAAGTTCAAGTGATTCTCCTGCCTCAGCCACCCAAGAAGCTAGGATTACAAGTGCCCACCACCACACCTGGCTAATTTTTGTATTTTTAGTAGAGATGGGTTTTCACCACGTTGGCTAGGCTTGTCTCAAACTACTGACCTCATGTGATCCACCGACCTCGGCCCCCCAAGGTGCTGGGATTACAGACATGAGCCATCGCACCTGGCCATATAGTGCTCAATTTTGTAAAGCCAGATTTAGAAATGGTGGTAAAAATAGTCTCAATTACTCTATTTCTCAGACACCAGCCTAGAGCTAATAAGTATCTGTCGAGATTGAGCTCAGAATAATTACATTATTACAGATATAATAAAGATGAAGATGATGATTGTCTCAAAAGAACAAGAAGATTAGTAGCTGGCACCAGAATTGTAAATCCCATCCTAGTCTACACTGATCTTACAAATTCTAGTCCCAGAGTCACCAGTTCTTTAGTGGAACAGACAAGCCTAAAATCCAGTCTGGTAGTCTGTTATAATTATAGGGAGTAATATAGCTCTTGAAATTAACATGTTGGTGGCTGGTTCAACTGGTGGTGAACTCCCATCCCTGGAGCTGCTGAAAAAGGCAAGAAAGTAATCACTCAAGCAGGCTGTGGATGAGAGTCTTGTAGAGAAAAGGAGGTGGGAATCTATACATTTCCTTGTAACTTTTAAGGTTGACCTTAAGGTAGGCACAAAGAATCCAAGAGAAAAAAACTTCATTATAATTTATTCATAATTCCACATTTGCCAGCACCTTTCTTCAGATTATGCTGTCATGTCTAGGCATTTATTTTCTAACTCATACGTATGATTGTATCACTTAATTGCCAGAATCAACAATGGCTTTTTTTATAGTTATTGTGATTCATTCCAACTACGAAACCTTTCCAACATGATCTTCCTCTTTCCCTTTAGACCCCGCTCCTTTTCATCCTCCTCCTTATGTTAGAGCATGACATAAACTTAGATGCCACCTATATTAGCTATTTATTGCTGTGTAACAAATTAACCCAAAACATAGTGGCTTATAACATTATGCATTTATTGCATGGAAATTCAGAAATGGTTAGCTGTGTGGTTCTGGCTTGAGGTCTCTCATCAGGCTGCAAGAAAGATTGGAGGTGGGGCTGTAGTTATCTGAATACTCGGCTGGGCTGGGGAATCTGCTTCTGGAAGGCTTTCTCACATAGCCCAGTGGTTGTCAGGAAACCTCAGTCCTTCTTCATGGACTGCTTGAGGACCATCACAACATGGTAACTGGCTTCCTGCAGAATCTAAAGTCCAAGAGGGAGCAAGGCCAAAGCCCAATATTTGTTATGGCCTAGCCTTGGAAATCACAATTATTTCAGCAATATTTTATAAGTTATACAGGTCAGCTTTTTTCAGTGTGAGAGGGAACTTACACAAAGGCATGAATACCAGGAGACAGAGGTCACTGAGGGAGTTTCTGGAAGCCAGTTGTGATGCCCATAACTTGGAACACGCTGTTCCTTTTGCCTTGATTGTTCTTGCCTCTCCTCTACCAAGAAATATCCTGTCCCTCCTTGCAGAATCATCTCAAATGCAACCAACTTTGTGGAGCCTTCTCTGAATCTATAAACAGAACTAATCATTTTCTTTTTGTTTTCCTAGAGCATTTTGTATATACTCTTATAAAAAGATGCATTTTTATTGTAAAGTACAAAGTCTATCTCTCTACCAAGAGGTATGTAAAAGAAAGGGCCACATCTTCTCTACTGTTTTTAATTCTAAATTTTGGCAAATAACAGGTACTTAAGGAATATTTTAATGAATTAATCTCACTTTTCTCATCTCATTATCCCTAACCTTGTTTCGGGGCCAAAATCGATACTAATAAAAACCAAAGTAGAAACAGCACCTAAGATAGAGTAAAAGGCATCATATATATATTTTTAAATTAAACACTAAAATAAGTATACTTTTAATAGGAAATTGAAAAGAATACTTTTCTATAGGAAAAACTTGGGATAAGATGGAAGTTACAACTATTAGAACAGTAAAAAGCACTGGAAATTATGGTGCCCAAATTTAGTGTTTAGCAAATGGGAAAAACTGAGGCCTCATTTTAACACATACTTTTCATGGAAGACACTAGATAAGAGAGTTAATAAACCTTGATAAAAACAAGAGAATTAAATCGCTTGAGTATATTTTTCTTTTTATTCTTTTGTCACTTTAATAATCTTCAATCTCTACCCTCATCATTCACGTCTTTCTTGAAGAATAACAATATAGAATGAATGGCTTAAATGGGTCAGAAGTGACTAGGAAAGCACCTGTGTGTGTGTGCATACACACACACACACACACACACATATATGTGTGCTTTCCTAATATAAATATAAATATATGTATATTACATATATATTTTTTTGGATGGAGTTTTGCTCGTCACCCGGGCTGGAGTACAGTGGTGCGATCTTGGTTCACTGCAACCTCTCCCTCCGGGGTTCAAGCGATTCTCCTGCTTCAAGCTATTCTCCTTCTTCAGCCTCCCGAGTAGCTGGGATTACAGGCATGCACCATCACGTCCGGCTAATTTTGTATTTTTAGTAGAGATGGGGTTTCTCCATGTTGGCCAGGCTGGTCTTGACCTCCCAACCTCAGGTGATACGCCCGCCTCTGCCTCCCAAAGTGCTGGGGTTACAGGCGTGAGCCACCGCGCCCTTCCTGTGTTGACTTCGAAACACTAAAACAAGACTCAGGCATTTGGTACCAGGTATGGGTAGACAAGAGCTCTTTAAAAAAAGGGAACACTTGGAGGAAGCCTCATTACTTGCTGAACTCCAGTGTTTTCTATTCTCCACGCAAGATCCTAACTTCCAGAGAGGGGTGTATATTTCCTGGAGAAGGAAAAATAAATGCAATGGCAAAGGCTTTGCTGAGGGCTGAAGATCAATATTCTATTATAAAACTAGGAGTGAGGCTGGGCGCAGTGGCTCATGCCTATAATCTCAGTACTTTGGAAGGCCGAGGTGGGTGGATCACCTGAGGTCAGGAGTTTGAGACCAGCCTAGCCAACGTGGTGAAACCCTGTCTCTACTAAAAGTACAAAAATTAGATGGGCGTGGTGGCGGGTGCCTGAAATCCCAGCTACTTGGGAGGCTGAGGCGGGATAATTGCTTGAACCCGGGAGGCAGAGGTTGCAGTCAGCCAAGATCGTGCCATTGCACTCCAGCCTGGGTGACAGAGTGAGACTCCATCTCAAAATAATAAAATAAAACTAGGAGTGAGAAATGGAATTGGAAAGTGGACAGAGAGAGAACAATGACTTTTTAAAATTCAACCTTGAATTTAAGCTGTATTTTTTTTTAATCTGTGTAGATCAGGGCTCACTGAAGTCCCCAGTCTCATTTGTCTATGACCATCACCGTCTAAAATTGGTGCAAGTAGTTCTCATTGTTGGCAGTTGTGCCAGTATCAGCATGGGTTTTCAGATGTTCCTGAGTGAGGAGAAGGAAAATAAGCTATCTGTGGATTAAGAGAACTTTACTGCAGTCAGCCTCATTGCACCAAACTCACCACCAAGGTGTAGGCAGGGCATTTGCTGCTAGCATGGCATCAGTGACATCTAAAAGGTTTAGTCTGAGTTGGCCAACAAGTTCCCTGAAGAACACTTCTGCTCATCCTCATTGTGTCCCAAGTCACTGCAGCAACTAATACTGAGCACAGATGTTTTCAATCTTTGCTTGCTGAACCCACCCAATGCGGATAAATAATAGCTTTAGCTATTGCACTTTAAGGCTACTTACACAATAGGCTGAAGTCATTCTAAGATTTTCAGTGAGAATGGAAATCATCATAGAATTATCGAAGATTCAGGGGCTTGGGAGAGCCCTTAAATGACTCATCTACAATGTTGTTGGAACCAAACCAAAGATTCTCAGCCTTACTGAGTATTAGAATAACCTGGGGAATTTACAGCTCTATCCCAAATCAGAGGAATCAGAGTCTCTGGCGGTGGGGCATGGGCATATTTTTTACGTTATCTTCAGGTTATCATAATATACATTTGGGGTTGAGAAGCACAAGCTCTAATGATATCCAGGGCTCAAAAAGGGTATGAGAATGAATCAAATTCACAGAGAATTAGTGCAAAGTCTAAACTCTAGGTTTCTTGGCTTCCATTATGGTCTTCTTTCCAATGTACCATGGTTATGTACCTGGTAATTACTGTACTTAATTATATCTACTCAATTCAGAAAGTAGAGATGATTTTTGTTTTCATTTTTTGAGGTAAGGTGTCACTCTGCTCAGGCTGGAGTACAATGGTAGGATCATGGCTCACTTGTAGCCTTGAACTCCTGCGCTGAAGCAATCCTCTGCCTCAGTCTCCTGAGTAGCTAGGACTACAGGTGCACATCACAATGCCCAGCTATTTTTTTAAATTTCTCTTGTAGAGATGGGATCTCACTTTGGTGACCAGGCAGGTTTCGAACTCCTGGCCTCAAGCTATCCTCCAACCTCAGCCTCCCAAAGTGTTGGGATTACAGGCTTGAGCCGCTGTGCCCTACCGAGACAGTAAATCTTAAGATCTTTTTCTTTGAGTAATGACCCTCAGACATCCAAGATCCTCAGACAACAAAATATTGGGCTCCATTACTTGTTGAGAATTGGGCTGAATTGATGATTTTTGAGAGACAGCGTAGTCCATAGAAAGCCATCAGACTAGAAGTCATGGAAAATCAGGTTCTAGTGTCAGCTTTGCCTTAGGCTAGCCAGGCAACTTACGTTGAATGGCATTCGGTTGGGGCCAGGGTTCTCTATCCTGACTGCATACTAGAATTACCTTTGTATGCTTAAAAGAGTCAAAAACTCTGACCTCACTCCCAGATACTTGTATTTAGAAAATCTGCATTGGATCACTTCTCCGCCTTTTGGCTAAGATCAAGTGTAGAAAATGTACACTGGCCTACGAACATGTATTTTAGAAGATTTTCAAGTGATTCCAATATGCACCCCTAGATGAAAACCCCTGTACTAGCGATCTCCAGAGACCCCTTTTTTTAAAAACACAATTCACCCATTTAAAGTGCAAAATTCTATGATTCTGATACATTCACAACCATCTTCAAACTCAATTTGAGAACATTTCATCACCCAGCAAGAAACTCTGTACACTTTATCAACCCCGTGACCCCTAGGCTCTTCTTATCCCTAGGAAACCACTAATCGACTTTGAGTCTATAGGTTTCAATATTTTGGACATTTTATAGGAATGAAATGATATGTGGCTTCTTTCACTTTGCAAAATGTTTTAAAAATTCATACATGTTGTAGCATGTGTCAGTAATCTTTTTATTTTATCATAAAATAAGTTATATATATTTGTGGATTACAAAGTAATATGATATGTGTGTATAATGTGTAATGATTCAGTCAAGCCGATACATATATCCACCTCAAATACTTATCATTTTTGTAATGAGAACATTTAAAATCTACTTAGCAACTTTGAACTATACATTATTATCAACTGCAGTTAATATGCTATGCAGTAGATTTCAAAAAACCTTATTTCTCCTAACTGAAACTTTGTACCTTGAACCATCTCCCCATTCCACCTTCCCCCAGCCTCTGGTAACCATTATTCTGTTGTCTATTTCTATGACTTCACTGGTTTTAGATTCTGCATATACGTAAGACCATGTAGTTTTTGTCTTTCTGTGTCTCTCACTTAACTTAGCATAATGTCCTCCAAGTTTATTCATATTGCCACAAATGACAGAATTTCCTTCTTTTAATGGCTGAATAATATTTCATTGTGTATAATACCATATTTTCTTGTATAATATCAACCATTGATGGATGCTTAGGTTGATTCCAGGTCTTGGCTCATTGTGAATAATGCTGCAATGACATGGGTGTGTAGATATCTCTTCAACATACTGATTTTAATTTCTTCAGATATATACCCAGAAGTGGGATTGCTGGACTTCATGATCATTCTATTTTTAGTTTTTTGAAGAACCACTATATAGTTTTTTATATTGATTGTACTAATTTACATTCCCACCAACAGTATGCAACAGTTCCTTTGTCTCCACATCCTCATCAACACCTATCTTTCATCTTTTTTGATAATAACCATTCTGACAGGTGTGCGGTGATAGATTATTGTGGTTTTAATTTGCATTTCTCTAATGAACAGTACTGTTGAGTGTGTTTTTGTATGTCTGTTGGCCATTTTTATGTCACCTTTTGAGTAATGTCTATTCAGTAATTTAAATTGGGTTATTGGATTATTTGCTATTGAGTTTTTATAGTTCCTTATATATTTTAGATGTTAAACTGTTATTAGATGTATGGCTTGCAAATAATTTTTCTCTTTCTGTAAGTTATCTCTTTATTCTTTTTTTTTTTTTTTTTTTTTTTTTTGAGACAGAGTCTCACTGTGTCACCTAGGCTGGAGTACAGTGGCTTGATTTCAGCTTACTGCAACTTCCGCCTCCCAGGTTCAAGCATTTCTCCTGCCTCAGCCTCCCAAGTAGCTGGGATGACAGGCACATGCCACTACACCCAGCTAATTTTTGTATTTTTAGTAGAGATGGGGTTTCACCATGTTGGCCAGGGTGGTCTCAAACTCCTGACCTCATGTGATCCACCTCAGCTTCCCAAAGTGCTGGGATTACAGACATGAGCCACCATGCCTGGCCATCTCTTTACTCTTGATTGTTTTCTTTGATGTGTAGCGCTTTTTAGTTTGATGTAATCACATTTCCCTATTTTTACTTTTGTTGCCAAAGCTTTTGGGGTCAATCCAAAAGATCTTTGCCTAGACAAATGTAATGTAACTTTCTCCCTTTTTTCCTCTAGTATGATAATTTCAGGACTTACATTTAAGTCTTTAATCTGTTTTGAGTTGATTTTTTTTAATAGGGTGTGAAATAGGGTCCAATTTCATTCATCTGCAGGTGAATTTCAAGTTTTCCCAACTCTTTATTGAAGAGACTGTCCTTACCCCATTGTGTGTGTTCAAAAATCAATTAGCCATAAATATATGGGTTCATTTCTGGGCTCTGTATTGTGTTCCATTGGTTAAATGTGTGTATTTTGATGACAGTACCATGCTATTTTAATTACTTTAGTTTTGTATTATATTTTGAATTCAGATAGTATGATGCCTCCAGCTTTGTTCTTTTTCCTTAAGGTTGCCTTGGCTGCTTAGGGTGTTTTTTGTGTGTGTGATTTCATACAAGTTTTAGGATTTTTTTTTTCTATTTCTGTGAAAAATGACATTAGAATTTTCGTAGAGATTGCATTAAATCCGTGTATCACTTTGGGTATGTGTGTACATTTTAACAATATTAATTTTTCCAATCAATGAACGTGGAATATTTTGATATTTATTTGTATCTTTTTTAACTTCTTCATCAATGTTTTATAGTTTTCATTGTAGATCTATTTCACCTCTTTGGTTAAATTTATTTCTAAGTATTTTATTTTTTGTAACTATTGTAAATGGAATTATTTTCTTGATTTCTTTTTCTAATAGTTCATTTTTAGTGTCTAGAAATGCTATTGATTTTTTTAAAAATTATACTTTAAGTTCTAGGGTACATGTGCACAACGTGCAGGTTTGTTACATAGGTATACATGTGCCTTGTTGGTTTGCTGCACCCATCAACTCGTCATTTACATTAGATATTTCTTCTAATGCTGTCCCTCCCCCAGTCCCCACCCTATGACAGGCCCTGGTGTGTGATGTTCCCTGCCCTGTGTCCAAGTGTTCTCATTTTTCAATTCCCACCTTTGAGTGAGAACATGCAGTGTTTGGTTTTCTGTCCTTGGGATAGTTTGCTGAGAATGATGGTTTCCAGCATCATCCATGTCCCCACAAAGGACATGAACTCATCCTTTTTTATGTCTGCTTAGTATTCCATGGTGTATATGTGCCACATTTTCTTAATCCAGTCTATCATTGCTGGATATATGGGTTGGTTCCAAGTCTTTGCTATTGTGAATAGTGCCATAATAAACATACGTGTGTATGTGTCTTTATAGTAGCATGATTTATAATCCTTTGGGTATATACCCAGTAATGGGATCACTGGGTCAAATGGTATTTCTAGTTCTAGATCCTTGAGGAATTGCCACACTGTCTTCCCCAATGGTTGAACTAGTTTACACTCCCACCAAAAGTGTAAAAAGTGTTACTATTTCTCTATATCCTCTCCAGCATCTGTTGTTTCCTCACTTTTTAATGATCGCCATTCTAACTGGTGCGAGATGGTATCTCACTGTGGTTTTGATTTGCATTTCTCTGATGACCAGTGATGATGCGCATTTTTTCATGTGTCTGTTGGCTGCATAAATGTCTTCTTTTGAGAAGTGTCTGTTTATATCCTTTGCCCACTTTTTGATGGGCTTGTTTTCTTCTTGTAAATTTAAGTTCTTTGTAGATTCTGGATATTAGCCCTTTGTCAGATGAGTAGATTGCAAAAATTTTCTCCCATTCTGTAGGTTGTCTGTTCACTCTGATGGTAGTTTCTTTTGTTGTGCAGAAGCTCTTTAGTTTAATTAGATCCCATTTGTCAATTTTGGCTTTTGTTCCCATTGCTTTTGGTGTTTGAGACATGAAGTCCTTGCCCATGCCTATGTCCTGAATGGTATTGCCTAGGTTTTCTTCCAGGGTTTGAATGGTTTTAGGTCTGACATTTAAGTCTTTAATCCATCTTGAATTAATTTTTGTATAAGGTGTAAGGAAGGGATCGAGTTTTAGCTTTCTACATATGGCTAGCCAGTTTTCCCAGCACCATTTATTAAATAGGGAATCTTTTCTCCATTTCTTGTTTTTGTCAGGTTTGTCAAAGATCAGTTGGTTGTAGATGTGTGGTGCATTTCTGAGGCCTCTGTTCTGTTCCATTGGTCTATATCTCTCTTTTAGTACCAGTACCATGCTGTTTTGGTTACTGTAGCCTTGTAGTATAGTTTGAAGTCAGGTAGCATGATGCCTCCAGCTTTATTCTTTTTGCTTAGGATTGTCTTGGCATTGTGGTCTCTTTTTGGGTTCCATGTGAACTTTAAAGTAGTTTTTTCCAATTCTGTGAAGAAAGTCATTGGTAGCTTGATGGGGATGGCATTGAATCTACAAATTACCTTGGGCAGTATGGCCATTTTCACAATATTGATTCTTCCTATCCATGAGAATGGAATGTTCTTCCATTTGTTTGTGTCCTCCTCTATTTCATTGAGCAGTGGTTTGTAGTTCTTGAAGAGGTCCTTCACATCCCTTGCAAGTTGGATTCCTAGGTATTTTATTCTCTTTGTAGCAATTGTGAATGGGAGTTCACTCATGATTTGGCTGTTTGTCTGTTATTGGTGTATAGGAATGCTTGTGATTTTTACACATTGATTTTGTATCCTCAGACTGCCGAAGTTGCTTATCACCTTAAGGAGATTTTGGGCTGAGATGATGGGGTTTTCTATATATACAATCATGTCATCTGCAAACAGGGACAATTTGACTTCCTCTTTTCCTAATTGAATATCCTTTATTTCTTTCTCTTGCCTGATTGCCCTGCCCAGAACTTCCAACACTATGTTGAATAGGAGTGGTGAGAGAGGACATCCCTGTCTTGTGCCGGTTTTCAAAGGGAATGCTTCCAGTTTTTGCCCATTCAGTATGATATTGGCTGTGGGTTTGTCATAAATAGCTCTTATTATTTTGAGATAGGTTCCAACAATACCTAGCTTATTGAGAGTTTTTAGCATGAAAGGCTGTTGAATTTTGTCAAAGGCCTTTTCTGCATCTATTGAGATAATCATGTGGTTTTTGTTGTTGGTTCTGTTTATGTGATTGATTACATTTATTGATTTGCATATGTTGAACCAGCCTTGCATCCCAGGGATGAAGCCAACTTGATCATGGTGGATAAGTTTTTTGATGTGCTGCTGGATTCGGTTTGCCAGTATTTTATTGAGGATTTTTGCATCAATGTTCATCAGGGATATTGGTCTAAAATTCTCTTTTTTGTGTGTGTGTCTCTGCCCGGCTTTGATATCAGGATGATGCTGGCCTCATAAAATGAGTTAGGGAGGATTCCCTCTTTTTCTATTGATTGGAATAGTTTCAGAAGGAATGGTACCGGCTCCTCTTTGTAGATCTGGTAGAATTCGGCTGTGAATCTGTCTGGTCCTGGACTTATTTTAGTTGGTAGGCCATTGGTTATTGCCTTAATTTCAGAGCCTATTATTTGTCTATTCAGAGATTCAACTTCTTCCTGGTTTAGTCTCAGGAGGGTGTATATGTCCAGGAATGTATCCATTTCTTCTAGATTTTCTAGTTTATTTGCCTAGAGGTGTTTATAGTATTCTCTGATGGTAGTTTGTACTTTTGTGGGATTGGTGGTGATATCCCCTTTGTCATTTTTTATGGCATCTATTTGATTCTTCTCTCTTTTCTTCTTTATTAGTCTTGCTAGCGCTATCAATTTTGTTGATCTTTTCAAAAAACCAGCTCCTGGATTCATTGATTTTTTGAAGGGTTTTTGTGTCTCTATCTCCTTCATTCCTGCTCTGATCTTAGTTATTTCTTGCCTTCTGCTAGCTTTTGAATGTGTTTGCTCTTGCTTCTCTAGTTCTTTTAATTGTGATGTTAGGGTGTCGATTTTGATCTTTTCTGCTTTCTCTTGTGGGCATTTAGTGCTATAAATTTCCCTCTACACACTGCTTTAAATGTGTCCTAGAGATTCTGGTGTGTTGTGTCTTTGTTCTCATTGGTTTCAAAGAACATCTTTATTTCTGCCTTCATTTCATTATTTACACAGTAGTAATTCAGGAGCAGGTTGTTGAGTTTCCATGTAGTTGTGCGGTTTGAGTGAGTTTCTTAATCCTGAGTTCTAATTTGATTGCACTGTGGTCTGAGAGACAGTTTGTTGTGATTTCTGTTCTTTTACATTTGCTGAGGAGTGCTTTACTTCCAACTATGTGGTCAATTTTGGAACAAGTGTGATGCGGTGCTGAGAAGAATGTATATTCTGTTGATTTGGGATGGAGAGTTCTGTAGATGTCTGTTAGGTCCATTTAGTGCAGAGCTGAACTCAAGTCCTGGATATTCTTGTTAATCTTCTGTCTCCTTGATCTGTTTTATATTGACAGTGGGGTGTTAAATTCTCCCATTATTATTGTGTGGAAGTCTCAGTCTCTTTGTAGGTCTCTAAGTTCTTGCTTTATGGAATCTGGGTGCTCCTGTATTGGCTGCATATATATTTAGGATAGCTCTTCTTGTTGAATTGATCCCTTTATCATTATGTATTGGCCTTCTTTGTCTCTTTTGATCTTTGTTGGTTTAAAGTCTGTTTTATCAGAGACTAGGATTGAAACCCCTGGTTTTTTTTTTTTTTTTTGCTTAGAAATGCTATTGATTTTTTATGTTGGTTTTATATCTTGGAACTTTATTCATTTATTCTCACATATTTTTGTGGAATCTGTAGGATTTTCTATAAAAAAGATCATCATGTCATGATATCAGCAAACAGACAATTTTACTTCTTTCTCTCCTATTTAAATGTCTTTTTTTTTCCTTTCTCTTGTCTAACTATTCTAGTCAAGGACTTCCAATACTATGTTGCATGGAAGTGGAAAGCATGTGCATCCTACACTTGTTCCTGGTCTTACAGGAAAAGTGTTCAACTTTTCCCCATTGTTTATGATGTTAGCTGGGGTTTTGTCATATACAGCCTTTATTGTGTTGAGGTGTGTTTTTTCTATACTTAATTTGTTGAGAGTTTTTATGAAGACATGTTGAGGGTTTTTTTTCTTTTTTTTCCTAGACTGCTAATATGGTTTGGTTGTGTCCCCACCCAAATCTCATCTTGAACTGTAGTTCCCATAATCCTCACATCTGGTGGGAGGGATCCGGTGGGAGGTAATTGAATAATGGCGGTGGTTTTCCCCAAGTTATTCTTATAATAGTGAGTAAGTTCTCCTGAGATCTGATGGTTTTATAAGGGGCTTCTCCCCTTCGCTTGCTCTCATTCTTCTCCTTCCTGCCACCATGTGAAGAAGGATGTGTTTGCTTCCCCTTCTGCCATGATTGTAAGTTTTCTGAGGCCTCTCCAGCCCTGCAAGTTGATTAAACCTCTCTCCTTTATAAGTTACCCAGTCTTGGGTATTTCTTCATAGCGGCATGAGAACAGAGTAATACAACTGCTCAGCAGAAGAATTTTATTAAATGCATTTTCTGCATCTATTGAAATTATCATATGGTGTTTGTCCTTGATTCTATTAATGTGACTTACTATGTTTGTCCTTGATTCTCTTAATGTGACATATCATGTTTGTTGATTCATGTACGTTAAACCATCCTTGCAACCCTGGGATAAGTTCCATTTGATCATGGTGAATGATCTTTTTAGCATGATGTTGAATTTAGTTTACTAGTATTTTGTTGAGAATTTTTGCATCTATGTTCATCATGGATTTTGGCCTATCATTTTCTTGTAATGTCCTTGTCTGGCTTTGGTATCAGGGTAATGCTGGTATTGTACTATGAGTTTTAAAGTGCAGGTTGAGTGCCCCAAAATCTGAAACTTTTTGAGCGCCAATATGATGCTCTAAGAATGCTTATTGGAACATTATAAATTTTGAATTTTCTGATTTGGGGTGCTCAACTGCTAAGTATAATGCAAATATTCCAAATTCTTAAACTAAAATCTGAAATACTACTGGTCCCAAACATTTTATTTTATTTTATTTTTAGACAGAGTCTCACTCTATCGCCCAGGCTGGAGTGCAGTGGCATGATCTTGGCTCACTGCAACCTCTGCCTCCCGGGTTCAAGACATTCTCCTGCCTCAGCCTGCCGAGTAGCTGGGATTACAGGCACACACCACCATGTCTGGCTCATTTTTGTATTTTTAGTAGAGACAGGGTTTCACCATGTTGGCCAGGCTGGTCCTGAACTCCTGGCCTCAGGCGATCCACCTGCCTCAGCTTCCCCAAGCGCTGGGATTACAGGAGTGAGCCACTGTGCCCGGCCTCCAAACACTTTAGATAAGGGACACACAACCTGTATTTCTTCCTCTTCAATTTTTTGAAAGAATTTCAGAAAGAGTAGTGTTAGTTTTCCTTTAAATGTTTGGTAGAATTCACCTGTAAAGTCATCATGTCCTAGGCTTTTCTTTGATGGAAGACTTTTTATTACTGATTAAATCTTTTTCTTCATTATTGATTTGTTCAGATTTTATGTTTCTTCATTATTCAGTCTTGCTAGGTTACTTGTGTCTGGTAATTTATCCATTTCTTTTAGGCTGTCCAGTTGATTGGCATACAGTTGTTCACAGTAATCTCTTACAGTCTTTTGTATTTTTGTGGTATCACTTGTAATGTTTCCTATTTCACTTCTGATTGTATGTATTGAGTCATCTCTTTTATTAAAGCAGTCTAGTTAAAGGTTTGCTGATTTTATCTTTTCAAAAATCTAACTCTTAGTTAATTTTTAAATTATTTTTCTAGTCTCCATTTATTTGTTCTAATTTTATTGATTTATTTCTTCTAATTTTGAGCTTAATTTGTTTTTCTAGTTCATCTGAGGTACTAGGTTGTTTGAGATCTTTCTTGCTTTTTTGACATAGGTGTTTATTGCTGTAAGTTTCCTCAAACAAATTGGTCAATGTCTCAGCCTCTTCTATTTTTTTAAAATGTGTACTATTAGTGTTATTTCTTCCTTGAAAGTTTGCTAGAATTCACCAGTAAAACTCCTTGGGCCTCAAGTTTTCTTTGTGGGAAGGCTTTTGCTAATAAATTAAATCAGTTTAAAAGATAAAGGCTATTTGTGATAATTTTGGTAGGTTGTGTTTTTCAAGGAATTTAGAAATTTTATCTAGGTTATTGGGTTTTTGGAGTAAAGTCGGTCAAAAATATGACCTTATTATCCTTCAGTGTTCTTTAGCATCTGTAGTGATAATCCCTCCTTTTAGTTCTGCCAGTTGTGATTCGTGTTTCTCTTTTGTTTCTTAATCAGCTTGTCTAGGGGGGTTGTTAGTTTTGTTGTTTAATATAACTAGATTTTGGCTTTTTAAATTTTCTTAATTACTTGTTTTCTATTTTGTTGATTTCTGCTTTTTATTTCATACTGTATTCATGGCTTGTACTGTAGGATCACTTTGTTCTCTTTCATCTAGCTTCCCAGAATGTAATCTCTGGTTTATGATTTTATACCTTTCTTCTTTTTGATATGAACATTCAATGCCATTGGTTTCCTTTTAAGCATTGGTTTAGCAATGCAACTCAACACAAAATGTGTTTTAATGTTTCGTGTGGTTTGTTCTTTGACCAGTATTATTTAGAATTGTGTTGCTTAATTATTAAATATTTGGGATTTTCATAGATATCTTATGGTTCTCTACCTTAATGTAATACATTTTTGTAAGAGAACATACTCTGTACGATTTCAGTGTTCATATCTTGTTGGTGGACATATCCATTATTATTAAAAAATGTTCTTTGTGTCTAGTAACATTTTTTGTTCTTAAAGTCTGTTTATTTAATTTTAGTACAGCCACTCCAACTCTCATTTGTTACCCTTTGAATATTTTTCCTACCCTCTTAATTTCAACTTATTTGTATCTTTGAATCTAAAATGTGTCTCTTGTAGACAGCTTGTAGTTGCATTATTTTTTTAAATCTATTCAGCCAATCTCTCCTTTTACTTGGCTATTTAATCAATTTATATTTAATGTAATTATTAGGTATGATTTATAGCTGCCTTTTTTGCTGTTTATTTTTTGTGTAGCTTATGTATTATTGTATTCCTCTATTCCTCTATTAATTCCTCCTTTTGTGTTTAACATATATTTTCTAGTGTGCCATTTTATTTCTCCTGTAATTTCTTTCACTATATTTTATGAATAATTTTCTTAGGGGTTTGGAGATTGTAATTAAGATCTTAACAATCTAGTCTGGATTTATATCAGTTTAACTTCAAAAGTGTGTAGTAGTCTTCTGCATTTGCCTATATGTTTCTATGGCACTCTTCTTCTTAAGAGTTGGGGTTACTATCTAGTGTCCTTTCATTTTAGCCTAAAGTACTTCCTTTAATATTTCATGTTGAATAGGTCTGCTAGTGACAAAATATGTTTGTTTTTTATTATTTGTGAGTGCCTTAATTTCTCCTTTATTATTGATGAATAGTCTTTCTGGGTGTAGACTTTTGGTTGACAGTCTTTTCTTTCAGGACTTTGAATATGCCTTCATACTGCCTTCTGAAATCTATAACTCCTAGAGAGAAATCAGCTATTCATCTTATTCAAGATCACTTGTATGTGACGAGTTACTTCCTTTTTGCTGTTTTTAAGATCCTATGTTTGGCTTTAACTATGAAATGTTATTATTAAGTATATAGATGTTTTTCCTACCTGGAGTTCATTGAGATTCTTGAAGGTGTAAATTACTTTTCTAAACCAAATTTGGAGAGTTTTCAGCTATCATTTGTTTAAATATTCTTTCTTTTTTTCTCCTGTCCATCTGGGATTTCCATTATGGGTTCATTGGTATGCTTGACGGTATCCCATAAGTCTCTGAGGCTCTGTTAATTTTTTTTCTTTTTTCTTTCTGTTCTCAGACTAAATAATTTCAGTTGATTTATGTTCAACTGAAGTTTGCTGATTCTTATCCTGCCTGATCAACTCTGCTATCTAGTCTTTCTAGTAAATTTTTATTGGACTTTTTAAACTCTAGAATTTTTATTTCTATTTTTAAATAATTGTGATCTCTTTATTTGGTGAGACATCATTCTCATATTTTACTATAGTTCTCATACTTTTGTTTATTGATATAATTTTTTTCATTTTTGAAATACTTGAAATTGCCGATTTAAAGACTTTTTTTACTAAGCTCAATATGTGCACATGAACAATTTTTATTCTTTTTTTTCCCCAGTGCAACAACTATATTTTTTTGCTCTTTAAATGTTTTGTATTTTGTTGTTGCTGTCATTGGAAACTTTACAACTTAAAAAATATAGTATGGCAGTCTGAAAATCATATTTCTCCCACTTTCCATGGTTTGTTTTTCTGCTCTTCCTATTTGTTTTTGTTGCTCTTGGTATTTGCTTTAATAACTTTTCTGAACTAACTCTGTAAGACTGTATTTTTTCTCATGTGTGGCCACTGAAGTCTCTGCACTGTTTAGTGGTCAGATAATGTTTCGACAGAGATTTTCTTAAATGCATGTAAACAATAAATACAAATATCTGTTTTTGCCAAGAGCTCTGTTTTCATGTTGCAGTATGCTTTCCGTACTCAGCAAGGCAGTTTACAACTCTGCCTTAGCCTTTGCTTGCTGCCTATGCAGAGCCTCCATGTCAGTCTAGGTATGGATTTTTAGGTATTTCCTGAACATGTGCAGCTGTGGGCATGTGCTCAGCCCTACACGTGTACATGGCCTTCTTGAATTCCAGGAATATGTTAGAACTTTTCAAAGCTCCTATGGACCTCTCATTCCTCATAAATTTTCTTTTAAGACTTTTGATTAGCCAATCGTTTTCCCCAAATGTTATCCAACATCTCAGGCAGCCACAGTGTTAACTAATTGCTAATGATTGTTTTTTTTTTTTTACAAGTGTCTCCAAGAAAAAGTCTGCATTGAATGATCTGAGTCAGGTCAATTAGAGACAAGTCTTGTGAATGGGGTTTTCCAAGGCACCCTAGACAGGTCAAAAGATAACAATTCTGAGAATTGTGCTTGGAAGGATCCCCAGTGCCATTCTGTTCCCTCCAGTGACCAGGTTGTTGGTTTTCATTATGATTGCAGACTCTTGGTTTTCAAGGCTACCGTGTTGCTGGGGAGAGAAAAGTAGGAATAGAACAAGTCAAACGCTACAGAACTCACTGTTCTTAAAAATATTCAGCTATTGTTCTTGAACAAAATGGCCACTGGATTGCTGCAAGTCTTTGGTTAATTTTGAGTTCTGAAAAGATTGATTCCATTTTTTTTCCAATGTTCTCTTTGCTTTTTAAAAATTTTTGAAATATTAAGTTCTGGGATACATGTGCAGGATGTGCAGGTTTGTTACAAAGGTAAACACATGCCATGGTGGTTTGCTGCACCTATCAACCCATCACCTAGGTATTAAGCCCAACATGCATTAGCTATTTCTCCTGATGCTCTCCCTCCCTCCTCCCCACCCCCACACAGGCCCCAGTGTGTGTTGTTCCTCTCCCAGTGTCCATGTGTTCTCATCGTTCAGCTCCCATTTATAAGTGAGAACATGCGGTGTTTGGTTTTCTGTTCCTGTGTTAGTTTGCTGAGGTTAATGGCTTCCAGGTCCATCCATGTCCCTGCAAATGACATTATTTCATTCCTTTTTATGGCTGCATAGTATTCCATGGTGTATACATACCACATTTTCTTTATCTAGTCTATCATTGATGGGCATTTGGGTTAATTCCATAACATTGCTATTGTGAATAGTGCTGCAGTGAACATATGCATGCATGTATGTTTATAATAGAATGATTTTTATTCCTTTGGGTATATACCCAGTAATGGGATTGCTGGGTCAAATGGCATTTCTGATTCTAGACCTTTGAGGAATTGCCACAGTCTTTCACAATGACTGAATTAATTTATGTTCCCACCAACAGTGTAAAAGCATTCCTATTTCTTCACAGCCATGCCAGCATCTGTTGTTCCTTGATTTTTAAATAATTGCCATTCTGACTGTGTGAGATGTTATCGCATTGTGGTTTTGATTTGTGTTTCTTTAATAGTCAGTGATGTTGAGCTTTTTTCATGTGTTTGTTGGCTGTGTAAATGACTTCTTTTGAGAAGTGTCTGTTCATGTCCTTTGGCTAGTTTTTAATGGGGTTGTTTTCTTGTAAATTCAAGTTTCTTGTAGATTCTGGATATTAGACCTTTGTCAGATGGATAGATTGCAAAAATTTTCTCCCATTCTGTAGGTCATCTGTTCACTCTGATGATAGTTTCTTTTGCTGTGCAGTAGCTCTTTAATTGGATCCTATTTGTCAATTTTTGCTTTTGTTGCAATTGCTTTTGGCATTTTTCTCATGAAATCTTTGCCCGTGCCTATGTCCTGTGTCTATTTATTGCCTGGATTTTTTCTAGGATTTTTATAGTTTTGGGTTTTACATTTAATTCCTTAATCCATCTTGAGTTAATTTTTGTATAAGGTGTAAGGAAGGGGTCCACTTTCAATTTTCTGGATATGGCTAGCCAGTTATTAAATATTTATTAAATAGGGAATATTTTCCTCATTGCTTGCTTTTGTCAGGTTTGTTGAAGATCAGATGGTTGTAGATGTGCAGTCTTATTTCTGAGTTCTCTAATCTGTTTCATTTGTCTATGTGTCTGTTTTTGTACCAGTACCACGTTGTTTTGGTTACTATAGCCTTACAGTATGGTTTGAAGTTGGGTAGCATGACGCCTCCAGCTTTGCTCTTTTTACTTATGATTGTCTTGGTTACACAGGGTCTATTTTGGTCCCATATGAATTTTGAAATAGTTTTTTTCTAATTCTGTGAAGAATATCAATGGTAGTTTGAATGGAAATAGCATTGCATCTATAAATTACTTTGGGCATTGTGGCCATTTTCACAATACTGATTCTTCCTATCCATGAGCATGGAATGTTTTTCTATTTGTTTGTGTCCTCGCTGATTTCCTTCAGCAATAGTTCTCCTTGAAGCGGTCCTTTACTTCTCTTGTTAGCTGTAATCCTGTGTATTTTATTCTCTTTGTAGCAATTGTGAGTGGGAGTTCATTCATGATTTGGCTCACTGCTTGTCTGTTGTTGGTATATAGGAATGCTTGTGATTTTTGGACACTGATTTTGTATCCTTAGATTTGATGAAGTTGCTTATCAGCTTAAGCTTTTGGGCTGAGACGATAAGGTTTTCTACATAAAGGATCATGTCATCTGCAAACAAAGACAATTTGACTTTCTCTATTCCTATTTTAATACCCCTTATTTCTTTCTCTTGTCTCATGGCCAGAATTTCTAATACTGTTTTGAGTAGGATTGGTGAGAGAGGGCATTCTTGTTGCGTGTTGGTTTTCAAAGGGAATGTTTCCAGCCTTTGCCCATTCAGTATGATATTGGCTGTGGGTTTATCGTAAGTGGCTCTTATTATTTTGAGTTATATTCCTTCAATACCTAGTTTGAGAGTTTTTAACATTAAGGGAGGTTGAATTTTATCAAAGCCCTTTTGTGCATCTATTGAGTTAATCGTGGTTTTTGTCTTTAGTTCTGTTTATGTGATGAATTACATTTATTGATTTGCATGTGTTGAACCAACCTTGCATCCCAGGGATTAAGCTGACTTGATTACGGTGGATAAGCTTTTTGATGTGCTACTGGATTTGGTTTGCCAGTATTTTATTGAGGATTTTTACATCAATGTTCATGAGGGATATTGGCCTGAAGTTCTCTTTTTTTGTTGTTTTATCTCTGCCCTGTTTTAGTATCAGGATGATGCCAGCCTCATAAAGTGAATTAGGGAGGAGTCCCTTCTTTTCAATTGTTTGAATAGTTTCAGAAGAAATGCTACCAGCTCCTCTTTGTACCTCTGGTAGAATTCAGTTGTAAATCTGTTGGTCCTAGGCTTTTTTTTGCTTAGTAGACTATTTATTACTGTCTTAATTTCAGAACTCGTTATTGGTCTATTCAGGGATTCAACTTCTTCCTGGTTCAGTCTTGGGAGGGTGTATGTATCCAGGAATTTATCAGTTCATTTTAGATTTTCTAGTTTATTTGCATAGAGGTGTTTATAGTATTTTCTGATGGTTGTTTGTATTTCTGTGGGGTCAGTGGTGATATCCTCTTTATCATTTCTGATTGTGTCTATTTAACTCTTTTCTCTTTTCTTGTTATTAGTCAGCTTGTGGTCTATCTATTTTATTAATTTTTAAAAAAAAAAAAAAAAACCGGCTCCTGGATGCGTTTATTTATTTATTTTTTTGAAGGTTTTTTTTTTTGTCTTTATCTCCTTCCATTCTGTTCTGATCTTGGTTATTTCTTGTCTTCTGCAAGCTTTGGGGTTTGTTTGCTTTTGGTTCTGTAGTTCTTTTAGCTGTGATGTTAAGTGTTAATTTGAGATCTTTCTAGCTTTTTGATGTGGGCAATTAGTGCTGTAAGTTTCCCGCTTAACATAGTTTTAGCTGCTTCCCAGAGATTTTGGTATGTTGTCTTTTTGTTCTCATTAGTTTCAAAGAACTTCTTGATTTCTGCTTTAATTTCATTATTTACCCAGGAGTCATTCAGGAGCAGGCTGTTCAATTTCCATGTAGTAGTGTGGTTTTGAGTGAGTTTCTTAATCTTGAGTTCTAATTTGATTGCGCTGGTCTGAGAAACTGTTATAATTTCAGTTCTTTTGCATTTGCTGAGGAGTGTTTTACTTCCAATTAAGTGATCAATTTTAAAGTAAGTGCCATGTGGCCTGAGAAGAATGTATATTCCGTTGTTTTTAGGTGGAGAGTTCTGTAGATACCTATCAGGTCCACTTGATCCAGAGCTGAGTTTAGGTCCTGAATATCTTAGTTAATTTTGTCTCAGTGATCGGTCTAAAATTGACAGTAGGGTGTTCTTCTACTATTATTGTGTGGGAGTCTATTTGTAGGTCTCTAAAAACTTGTTTTATGAATCTGGATTCTCCTGTGTTGGGTGCATTTACATTTAGGATAGTTAGCACTTCTTGTTGAATTGATCTCTTTATGATTAGTAATAAATGTATTTGTCGTTTTTGATTTTTTTTTTGTTTAAAGTCTTTTGTCAGCAACTAGGATTGCAAACCCTACTGTTTTCTGTTTTCCATTTGCTTGGTAAATTTTCCTTCATCCCTTTATTTTGAGCCTATGTGTGTCTTTGCACGTAAGATGGGTCTCTTGAATATGGCACACTGGTGGGTCTTTATCCAGCCTGCCATTCTGTGTCTTTTAATTGGAACATTTAGGCCATTTATATTTAAAGTTAATATTGTTATGTGTGAATTTGATTCTGTCATCATGATGCTAGCTGGTTATTTTGCAGACATGTTTATGTAGTTGCTTCATGGTGTCATTGGTCTGTGAACTTCAGTGTGTTTTTGTAGTGGCTGGTAATGGTTTTTCCTTTCTATATTTAGTGCTTCCTTAAGGAGCTCTTGCAAGGCAGGCCTGGTGGTGATGCATTCCCTCAGCATTTGCTTGCCTGAAAAGTATTTTATTTCTCCTTTGCTTATGAAGCTTAGTTTGTCCAGATATGAAATTCTTGGTTGGAAATTCTTTGAAGAATGTTGAATATTGGCCCCCAATCTCTTCTGGCTTGAAGGATTTCTGCTGAGAGGTCTGCTATTAGTCTAATGGACTTCCCTTTGTAGGTTACCTGGCCTTTCTCTCTGGCTGCCCTTAACATTTTTTCTTCCATTTCAACCTTAGAGAATCTGATGATTATATGTCTTGGGGTTGATTTTCTCAGGGAATATTATACTGGGGTTCTCTGGATTTCCTGAATTTGAGTGTGGGCCTGTCTTTTTAGGTTGGGGAAGTCCTCCTGGATGGTATATTTTCTAAGTTGGTTCTGTTTTTCCCATCTCTTTCAGGTACCCCAGTCAGTCGTAGGTTTGGTCTTTTTACATAACCTCACATTTCTCAAAGGTTTTGTTCATTCCTTTTCATTCCTTTTTCTCTAATGTTGTGTGCCTGTTTTTTTTCAGGAAAATAGTCTTGAAGCTCTGAGATTCTTTCTTCTGCTTGTTCTATTTGGTTCTTGACACTTGTGATTGCATTGCAAAGTTCTCATGTTGTGTTTTTTCAACTCTATCAGGGCATTTATTTTCTTCCATAAACTGTTTATTCTGGTTATCGGCTCCTGTAATGTTTTATCATGGTTCTTAGCTTCTTTGCATTGGGTTAGAACATGCTCCTTTAGCTTAGTGAAGTTCACTATTACCCACCTTCTGAAGCCTGCTTCTGTCAATTAATCCACCCCAGTCTCAGCCCAGTTCTGTGTCCTTGCTGGAGAGGTGTTGCGATCATTTGGAGGAGAAGAGGCACTCTGGCTTTTTGAGTTTTCAGCATTTTTGTGTTGATTTTTTTCCTCATCTTTGTGGGCTTATCTACCTTCAATCTGTGAGGCCTGCTGGCCTTTGGATGGGTTTTTTTGTGAGGTCTTTTTTTGTTGATGTTTTGTTTTGTTGCTTTGTTTTTTCTTCTAACATTCAGGCTCCTCTTGTGTAGAGCTCCTGCAGTTTGCTGGGGGTTCACTCCAGACCCTATTCACCTGGGGCCCTCCCACACCTGGAGGTATCACCAGTGGAGGCTACAAAACAGCAAAGATGGCCACCTGCTCCTTCCTCTGGGAGCTCTGTCCCATATGCGCACCTACCTGATGCTGGCTGGAACGTTCCTGTATGAGGTATCTGGAGACCCCTGTTGGGAGGTCTCACCCAGACAGGAGAAATGAGATCAGGGACCCACTTAAAGAAGCAGTCTTGCTGCCCCTTGGCAGAGTGGGTGCTCTGTGCTGTCCAGACTCTCCAGAGCCAGCTGGCAGGAAAGATTAAATAGGCTGAACCACGAAGATTGCAGCCATTCCTCTGAATAGGGGCTCTGTCCCAGGGAGATCAAAGATCTGTCCATGAATCCCTGGCTGGAGTTGCTGAAATTCTGGTGGGGAAGCCCCTCCTGATGATGAGGGATGGATCAGGGTCCCACTTAAAGTAGCAGTCTGGCCAAATCTGGCACAGCCACTGTGCTGCACTGTGGGGAATTCCTCTCCATCCAAACCACCCAGTTTCCTTGGCACCGGTGGGGGAAAACAGTTGACTGGAGCTGCAGAGATGGCAGCCACCCCTCCCCCTGGAAATTGGTTATCTTAGGCAGTCTCCAGCCTGCTGCTACTGGCCAGCCAGGGATTCCAAGCCAGTGGATCTTAGCTGGTAAGGTTCTGTGGGAGCAGGGCCTGTTGAATGATGCCACTTGGCTCCCTGGCTTCAGCTGCCTTCTTGCCTCACCAGAAGTCCCAGGGCTGGAGTATCCAAAACAACTCCCCTGTCTCATTGGCTGCCCGAGCAGCCACTGAGAGTCTGCACAGCTCTGTGTTTGGGACCCAAGGCCCTGGTGGCATGGGCTCAGGAGGGGATCTCCTGATCAACGAGTTGCAAAGATGCATGGGAAATGTGTGCTTTCCCAGGTGGGGTAGCACACTCACTCACTGCCTCCTTTAGCTGGGGGAGGGAGATCTCCCCTTACCCTATGCCACCCCCAGGTGGGCTGTCACCCCACCTTACTTTTCCTCACTGTCTGTGGGTGGTACCAACTGCCTATTCAGTCCCAATGCCAGAACCTGGATACCTCAGGTGAAGGTGGAGAATTTATTTGACATTTTCCTTCCTCTCAGGGAGAGCCACAGCCCGCAGCTGCTTCTACTCGTCCATCTTGGCCCCTCCCCACTCATTGCTTTTATGGAGGGAGTGATTTTTGGAGGTCCTTACCCCACCATTATCCCAGCTCCTTGTTTTTTTAAATCATTTATCTTTCTGTCTACAGATTGGATATGTTCTATTAATCTATCTTCAAGTTCACTGTTTCTTTCGTTTGTCATATCTATTATTTCATTAAACTCAGGCAGTAAATTTTTATTGTTAATATTTTTCAATTCTAAAATATTCATTTGGTTCTTTATATTTTATATTTCCCTGATAATATTTCTATCCTTTTTTCATTTTGAACGCATTCTTGTTATTATCAAGGATGGTTCTATGATCTGCTCTAAAGTTCTTATGTAACTTTAAACACATGGATTCTCCTACCATCTGGGTCATTTTGGGGTTGGCATATGTTGATCATCTTTTCCTATAGAAATGATTCATATTAGTCAGTTCTTTGTTGAGTAATTTTGGATTGGATCCTGGGCATACTGTTATAATGTGAAGGCCTCTGGGTTCTGTTACATTCCTCTGAGGAACAATGATTTTATTTTAGCAGATAATTCATTAGATCAGACCCAAAGTATAAGCTCTGTTTCATTTACTGTGGTTATTAGTTCAAATTTCAATTTAATTCTTTAAGGCTTTGCTGTGATGCTTTGAGTTTTCCCACACATGCATGGTGTTCTCCAGGTCAGAGATTTATACGAAATTCATATTCAGGATTAGGAAATGCCCTTTTTTTACATCGCCCATTTAGGTGGGATTCCTCCCTTTTTATCTGGGAGCCTGACCTGATATTTGGGGTTCCTTTCCTTAGTTCTTTCATCCAGAAATTCTATGGGGATTCTAGCCCCTCTCATCCAGATGCTGTGCTGTGTGTATAAACTGCCCTCAAGATAAAGCCATAAATAAGAAAAAAGAAAAGAGAGAAGAAAGAAAACTTTTTGCACTTTACTTCTCCACACTTGACTTTTCTCAACATTTCTGCTTATATTTACTTTCTAGAATTTTTAGGTAGGTTTCTTCCCCCCCCCCATGTTTTAGCTAAACTTTATCTGTTTAGGAGTAGGTTTGCAGGAAGCTTCTACCATCAAATAGTAAGTAGCAGCCACAGACAATATCTAAATAGATCATATTATTGACTTGTTATTTTAAAAGTTGGCTTCTTCTACTTCCTTTCTAAGTAGAAAGACCTTTACTTTAGCCTGAAAAACTAAATTCTAAACCTAGTTACATCATTTATTTTCTGTGTGATTTTAAGTGAATTATTTAACTTTACTGAACTTCATTTTCCTCCTACTTAAAAGGGAGGAAATTATAATAAGGGATTTGATATGAGAATTAAAGGAAAGAGTACAGATAAAGTGCCTAGGAGAGTATCTGGGCCCATAATTGGGGCTTAGTAAGTGTCAGCCCTCTTTTTTTGTGTGGAAAGGAATTAAGCTAGCTGGTGATTATTTGGCTACTGCATTTGAAGGCAGTAAAACCAAAGTCTGAATTATCTGGGTTGATAAGATTATCTAGATCACTGCTAAATCTCCCTGCCACTTTATCCTGTTGATACTGAGACACCTAACTCTCAAATATAATCTTCCAAAAAGCAATCCTTTACAAGGCGACTCTGAAAGACTCTTTGTGCTAGCAAACAATACCCAAAGTGTGCCTTCCAGAGAGACAATATAGTAAAGCAGCATATTAATCTTGCCCCAAATCCTATTTCATGTCTTCCGGACATTGCAGAGGGGAGATGGGTGGAAACAATGGATCCATTGAGAATTACAGGCTGACCTCCAACTGAGACCTCTACCTGGGTGACTACATTTGGATGGAGAACAAGTACTTTGGCCCTAGCCACATTTTGTTTCCTGTTCCCTGACTGAGGTTGGCTGCAGTTCAGTTATGAACTCTGCTAGCAAGACCGTGACACTGGAAAAGACGTTAAAAGTGCCCACCCATTCAGGATTTAATTAATGGTTGCACAGGAACCAACTTCTTCCCACTCGGCAGAGAGGAAAGGGTTGGCAGCTGACCACTCCTCAGGCTGCCAGCTCTCAGTCCTTTGAGGACCTCAGCCATGCACCTGTGCCAAGAGGTTGGCAGCTGAGGTTCGATGATCCAAGGCCTCACAAAATCTCATCCACGAATCAACCTGCTTATCGTTATTTCCTGCAAAACTTCAAAACCATAAAATTCTTTCTTTCTCAGCTTTATTGAGGTATCATTGACAAATAGGAATTGTATATATTTAACATGTATGACTTGACTTCTTGATGTATGTATACACTGTGAAATGATCAGCACAATTAAGCTAATAACATATCCATCACCCATCTAGTTACCTCTCTCTTCCCTTTTTCTTTTCTTCTTTCCTACCTTTTTCCCTCCCTCCTTCCCTTTCTTTTTTTCCTTTTCTTCTTTTATGTGGTGAAAATATTTAAGATCTGCCCTCTTAGCAAATTTCAAGTCTATAACATAAACTGTAGACTTGATCACCATGTTGTATGCTAGATCTCCGGAACTTATAACTTCATCTTATAACTGAAACTTTGGATACTTCGACTAACATCTCCCAATTTCCCCTTGTCCCTCACCCCAACCATTTTACTCTTTGCTTCTATGTATCCGAGTACTTTAGATTTTATACATAAGTGAGAGCATGCAGTATTTGCCTTTCTCTATCTGGCTTATTTTACTTAGCACAATGTCTTCTAGGTTCATCCATGCTGTCACAAATAGCACGATTTCTTTAGGAGTAAAGAATATTCCATGGTATATATAAACACATTTTCTTTATCCATGCATCCATCAATGGCCACTTAGTTTGCTTCTATAACTTTGCTTTGTGAATAATGCTGCAATGAATACTGGAATGCAGATATCTCTTCAACATACTGATTCCATTTCCTTTGGATATATGCACAGAAGTGGGATTGCTGGATCAAATATTTAATTCTATTTTTAGTTTTTTGAAGAACCTGTATATCGTTTTCTATGATGGTTGTATTACTTTACCTTTTAATCAATAGTGTACAAGGATTCCTTTTCTCCATATCCTAACACTTACTGTTTTGTCTTTTTCACAGCCATTCTAATAGGTATGAGGTATCAAACCCTCATTGTGGGTTTGTGTTTCCCTGATAATTGGTGATGTTGATCACATTTTTACATACCTGTTAGCCATTTGTATATCTTCTTTTGAGAAATGTCTATTCAGGTCCTGTGCACATTTTAAAATTAAATTATAAGTGTTGATTTCTTTTTTTTCTATTGAGTTATATGAGTTCCTTATATATTTTGGATATTAACCCCTTAGCAGATAGATGATTCACAGATATTTTCTGTCATTCTTTAGGTTGACTTTTTTATTCTATTGACTATTTCATTTGTGAAGAAGCTCTTAAGTTGGATACAACCCCCCATGTCTATTTTTGCTTTTGTTGCCTGTGCTTTGGGGGTCATATCAAAAATACTATTCTTACCAATGTTAAGAAGTCTTCTCTACCCCTGTGCATAAACCCTTCTTTTACCCTCAAAATATCCTTTGTTGTTGCTAGAGCATCTGTTGCCTTCTTCAGTAACTGTCTTCCTTTCTCTTGTCATTTTATAGTTACCATTTGTTGAGTATTACTAGGTACCAGCTACATCCCTTTAGAAAACAAAACCTTATAAAAAATTCAAAACAATTCTGGTTACTAAAGTTACTCCTGACTAGGTCAATTGCCAACGAATGAATGACACATTGGTTGCAAGCCTGCACCCAGCTGGATGGGAGAGTAAATTTCCACGCACTTGTGGTTTTCTGTGCTTGCAGCCAAAGTGAGTGCTGGCAGTGTGAGCCTGCCCATGGAAGAAGAAATGCAGGTGCTAGCTTTGGGAGTAGAATTACACCACAGGCTGATGCAAGAAAATGGCTAAGTGAACCAAGCAGATACGTTGAGAGCACCATGTAGCTTCTGCTGCAATCATACATCTTTTCTGCTTAGGCTTCTCTTGGTTGTAATTTTGTAGGATTCCTTGGTTAGTGATGGTCCACATCTGTGAGTCATGAGCCCAGTGAGGGCAGAAAACTTGTGTATATCTATTAAACTTTGTAGAATCCAGTATAAATGGCGCTAACTTTCATTGAATAAATGATTAAATGCCTATTCCTAAATGAAGAAATTAAGGCTCAAATAAATGAAATGGCATTGCTGTTGACCAGATGGATTCTTTGGGGGAACTCAGGATATGAACTTGAGGTTCGTAGGGATGCAAATGCCTTGCTCTTAGTCAACATAATAGGCTCTTTACGAATCCCGTGCCATTGTATGAAATGTCTGTGAGTCTTGGTTCACGTGCATAATTAGGAGAGTCAGTAATTATTTCATGTCTTAAGATGCAGATAATTACAAAAATTCAGATTAATATGTGGAAAATACAAAGTATATCCCTTGCTCATAGCAGATGAGCATTGATGTCAGTTGTTATCATTATATCATCATTGCTTCTTTCTGTTCTGCCTACTTCTGTTGCTAGTCTTTGGGAACTCTAACATCTTAATACATTGTTATTCTTGGTTTAACAGACAAGTCCTAGGAAAATTTTCTGAAAATAAGCAAAACATTAAAACTTCATCAGATGATTCTTAAAGCAGATTTTAAAAAATATTTCATAAAATCCACAAGACATGAAAGAACAGTGTGTCCACAATTCTTTCCTCTAAGTATTTTTTCCTATTAACCAGTAGGATAGAAAGAAGGGGATAATACCAAATTAGTTTTTCCTACCTTCTGCCCTCTCCAACCCTAGCCTTATCATGGATATTTTTCCCTCTTGGGATAGAGATGACTGCAAAAACAGATGTTGCTGCTCCTGCCAAACTCTTAAAAGTAGGTTGAACAAGTCACGTGTAATGCCAATGGCAGAGCCCCATCACTGCGACTGTTTTATGTAACCTGAGTTCAGAATCTTGAACTCTTGTCCACAGAAACAGGCTTGCTCCTTTGAGGACCCTGTCATTGACATCACAACAACAATAGGTGTGAGAATAGATAGTCCTCATTGCAAGCATATTCTTTTTATTTAAACAGTTTTATTGAGATATAACTTACATACCATAAAATTCACCCATTGAGTGTCTAGTGGTTTTAGTATAAAGTTCGCAGCATTCAACGTTATTCTTAATTCATGGTTCAAAGCAGAGTAAGCAATAGTTCAGTTCCCTGAAGATATTTGACTTTTGGAAAGGGAATGGGTCAGATAGTTTTAAAAATGGATAATTTCATAATGTCACCTTTTCCCTACACAGAGGGAGGATGATAGATTTCATAATGTCACCTTTTCCCTACACAGAGGGAGGATGATAGATTTCATAATGTCACCTTTTCCCTACACAGAGGGAGGATGACAATATTCTTGTGTTTTTTATGGTAGCAGAGCATTTTTTTGGGGGGAAAGGGAACTTCAGATAATATCACATATATGAATTAAGAAATGTTTCTTACTAGGCTTTTATTTTAAACTCACTACTCATCAAACTTGTCCTTAAGCTCAACAAAAATATCTACCTGTCAGGCAAAAATCAATATTTTTATAATACAGCAAAAAGTATGCTTACCTAAAAATTGTCCCTTAATTGACCTAACTTTTAAATCACTGAGTAATCTTAGGAAAGGCTGTAAGATATTTGGGTGTCAGTTTCTATACCTGTGAAATGGGGGAGATAAATGAGCTCTAAATTCTCTTCCAGTTCTTCATTTCTATCAGTTTTCAAGTGGACTCCTTTCTGCTTAATGCCATAATTTTGTGATACTATTATTGTGGAGGAGGTTAAAAACACTTTTGCATGATCCTGCTGTGCATATATGATATTCACAATTACAGACTGAAACAAGCATTTTCAAATGCTAACCGGATCAATGTAAAAGTGAGGTTCTTTTTGTTTTTGTTTTTGTTTTTAATATTAGGACTATATGACCTTGTAACATTGCCTTCTGTATTTTTAAGTAAAGTCCATTTGGGTCAGGAACAAGATATTTTTCTGTGCTTGGAGCTCACATTGCAGTTGACACTCAATACATACTCGTCAAAAGAATAAATGCATTTTAGTTAGCAAAAATGCAAGAAAAACATTAGTTAAGGCAGACCAAACTATGAAAGGGTGACTCTGCATGTCAGAGGGACTTATAGCACTAAAACAAATATAACGTCTAAGAAAATGTGAAATGTCTATCTTCTCAGCAGGCCTAGCTGTGAGTAATAAAAGCCCTCACAATATGGGCATCATAACAAAGAAAGAAATTTGCTGAAAACAATAACAGTTATTTCTTTATTGGTTTCAGACTATGTGGATATATACATAAACAACACGTTAATATTTAAATATCTGGAATCAATCTTAAAAAATACAAAGACTGTGAATTAATAAAATTAGCCATTAAACAGAAATCAGAGGCCAAGTAAAGCACAAACAATGAACCTAACTTCTTGAGCTGGGCCAAAAACATCATTCTAGTGGCTTTTCCCTATATAACTTTTTTTTTGTTTTTTTGTTTTTTTTTGTTTTTTTGGTTTTCTGTTGTACAAAACCTGAAGTTACCATTTCATTTAGTCAAGGCAACCAATGCATTTCTCGCAATTTATAAGGATGTTGACAGTTGGCACCATCCATTAAAAAATGATTAATTCACCTCTTGGCACCTAATGACCAAGCAGGAAATAGGATAGCAGCTGTCATTCTGTCTTGACTGCACATTTCTCTGTAAACACTCACACATGAAGCCTTGGGAGTAGCTTGCGAAAGGCATATTCCAATGGGTATTTCTTCAGCTTTTCTATTATACACTCTTTTTTTAAAAAAAGTATTTTTTTAAAGCACAGTAATCTAGCTCTTGCATGTGGGTGCTTTACTGAGAAAAATGGTCAATTGTTTTCAATGTTTCTGCTCCCCACCCTCCAAACCTGAGTGAGTGCAGGTGCTCCTGGCTTGCCTGAGAATGAGAATAAACTAAGATCACCAGCACGTGGGGTCTCTGCCTGTGAATTCTTATCTTGACCAACTAATACTTTACTGGTGAAATGTACATGCAGGTAAAATGTACATGCAGAAGATGAGAGAGGCAAAGGGTCACTTGATTATTAGCTAAATTTGGCCCAACCACTGCACAGCTGCATGGGATGGCATGCAACCACAGGCACTCCTTTGTCTAAGAAAACACATCCAAGCACTTCCTATTTTATTTTTTGGCCTCAGACCGGTGGTTCCAAACCTAGCTATTCTTGAGAAAAACTTGAGTGCCTTTTAAAATATAAATTCCCAGGCCCCACCCTCAGGCTTAATGAATTCTGTTTCTTGAAAGGGACCTGGAAAGTTTTTGTATAAAATAACTTTAGGTGATAGTGATGCAGCTAGTTACTTAGAAACCATTGTCCTGCATCTTACTCTGCAGCCAGCTTGGCTTTCAAAAGGCATGGGGACAGGGGAGAGAAGACCTCCTTTCTAGGAAGAGGAGACTCTCAGCTGCTAGGATATGGAGAGTCTGCAGGAACTGAGGGACACACTGAAGAACAGTAGAGCTAGGCCTTCTGCCAAGTGGGCGCTGCCCGCTCCTTCCTGTAGTCCAGCCACATGAAAGAAGGGATAGGAAGAGACAAAGGGGGAACTGGGCCTGGGCCTTGTCTCCATGAGGAACAGCCCATGTCTCTGGTTCATCTTCAGAGATCATCTCCCCAAGTGCTGTGACTGTTAATGGACCACTCCTTGTACTGCACACCAGTTTTAAAAAGTCTATTTGCCATCAGAATGGAGGGTTGAGGAAGACCACGTGGTTTGATCTAGAATAGCATTTTCCATTGTGTGGCATGGGCATTGCAGTGCAACATGAGACAATGTCAAGCGATCTCCTAACCTGTATGGGGCAGAGATGGCCTTAATGGGTAGGCCAAGGCTGTGTGAAGAAGAGAAGAACAGGGGTTGAATGAAACAGGGGTGGGAAGAAGAGACATGCAGGATCTCCTTTTCCTAGATATTGGTGTCTCATTTTAATCCCAATTATAATGTTGGGAACAATTTTTAAACCTAATTTGTTCATAAAACCAACCAACAATTACAAAAATGACTTTTTGTTATTGAATGAACTGATTACACACTTGACTGTGTCCCTCATTAAACAAAGTTTAAGAGCGCCGAGCACAGTGGTTCATACCTGTAATACCAGCACTTTGAGAGACCAAGGCAGGCAGATAGCTTGAGGCCAGGAGTTCGAGACTAGCCTGGCCAACATGGCGAAACCCTGTCTCTACTAAAAATAGAAAATTAGCTGGGCATGGTGGTATACGCCTGTTGTCCCAGCTACTTGGGAGGCTGAGGCAGGAGAATCTCTTGAGCCTGGGAGGCAGAGGTTGCAGTGAACCGAGATTGTGCCACTGCACCCCAGCCTGAATGACAGAGCAAGATTCTGACTCAAGAAAAAAATAATAGTATAAGGAAACACTTAGGACACTCTGCAAGTATCTCTTCATGACGTTCAAACAATATGGTGGTTGTAGATGAGTAAGGCACTATGCCACTGTGGAAACTAACAAATAGCTGGGCAGATTCAGAGAAACACACTGTAGATATTGCTTTTGAAGCCTTTTCTACAAAAATTGGTTGAGCAAATGTCACTTACATCATGATCCTCAATGTCGAGCTCTATCAGCAAAGGCACAATTAAGTGGACATAATTTGCTTTTTCTCTGTGCAATTGTGAATTGGGATTCAAGATAATCTTACATAACATCCCATCTTTATTCTAAACTTAGTGATATTAAGCTGACTATTCTTGAGAAACTATGAACAGGTCACTTAGTGTCATTGAGGAATTCTTTTATTTTCAGATGAGTTTTGTAAACCATTTGTAGTGACTGTATTTTATTTTGTAATTAAAATTAACAAATGTAAATATTTGGCTTTTGCGGCTACCCTTTATGCCATGTTCTATCGATTCTATGTTTAAAGGAGTTATAAAACAGTTGATTTTAAAATAATTTCTTTTTTTAGAGAAAATAATTTCTTTTACTTTTTTTTTTTAAATTATACTTTAAGCTCTCGGGTACACGTGCAAATCATGCAGTTTTGTTACATACACATGCCATGGTTGTTTGCTGCACCCACCTACCCATCACCTACATTAGGTATTTCTGCTAATGTTATCCCTCCCCTAGCCACCCCCCGCCCCCTGACAGGCCCTGGTGTGTGATGCTCCCCTCCCTGTGTCCATGTGTTCTCATTGTGCAACTCCCACTTATGAGTGAGAACATGCAGTGTTTGGTTTTCTGTTCTTGTGTTAGTTTGCTGAGAACGATGGTTTCCAGATGGAGTCTCACTCTATCCCCCGCGGTTGGAGTGCAATGATGCGATCTCAGCTCACTGCAGCCTCTGCCTCCTGGGTTCAAGTGATTCTCCTGCCTCAACATCCCGAGTATCTGGGACTACAGGTGCCACCACCAAGCCCGGCTGATTTTTGTATTTTTAGTAGAGACAGGGTTTCACCACGTTGGCCAGGGTGGTCTTGAATTCCTGACCTCAGGTGATCGGCCTGCCTCAGCCTCCCAAAGTGCTGGGATTATAGGCATGAGCCGCCGTGCCTGGCTGAAATATTTTTTACAGCAAATCATATTTTTACTTAAATAGATTTAAAAGTTGGTAGAGGTGATACGTGCTTATGGGGAAAACTCATGATGATAGCAATTGAGTGACAACAGTTTGAGAATCACCTCTCAGGAGTCTGTGGTCCTCTCAGGAGGAAGAAGGTGTCAGTCACCCAGATCCAGGGGTGACTGACGAAAACCGTCTTAGGTGTTGACCCTCAGCACCAGTGGAGACCATAGAGGTATTCAAGGAATTAAGATCTTAGGGGAAAGATAAGGTAAAACAGACAAAGCATGGAATCCTTATGCATATTTTTACATTTTCAAAGATAAAACCATATAGCACATAATTAGATGACCTTTTCCACATCACACTTAGCAATAATGGGTTCTGTGTTATAAATTTTCATAAACCATGTCTTACATAATACATGCTGGTGTATTGTGAGGTATTGTGGTGTATTGGGCTATTGTGAGGATTAAATGAGATAACATATATAAATAGTTTATTACAATATCTGATTCCCATTAAACACTAATATGTGGTTGCTTATTACCAAAAGCTATAAAGAAAGACAACTTTTTTTTTTTCCTGGTGTGGTATCGTCTTTCTACCGTTAGCATATAGAACCCATGCCAAGAGAATTCTCGCTCATGCTTTCCCTCCATCTTAATGGACTTGGAGTTGCAGGCTCCAGATACTCTGGTGTGATTGCCCAGGAAATACTATCATCCCAGAGCAAAGCAATTATTACAGATAAAGACTTAGATATGCAACAAGTCTTTAAGTATACTTTGTTGAAAAGACTAGGTAAGGATTTATTATTTCTCAACCCCAGTTCCCCATATGAAATTCCCAGCTCTGCCCGTAATTTATCATTGTTAAATCACTTATTGTCAAACTCCATTCACATGCATCTCAGGGGGCAAAAAGTAGAGTTCTAAGGCCTGCATGCCCTTCTTTTTCTTTCTCTATCCCAGGGTAACGCAACACAGTCACGAGAACCCCAATGGATTTGGGTTTGAGTCCTGACCCCATCACTCAGTGACTGTGTACTAGGGCTAAATACGTAATGTCTCTGAATCCGAGTTGTCACCTGCCAACAAAGAACAATAGTATCTTCCTAAGTGGGCTATTGTTAGGATTAAATGAGATAACATATATAAATAGTTCAGTACAATACCTGATTCCCATTAAACACTAATATGTGGTTGCTTATTACCAAAAGGTATAAAGACAATTTTTTTTTCTGGGCGTGGTGGTGGGCACCTGTAATCCCAGCTACTTGGGAGGCTGAGGCAGGAAAATCGCTTGAACCTGGGAGGCGGAGGTTGCAGGGTGTTGAGATCCTATCATTGCACTCCAGCCTGGGCAACAAGAGTGAAACTCTGTCTCAAAAAAAGAACAAAATATCTTTTTTTCTGTCACGTATTTTATCTGCATCTATTCCATTTTCCATTCTTAATCATAATTTTTTGTTTGCTAAATAGCAATAAATTATATAAAAATTCTCTTAACTATAAAGATACGCATATGAACTTATGTAGACACACATGTAATCACAGATGCAGGGAAAAATACAGTATTTTCAGATCAATTGGACATAACTTTGCCCAGTTCTTATTCTCCACTGGTTTAATGATTCAAAATTTCAAAAAGCCAAGAACAATTACTTTTTATTTTTTTCATGTTTTCCTGCCCATCCTTCCCTTCCCCCTCTTTATTTTTACAAAAATATTTTACTAGAATGACTTTTAAATGTAAAAATACATTTATGGTAGTTTTATCTTAGATGATTTCCACAAATGTTCTCATGACAATTACAGGGGAACAAAATAGTGTGTCCTCAAGAGGGTAAATGTGTCATCTGTTTCATCCTAGCATTTCATACTTTGATTTCTTCAAAGGCAAACAAGAAAAATCACTAGTTGTTGAATAGCTTATCTATCTTTCCTCTTCTCAATGAAGTTACTCTGTAGATTTGTTGTTGTTGAGACAGAGTCTCTGTCTGTCACCCAGCGGGGAGTGGTGTGGCCCAATCTCCTCTCACTGCAGCCTCAGCCTCCCAAGTAGCTAGGACTACAGCTGTGTGCCACCACAGCTGGCTACTTTTTTTGTATTTTCAATAGAGACAGGGTTTTGCCATGTTGGCCAGGCTGGTTTCGAACTCCTGGACTCAGGTGATCCGTCTGCCTTGGCCTCCCGAAGTGCTGGGATTACCGAGGTGAACCGCTGCACCCAACCATTCTCTAAGAGTCCTGAGTGACATTTATACAGTTAAATTACCTTTGAAATTATGGACTTTTCACTAACTTATTCAAGAACTTAACAAGCTGTCAAAGATAAAGAAATGGAATACTTTATTATAAAACTTATAAAATAATTAAATATTACACATATATTTTGACTTTTCTCTATAATCCATGGTTTTATTCAACATTTTATCTCAAAATATTACTTAGAGAAGCAAGTGAGAACACATAATAGGCTATTAATTAATAAATTAATTTTCCATAAAATAATAAAATGATAATTATATAAAGAAATAACTTGCTGTTTTTCAGAAGGCAACGGGGTTGTAGTAGAGAAAATTTTTTTTTTTCCTGTTGATAAAATGGCCACTTCTCTAGGCCAAGCCAAGCAGATTGAGAGAAGTTCCTAAGCATTATTTCTCTGGGATTCAAGAACTCATGACTTTAATTAGAATGGGAACGAAGTATGCTGCTAAATTTAACAAACCACTGTCTAGTTGATTATGCTGAGCTGGCTAATCCAGCTTGAATTGAGACTTTTTAAAGAAGTAAAATTGGGTTACATTCATCAAAGAAGTTGAGGAATAAAGTAGAATTTATGTAAATATGCCCTTTATAACCACTTCTCAAAAAATTACAGGAGGACACAGTATTATAATTACTTTGGTTTTGGCAAAATAGTGTGATGTTTTTTCAATTGAGAACAATTTTAAACTCATTAATGCCTACCAACAGCTGGCTTCTGATGACTGAAAATACTCTTATTCAGTGAGGGTCTTGTCATATTATGATTTATTAATATTAACATAGCAAGAAGACAGATGGATTTTTTTATTACCACTGTTTACTCCTTTCTTTCTCTCTTTTTTTTTTTTTTTTTTTTGCTGTTAGCTCAATCCTAGGGCAAATTTAAACGTATCAGTTGGTAGGAAAAAGCCACAAGTGGCCTTTAATTTTCCAAGCAGCTCTGGTAGTATGTACAGAGCATTATAAATGATGGTCCTTTCTCCCTCAAAACACTGCTGTGTTTTGTCATTTAGCTCCTCCTAGATATTTTTTAAATACCAGAAATGGGTATGTAGCATTCCCAAAGAGCGGGCTGTAGCTTTTCATGGACTGATTCAGCAAGCACCAAAAGTTACGAGGTTGATAACATGTGAAGGGCATCCATATTTATCTTTTCTATGAGTTGTTTCCTTGCATGAATTTCAATTACATGGAGATCTTAAACAGTCCATGTTGCCCTATTTTCATAATATTCCTTGGAATACTTTTCAAGTTGTCAATTTTAGTCTCAGAGACTCTCTATAAGCAGAATATAGTTTACACAAAATAATAAAGACACACGCACACCAAATAAACATAACATGAAGCTTGCCAGTCCAGCAGCAAGCACAATTGCGAGCACCATTTGGCTTCTCATAGAACTCCTGGCTTGGGTGTTCACAGGGTTAGTCGAACTGTGAACTCCACGCAACAGTTAGGCAAGGTATTCCATCCAGATTTGAAAGTTCTGAGTCTCAGTCTTTGACCTGAAGTCATAAAGGACCTTTTTAAAACAGATGTCTTTGCCCTTGAACCCTTTGAAGTTCAAAAGGGGGTCTCTCCCCAAATCGACGTATCTCAGTGTGATTCACCACTTCTTGCATATAACAGTGCAAATCAAAGATTTTTTTTAAAGTCAGATTTGTCATCGCTTCCCATTTTCAAGTGCTTCAGAGTACCACGTGCTTCAGGGAATTGAGCTAGAAGCCTACTGGCAACCTGTCTGTTCCTCAGAGCAGGCTCCTTCATCACAGCGGCAGCTCACAGATGGTTCTCGGTGCTCAGCTCCTGGTCTCAAAGGCAGCTGGTCTCTCTAGAGGTTGAAAGGTAAGCCCCTGGCCCTAAGGTGCTGGGGAGGACACCAAGATCAGATCTTCCTTGTGCATGACTTGCAGCATTGTTTTCCGTAAAACTTGTGGTTGCAGACACCATGCTGAGGAACTAGGTGACACCAGTTGAAGAAATCTACGCAGGATGGATCCTCTAAAATAAGAAAATATATTTAGCATGTTGGCTAGGGTGTCTATCCTTTTTCTTTTTTTTTTTTTTTGAGATGGAGTCTCACTCTGTTACCTAGGCTGGAGTGCAGTGGTGTGGTGTGATCTCCGCTCACTGCAATCTCTGCTGCCCAGGTTCAAACGATTCTCCTGCCTAAGCTTCCCAAGTAGCAGGGACTATAGGCAAGTGCCACCAAGCCCAGCTAATTTTTGTATTTTTAGTAGAGACGGGGTTTTCCACCATGCTGGCCAGGCTGGTCTCAAATTCCTGAGCTCAAGTGATCTGCCTGCTTCGGCCTCCCAAAGTACTGGGATTACAGGTGTGATCCACCGGGCCCAGCCTTTGGTGATTTGCATATTATGATTTATTAATATTAACATAGCACCTTTTTCTTAAGGTGAGGGCCTACAGAACAAAGGTCTTGGGCCCACCTCCCTTGTGCCTCTATGTGGTTTTTCCCATTAAACATTGGGACTTTGGTAGGGGGGTGAGGTAGGGGCAGGATTTAGATGCCAAGAAAAGACTCTGACCATTAGCAAAATTAAATGATTTGTTTTTAAAAAATGTCACATCTAATCCAAGATCAATGTCTGATCCTCCCTATGTAGCCTGGGAGCTACCATGGAATTCAGTGTCCAGGGAAATACCCTAAAATGGTGCTTTAGGGATCCCCTAAGGATATTGTTGTACCACTAGTACCGCTGGTTCTGATTGAGAAGGGCTGTCAGAGGGGAGCATTAAGGGAGGGTGTGCTGCTGGTCCACGAACTATAATTTCAGGAGCAAGAAGCCTGATGTATTGGGAGTCAAGCCACCTTATTTGCCTGCAAATGGGTTGAGATTAACTGAAAAAGCCGGGTCTCCAACAGTCTGTGTAGGTTTAAGTCAATCTCAACCAGTTTGCAAGTAAATAAATTTAAGTCAACACCAGTCCTTTCTAATTTCTTTAGTTGTTCAATGAGCAGGACAGATGTGATTATTTCACTGTACATCAAGAATTCTTACTCAGATGGGCCTCAGGAGATAGGAAATGCAAGTGAATGGGTATGTAAACATAAGTGCATGTTGTAGGAGCAAGGGCCCAGTCATTTCACTGTTTTGTTTGAGATGGAATTTTGCTCTTGTTGCCCAGGCTGGAGTGCAATGGTATAATCTCGGCTCACTGCATCCTCCGCCTCATGTATTCAAATGGTTCTCCTGCGTAAGCCTCCTGGGTAGCTGGGATTACAGGCACCCACCACCACGCCCAGTTAATTTTTGTATTTTTAGTAGAGATGGGGTTTCACCATGTTGGTCACGCTGGTCTCGAACTCCTGACCTCGGGTGATCCGTCTGCCTCAGCCTCCCAAAGTGCTGGAATTACAGGTGTGAGGCACACCCCCGGCCATTTTACTGTATTTTTAAGGCACAGTTTTGACTTTAAAAATATTTAGAGTATACACTACACATAATTCAGAAATGCTTAGAGTTCCTTCTTCAAGCCTTGATTTTTCTGCCTAAAATTCCTTTTTATACATCCCCTTCATGTAAGTAAGTCAGGCAGGAGAAGTGAGATGTATTACTATTCTGTCAGTATAAGTGCTTTTTTTGATTATAATTACTAACAGCTGGTTGTTTGAGCTTCTACTGTGAGTCAGGTATTTCATTTACACTATTGAAGATGACCTTGGAATCATTTCTTTGCTTCACGTTCTCCATGCAATCAGCAGATACTCTTGGCTCAATCTTTAAAATGCACCCAGCATCCAACCTCTTCAGTACTGCCACTGCTCTAGTGGAACCTCCTCCAACCGCTTCCTGGCAGAGTTGACAAGTCCTTGTTCTACTCGAGACAACCTGCACTCCTTTCACCTTAACTGCCAGTAATCTTCCTAAAGCTAGATCCTATTGCTCTTCTCTTCTGCTCAAAGTTCTCCATTGGCTTCCATCGTACTCAGCGTTAAATCTGAAATCCTTACACTGACTGACAAGGCCTCCAGTCCCACTTTTCATGTATTGCTTAACCACTCTTCACCTTGTTTCTTGTACTCCAAGCATCGTGCCATTCCTCAATTAGATTAGTATATTCCTGCCTCGGGGACTTTGGGGTCTCTCTGCCAGGAACACTCTCCTAGAGCCATATGTGGTTCACCTTCCTTGAGGTCTCTGTTTAAGTGCTAAATAATCAAGTGGTCGTGCCTGATCATTATAATCTGAAGGTGTTTTCCTATTTCCTCACCCCTTCACCCCTGCTACTTTACTTTCTGACACTGTGTGCTAATTGGTTGATTTGTTGTCCGTTTCCATTTTGAAGCAAGCTTGTCAGAAGGTGGGAGCCGTGCCTGTTTATTTTGTAATCAGACCCCAGAACAGTTTCTGGTTCACAGTAAGCACTAAAGACATGTGTGAAAAATGGAATTACCTTCTTTAATACTCAAAACAGTCTTTCGAAGTAAGCATTATTTCCCAGTTTTATGAATGCTCAGAAAGTTCAAAACTTGCTCAAAGCTCCATAGCTAGCTCCATAGCTACTGAGTGTCAAGTCAGTGTGGATTCAACTCTATTTTTATGATTTTAGGGTCCTTGCTCCTTCCACTGTACAATGCTGCCTGCCCCCATCTGAAGATGTGGGATTCCATGAGGAGCAGCTTATTAGTATTGAGTGCCTGCTCATCCTTAACTTAATATGACTAGTCTGCAGCCCAGGTAGCTTCCAGACACGTAAACACCCAGTTTCAATGCAGTGTGACACAAGTCTCTGGGTGGTATGACTGCTTTAGGGCCTTCTCTCTTTTCTGAAGAGAATTTTATGTATAATATGTACAGTGCAACCATAAGGATGGCTTCCCCAAGGTGGAGATCCAACCAAGATACCCAGATAAGGCATCACACACTGATGATGATATACAATGACTGCCCCTAGACTGGCACTCAGTATGGGCAGGGATCTGGGGGACAACAAAGCTGTTTGGTGACACTGGATGACAGGAGGATGCAGCCATGGGCAGAATGGTCTTCTCTAGGGTCTAGTTTAAGTGACTACAATGGGTAGAAACTTCTACCCAAGTGGAAGCTCCATAAGGGGAGGAAACTCTCACAGTGCCTAGCAGAGTACCGTACCTGGTCCACAGTGGGGGGCTCAGAGAAGAGGCAAAGAACGGAATCTTCTTCCGTCACCATGCGCCTCCTTACTGCTCACTAATGTTTTCTGAAAACTCACAGCCAGAAAATACACTCAAACGACATTCATAGTAGTCACCCTGCCAAGCATGTAATCATCCCTATACTTGGGATGGGAATGGGAGAAAATCCTCAACTTAGTAAACTGTAGGCCACATTTTTGGGTCAGAACAAACACGTGGGCTCGTATCCTTTATTCTTCCAAAAGCCACCTGACTCAGCCATGAGGCACAGAGAGAAACTCCTCTTTTTGAGACAGGGTCTCAAAAAAAGCCCAGGCTGGAGTGCAGTGGTGCAATCTCGGGTCACTGCAACCTTCACCTCCTGGGTTCAAGAGATCCTCCCACCTCCCCAGTAGCTAGGCCTACGGGCACCTGCCACCACACCCAGCTAGTTTTTATATTCTTAGTAGAGACGGGGTTTCACCATATTAGCCAGGCTGGTCTCAAACTCCGGACCTCAGGTGATCCACCCGCCTCAGCCTCCCAAAGTGTTGGGATTACAGGTGTGAGCCACAGCACTCAGCCAAGCTCCTCTTTTAATAAGCCATTTCTCATATGCACCCTATGACTCCCCTCATTCCAGCACCACAGGTAGAACTGACCATCACTGTAACACTGTGAATATTCCACCACTTATTTGTTGTTGTAGCTTTCTTTTAAGAACAGGACCTTTTAAGAATAGGACCCAGCTGTATTCTTTCATCCCTAGAAGAGTGCTGGAGGTATATAAGGTGCTTGGTGACTTGGCTTTGAACAAGATCGAGGACCTCACAGCACTTTTCACATGATCTTTCATGTAGCCCTACACTCATGCATTTATTCATTTAAGACTTATTGAGTACCTGTTGCGTGCCCATTGTGGTATTAGGTGCTGGGTGAGCCAAAAATAACAAGACAAATGGCCTCCTTGGACCATACGTGCATGTTGACTTTCCCCATCCTTCCAGGAGATACTGTTGGGCAATTTCATAATTGGTCATTGTCGTTGGGGGTGCTGGTGGCCTTCTAGGCTGAATCTTTCTTTGGTAATTAAGGGTGGAAATGAGAAATCACTGATAGTCTGGAAGAACATGACCGCTTGCTCATTTCTTCCCTATGTAGTATCCCAGCATGGACTAGGATGATCTGGCTCTGAGTAACTGCTACAGAGCTATTTTTTTTTTGGTCTTGTGCAAGATTCTTTAGCACGAGGCAAGCAGATTAGGCTGAAAGATATTTCCTGGCATTTGTCAGATTACTTCAAATAGTGAAGAATGGTACAGTTTACTCAGACTTTCCATTTTCCTATCAGTACTCACTGCACTTCCCTTGAACTAACTTTAAGAAAACATTTAGGTATAGTCCTAGGGCAATACATATTCACTGATGACTATTACTTTTGATTTCTGAATTTTTTATATCTTCAACAAACATGAACATCTTTATATATGGATTATAGTTGTCTCCTCCATTAAAATATGAGCTCCTTGAGGGCTATTGTTGTTCACCTTTATGTTCCCATTTTCAAATTAATAATGGTTAAAAAGCATTATTGTAGCAATTAAATATTCCCTTCAGACCCATGCAAACAAGATCACTAGGATAGGCTGGGCATGTGGCTTGTGACAGTAAACCCAGAACTTGAGGCCAGGAGTTCGAGATCAGCCTGGCCAACATGGTGAAACCCTGTCTCTACTAAAAATTCAAAAATTAGCCAGGCGTGGTGGTGCACACCTATAATCCCAGCTACTCAGGAGGCTGAGGCAGGAGAATGGCATGAACCCGGGAGGCAGAGGTTACAGTGAGCTGTGTACTCCCACCTGCATGACAGACTGAGACTGTCTGAAAAAGATTATTTGGACAGCAACTTCCCCAGAGTGGTGCCTTATACAACTCCAGGGAGCACTGTCACATAGACTTCGGGTGAATGGCTTACCCTAGAGTTGTACAATGTCACAGGCTGCACTACTAACAAAGTAGCCTTTGAAAAAATTATCTAAAGACTAGTAAAGTTGACTGGAGCATGGTGCCTTTTTACCTCTCTTTTCAGGAGCTGGACAGAAGTTTGTATTACAGGCTCGTAGCACCGGAGGTTTCTGATGGAGCAGACAACTTGAGGAAGGCCGGCCTTGCTGAACACAGTGGACTGACCGGGTCTGGACCCCTCCCCCACAGGTGACTGTGCACTGCAGCAGAGAGAAGAGGAAGGAGTCAGAAACACTCTACTGAGGTCAGTGACATCAAACAGAAGGAATTCCCATGCTTCATGACATTAACAAGATGCCTGCTGATGAAACAGATTGGCTGGAGCCAGGCACATGTGCTTACAGTCCACAGCATCTATCCTAACAAGTGTGATCCCTTTGATCTGATTAGAAGGGTTTTAGGCAAATGCTATCTATCTAGCCCAAGAGTGTGTGTCTCCCAGTTAAGTGACTCACTCATAAAGAAGAGAAGCTCCAGAAATACAGAAGCTGCTCTAAGAATGCAGAAACAAATACAGACACACCTAGGGAGTTAATCACAGGATTTAAAGAATTCCAGACAATCTGTGCAGCTGCAGTAGTGGAGGACATAGTTCAAAACTGGGACAGAAAAAGAAATGGTCAGAGACAGCTCTGGAATTAGGTCCTCGGTGCCCAGCCACATTCTGAGTTGGCATGACAGAGTTGGTGCTTCTTAGGAGTCGCTGATTTCAGTGTGCAATTAAAAATTTTCAAAAGTAGACAACTCAACTGTCTTTCTTCCAGACAGCCATATGAAAAATTTATAAAGATACTTCATAACAAAAGGAAAACCAGGGAAAAATGTAGCCCTTTAAATGGATTTTTCTTATTTTAAAAAGTTACTACATTAATTTTTCTTAAATGTACATATGCATTATAATTGACTGTAGTTTCTGTCTCAATTAAAATTTAAGGGCAAGTCTTGTTATCAAATTATCTAAACTAGGAGTTTGTAAACTTTTCCTTTAAAGGGGAAGATAGATAGTAAATATTTCAGGCTGTATAGGCATACGGCCTCTGTTGCAAGTACTCCTCACTGCCGTTGTAGCACTAAAGCAGCTGTGGTCAATATATTAAGCAAATGAACATGGCTACATTCCAGTTAAACTTTATAAAAACAGGCAGGTATTGGGGGAGCAGATTTGGCTGGGTGGCAACTGTTTGCTGACCCCTTAATCTAAATAAACTTATTAGAGTCAATTTTAAAAAGAAATCCCCAGCAATATGTGTAACACCTAGCACAATGCCTGGCCAGAGAAAATCAGGCTAATTTCCTTTCCTCTCATCCATGTGTTGGTTTCCAGATCCTCCCAGATAGATAACGTACGTACATATTGATACCTCTACCCGGACTCTGTGATTAATGGTGAGGTGGGGAGCACCCGAGTCCTCTGAACTGAACAGCTGTGCAGCAACATCTGCTGGGTGGAATGCTGGAAGGACCGCGTCACACACCAATCCTAGCTAAAGTTTCACCCAAGTCTTCTGAAAAGAAGGGTGCCTCTAGCATCTGATAAGTTTAAAAGCGAAGTATCCTTGGCTGAATTGCCTGACATTCTGAGCTTTAGGGACCATACTACCCCTGAATAGGAGTACTTAGCACCGTGCATAGTAATAGCTTGACAAATATTAGCTATTACATTGTTCAGAAACATGATGTAAGAACCAAATGAGTAAAGGCTGTGAGCAGCATTTCTAAAACAGAAAGACTCGAGTGGTAGTTTCCGTAGCAACAGCAATGACCAACATTAGCAGTGTATAACTGGCCTGGTGGTAAGTGTTTTACATACATTTTCTGATGAACAAAAACAAATCAACTCTCCCAGATAATGATTTTCTAGATGTGAAAACTGAGGTTTACAGATTGTTACCTGCCCAGGGCCAAAGAACAAAACCCATTCTGCCTTCAGAACTTGAGCCCTTAGTTGTTTTTACTTAGACAACCATTAACAGACTAAGAGCAACTGTTTGCAGAACGCCTCATTTTTCGACATCTCACTTGAATAGACACCTCCTCAATCGGCCTGTACCCACCTGCTGCCACGGCAATGAATACCATCCAGCTACCATGTTGTACACTGGATGGGCTGGGCAAGCCCGTCGGTTGCAGGTCTCTTCCAAGTCCAGATTTGGTTTCTTAATATTACGGCATCTTCGCTCTGGGAAAGTTATCAGCTTTCCCTGGAAGCCCTTCTCGCTGCACTTCATCTCCCTCTTCCTCACACCCAAACCACAGGTTGCAGAACACTAGGAGCCAAGACAGGATGTGTAAAAGTGAAGACTGCCAGGATCACATCTTCTGGACAGAGGCAGTTTGACATAAGGTTGCACCATCCACATGAAATAGGAGGGATGGGATTACACAAGGTCAACCACACTCACTCGAGGATCTTACAGATACAGCAGCCAAGTACCTCATGCTATAGGTAAGGAAACCAAAGTTCAGAGAACGGAACTGACTTTCCCAAAATCACACAGATCATTAGCCTCATAAAGTAAAAAAGGAACCTTGGGATGCCACATGGGTGTGAGATGGAGTCCAGGAGAAAGGCAAGATGGGCAAAAGAATTTCCAGGTTTAGGGTTACACACTTACAGGTCCAGGTCTACCTAAGGCCTGAGGAGTTAGGAATCTGAGTTGAAGAGGGTAAGGGCCAGAGAAAAGGATTCAGAGCTTAATGGGAAAAACCACTGTACAGCAAATAATTGCTCTTTAAATATACCCAACCTCTCACACACAGGAGGTAACATGATGAGGGTCAAAAGTATCCTTTTAGGAAAAATATCCTTTTAGGCTGGGTGCAGTGGCTCAGGCCTGTAATCACAGCAGTTTGGAAGTCTGGGGCAGGTGGATCACTTGAGCCCAGGAGTTCAAGACCAGCCTCAGCAACATGGTGAAGCCTCAGCAACATGGTGAAACCACATCTCTATAAAAATTAGCCAGGTATAGTGGTGCATGCCTCTAGTCCGAGGCAGCAGATTACCTGAGCGAGGGAGGTGGAGGCTGCAGTGAGCTGAGATTTTGCCACTGCACTCTAGGACAACAGAGCAAGACCCTGTCTCAAAAATAAAAAATTTACTCCCCAGTATTTGTGAGAGATATTTCTAGTGTGTCACCCAAGGCCCTCATGATTTTTCCACCCCATCCCATGTCCCTTCTTTACTAAATGTGCAGTCCCCTGTCATCACTCCTGTGTAGAGGCTGCACCCTCTGTCTGGGACAACCTTGCCCCAAATCCCCTTTTGCTTTGATTCCTGCTCATTTTTCAGGCCATGCTCCCTAGAAAGTCTCTTCTGACAAGGGTTCTTCCCAAAGACCGGCTTGGGTGAAGCTTGAGCTCTCCCATAAAATGACAGACTTCTATCAAGTCACTTGACGTGTGCTTTCTCTGCGTGTGCTTTATGAAGTCTTGCGCCCCTACTGCCCAGACATAGGCTTGATCAATGTGGGGGTGCTTTAGCAATGTTTCGTGAAGAAATCAGGAGAGAACTGGGAAGTAGCAGGCATTTGGTATCAATGTGTGCAACACAAAGGAGTTTTGTGAGCCTAGATGCTAGCAGGTCAGCTGAGCATCTCAAGAAACCTCCAGCAGTGACTTTTTTTTTTGAGACAGAGTCTCACTCTGTCGCCCAGGCTGGAGTGCAGTGGCGCAATCTCAGCTCACTGCAAACTCCGCCTCCTGGGTTCACGCCATGCTCCTGCCTCAGCCTCCCCAGTAGATCAGACTACAGGCGCCTGCCACCTTGCCTGGCTAATTTTTTGTATTTTTAGTAGAGACAGGGTTTCACTGTGTTAGCCAGGATGGTCTCAATCTCCTGACCCAGCAGTGACTTCTAATCCATACCTCGCTCCACGAAGAAGCGACCCACTGTAGCCGGCTGTTCTTGGGGCATCGTCCAAGCACACAGCCCTCCTGCAGCTCAGGTCTGGGGAGACTGGTACACTGGCTCTCGGGGAGGGTTTCTGCGGCAGAGCCCTTGCAGAGGAGTTCACGCTTCCTCACCCCTCGTCCACAGGTCTTGGAACACTTGAGAAGACAAAAAAGTTCTATTTGCATTCCCATTAGGTTTCAGTAGCCACATTAAAAAAAAAAACAACACACTAAATATATTCCTGTGAAAGGTGGGATAAACTCCATGAACTAAAGCTCTTTTTACGAGATCTACTTAACCACCCCCATTCCCATTACCCACCATACATATCTGGCTAAAACAATTATTTGAATTCTTTCTGTAAATTATATTGCTAACTGCAAAGAAAGAGACTAGACTCAACACCATGTACTATTTAGATTTACCCTCTGCTATAAAGGAATATATTCTCTCATTTGAAAGAACCCCTAAACAAGCTCAAAAATATTCTCTCTCCCTCCTGACCCCTAATTCCCTAACGTATCAGTCTCCAATTTCTTTGGCACCAGGGTCGGCTTTTGCAGAACACTGTATTTCCATGGACGGGCAGGGTGGTGCTTTGGGGATAAAACTGTTCCACCTCAGATCATCACGCATGAGATTCTCATAAGTAACATGCATCCTAGATCCGTCACCTGTGCAGTTCACAACAGGGTTCAAACTCCTCTGAGAACCTAACGCTGCCACTGATTTGACAGGAGGTGGAGTTTAGTCTGTGATGCTGGCCTGCTGCTCATCTCCTGCTGGGCAGCCCAGTTCCTTACAGACCACAAACAGGTACTTGTTCATGACCTGGGGGTTGGGGACCCTTGTGCTAACAGATATGTCCTAACATTAAAAAATAAAGCCCTACTCTGACCTCTGGTAGTGTATTGCTGAAATTAATCAGAAAGCAGCACCCTCCAGCATGTAATATACGCTAAAGGAAAACACAGAAGAACTGTCATCAGTGGCTGCTACCTGGCCCCATGGTTCAGGTGGTAAAACTCTTGCCGTTTTTTCATTCTTCCCCATAATTTGTTTGCCAGCAGTGATTGAGCAGTGGTTGAGCTATCATCTGCAAGGGAAGCTGTAGGGAAGGGCTTCTTCCCTTCAGCACCACTGACATTTTGGATCAGATAATTCTTTGTGGTGAGGAGCTGGCCTGGGCTGTGTAGGACATTCACCTCTACCCACTAGATGCCAGGAGCACTCATCTCCCCAAGTTGTGACATCAAAATGTCTCCTGGTAGGCAAACTTACCCACGGTTGAGAACCTTTGCTTTAGAGGGAATTCTGAGCTGTGAACGACAAGGTAGCTCTCTGTCCCTTCTAACTTTAAAATTTTATGGCTTTCACTGGGAATTTGTGACCATAGCAAACTTTATGCCCTACTTTTCTCTGTATTCTTCTAACTTTACCTCTTTCCCATTGAAGCAAGAGTTAAATATCTCTTCGATGCTTCATTCTTTGTATTTGCGTTTCCCATTTGCTTTGGAGAATTCAGTAGCCAGTCTTCTGATACTGGAATCCTTTCTAGCTGTGCTCACGAGTCTGGCCTAAATGGCCCCCACACTCCAATTTCTGTTCCTCTAAGGAGGATTCTAAGCTCTGGGAGAGGGGTGCCAAAACTTCAGATTTCCTAAAGAACATTAGTTAAAATGCAGATTCCCAGGCACATGAACTCAGGGTGATTTCCATGAACATGTAAACTGCCAAGAGCCCAGTGGAGAGCAAAGACACCTCTACTTTTGCCTTCATGGGGACCGAGAATAGTAACTCCCAAGTTTTCTCCTGTTACCTGAGACCAGGGTCCAAGGCTCCATTGTGGAGGGCAGGCATGGCTGTTGCAGGCTTGGACCTGAGTGGGTGTGCTCACTGGACAGAGAGAATGCAACACTGCTTCCTCCTTTTGGAAGGGCTTCTTTTGCACACACTGGATCTTTCGGCTCTGCTGGCCTCCAGCACAGGCCTTGCTGCATGTACTCCATTCACCTGGCATCCAGCTTTCAGTGCAAAACAAACATTACCAATGAAGCCAAACTTTGTATGATAACTTCCAAAGCAGTTACTGTGAAAGGTAAACCACCTATGGAAGCCATGAATCAATTTCAGAACCAATAAGATAAGTTATTCTAATTGTTCTTTGAGGGATCCAGAGGCTTATACTAATGTGATTGAGATATAAATAATCACATTTAATCATCCCACAGTTCTACAAATATACTCCCGCCTCTGCATGAGAAGAAATACATGCCACTTTAAAATCTGCACAATTCATTGAGCCAAATTTGTTGGGATTTTAACTATGTGTCAGGGACTCTCCTAAGCATTAGGATTAGAAAAATTAAGGCAGCAGCCTTCTTTCCATTAAGGAGCCTATAACACAGTAAAGAGGTGGATATGTGAACAAATAAAGACAGTACTTTCTGATAAGTGCTGCAATGGAAGTCAACATAAAATACAATGAGGAGGCTCATGGAACAGTCATCAATGAGAGAGAAAGAGAGGGAGGTTTGTGCAGGAGAGAGGGGTACATTTAGAGAAGGTCTCACAGAGGATATTTTTAAGTGGGTACTTCCCCAAATTACTTTTCTGATTACACCTGAATTTAGTGATAGGTTAAATACCTACCTTCATTTTCTTTAAAATTTGCCAGACCAGTTTTTTTTTAATAGCTATCTGTCTGAGACTTGGTATATATTTGAACGGTTATCAATTGAAACTTTTTTTGTTTTTGAGATGGAGTCTTGCTCTTGTTGCCCAGGCTGGAGTGCAATGGCTCGATCTCAGCTCACTGCAACCTCTGCCTCCCAGGCTCAAGTGATTCTCCTGCCTCAGCCTCAGATTATGACAAATGCACTATTATTTACAAGAAAAAAAAAAGTGTGTGTGTGTATATATATATACACACACATATACGCACATCTTTATATATAAAGATTGTGTAATACGATTGCATCACCACAAACCAAACACTACTTATGAAGATGATCTAAAACATTGGTGAATGCAACACTGCTTTAGAAGAAACTCCCATCCATTTTATATAAATATATTTGGCAGAAGATAAATCACATGAAAGAGACTCCCTTTAACTGGGAAGATTACTTAAAATTAGTCTTCAAACAATAGTGTGGCTAAAGTCAATCCAAGAACAAACTCACTGAGCCCCTCCAAGGCTGCCATCATCAGCGGTGGAGTTACCACTTGGCCTATACCCCATTCTTTTTATTTTGTGTCTTGCTACTGTGTAATTTTGCATTTGGGGTTTCATGGCCCGCATAATATTATGATTTTTAAATTCTTGGACCATTTACAAAAAAGTTAGGCACACAACCGCACGCAAATTGAACTAATTTAGGATTCTGTGTTATTTAAATATCTGTCTGATTCCATTCAGAGAAGAGGAATCCCTATGCAAAGGTTAAAAGAAAAAAGCACCTCACGCCTGTAATGCCAGAACTTTGGGATGCTGAAAACAGGCAGATCACTTGAGGCCAGCCTGGCCAACATGGCAAAACCCCGTCTCTACTAAAAATACAACAATTAGCTAGGTGTGGTGACGTGCACCTGTAATCCCAGCTACTAAGGTGGCTGAGGCACAATAATTGCTTGAATCCAGTAGGCAGAGGTGGCAGTGAGCTATCATGAGGCCACTGTACTCCAGCCTGGGCAACAGAGTGAGACTCCTTGTTCCTCCTCCCCTCCAAAAAAAAAGAGGTCTTCATATCCCAAGCAAGCTTGCTTTTAAATAGCCAGTAAATTTATTCCTGGCTATCAAGCCAAAGTCAAGTGAGTACCAAAAGTAAATTTGTATTTTTCAACTCAAATGTAAACTTCAACCATCTTTTTTAAAAAAATTTCTTTTAGAGACAAGATCTCACTCTTTCACCCAGGCTAATATGTAAGTGGCACAATCATGACTCACTGGAGCCTGGAACTCCTGGGTTCTACTGATCTTCCCTCTTCAGCCTCCCAAGTAGCTAGGACCACACACGTGCCACCATGCCTAGCTCATCATCTTCTATTACTTTTTAAAGTATTGCGTCTACCTTTGAATCACTTTCCATTAGCAGTATTCACAGTGAGCTTTCATCATCTCATAACAACAATGAAGGCATACAAGTACAAAACTAAACAAAAAGACACTTCCAAATGACTTACTAAGCCGGGCAGGAGAAAGCGTTGCAGATTTTGGGCTCAGTTACTGGCTTGGTTTTTGCACTGCAGAATGAGGAATTGACTTGAGTATTTTGATCTCGCAAGCAAATGGCCTTTACATTTATGTAACCTGGTAAGACATCAGAAGTGACAAAGTGAAAATTACAGATTATTATTTCAATTTGGTTCTAAGTTTAGCTTCTGATTTACCAGCATTGTGATATTTTATTTCAGATATGGAATCCAAATATTTTGTGGAACGCTTCCTTTTGATGAAATTTGCAACTAATTTGAATTCCATTCCCCTCCCTAAAATAATATATTTTATATTTTAATAATTGTAACATGTAGATTATTGGTTTTCAAGACTGATGTGGATACTAGAACCATAAATTGATAAATACAACCTTTTGAAAACAGAATGACTATAAAGGGTAACATCCCAGGCAAACTTTATTATCAGATTAATGTTCTTCAAAGAAAAACCATTCGTGAGTTATATATGGAAACCCTAAGATTTTGCCTTAACATGAAATATCTCATACTTCTTAAGAGCATGGGGCACATAAAAGCAAAGAGTAGAACTCACTAAATATGTATTAAAACCTATCAGCCAGGGCTCTGCTTTTGCTTTTTTTTTTTTTTTTTTTTTTTTTTGAGATGGAGTCTCATTCTGTCGCCCAGGCTGGAGTGCAGTGGCGTGATCTTGGCTCACTGCAACCTCTGCCTCCCGGGTTCAAGCGATTCTCCTGCCTCAGCCTCCCAGATACCTGGGATTACAGGTGTGTGACACCATACCCAGCTAATTTTTGTATTTTTAGTAGAGACGGCCATGTTAGTCAGGCTGGTCTTGAACTCCTGACCTCAGTGATTCACCGGCCTCAGCCCCCAAAGTGCTGGTATTATAGTCATGAGCCACTGCACCCGGCCTCTGCTTTTGCTTCCTTAGTGGCATCCCACTGCCTTGCTTTCAACATTAATTTCAGGACTTCTTATCAGGGGCATATATTTTTTTAAAAATGTGTGAATAATTGTATTTTTTAGTTCCCCAAATAGAGATGCTGCCTCCCCTTTGAATTGTGTTTTTTATTTACATTGGAACTTTGTCTTCAAATATAATCTGAGAAAGAATAAGTCACTCCTGCTATAATGATTAGCAGTTAGTCCAGCTCCTGGGGCTGAAGCAGGTTTGCTTTCAGGAGGCACTTACGAAAACCACATCAAGGCCGGGCACGATGGCTCACACTGATAATCCCAGCACTTTGGGAGGTCAAGGAAGGCGGACTGCTTGAGGCCAGGAGTTTGACACCAGCCTGGGCAACATGGCAAAACCCCATCTCTATAAAAAAGAAAAAAACGGGCCAGGCATAGTGGCAGGCACCTGCAGTCCAAGCTACTTAGGACGGTGAGGTAGGAGGATGGCTTGAGCCCCAGAGGTCGAGGCAGCAGTGAGCCGTAATTGTGCTACTGCATTCCAGCCTGGGTGACAGAGTGAGATCCTATCTCAAGAAAAAATAACAAAAACAAAAAATCAACATTCCTTGAAGTTAACCGTTGACTTTAATAGGACTTATTCATCTGAATTCTTTTTCTCTTGGACACAGGACACACCAGGGTCTGTGAGTCATGCGAAGGGGTTGCTAAGGCAGGGCAAGGCGAGAATTTCACAACTGGCTTCCTCTGCATCCTCCTCTTGGCTGGATTTAGATTCTGTAAGTGGAAAGCAAATCAAACTTCTCTCCTTCCCAAGGCACTGTGCTCTCCCTGGAATACCAGAAAGCTATTGGAAATGTTCTCAAGAAACACTGGATATGAGAAAGACCTCATAATCTGTGACTAAATGAAACAGTGTGAAGAGATGTCTATAACATGATTTCAGTACAGAGGGATACAAAATGATACTCACGGTATGTGAGTCTGTCAAACACATGTTTGCTTACATGTGCCTAGGGAAACAAATGATATAGATCAAAATATTAACATTGGCTATTGCCTGTTTACAAATTATGGGGATTACCTTTCTTCTTAATAGCCCATTGCTTTTAAAATGGGTATTACTAGAAAATGTATTACCTTTTAATTATTTTATATATGTATCCTAAAAAAGTATTTTTTCATACTTTGTTAATTAGCATGGACCTACAGATAGGCCTTTCAGACATAAGAATTTCTTCATTTTCTGTATCTTTGCTCTGTCTCTGATTCTAAGCCTTATTATGCTTAGTGGGATGGAACCAGTAGGAAGTCTCACTGTCACCAGGTGCTCTGAATAATAGGAAATGAGAGACCAACATTCATGCTGTGGTTTCAGGAACTTATTTTGGGCACTTGTTCTTCCTCCCAAATGAGCAAGTGTGACAATGGTTTAACCCCCAAATATGTGACATTGTTCACATCTAAATAAAACGCCTTCCTTCTACTCACCCAGTAGATGGTTGCTGTTGTTCCTTCCTTGCAAGGGTTGTCTCAGATTTAATCCATTCCTCTAGTGAGAGAACCTTTGCTGACCTTACCCCTGAGGGGATATCCATGTTTCAGATAGACATCTTAAGTTTGCCATGTATGCGTCCTCACTTGCCTTGACCCTAGCTTTTATAACTTCCAAATGGAAGGTTAATAATGACAGAAAAGCCAAGACTGGCGGAAACTAAAAGCTGAAAATTAAACATATATATATAATATAAATATGCTTCTATTTGTAAATAATTCAATATATTTTATATGTTTTTCCCATAAGTTTTAGATGTGTAACTTTTGAGCCTTGGTTGTGGTTGATTTGAGCTTTGTGAGAGTTGATTCCTTACCACATAGGAAAACCCTTAACTAATGCCATAATATTTGCTTTTATGGTGATGGTTCTCATAAAAGACAGTTCTTGGGTGGCTTATTTAAACCATATTATGTTAAAGACGCCTGGAGTGAAAGAACCTGTTTTAAGAGAGACAGACTTTGGAGACAGAATGAGAAAATCATCTACCTCCACCACAGGAGACGGAGCACTCTGACTGCACGATACTCCAGGTATAGGCAGGTCTTTTTGTGGCTGGTGGAGTTCCATTCATGACCTTGGGAAGTGCATACTTCCAAGCTATCCCTGGATTTTTGCCTTGCATCAGAATCTGGACAGTGTAAGATAAAAATCAGAGATCAAGATACAGGTCAGACCCTGGAATTCCAGAAATCTTACTGAACATTTTAAAGATATTTACATGACATTTTGACCTTAACATTGGTATACTTCATTGTTCCCAAGTATGTTTTATGTTGACTTAAAGCTTTCCCAGGACACTTTAAAATGTGTCCCTTCATGTTATCAAAACTGTGATTTAGGTAGATGCTAAAGAGCAAAACACGATTGACATTTGCCATAAGCCCATAACGTATACACAAACACATACATACACACACACACTCACACACATATATGTATCATAAAGAAGAAAGAAAGGTTATACTGTTGGGTCTAAACCCTAACTTAAAAACCTAGCATGGTGAACACACATAGTCGTACCCTACAGAAAATAGTTAAAACTGAATCTACATATATATATTTTTATGATCTATCCTAGGTCACAATTTACAAGCTCTCTCCTGGGTGCTAGTGGAAGTTGAAACAAGGGAAACACTCCAAAACCCACAGAATACCCCCACTTAGAGTTGCTATCATCAACTTCAGAATCCAAATGTGTTTCCAATATACTTTCCATAGAAAATTTTCCCAAAGAGAATTTGTTAACTGTGTGCTAGGATGAGCAGATAAGAAGAAAAGAAACATGTTCAGAATCAGCAATTGGAATACATGCATTAGAATAGACTTAACCTCCAAAAAGGCAACAACTTAGGATAAATCTGATCCCATAAAGTCTGACTACTAAAATAAGAGCAATCACATATTGGGCACTTCCCAAGTGCCAAGCACTCTGCAGCCATTCTTAATGCATCATAAAACATTCTTCTAACAACTCTATAATGTAGCTGCCTATATTTTCATTGAAAAAAAAAAAAACTGGAGAGAAAGAACTTGTGCAAGATCACACAAGTGACTAGGGACTGAGCTTAAGTAAAGCCACCAACCAAAATGTGCCTACACAATGCAATGTATCACCTTGTTTTTGATGTAGGAAAAGCATCTGTCTGCCTTCTTAATGCCCTCTTAACTACTCCTCTTTCTTCTTTTTTCTTTTCCAAGCTGAAAGCATGAATATAAATAGCTGGTTCTTTCCCACTCCATGAATCTTGTGGAAAATTCTTTACCACTAGAACTGGGCATTCATGCCCAAGAGGCAAAGCTGATTGCCAGTTAAAAAATAGGAACCCCTGGCTCTGTCTCCCTCGGGTGGGATCCCACCTCCATTAGAGTTTGGTGGGTGGCAGCTGTTCAAGGCCCTTCATTTCACCAGATCACTCTTTAGGATGGTACAAAATGACTTCTATTTTGCTACTGGCTTAAATGTCTCCAGGAGTATTATGACTAACTCTTAAGATTCCATGGTGTACACATCAGTTTGTAGAGCAACAAAACAAATCTCGATGCCTCCTAGAAATAATCAAATGTTAATAGATGGATCTGTGTTCCCCCATCCAAAACCAAATCAATACAAAACACAACAGGTAGTACCATTACATGAACAAATGCCCAGTTATCAGTTGCCAATAAAAAAAAATCTTGAAATCAAAGTCTTAGGAGTCTTTTATTTTGAAGATCTTTCTAGTCTTTGCTTTTTTTTTTTTTTTTTTTTTAACTTTCGCAGCTAAGTCATACAGCTGTTCTTGGAACCCTGTGTTCAACTTAACACAACATTTCACACATGTTGAATAAATACTATGCTTTCCTTATTTCCACAGTATTTTTGAATAAATAGTATGCTTTCCTGCAGTGTTTCTGTTAATGTTTTCATCTGATATTAAGTAAATACAGAAACTTTACAGTTTTATTCATGGTCAAACTAGAATTGTGAGAGCAGTTTTACATTCAGAAGATGATCCTGATGCTGGTTAATAATTCAATTTCATATTCGGTTAAAGCAGTATTTCAAATGTAGCACTTATTTTGCCTTTTTTTTATGCAACAAAAATGCAGAGACCTTGTACCACAGAAAATTATGCACTGTACCGTATTTACTTGTGTGGCAATACAATGTGAGTGCAATGCATAAGAGTTACAGTGCGCTAAGGCCCACAAGGCAGAATGGTATTGCAGTACAAAGAGGTCGCATCACACACATACGCACATAGTAGGGGCAAGCTTAAGTATAAATGCTATACAGAAAGAAATTAACTTACTCAACTGCACTTTCTAGTATCACCCCATTCCTCCCATTCAAACTAGATCCTAATATTTTCTGCCATAGGGGAACAGATCCCCAATAAAAACGCAAAGAAAATATAAAAGAACATTAGTTCTTGCCTTTTGAGCTTCTAGGACTTATGTTCTGCTGATTAAAAAAGTAGTTTGACAAATTTTCAACAGACATTTGAAATATATTCCCCTTTCACCTTTTAGACAGATTCTAGAGCCTAAGCCATACATGGCCTGTGGTTTCACTGCAAAACATTTTTAAATGTTGCTGTGAACAGCAGGATGTGTTCAAGAAAAAAAAATGTGTTTAAGAAAAAGACTGTGATGATAAAAGTGTCACCAGTATTAAGCAAAAACAACCACATGTCAAGCTTCCCCAGACCTTCACTCAAGCCAACCATACAAAATTATCAATGCAACCAACAAGAAGGGAACTCACACAATCTCCCATTGTCAAATGTTTCTCTGTGTCTGTATCCGTATCCTCCTCTTCCTCCCCTGCTGTCACTCAGGATGCCCTGTCCTGGCTCCAAGTCCAAGTTCTTTACTACACACTGATTCCATCTCCCCTCATCTCCACCAGGATGTGACCACCGTAGTTGCCCCACGTATGGCTACTGAGTGCTTGAAATGCACTCGTGTGGTTGAAGTCAAAAGCCTTTTAATTTAAATAACCATGTGTGACTAATGGCTACCATACTGGATGCATGGCTACGGATGACACCCCGCCTCTGACACCCATCTTCCATACTACATTGTCTACTTGGCATCTCCACTTGAATGCTTAAGAGTATATCAATGTCTAACTTTTTTCTGCCTCCCTGAAAGGCTGCTCATAGGGAATACCCTTCCAGTTGTTTAGGCCAAAATAAAAACTTGGAGCCATTTTAGACTTCTCTTTTTCTGACAGACACTCATATTTAATAGATCAGAAATGGTGTTACTTTAACTTTTATCCTCTCTCATATCTTACCACCTCATATGTTGTTGCTCCTGCCCTGATCTAAGCCACCATCATGTCTCTTGTGACCTCCACGGTCAAGACAATAAAAAAAAAAATGACTTTCGGGAGGGGGAGAAGTGATATCCCCCAGTGGAGAAGATGAGACAGATTCATATATTAAAAAAACACAGTCACAGTTATTTGGGTTAAAAATCAAGTGCTAGGGCCGGACGCGGGGGCTCGCGCCTGTAATCCCAGTACTTTGGGAGGCCGAGGTGGGTGGATCACGAGGTTAGGAGATCGAGACCATTCTAACATGGTGAAACCCCATCTCTACTAAAAATATTAAAAAACAAGCCAGGCCTGGTGGTGGGCACCTGTAGTCCCACCTACTCGGGAGGCTGAGGCAGGAGAAGGGCGTGAACTCAGGAGGCGGAGCTTGCAGTGAGCCGAGATCACGCAACTGCCCTCCAGCCTGGGCGACAGAGCAACACTCCATCTCAAAAAATCAAGTGCTACAGATCCTATAAAAGGAATTGAAATGTTTTAGTAAATCTGAGGTGGGGGAGGAAATCACATTATCATCTAAAGAAGCTTTGTAGCTATCACTTATTAATAACAAATCTCGGTGATGATTATAGCGAAGAAGACACAAAGCAACAAAATTTGAGTTTCTGGCCAGGCACTTTGGGAAGCTGAGGCAGTAGGATCTTTTGAGCTCAGAAGTTCAATATCAGCCTGGGCAACACAGCAAGACCCCATTTCTAAAATAAAATTTTAAAAAACTAGCTAGGTGTTGTAGTGTGTGCCTATAGTCCCAGCTACTTGGGAGGCTGAGGCAGGGGGCTGCTTGAGCTCAGGAGTTGGAAGCTGCAGTGAGCTATAGTCACACCACTGCACTCCAGCCTGGGCCATAGAGTGAGACACTGTCTCAAAAACAAAAACAATCAAATACTTCTGTTTTCTTTGAAGATTTCTATTCCCCCCTCTGAAAAAGACAAACTGTTACACTGTGTTTCCCACATCCCTTTTCCTAAACTTGAAAATGAGGATCCTCAGCAAAGTAAAATCCTTGAACTAAAGGTAAGACCAGCAATGATCAGAATATTAAACAGCAGTAAGGGAACAAATCCATTTCATAATATCATGGTAATACAAAACTCATGTATCTGGCCAAAAGAAAAAGAGAAATAACTTACACAATTTGCTGTACATGTTCTTAGGAACGTGCAGCTTTAAATTAACTCATAAAATACATAGTAGCTATTTGTATGCCTGTGTATGTGTGTTACTATTACAGTTTTATGGCCAGTAGCATATAGAGCATATTGTTTATAGTTTATTTCCTTAACATATTAATGCATTCAATGAATACATAAATGAAGGCCTCTTAACTTTACAAAAATCAAATGACTCAAGGTTTGCCTTTAATGTATGTGTAGCTATAAATTCACATGCAGAGTTCAATGTGTTATCATGTAGACCGAAAGACAATATTTGTACAAACCAGCAGAAAGCTGATGTAAGAATTTACTTAACATCAGCTCGTAAAGGCCTTGTAAAGGAAGTAAAAACTTAAACAAATAAGTACCAAGACAAATATATAAAAGATAAGTATGTGCCAATTGTAGCATATTATTTGCTTCTCAATAAGTAAGATGCTCTTTGCCCCCATCTTTATTCTGTGTTGAGAAGAACAGTGACCAAGAGTATCCTAGAAATCCTCTTATCTCTTACTGTTTGATGCCTGCAAATACTTAAACCTTTGGAGATTATTGTCCACTTGTCTCATAGAATCTCTGTGGGAAAGTTTCTCTTTCACCCTGTTCTTAAAAAAAAATCAGAATTTTCTCAAATCAAATCCACCCTCAAAAACTGCTACATAATTTCTAAAGCCCAGTGCAAAATGAAAATTCAACAGTCATTGTTTGAAAAAATTAAGAATTTCAAGACAGTGACAGTGAAGCATTAAACCAAAGGGCGCTTCTAAGCACAACGTCCTCTGCAGCTGGGCAGGTCCCATGCCCATGAAGCTAGTCCTGCCCAGCTAAATCCAGGTTTTCTCACCTGGATCAGTTTTAAGACACAATTAAAAATTTTTCAAATTCGAAATGACCCTGCAATCTGACAATGACTTCTCTCTCGTTTCATGGTTGGAGAATATAGCCCCCAATTTGGTGGCCTTGATTATATCTCAGCACGTGCTTTAGTGTGTCCATCACCATCAACCAAACCACAGACAGCCTCTCCCACTGATGTGGGGAAACAGGACAACCCTGGAGAGGTGTGCATAGAACCACCTAAGATGCTAACTTCCTCTACGAATGCCAGGGAACACATCTTGGGCAATATGTAACTTGAAAATGATCATTCCCATTGTTCACATTTTAGAACATTTTCGGTGACCATGTCAAGAGTAGTCCATTGCTTTTCTCAGCATTCCTGGAGAACACAAACATGCTCAGGGTACAGGAGCACCGCATCCCTCCCGTAATGGCACCACATCACAATAATGCCATTGCTTACAACCCCGTGCCGCATGTCGGAGTGTATAGCCAAGCTGTTAAATGCACAAATTTGGAAAGACCGCCAGTGATTCAATCTACTTAACTGGACTTAGTCCAGAGAATTTTCCAGCCAACTGGCATGGAGTCTCCAATTTACAGCTGGCAAGCAACCTCCTTAAATGCTTCCAGGTCCTCCATAGAGATGTTTAATGTCTACCTTTAACACACAAACCACCTGACTTCAGACACAACACTCAGCAGCTCTAACCGCAGGGTGCAGAGTTATAAAATTTACAGCTTCTTAAGTTGGAAAACCACAGACAGGGGCTGGAATCTACCAACAACTCTCTGAAGGAAGGGGATGCAGTTTCTGTTTAAGGCACATAAAATTAAAACAAAGGATATCTTCAATAATCACGGGTAAATGATTCTCTTTCTTTCGTCCCCACTTTTAATTTTTAATGTTAAAACTTTTTAAAATTCCTTCAGTCAGCTTTGTATTTGTTTCATTATTTAAGGCCTCTTTTTTTCTTCTTCTTCAAGAAGTTGTCCTCATTTTACCATAAAGGTTATGGATAAATTTTAAAGACTAGCTTTTTATTTAATGCATGCTAGGAAACTCAATTCCTGTCCTCAATAATGTATTCGATTGCTTTAAAATTAACAATGCCTATTGAGTGCTTATTATGTGCCAGGCAAAGCATTGTACATGCATTATCTCATTTAAAATTGATAACGACATTAAGAAGAAGGTGCTATTAATTCCAATAGTGTAGACTAATAAACCAATACTCAAAGTCACATAGCTAATAAGTCACAGCAATGGGACTCAAGTCTCTGGTCTTGTTTAACCCTAAAACCTCACATCTTCACTCTCACAACATTGCCTCTCAAGCTTTGAAACACCAAGCCCAGGATTCTAATTTAAAATTCTAAAAACTGTGTTAACTGCTGGAAAGACAACACTGGGCCTCCCTGGTGTGCTGTGACATTTACTTTGTGACACTGGGTTTGAACCTAAGAATTTTATTTCTTGAACATACTGGCATCTAATTTAAGAATACTTGATCTCCTCAATCAATTTTCCCCTGGATTTATTTATAATCATTGTTTTAACAACTGAAATATAATAGACTTTATTGGTTGGCCTTTTCTTGATAAAGCCCAAATTGCACCTTACACTCCTGTGTCTCACGGAAAGAATGGTTTTGTGGTGTGGATTCATGTTTTTGTAAGCTCATGTGATTTTTGGAAACTTGTGTTAGAATTCAGCCCATTTTCTTTGACTTATTTGCTTCAAAGCTGGAAGAACATGACCAGGTATCATCATTGCTATTATGTGTGAGTGATTGAATTTGACAAGAGACAGTAATACAAAGACCCTGATCAGGGATTTGGAAATGCATCTGTTAGGCAGCTTCAAAGGTGTGGGCTGACACATTGAACCTTGACTACAGTTCTAATTCAACTCATCAACATTCCTCAGAGTGTAGTGGGGAGAAATAGTGTTCTCTAACCCGTCACAAAAGTATTTGCCATGAATTAACTGGAGGCCCCCACTTCAAATAGCAAATGGCAATCTCTAGACAAATGACGTGCCATCGCAAAAGTACCTCTGAATCGTCCTCTCGAGCCTGACTATTCTATCATCTGTTCTGAATTAATTCTCCATTACTTCTCTGCTTCTTTTGTGTCTTGTGTCTTCACTCAGTCCATGCTACTTGGCTAATCTCCCTTCCCTTACACTGATTGTATCTTGAGGCACTTCCTTACTCATTTCAGCCCCTTTACCTTGGGGAGAATTCAGCAGGCAGGGTCACAAAGGAGCTGGATGACAAGGTAATACTTCGTCAGTGGTGCTCACACTGTCATCTCATTGATCAATGTGCCTGTCCACCTGGTCCCCACCACCCTGTCATCTCCTTTGGCCAAAGAGTGCAGGAAGTTGTTTATTATAGTAATTTTCTTTAGATGTCTCTTCTTGCCTTGAAACTAGGCTGTGGTTAACCTATTTCTCACTTACTATCATGAGAAAGGCTGCTGTCGTTTTCAGCTTCAGGATTCTCCCTTATTACACTAGGAATGGGCTTTCAAAGAGTTAAACGCCCTCTTCTTCTGCTAAACATAGAGAAAAAAATTCCTAACATAAACGAGAGCTTTTCTATTTTTTAAAACTTTTTAAAAAAGGAATGCTGTGAAAACACAGGTGGTCATATTTCAGCCATACAATAGCAACCTGTATTATCATGTCATACTGAATCACTTTGTTTATCAGACAGGGATGAAGTTACTTCATAATGAAACACTCATGATGAATTTCCTCACCTCCACTCCAACTGCATGACAGCTTGATAGAGAATGTGACTCATTCATTGTTGTGTGTGTGTATGTGGGTGAGAGAGATACAGACAAAGAGACAGAGAAAGATTGAAATGGGGGAAAAGGAAGAGGAGAGAAAGGAGGAGCATGAACTAGTAAGATACCTCATCTCTAGTCACTTCTAGAGAATGTGTCATCTCTAAGTGGATACCTTAGCTAATCATGAAAAAAAAAAAAAAAAACTTGTGTACATTTTAATCCTTATTGCCAAGGTCTCCTAAAACTGTGTATGAAACAGGCCTTTTCCATATTGCTTAAACAAAGGACAAAGTCAGTGACCTTAAATTACCTACACCTAAACCTCAAGATGGAAAAACATTGTTTTCAGGCATACTCAAAAAGCCCAGCATATGTATGTGTCTACTTCAGATGAACTGTCAACAAAGCCTTGTGTAAAGTTTCACTCTGATCTTCAGTTTTCACAATTCAATCACTTGAAAATTTAATTTCTTACAACACACACACACTTAATTTAGATATTCAGGAGTGGAGAATTAAAATAGATTTAGTTTTTCTCAGTATTCCCAAACCCAATAAAATAAACATAATGCAGTCACTGATACATAATATCCTAAACTCTATTAAAATAAAAGCTACCTTTTAAATCTTCTGGATGACTAACAAGTACACTAGTTCAGTGAGACATCCCTTAGTCTTTATGCCAGACTTATGTTGTAGAAAATAAGTTGAAATACATGGAAATTATTTAGTTTTATATTAACTATATTCATAGTGATCTCAGAAACTATGTGACTGCTAAATCAATATTTATTTTTATGCTAACGTGCGCATGTAGCTGGCTAGTTTTTTTTTTTCTGGGAAATACAGAAATATAACACTTGGTCAAGAAAATTATCTCCTTTTCTCCAAGTCACTTATATGCATATATGTGTACGTATTTCAAGATCAAAAACTTGATTGATTTAAATAATGCCTAAGAAATTTAAGACCTAAGACAATCATACAAATCCTTGATTACCCTGAGGTATATCCCTTTGACACCAAGGAAATCAATGGGGCCAGCACTGTATAAATTGTCATCCACCTGTTGCACATGTTGAAACCATCTAGAACCAAGGACCCAAGGAGAATGGATGTCTGTAATACAGACTGCATTTTAAAATTGGACTGGCATGTGACTTAGTGATAAAAGTGAAGGTCTGTTTTCTATTTAGCTTAAATTTTTAGCTTCCCAGGAAGACATCCTATAAAGTTTTGACATATAAAAATAACCAGAAGCAGAAGACACTTTTATTTGGCATCAAACCATGCACTTATTTCTTGGGGTTAACTGACAGCAGTCAATTATTTCCAGGATCGCATTATCCTGCCTTGTACTACAAAACACCAAGAAATAAGTGGAATGATTGGCAAACTCAACACCTTGAAAGGGCAAATTGCTATTCATCTAGATTGAGGTAAGTCCACTGTGAACTAACTGGTCAGTGACTTCCTAGGTGTAAGTTATTCACTTCAGGAAAGCAAGTGTTTTAGGAAGCACATTGATTCCTCAAATGCATTTTAGGAGATCAAATTTCATTACTTTAAATGCTATTTGCTGTACTTAACTTTAAACCATGTGGTTGTCAAGGCCAGTCTCAAGAGATGATCAGATACAGTGGTTTTTAAAATGTGTGTTACAGAAGCCTCAGGATCTTCAGAGGATTTCAGTGCTGAAATGGGGCAAGGACAGGCTGGGTTCTGGTCCCTTCACTCCTGGCTTCAGTGAAAGAAGCTCTCCTTTTATGTTTTGCTTCCATGTAAAATTTTTCAATTTGAAAGAAGATTGCAACGAATGAATTTTATCATTGGATGTTGTTCACTCCATACATTTTCTTAAACATCCCACGATGTTCCAGACACTGTGCCAATTGTGGAAGCTACAAGTATAAATGAGTCATTGTCTGATAACATAGGGTTTGGGGGTGCTCTAAAAGTACTTCAGGACAGTAGTATAGACACAGTAGAAGACATTAGTTCAGTCTGGGGAAATCATTTCTGAAATGAGGAAACTGGGACCCTGATCATTTCAGTGATTTTTCCAAAGTCACATAGTTTGTAGCAGAGCAACCTATATCCCAGCTATTTATGCAGATGCTTCTTGTCTAACCCATGTTGCTTCCCAAAAGAATGGAATCCACGTACCAATGCTTGTTTTTTACATTATTTAAAGACTTAAGGCTGTAAAGTTTTGGTGAAAAGATTTATGTCTTAACCTTTTTTTCTTTTTTTTTTGGAGACAGGGTCTCTGTTGCCCAGGCTGGAGTACAGTGGCACAATCACAGCTTACTGCAGTCTCAGCCTCCTGGGTTCAAGGGATCCTCCCTCCTCAGCCTCTGGAATAGCTGGGACTAGCAGCATGCACCACAACTCCCAGCTAATTTTTGTATTCTCATGGAGACGGGGGTTTTTTCATGTTTCCCAGGCTGGTCTCAAACACCCATGCTCAAGCAATCCACCTGCCTCAGCCTCCCAAAGTGCTGGAATTTTTGCACCTGGCCTGATTGTGCATCTCCAATATCTAACACAGGGCTGGACACTGAATGTTTTTTAAACCAGACAATGAGAGGAAGTGAACAGAAGAAAATTGTTTTGATGGTAATTACCTACATTGATACACATGAAGGCAGATGAAAATGAAATTTAGCTAAGATATGGGAAGAATATGATGTCATACATATGAAAGGGAAAAAAAAGAGGAACATTACTCTCACAGTGGCATCCTCACGTGTTGTGGAAAACATACACTTCTGCTGAATTTTACATCATCATAAGGACTTAGTGAATATACAATAATTTTAGGTGGCCAAAAGAGATGGTGCTTTCATTCATAGATTTATTCTTTCTGTGGATGGAACAGCATTTTTCATTTTAGTAGGTTCCCACAGTGATTTTAGCATTTCACAAGATTATAAAATAGATTTAATATTTTTGTATTGGAGTAAATATATGTTTGGCTCCAAAAGTATTCATTTTGGCTCTTCATAGCTGTTGTATGGAAAGGCCTATGAACTTTATTCAACTTCCTTTAAAGAATACAGCCATGGATCACTTGGATATCAATATACAGTCCACTTTTGGGAAAATATAATTTATTGCTTATTATAATTTTATGTTTTTAGAATATCTGTGTTCCATCCATTTTAGAGAGATACAAGCATGTGCTAAAAACTGACCAGCAATTTGATGATGTTCTCTAGAGAACAATAAAGTGTAATTTAAATACCAAAGGCATTAACCTAAATTATTTGAAAAGATATCATAGACAAAATACTAGATTACTGGAGTTTTCTTTTTTTTTTGCTTTGAATATATTTGCAACTTTTGAATGAAACCATAACTCCTTTAAAAATACAAGCAAGGCACGTCCAATTAATCATACAAGTTTCCATTTAGATTGCTTTCAGATAGGTCAAATTCCTTGGACATTAAGTTTTTCTTGAATCTATTGGTAGAATGAGTGCATAAAGAAAGATTTTGGAAAACAATAGCCAGGCAAACATGACCTTATTCCACTGTGGTGAAACGACAATTTTGTATTACTGGAGATATTGCTGTAGTTCTTATTCTTTTATGTAGTAGTAAATAATTATTTTTAAAAACATATTATACATATCCAATTGAACCTGGGGAAGACTTCGTTTTTATGATTTTATTTAGATCTACTCAACATTTGTCCTTACATCTTATTTTTGTTGTTGTTGTCACTCAAGGTGCTGTCCGTATTATTTACAAAGAGATAGATTGATGAACCGGATCAATTCGAGAGAACTCTATCACCAGTGGAGGCCAATCTTCCATTCCTCAAAAAAAACTTTTCTTTTTTTTTTTGTTTTTTTTGAGACGGAGTTTTGTTCTCGTCGCCCAGGCTGGAGTGCAATGGCACGGTCTTGGCTCACCGCAACCTCTGCCTCCTGGGTTCAAGAAATTCTCCCTGCCTCAGCCTCCCCAGTACCTAGGATTATAGGCGCCCGCCACCATGCCCAGCTAATTTTTGTATTTTTAATAGAGACAAGGGTTCACCATGTTGGCTGGGCTGGTCTCGAACTCCTGACCTCAGGTGATCTACCCGCCTTGGCCTCCCAAAGTGCTGGGATTGCAGGCGTGAGCCACCGCACTCGGCCGTCTCAAAAAAAACTTCTAACTATCAGGAAAAATCTTACACCTGGTGAAAAATCTTAAAGTTTACTTTTTGTCAGGGCTAAATCATGTTGATGAATGACATACAGAGCTATGCATGGATTAAATAAAGTACGAATATGCAGCCAAATATGAAAAAATGCTCATCATCACTGGCCATCAGAGACATGCAAATCAAAACCACAATAAGATACCATCTCATACCAGTTAGAATGGCGATCATTAAAAAGTCAGGAAACAACAGGTGCTGGAGAGGATGTGGAGAAATAGGAACACTTTTACACCGTTGGTGGGACTGTAAACTAGTTCAACCATTGTGGAAGACAGTGTGGCGATTCCTCAGGGATCTTGAACTAGAAATACCATTTGACCCCGCAATCCCATTACTGGGTATATACCCAAAGGATTATAAATCATGCTGCTATAAAGACACACACACACGTATATTTATTGCGGCACTATTCACAATAGCAAAGACTCGGAACCAACCCAAATGTCCAAGAATGATGGACTGGATTAAGAAAATGTGGCACATATGCACCATGGAATACTATGCAGCCATAAAAAATGTTGAGTTCATGTCCTTTGCAGGAACATGGATGGAGCTGGAAACCATCATTCTCAGCAAACTATCACAAGGACAAAAAATCAAACACCACATGTTCTCACTCATAGGTGGGAATTGAACAATGAGAATACTTGGACACAGGAAGGGGAAGAACACACACCGGGGCCTGTCGTCGGGTGGGGGCAGGGGGGAAGGATAGCATTAGGAGATATACCTAACGTAAATGACGAGTTAATGGGTACAGCACACCAACATGGCACATGTATACATATGTAACAAACCTGTACATTGTGCACATGTGCCCTAGAACTTAAAGTATAATAAAAATAAAATAAATAAATAAATAAATAAATGACTCAAGGTTTAAAAAAAAAAAAACTTAAATTACAAACAGAATTGTGGAAGACTGCTGGAATGGTTCTGTGTTTATGACCAAAACTGGAGAGACGAACAACAGAAAAAATGGTTGCTTGTCATGAAGCGGTAAAAAACGTATTTCTCATCAGGAGTGATTTGCACTTTGCTCTGACTGCACACGGCTGAGACTGTCAGATGCATGTACCCCTGTTTCCCTATTCAGGTTCACTTTCAGCTACAGAACTTGGTTTGTGTACATTTGCTTTGAGGTGGATCGAAGGCCTCTTGGCAAAAATTAATGAAGTCCTGCTCTCTAAAACTGATACCTTCAAGCCGAAAAAGCCCCTCAAAAGAAAAAGAAGTCTGCTGCTCAGATGCTTAGTAGAAAAGAAACAGGTAACACAATGTATCTAAAAAAGGACTTAAAAAATCCAGAAATCTTTAATAAGAGAGTTCAATTTCTATGCCTTAGGTTTAATTAAAGTATAATATCAGGGGCTGGATTCACTGTTGAGCTCCAAACTATCCTGGCCATAGTCTATTTTGATTGGGAAATGCTAGTATCTTCCTCTCAAATAAAAATGCTGAGGGGGCTGGAAGAACATTTCCTAATAACAGCTTCTCTTGAGTAGGTGGTATGAGATCTTTGAGGGACGTCCACCAAACAGATGGACTGATGGGACTGGGTATCTCCAGTTAGGAAGATGATGGGAGTTAACTCAACGATCAAGGCTGCAAACTCAAGTATCTCCTGGGACTAGAGGTTTTCTTAAGAGTTTCAAAAATTCATATGTATAAGTCACCTGATATTAAAGCTTTAATCTATTTTCTCCATTTTAATATTATACATGGCTGGGCGTGGTGCACACCAGTAATCCCAGCACTTTGGGAGGCCGAGGCGGGTGGATTACTTGAGGTCAGGAGTTCCAGACCAGCGTGACCAACATGGTGAAACCCCATCTCTACTAAAAAACATATACAAAATTAGCTGGGCATGGTAGTGCACGCCTGTAATCCCAGCTACTTGGGAGGCTGAGGCAGAAGAATCGCTTGGACCCAGTAGGCGGAGGTTGCAGTGAGCCAAGATTGTGCCATTGCACTCCAGCCTGGGCAACAAGAGCAAAACTCTGTCTCAAAAAAAAAAAAATGTGTGTGTATGTGTGTGTGTGTGTATATATATATATGTACATATATACATACGATTGATAGATAGTGCGGGCCTAAGGCTGAACTTGACTTGTGATCACCAGTTTGCTAAATATGGTCTCAGGTTTCATATATATATATATATATATATATATATATATAAAATATATGTGATATGCTCAGAAGGCAAAATAATGGCAATAGTAATTAACATTATGGGCTAAGTATTTTGTAGGCACTGAACTTATCTTCAGTTATCCTCATCATGGCCCTAATAATTAGCTGGTATTGTTTGCCCATTTTACAAATATAGACATTAAGTGACACAGAGATTAAGAAACTTGCCTAAGTTATGTAGCTAGTTAAGAGTCTGTACTCTCAGCCATTCTGTGTGTAGAACATCTTGGAATTTAAGGTTATGTGTTTTATTTTTAACTGTCTGCTACTGTTCTTCCTTAGTAAATATTTAAGGCTAGTGCTACTTAATCACTACTCTTGGAGACTAATCCTTCATTTTCTACCATCATGGCCTAAAAAAAAATTTCTGTATCATCTACTAATAGTCCTTTGACATTATGGAAAATGCGATGCTTTTGAAATCTGAATAATAGATTGCATGGTCTTAAAACTATGAAACTGGCACTTAGTGGGTTTCTCTGATTGCCTCCACAGAGGGTCTCAAATGTCATCAAGGGAATAAAGTAGCAAAGCCTATTGTAAACTGAATTTGCATAGCTCTTGCGTATGAGATTCAGACGGATTTTAAATACCTTAAAATCTGGATAGAAACATATACGATTGGAGCAACAGCAGGAAGAACAGCTAGGATGCCATCCCTGTTGCCATGAATGAGGGCATCTCCACTCACGCCTGTGGGTGTGCAGGTGCAGGGCAAAAATACATGACAAGATGCCAGCGTGATGAGAGATTTGCATCTATATACAAATTCCATGATATCTGTGAAGATCCTGTTTCCAGCACAAGCACGCCTCTCCGTGACAGGTGCATGCTCCTCTTTATTGGTGGTGTCAACCAAGGCTCAACATTTCTTCACAAGGCACATTCTGGATATTGCAATTATTTGGCTACTCCCAAGAGGCAGCTTATCAAAGAAAACTTGGATCCAAGTGCCCTGCTCAGTTAACAAATGATATACTACTATACTACACTTTAGGTATTTTTAGGAACTGATTTGCATATTCATTCCAAGGCTTTTTTCATGCATTTTAAACACACACTCAACCGCCTACTTGACAGCTACTCTTGAATATCTAAGGTACATTGCAAATATATGGTGGCTAAAATGGAATTTTTCCCCATCCCTAAACCTGTTTCCAGTCATCCTCAAGACAATGATAGTGGTAAAACCATCCTCCAGATGCTCAGGGAAGAAACCTGAGACTCTCTCACATCTTTCTCCCTCAGAGTTCATTTCTTATACATGTCTAGTAACTTTTCTAGCTTCCAGTTCTCTACCATAATACACTGCAAACAGATCCACTTCCTGCCACCTTCACAGTCACCATCTGTTTCAGCGTCTATTACTCCTTACCTGGAATTCAAGAACCATTTTCCTATTTCCCCAGTTTACTTCTTGCCTCTCCAATCACTTATTTACATAGCAGCCTGGTTGAATTTTTTTTTTTTTTGAGACAGAGTCTCGCTGTGATGCCAGGCTGGAGTGCAGTAGTGCAATCTCGGCTCACTGCAACCTCTGCCTCCTGGGTTCAAGTGCTTCTTCTGCCTCAGCCTGTTGAGTAGCTGGGACTATAGGCATGCGCCACCATACCCAGCTAATTTTTGTATTTTTCAGTAGAGATGAGGTTTCACCATATTGGCCAGGATGGTGTAAACCACCCTCTTCCTTGACATCCTGATGTTGTTAATGGGATGAAATCCAAACTCCTTACCATGGTTTGTATTATGTGTGGGCCACCCCCTGACTATACCCATCTCACACCTCAATACTTTCTTTTCTGACTACACTATAGCTAGATTCTCCTATTTTTTAGTTCTTATAAAATATTAAGTTGATTCTCCACATCAGGTTTTATTTATTTATTTGGAGAGAGTCTCACTCTGCCACCCAGGCTGGAGTGCAGTGGTGCGATCTCGGCTTATTGCAGCCTCTGCCTCCCAAGCTCAAATGATTCTCCTGCCTCATCCTCCCAAGTAGCTGGGACTACAGGCATGCACCACCACGCCTGGCTAATTTTTGTTTTAGTAGAAACAGGACTTCACCATGTAGGCCAGTCTGGTCTCATACTCCTGGTCTCAAGCAATCCACCTACCTCAGCATCCCAAAGTGCTGGGATTACAGGGGTGAGCCACCATACCCAGCCCACATGGAGTTTTAAATTGTTGCTTCCTCCGCGTGAATTTCCTCTGCTCTTTACCTGGTTGGGTCTTCTCATCCTTCAAGTTTCACCTCACATGGTAATTCTCAGATAATTCCTCACCAACTCTCTAATTCAAAAAGTCTGTTTTTTTATCTCATACTTTATTTTCTCTCAAAGAACCTACCACAATCTGTACATCTGCCTTCATTTATATATTCATTTGTGTAGTGCTGTACTGTACCCTCCAACACTCTAAGTTTCATTATAGCAGGAGGATTTTCTTTTCTGTTTATCCACTACTCTATACCCAGTTTACTGTCAATGTGAAACTCAAGAGCAGCTCAGTGCATGTGACACAGAGGAACGCAGTGATTTCTTTTGTTTGAGATGGAGTCTCACTCACTCTTTTGCCCAGGCTAGAGTGCAGTGATGCAATCTCGGCTCACTGCAACCTGTGCCTCCCAGGTTCAAGTGATTCTCCTGCCTCAGCCTCCCGACTAGCTGGGATTACAGGCATGCGCCACCACACCCAGCTAATTTTTGTATTTTTAGTAGAGATGGGGTTCCGCCACGTTGGCCCAGCTGGTCTCGAACTCCTGGCCTCAAGTGATCCACCTGCCTCGGGTGATTTCCTAATGTGTGGACATTTTCACTATTCTGCTTTCTGAAGTTCTAGCAAATCTAAGAATCCATGAGGGAAATTTCAAGATGTCATCTAATTTCACCCACCATAACTCAACACACAGAACACAAACTCCCACACACTGGGTAAGAGAAATTCATTTCTATTGCTTTCCCCATGAACCACTGTGAGCTGCAGAAGGTCATTACCAATATCATGGTAGCACGGTATTTGTTCAAAGAATTATCCAGGCCCGCTGTGCATGGAACTGAGAAAGATGATAAATTGAGTGCTTCAGTTTAGACAGAAGAAGTAGCTACCTCTGAAAAATTGCCTTATTCATCACTAATCTGACCAAAATACCCTGAGATGATTGAGGACACAGCATGCTGTCAGCCCAGAAAACAAGCACTATGTCGCTTTCCTCAGCACCAAGAACACAGTAAGTGCCAATAGTCTTATGTGAATTAACATATATAAGATAGAGGAAAATAAATTATTTTAAGTAAAAATCATCGGACAAGTTTATGAACACAATCTTCCTAATAGTCAGTTTTCAGATCAACCCTCTAGTTACCACAGATCTATGTCAGTATTGGTCAAAATACATGGGTATGTTCTCAGTGTTTTATGCATTCAAATCTGGATGACAGATGTCTCCAAAGAGCAAACTATCTATTTCCCACCTCTAGTAGGCTTTGTACCTCCCACAGAGGCAACCATTTCACAATGAGAAAAACCATATAATGACAAGTAGCTGAGCCTTGCCAGTATTGGTGCTATATTAAGATAATGGTGTGGCCAAGTGAGCCAGGAAGACTTACGTTCAAACCTCAGTCCTACCACTTACATGTAACACAGTCTGTTTAAGGCTCGGTTTTCTCATCTGTACAATGGGGATTAAGTAACAATACCTACCTTCCTAAGGTGGTTGTGGGCATTCAGGAAATGAATGCATGAAACTGATCACAGAATGCCTGAACCTACTCTATTACAGTCATGATAACAACGATAATAATAATAACAGTTACACTGATCCTGTGTTTATTTGAGAAGAGAACAGTAATCTGAGTGTTACATAGATCTCATACTCCTGGGTGGAAAAGACTCTGACTCCAGTTCAGCTCTGTTTTTTTCCCTAGCTGTATGAGATAGGCAAGTCTTTTAATCTTTTTTTTTCACACTTGATTCCTTATTTTTCTGGTTAGTGAAGTCCATTTTCTACCTTAGTTTCACAGGTAACAAACTGAAACTTAACATGACTCCTAAGAGTAGCTGGATATGCAAGTGCTCAGTATCATTTCTATACAAACTGAAGCAAATCGCTTGCTTGTAAGAGCCAACAGTCAGCCCCATTTTACAAATGGAGAAAAAGCACTCAGAGACATCATGAGGACTAAAGAAAATGTTTCTATGATAACAGCCTTGCAGAGTCATTTCCAGATATGTTGGTTCTTTTAATTATCATTTTTTTTACCTTTTTTCCCTTTTCTTACCTGTGGGGAAGCTACAAACTACAAAATCATGGTAGTTTAGTATGATGAAACTCTGCTGACACCCAGGCAAGCATTTTCTCTACTATTAACCCCTTCTCCTAGGCCAGTTGACCTATGTTATGAATAGCTACAATGGAGCATCCAAATGGCAGACATAGACAAACCAGCATAATATAAAAAGTATTCTTGCTACATTCTTTGGCGTTCTTGAAACCCAAGCATATTGGTGAAAGGTTGACCTCTAAATATGAAAATCAACCCATTCTCTTGGAGGCCATTTGGGTTCCTGTCCTCTTCCCCCAAATGGAATCACTGTCTTCTCCCCTTTACACTTTGAAATTTAGCCTATTAGGAAACACCTTTTGTTGTTGTTGTTGTTTTGAAACAGTCTTGCTCTGTTGCCCAGGCTGGAGTGCAGTGGCACATCTTGGCTCACTGCAACTTCCGCCTCCTAGGTTCAAGCAATTCTCCCGCCTCAGCCCCCACTAATAGCTGGGATTACAGGCGCGTGCCACCACACCTGGCTAATTTTTGTATTTTTAATAGAGATGGGTTTTCACCACGTTGGCTAGGGTGGTCTCCAACTCCTGCCCTCAGCTGATCCGCCCACCTCAGCCTCCCAAAGTGCTGGGATTACAGGCATGAGCCACCATGCCCGGCCAGGAAACACCTTTGAACTAGAAGGACTGGAGTTCTGGCTCAAATTGCAGTCAACGATATAAATGTAGCAAGAAGCACTGAGAACTGAATACACAGAAGGGGCTTACTTCAAAGACCAGCGTCTCATTTGTGGGCCCTGGCGCGTACAGACGTTCCGGGCGGTTGAAAGAGCGCTGGTATTCAAACGTGGTCCCAGCGAAGGGGAACTCCCCAGGCCAGTCGATGCTCCAGCCCCCGGTGAGGTAATACTTTTGACTGAGGCTTCGAACTGCGAGGTAACTGGAGGAAACCTGCAGCTCCTGGATTTCGATGCTTCGGGCGCCAGCTGGAATGAGGACCACCGGATAATATTCTAAATGGAAAGAAGAGAACATGTCTGAATTCCACCCCATGCATTGGAGAAAAGGGACTAGAAATGGCCCGACATGTAGTGTTCAGTTTTATAGAGTGAGGTTTTTAAATCATTATCTAAATTCATTCTTACTCTATGAAGTAAACATGATCAATGATTTCATTGTCCAAATAGTAAGAACACTAGAGAAAATGTATGTGGCTTCCCAAAGCCTTCCAACTATGTTTTCTGTGGAGAACAAATACACTCTTCTCCTTCCCAGACCACAAAAGGCCACAAAATTCAAGAAGACTTTTCAAAAATCTAAGACCAAAGTGGGCGGATCACCCAAGGTCAGGAGTTTGAGACCAGCCTGGCCAGTGTGGTGAAACCCTACCTTTACTAAAAATACAAAAATTAGCTGGACATGGTGGCAGGTGCCTGTAATCCCAGCTACTCAAGAGGGTGAGGCAGGAGAATTGCTTGAACCTGGGATGTGGAGGTTGCAGTGAGCTGAGATCACACTACTGCACTCCAGCCTGGGTGACAGAGCAAGACTCTGTCTCAAAAAAAAAAAATCTGTCTGGAAGAAGCTTAGAACCATGTATCTTCAGTGATGAAATTCAGAAAACAGGGATCAAAAGTTTAATTTCACTCAACATATTTAGATAACTGCTTCAAATATTCATTTAGCACTGTGAGTAGAGATCACATAAGTTTCACAATGTTTCTTTGCTTAACAAATGCACTTGGACATACATGGGGCCTGGTCGGCATACTAAAAATGCAAAGCAGAAAGGCATTTATTTGGCATGTTTCTACGAGGTAATGTATCGACGAAATTCCTCACAACTATCTCCCTTACTCTTGCACAAGTGAAAAATGCCACCATCACTAGTGTGTCCAGTGAACTAGTAAAAGGCTCAACCACATTTGGCGTGACTCAAACTTGTTTGGTAGCAAAAGTTGTATCTCATTAACAATAACAAACAGCAGCATCTCTCACCATTTGCTTTATGCTGGTTGAGGTACAGGCCTTTATAAAACTTGCAAGTTGAATTATCACCTTTGCAAACGCCACAAGCATCTGAAACTGCTTTAGAGCCTAGTTCATGATCACATCCCACTAGCTGTGACAAAAACAAAAAACGTGAGAAAATAAAAGATCAGAGAAGCCAGAGGCTGGGAATAATTAAGAGGTATATGGTTCTCTGTATTTACAGAACATTAGGGAAGCAGTACAGCTTATGGTTAAAAATCACAGCCTCAAGTTGGACTCACTTGGGGTTCAAATCCCTCCCCTGACATTATTAGATGACTGAGCAAGTTGTATAACTCATCTAAGGCTTAGACTCTTCATCAATGAAACTGGAATAAAAAGTCACTATTGCTACTAATACCAGCTGAGATTATTCAGGCCAGCTGTGTAACTCAAATATGAAAATGCTGGACAATACACATGCATGCATGTGTACAAACATACACCCTTAAAAGATCAAAGGGCTCAAACTAAAATTAAAATGGAAGAGAAAATGAGCACTCAAAGTGAAAGGAAAAATAACTGGGGAAAAATAGTATTTCAAAATACATTTGTGAGATTCTAATCATATAGTAAAGGTACTTAGTACACATGCAATAAAAGTTTATTATTTACATTCTTATTTCATTTTTACAACTCCTGTGCAAAGCAGGATATAGCATCATCTCCATTCTATATATGTGCAAGTAGAGTAAAAAATAAACTAAAATAATTGGACAAGGCTCATGCAACAAGTAAATGAGGAACGTAGATATGGTGCTCGGCCAGGCGTGGTGGCTCACGCCTATAATCCCAGCACTTTGGGAGGCTGAAGCGGGCAGATCACCTGAAGTCAGGAGTTCAAGACCAGTCGGGCCAACATGGCGAAATCCCGTCTCTACTAAAAATACAAAATTAGCCAGGTGTGGTGGCATGCACCTGTAATCCCAGCTACTCAGGAGGCTGAGGCAGGAGAATCACTTGAACCCAGGAGGCAGAGGTTACAGTGAGCTAAGATCGCACCATTGCACTCCAGCCTGGGTGACAGAGTGAAATTTCATCTCAAAAAAAAAAAAAAAAAAAAAAAAGATATGGTGCTCGAATCCAGTGAAACACTTTGCTCTTTCGCTCCATGCCACCTGCTCTTCTCCAGACACACAATCTCTCACACCACTGTTCACGGTACACACGATATGATAAAACACAAGCATGCTCATACACTCCAAAGCAGAAACGTTCTCTTACTTCACAAACCCCGTCAATACAAACATCATTTTTGTTTGGGGAGCAGGGAGTTCCATCTTTCACTTTGCCGGACATTGCAAAAAAAAATTCAAAGTTCTCAGCCTTGCAGTACAGTTTGCATCGATCTTCCTCTAGAAACAAAGAGATCAAGATAGGAAATGGTCAAGAGGAAACTAAGGAAAAATGATAGGATTGTCAAAAGAATGAATTAAATTTACTTAGAAAGCTATCATGATGAATATGGAAAATGTGTGTGTTTGCACATATAAGCCCATATGATGTGGCTTTCGAAGCATGAGTCCCATGTAACAATCCATATAAAACTAATTTAAGAGTAATACGTAACAATTTTATTTTTCTCATCCTTAGGGATAGTCACCATACACATGATCGATGGGTTACTATCCAGCCTCCCTGGATAGTAAACCTTTCAGGTTTCAAAGGCCTGATGGTCAGCCACTGACAATACAGAAATGAAGTAGTGTGGCTGTGTTCTAATAAAATCTGATGAAACAAATACACACCAGATTTGGCCAGCAGCCCATAGTTTGATGACCCTGATTTAGAGCATGGATTACTTTAGATATTTACTCAGTCTGTTAAGAGAAAAGGTTTCAGGCACCAGGGAGAAAAGGCATACGGTTAGTCATGTTTGTAAAACATATAGAGAAAAAAAACCATGTCATAAAAATGAAGAGAAAGCAAATAAACTCGTCCTGAAGGCTACAAAAAGGTAACTTCTCTTGGCCCTTAAGTCCCTGAGATGTTTCTGATATCAAAGGCAAAAATTAAAAAAAAATTATATTTATAGAGCTCTTGTTATCAGAAAGGAGTTCCTATGCCAATTTCTCAAATAGAAAGAGCTCTTCTTGGCCAGGAATTCCAGATAACGTTTCTCACAGGAGACCTTCTGTGGGTGATATTGAGCGATATCCCTAACAACAGTTTTACAAACGTGTAAACAGTTTGCAAATAGTTGTGCTTCATAAAACCTCTCAATAAAAGACAAACTAAAAACTCAAACGTGAAAGGAGTTAAATTATCACAGTCCAAATATGCACATGCGTGGGTGGGTTAAAAGGTTCTCTCCCATCTATAATTTTTTTTAATAGCAGCTTTATTTAATGCGTAATTTTTGCACATGAGATTAGGGAGTTGGATGACATATATGCCCTTTCTTTTCTCTATCATTTCCAGAAATTAACAAGTTTTAGAAAGTTCCTTTTTTTTTTTTTTTAAAAGCACAGATTCCTGGGTGAGTTTATGAGTCCATTAAAAACACAGAGGAAAGACGGGAAAAAACCTCACTCCTGTAGCACAGAGATTGTCCACATTTATGAAAAAGTCTTCCCTTGTTCTTCTAAATTGCAGGAATGTCACAAGACATTCAAGTCATGGTCAGTCTCCTCTGATATAAGTATCAAAAGGAGACAAGGAGAGACTAGAAAGCCTTAACGTTTCTGTCTCCCTCCACTGAGAGGTAAGATCCTAAGGCAGGGAGTCTATGTTTGATTCAGTGCATTCTGCTCTGCATCTAGCAAAGTGTCTCCTACACAAAAAGAGTTCAGTAAACATCTGTTGCATGCATGAATGAAATTGCATGCTCCCTACTCAGTGGAAACTGCAATAAAATTAGTGAAAGAACTTTGACACCAGCAAGCATTTTCTAAATTGCAAAATTTATTTGTTTAACTTTCTCCTTATATCTTCAACACAGAATTTCTTTAAGGGCGATAACAGGACTGATTTCATAAACACTATGTTTGAATGAAAGATGTAATGTGATAAAGGCCAAGGAATATCCACGAAGCCAAACCAAAAGCAAAGAACAGAAGAGGAAGTAAAAGGAGGGACAACAGAGTCATGGAGAAAGAACCACAGGTAGGAAGCATGGGACCTCAAGAGTATACAACCAACAGAAAGGAAATCTTCCAAGTCTGGAATAGGAAGCAACTGCAGCATCCGCTGGGACCTGCTGTGCAGCATGCTTCCTACGAAATCACTCAGCTCCTGGTAGAATGCCTCTAGTGATGGGGACCTTGTTACTTACAGAGGGAGTATATTTTCATTTTGGACAGTTAATATTTATTTACTTATTCATTCATTTCAAAAGTTATAACCATTACATAAATATATACCAAGTGCTGTTCTTGGATGCTGGAGATATAAGCAAGCTCAAGATAGACAAAGGCTTAGTCCTTGTGGAACCTAAATTCTTGTGGGGAGGAAGATAACAGATAAATGACCACATAAAAATACATCCATGCACTGAGAAGAGCTATGAAGAATAAAACGGGGTAAAGGGTTCAGAAAACAATATGAAGGAAGAATATGTTGACAGGCTGTTAAGGAAGGTCTCTCTGAGGAGACAATATGGCTAGAATGTTCTCAGCCCTTGAATTAATTCTGTTATCTAAAGCAATTTGAAATAAATTGAACATCCTTCCTATTCAATAGCTCTTTGAAGTTTTGAATGTAAGTCGTTTCTCATGTACAGTAAACCTCTATAGGTACCTCATTACTTCCTCCTAAGACACAGCTTTGGAATTGTCATGTCTGTCTCTATCTATACTTCCTGGCAAACAGTCATGACCCAAAACCACATCAGTGCTCCTGAAATGGCTAGGCTGATACTGAGCAAAGCTGCACAATCCTCTCTTTCGATTTGGAGGCTCTACTTGTTATAGTGATGCCTGTAATTATATTAGCTTCCTTTATGATCACTGATTAATATAGGTTCATGTTGCGCTTTTGCACAGAACAGCCCATGGATTGTCATTAAACTTAGTCTCTTTCCATTCTACACATGGGCAGTTGGGATTCACATATAACCCTGTTTCAAGACAGCGTAACAGTTTTGATAAATCTAATGGATGGAAGTAATGAAACAACTAGGATGATGACAGCTTATTCTACATAGGTAAGAGCAACTACATTAAACTCTTCTGCTGTAACTAATGTTTTATTATTCAGTCAAAATAAAGACACATTAATTTAAAAAGTAAAATATAAGCCATAACTTTAAGTATAGTAAGTACCAAGAACCTAGTATAATTTTTATTTATGATTCTGTGTGTGTGTCTGCGTGCATGCACACACTCTACACACAGGCCTTCCCATGCTTGTAATCAACTGACATGTCAGTTACTGTGTACGGTGCCTCTATGGGGTATATATGGTTTCATGAGTTTTTGGTCTGGACAGTTCATACCAATTTCAATTAAGATCCCTGGGAGACTTAATTGCCAAAATGTCAAAGGTAAGTTGAGAAACATGAGTTCATTCCAAACATATGAAACCTTGGGTTTACAGATGTGGGAGACAAGAGGTATCTTATAGGGGGAAAAAAAAAAAAACAACAGTGGAAAAATAAACAAAACCCATGGAATGAAACACTGAGCCAGGATGGGTCTGGGGAGTGAAAGGTAAACATTCAAACTCTTTGATACAAGCAGCAATTTCTTCTGTATTGGTCAATCACATTATTATCCACATAGAGACTTATTTGAATGTCATAGAGACCAAATTACCTTCCACTTTTGTATAGGGTTTCCACTGGTAGAACCATCCACGGAAAGGTTTGCTGTTATATTCTGCACACTGTTGAGCCCGAAAATCCAAGCTATTTTCATTGCAAGGGTTAATATTGCACAGCTGATAAATACGGCTAGAACCTGGACAGAATAAGCCACCATACTGAGGCCTGAAAATGAAATTAATGAACTTTAATGTTAGTAATCAAAGGGCTCATTATTAGTCACATGCAATAATATGAAGAGAGGCAATGAAGATGAGCACTGCCACAGTGTATGCAAAGGCATACAGTCTATTACAGGAATGGAAGTACATAGCATACAACTTAACACCTTCCTTCTTGAATCTAGGCTAGACATAACTAATCAATCAGGGGATTTTTTTCTAGTTCTTTTCATTACCACTGTTCACTCATTAAAATTGGCATGCTAAATCAAATTTATTTGCCATCACCAATCCAATATTTACATTCTGTTCATTTCCTTAAACACTGATGAAAGAAGTTTTACTTTTTATTTTATTATTATTTTTGAGATAGGGTCTCACACTGTTGCCCAGTCTGGAATGCAGTGGCGTGATCTTGGCTCACTGCTGCCTCCACCTCTCTGGCTCAGGTTAGCCTCCTACCTCAGCCTCCCAAGTAGCTGGGACTGGAGGCATGCACCACTACACCTGGCTAATTCTTGTACTTTTTGTTGAGATGTGGTTTCGCCATGTTGCCCAGGCCAGTCTCAAACTCCTCGGTTCAAGTGATCCACCCCCATCAGGCTCCCAAAGTGTGGGGATTACAGGTGTGAACCAATGCACCCAGCCTGAAAGGATATTCTTTTGTTTTTAAATTTTTTAAATTTTTTAAAACTTTTATTTTAGGTTCAGGGGTACATGTAAAGTTTTGTTATACAGTTAAATTGCGTCTCGCAGGGGTTTGGTATACAGACTGTTTCATCACCCAGGTAATAAGCATAATATCTGATATGTAGTTTTTCAATCCTCTTCCTCCTCCAACCCTCCACTCTCAATCTTTGGGTCCATATGTACTCAATGTTTAGCTCCCACTTATAAGGAAGAATATGTGACATTTGGTTTTCTGTTCCCGCCTTAGTTGGCTTACAAGAATGACCTCCAGCTCTATCCATCTGACAGCAAAGGACATGATCTCATTCTTTTGTTTTGGCTGCATAGTATTCCATGGTGCATATGTACCACATTTCTTTATCCAGTCTGCTGTTGATGGGCATTCAGGTTGATTCCATGCCTTTGCTATCACGACTAGTGCTACAATGAACATATACCTGCATGTGTCTTTATGGTAGAACAATTTTTTAATTTTTGATTTTTTTATTTCAATAGGTTGTTTGGTTACATAAAAAAGTTCTTTAGTAGTCATTTCTGAGATTTTTGTGCACCCCTCACCCGATCAGTGTACCCTGGACCCATTGTGTAGTCTTTTATCCCTTGCCACCCCCTACCCTTTCCCTTGAGTTCCCAAAGTCCAATGTATCATTCTTATGCCTTTGCATCCTCATACCTTAGCTCCCACATATGAATGAGAACATACAATGTTTGGTTTTCCATTCCTGAGTTTATGGCAGCACAATTTGCAATTGCAAAAATATGGAACCAGCCCAAATGCCCATCAATCAACGAGTAAAGAAAATGTGGTGTATATAGACCATGGACTACTACCCAGCCGTAAAAAAGTAATGAAATAATGGCATTCACAGCAACCTGGATAAAACTGGAGACCGTTATTCTAACTGAAGGGATATTCCTGACCCTCATCATATTAGCCCCTGTGTTAAGGAAATCTGTAAACACACCTAAATGTTCTTTTACTGTATATGTGTGCTCGTCTGCTACATGCACATACCCTATCTCTTGGCATCAGAAGCTGTTCAAACATGGACCCAAGCTACCTCTCCAGCTTTCTCCCATTTCCTAATACTCTCAGTATCTTCCCACACTTTGCCATGCACCTATTACATAGAACGTCAGCACACTGGGGAGAAGGAACAGAAAGCACCATTTGCTGCTCTCCCCAATCCAGCTGTCAGTCATAGAGATATTTTGAGTATAATATGACTGTTGTGTGTTTCTTCTGATTGATTCTGAAACCAGAGGGAAAACATTCTCTTGTTTTCATCAGCATAGTCACTTTTCAGCTTTGCAGGTGGCCTACTCCTTTCCTGCCAAGCACAATGGGAAATGGATTTCCAGAGTAGACAATTCCATTAGAACATAAATAATGACGATGTAAAGGCAAGCTCTTTAAGATCTTGGTAGGCAGATTCTAATCTGCAAAAACCAGAAAGCAAAATAAAGGAAAAAGAGCACCACCACATTGAAAATTACGCATAACATCGTACCCAGCTTACTCCGTGCACAAAGATGTGGCTTCTTGTCACTCCTCCCATTTTGAGGTTTTCTCTGAAGGCCAAAACTCAACTATGGATCATCTTGTATAACATGAAAGGCGGCTCCAGGTTAATAAATTTATGTGATTAAAATTCCTTGTCTCTTTAGGAGGCACAAGCATGCTCTAAAACAGCCCTGGAGTTGCTTCAGCGTAATTAATTTATCCCATCCTCCTATAACTGCACGCTAAAATGGATTCAACAGAAACGGGAAATGTCACGCGGCCAGAATGAGATTTTTATGCTATTTTAAAACACTCTGGAGCAACTACTTAAACATGCTGCAGCCATTGTGATAAATCAAATCCCTGAAGACTTCTTAAATGATTATCTGAAAAGCACTTAGAAAAATCTTTAAGTGCTATATCATAGCCTCAATATTCCGGTCATCTTTACAAGGCATATTTAAAACTAATTTCTCAGTTTAAGACTTTCTGTGATTTAACGAATAAACCTCATTTGGGCTCTATGTAGTTAATGAAGTGAAAGAGGACTGCAAGGTGTTACTTTATCGACTTATAGAACTTGTAACGTGGAAAAGACCACCAAATTCATACAGCCATTGTCCTCCTTTCATAGATGAAGTGAGAACCAGCTGACAAGAGCTTACAAAACTTGTTGAAAGAGGGTCACACAGCTAGAAAGAAACAGAGACGAGCTCAAGCTCAGGCCTGTGGACTCAGTCCAGGATTTTTTTCATACTTAACTATGCCTGCATTTAACTGAGTTCTTAGGCCATGGGGCCGGGTATGGAAAGAAAGAATAGACAGTAAGGTGCAATGTTTAGGGAGCTGGCCTTTTACAATGAGGGAGATTCTCTCTTTTTTTTTTTTTAATTTTGAGACAGAGTCTTGCTCTATCACCCAGGCTGGAGTGAACTGGCACAATCATGGCTCACTGCAGCCTCAAATTCCTGAACTCAAGTAATCCTCCTGCCTCAGCCTCCTGAGTAGTTAGGACTACAGGCATGTGCCACCATGCCTGGCAAATTTTTAAAATTTTTATACAGATGAGGGGCTGTGTTGCCCAGGCTGGTCTCAAACTCCTGGCCTCAAGCAATCCTTCTGCCTTGGCCTTCCCAAGTGCTGGAATTACAAGCATGATCCATCAAACATGGCCAGACCCTGATTTAAATACAGTATTCTCTGCCTCCTCCCAGCTTAAATTTAGGTGATCTTATTTAACCTCCTCATTTGCAAAATAGGAACAGTTGTGACAATTAACTGATCCAACCTTTGTAAAGAATGTAGGGCAGTATCTAGGGCAGAGTCAGAATAAATAAATTATAACTATTTTTAAATGCCTTATGCTTTTGTATTGAGTACCCACCCTGTGCTGAGTATTATGTGATCTGATTTTTATATACTAATACATTTCATTTTTAATTATGGGATATGGTCAAAGTGATCAAAAGTAATTGCTAGCAAGCATTTGGCCATTTCCATAAAAATATAGGCAATATTTTTCTGCAGCTTTGAACATAAGTGTTAGCCTAACAGACAATTCTATCATGATATGTCTTGGTGTAAGAAGTTGTTTAATATTAAAAAGAAATATAGAAATAGAAAACAAAAACCTAGGCACATGATTTTGTCCTTATATTAGACAACTATAAAGAGCATACCATCATTTGCTTCTGCATCATTTATCAAGTCCTGACTACAAATAGTTACAATGGTGTTGCTTGGAAGAGTATTAGAATCACTTGGAGAGCTCTGTTAAACTATATACATATACAGATTCCTGAGGACCTCCACCCACTTTCTCAATAAGAATATGAGATATGGAAGATTCAGAAATCAGTATTTTTAAAAACACACCTGGTGATTCTGATAACCAGCTGAGCCGTGATATTACTGGTGGGAAAATACACCACCAATTAGATTCAATTATTCTTCTGGGGCCATGATTTTCCTCCTAACTCCATGAGCTAAGTTGTGTTAGAGTTAGCAGACAATTCTTTCTCAAATAGACTCAGGTTTTAGAAAAGTTCTAGAACACCTTAGCATATCACTAATAATTTTCTTGGAGAGTTTATAGGAATTTCACTAGGATCCCTTATGGGGTGATAGTTTAACAAACAAGGAACCAGAAAAAATGAAAAATGTCAAAGGATTAAGACTATGGGAACTTAATCTGACTCTGCCATTACCAGCATGGGGACTTGAGCAAGAGTTGCTACCGTGAATGGGGCCCTCTTCCTCCCCTGGTTACTCATCTGTGAAATAATTGGATTAGGCAGCAGGTTTCAACTCACGTGTCAGTTCTAACCCGATTGAGAACAAATGCCTGAAGAAGGACATTGGGAAGGTCCCTGAGGCATAGGAGGGCTCAATGAAAAACAGGGCTTCCGTCAGTTAAAACTATTTACCACTTACATGGGACAAAGGATGTCCCTGTGTGCCTGGCATTGGCCATTCCAGAGCCAGATAGCAGTCAACAAAAAAAAACTGGTAAATCTATGAATCAGCCAAGAATCATTCATTTTTCAAGAAATAAAGTCTGTTCTGGGAAAAACACCTTTATATGAAACAGAAACCTCACACTGCTTCTCGGATGAGACAATGAAAATGGCTACACTGAGTGATGTGAATAGAACCAAATGCTTAAACTGAAGCAAGAAAGAAATCCATAACTTGAAATAGGGAGAAAAAACAGCATTACTGCAACAGAGTGAAATAAGAACAGAGACAGAACAATTAATTCAGTTGTCTTGGGAGAGCCTATCATCTACTTGTTTTATTTATGGCTTCATGCAGAGTTAAAGTAAACAGTATCCTGATTTATTTTTCATCTTGTTTTAAATGATAAAACTGCACTGAATGAAAATACTTTAGTGATTAATTATTCTATTAGGCATCTCTAAATTACAATATGTTGTTTCCATGAACAATGCCCTATTATAATGAGAGCTCTCAATCCTACAGATATGAGAGAGGTTTTAATTTAAATCTCAGGGGCATCATTCATGCACTTTACCAGCAGAGCTATTGAATTAGGTAATCTATGTCTTTCTTGGGAAAATATTGAGATTGTAAAATGTTGTAATGGATGAAAACCAGATCCATGAACTATACTTCACAAATGTAAAGTAATATGATGATTTTAACAACTCAACTTAAGACATGGCTGCATTCAAAGTATCAGGAGGTTAAATAACTACCCTCCTGCTTAAACCAGGAGATACTAAAACAACATCATTGTTTTAATACTGTTATTAAAACAATAACCTGGTATAAGTTGCAAATGCATCACCAGCCTCCTTATCATTATATTCAGTCACTGGGCCTGATTACATCTGTGAGTCCCAATCAGAGATTATTTTGTCCCATATAGGACATTTGGCAATGTCTGGAGACATTTTTGGTTGTCACAGTTTGGTGGGTGGTGGGAAGAAGAGTGCATCCTACTGGTACTAGTAGGTCAAGGGCAGGGATGCTGCTAGACATCTTACCATGTACAGGACAAATCTCCAAAACAAAGAATTTGCCAGCCCATGTCAATAGTGCTGACATTGAAAAGCTCTATTTTAGCCTGCGATATTCGAAGCAGCACCTAACACGTGATGGGCAAAGTGTCTCCAAACTCTGCTTTATATTTTGGGGAAAAAATAGAATTTTTATCTAACTCAGACTGCTGACTCAAATGAAGTACCATTCATCTTTTTTAAAATGTCCTTTTGCTCTAGTGTCATTATTTCTCAATTCACCAAATAGTTACGCAATGCTAATGACATGTCAGACCCTCTTCTAAAGCACTTCACAAATGTTAACTCAGTTGACATAGGTACTATCGTTATCCCGTTTTTATAAGTGAGGAATCTGGAGCAGGAAGACTAAGTTGTCTGTGGTCATAGATCAGAAGTGTTAGGGTCAGGATGCAGAAATGGTCTGTCAAACTTCAGAGTCTATGTTCTCATCCTCTGCACTATGCTACCAACTTAAATTATGTTGTAAATTAAATCTGTTTTCCAAGTTTCCATCACATTCTTCTCACTCCATCACATTCTTCAAAAGTCAGTTTCGTCAGTAAAGGCTCTGCCTCTCCACCCTGCTTCGGTGGGCTGACCCTCTGTGACCCCGTCCTCCTGGTGAGCTTGGGATGAGGATGATGAAAACCACACAGATCCCAGAACCTTTTGGTGAATGCCCACTGAATGTTCCCCAGTCTGTCAGGCATTCTAAAGATGCAATTTCTAATCCTCCTCCAACCTTCCAAGGTTATCTTCTACATTTTTTTATACATAAACCCAAGTCAAATGACTTTTACAAAGCCACAGAGTTTAGAAGTGGCAGACACAGGGTTTAGAGTCTTTCTATCTATCGCCAAAATCTGGGCTCTGTCTACATCATTCTGCCAACTGGAAAATCTACATCTCACACATGTTTCATGTGGGAGTTAGAGCATATAAAAGTAACATAAAACCACCTTCATGTGCACAGAGCACAAACTGCAGTTCAGACTCCAGTATGACCAGACCAAAGAGTGCCCACAGGTGACCACAGGCCAATTGCAATCCACAGCTGATTTGACTAGTTGTCACAGTGGGACTTTCTGTGTTTGAAGAAAATTGAATTTGCTGTCAATATTTTTAAAATTGGGAAATTTCACATCAGCATTTTTCCGTATTTCTGGTTTCTCTTGAAAAGTCAGGCAGATCTGTCAACACGTGTTGATGTACATTCCTGCAAGGCAAATCAGCATACTTTCTGCAGTTCACCAGTTTGAGAGACACTCACAAGGTTTGCCGGCCAAACTTTTCTGTTCTACGATAGCACAAGTATTTAATTATATGACTGTAGAACCCTAGTTTAGATGAACAGAGTAGCTCAGAGTCTTACTGGATCATCACAGTCCCGTAGAGAATGACTCCTCTGCTGTGTTTTGGTTTCTGCCCACCATACCTTCCCTCGGTGCACATGGACTTTATATGCAAACAGTAAAACTCTGGTTGATTGTTACTAACCGGAGGGAAGAAAATGGCACTTTAAAACAGTGTTTTCTCACACTAGGGCCTGTCGCATGGTGGGGAGCAAGGGGAGGGAGAGCTTTACAACAAATACCTAATGCACGTGGGGCTTAAAGCTTAGATGATGGGTTGATAGGTGCAGCAAACCACCATGGCGCTATATACCTATATAACAAACCTGCACATTCTGCACATGTATCTTGGAACTTAAAGTAAAATAATAATGAAAAAAGAAATACCAAAAAAAAAAAAATAAAACAGTGTGTTCTGTTGGTGGGAATGTAAATCAGCACGGTGGTTCCTCAAAAAACTAAAAGCCATCCCAAAAAAATCCCAAAAGGAAGGAATACCCCAAAGAAGGGAAATCAGTGTATAGAGATATCTGTATTCCCATGTTCAATTCAGCATTATTCACAATAACCAAGACATGGAAGTAACCTAAGAGTCCCTCAGTGGATGAATAAGTAAAGAAAATATGGCACATATCCATAATTGAACAGTGTGCCATGTTTTCTTTATCCATTCATCCTACTAATGCTGCTAGATAGTATAGTACAGATACTATATATTAATAGTATATATTAATAGTATAATATAGTATACTATTATACTATATTATATATAGTATATTAGTATATTAATAGTATAATATATAGTGTCCTATATACTAAATATAAATACTGTAATATATAGTGTCATATATACTATATATAATATAGTGTCATATATGCTATATATAATATACAGTGCAATATATGCTATATATAATATACAGTGCAATATATGCTATATATAATATACAGTGCTATATATGCTATATATAATATACAGTGTTATATATTATATATAATATATAGTGTTATATATTATATATAATATATAGTGTTATATATTATATATAATATACAGTGTTATATATTATATATAATATATAGTGTTATATATTACATATAATATACAGTGTTATATATTATATATAATATATAGTGTTATATATTACATATAATATATAGTGTTATATATTATATATAATATATAGTATATATGCTATATATAATATAAAGTATAAATAATACTACATATATTATACTATTATATATACTACATATTTATATTATATATAGTATATATATTATATATATACTGTATATTATAGTATATATTATATAGTATATATACTGTATATTATAGTATATATTATATAGTATATATACTGTATATTATAGTATATATTATATAGTATATATACTGTATATTATAGTATATATTATATAGTATATATACTGGATATTATAGTATATATTATATAGTAGTATATATAGTATATATTATAGTATATAGTATATATATACTACTATAGTATATAGTATATATACTATAGTATATAGTGTATATACACTATATACTGTATATAGTGCATATACTATAGTATATATATATAGTATATATATACTGTATACTATAGTATACTACTATATACTATAGTATATATACTGTATACTATAGTATACAGTATATATACTATAGTATACAGTAAATATACTATATACTATAGTATACAGTATATATACTATATACTATAGTATACAGTATATATAATATACTATAATGTACAGTATATGCACTATATATTATAATATACAGTATATATACTGTACATTATAGTATATAGTATATATACTGTATTTTATAGTATATAGTAGTATATATACTGTATATTATAGTATATAGTAGTATATATACTGTATATTAATAGTATATAGTAGTATATATACTATATATTAATAGTAATTATATATAATGTAGTATAATAGTATTATTTGAATTAATGGTATTCAGCCTATTATGATAGTATTAATCCTACTTAATACTATGAATCCTATTTAATACTATTCAGCCATTATAAAAATGAAATCCTGTTATTTGCAGCAACATGAATGGAACTGGAGGACATCATATTAAGTGAAATAAGCCAAATGGAGAAAGACAAATATTGTATCTTCTCCCATGTGAGAGCTAAAAAAAAAAAAAAAAATTGAACTCACAGAGCTAGAGCTAGAGAGTGCATTGACAGAGCTGGGAAGGGTAGTGGGGAGGGAGAATGGTAATGTCAGCATGGTTAATGGGTACAAAAATATAGTTAGAATGAGTAAGATCTAGTATTCAGTAGCACAAATAGGGTGACTATAGTTAACAATTCATTGTATATCTTAAAATAACTAAAACAGTGGAATGGGCCTAATAAAGAAATGACATTGGAATTTTTTTAATAAAGAAACAATAAAGGCTTGAAGTGATGGATACCTCATTATGCTGATTTGATCATTCCACATTGTATAGTTGTATCAACACATCACATGTACCCCATAAATATGTATAACCATTATGTAGCCATAATAATTAAAAATAAAAAAATAAACTTAAAGTATGAACAAGAAAAACCAGCGTGTTACAGGCTGAAGGTTAAGGCCTTGCAAAGACTAACTTTCTGCTGGAGGCTTACTTGGGGTTATTGCAGTGTCTCTCCTGGAACTTGACTCCTCCACCACATGTCCGGGAACATTCTGACCACTTCGACCAGGCGGACCACTGGCCGTGGATGGGCCGGGGCCCGAGCTCCCCAAACTTTACGCACTGGCCTTGCCGACACCACTGTGAAAAGAACGTGTAAGATGGTTCCCGTCAGAGACCACCTGGGAAAGCGCAGGGAGTTGCCAACACCTGCACAGTAACAGGAAAAACAGGTCTGTTGGGAGAAAAGGAAAATGCCTGATACCTTGATAAATTCCTCTGCTGTGCTCTAAAAACACTCAACTACTCTGCATTGACCACATCCATTTTGAAAGGCTGACATCTAGAGAGAAGTGGCATTGTTCACCAACAGGCTGAGTATGATAGGCTTTGTGAACTGTGGAGGTGACATGTTCAGATAAGATTCCACCTAACAGCCAAGGGAGTCAGTATAAAGTTACAAGGAAGCCTGCCTTGCCACTGAGAGACAACACTACTTAAAGAACAATTCGGATCACTCATTCAGGAAGAAACAGTTAAGATATTAACACAATTTATCATTCTGAAAGAACAATTGGGATCACTCATTCATGAAGTAACAGTTAAGATATTAACACGATTTATCATTCTGAATGATTATCTTATCATAAAATAGATACAATTACACATACATTATATTTTTGCTTATTCCAAACCCGTCACTATAGAGCATTTCTTACAAAGCTGAACAACTCAGTCTGTACAAATTGTTCTCTTCAGATAGCATCCTTTTTCCTTTGTCTACATAAAAGGTGCCCACTTCAGATGCTCTGATGACTTTGAGCTCTTGCAGTGTCTTTGATGAATTAGCCCAGGGTCTTTCATTTGCCCATGATCTGTACAAGCTAGATGGAGAGCTTTTTTCTGTATTAACCTTTCCATTTTAGTTCTCCTTTTTGTAACAAATTCCTGGCTTTGCTGGTCATCTCTCCCTAGGGGATGCATTAGCCTCTGGTAGTGTTTCTTTTGTTTTTGTTTTATTTTTTGTTTTTGTTGCCTACCCCCAATCCCCAACCCCTGCAGTGCTTTGATTATGAGAAAGTTCTGCATGACTTAGCATAACTGCTCTTTTCTAAAAGCCTCTGCAATTAGATCCAAAGGGTTGGGGTTTGGACCATGCCAGGTTTTGCTGAGGAATTGGGGGATCGGTTACAGAATTATGGGAAGGTTGTTTGACTTTCAAATCTTCACTTATCCCCTGCGATACATTTGGCTTCATGACTGTTTACTGTGTGGCTTGGTTGCTAGCGCACTCTATCTAGGTTAAGATATTGCTTCCTTTCTTCAAATTCTTGCCATGTGCTGATTAATTCTTCTGTTTTTAATTTTTCTTTTCCCTGGATTAATTGCCATTTCAGAGTTTGCATGAAACCATATAACACTATTGAGAAGTTTTTGGGGAAGGCTATCGGTCATTTGAGGATTTTGCCTACCATAAGCATGCATCTTTTCTACCGGGAATCACGAGGACTCTACTGGACTGAGTTCAGTGGCTGAGACAAAATTACAATAGCCAATAACAGTAACAGCAGCAGCAGCCACAGGTTATCAAGCTGCTTCTATGTGCCAAAAATGATGCAGAGAGCTTCACATGCAGTATCTCATCTAATCCTTGCAAAGCACTGAATTAAAAGCCGTTTTCCTCAGTAGGAGAAATTTAGCAAAGAAATACTAGCTAACTTGCTCAGAGTGACACAAACTACCCAAACAGATCTATTCAAATAACTATGCAAGTATAAGAGACTGGATTTAACTCAGTAGCCAGAACTCCTAAGCAGGACACTTCTACTTCTCATCTTGGAGGCAAATTACTGACCAATGTACCTTAATTCTAATCTAATTTCTTTTTGGAAAATGTGTTTTTTAGATCTCTTCCAGTCATTCAATTAACTTGATGTTCTATTACTTCAGTATTTGTTCTAGTATTACGTTAGGCTGCTATCACACTGTCTCCATTTGGCCTTTTAATCAGTGTAGAAATCAGGAATATAAAGGAATGTACACACAGACCTGCACACATTCACATGAATAGGTAAAATTCTACATAGAAAATGCAAATTTAGAATATATACACCTGTAATTTTATCCATCTTTTCTTTTCTTTTCTTTTTTTTTTTTTTGACAAAGTTTCACTCTTGTTGCCCATGCTGGAATGCAGTGGTGCGATCTCGGCTCACTGCAACCTCCGCCTCCCAGGTTCAAGCGATTCTCCTGCCTCAGCCTTCCAAGTAGCTGGGATTATAGGCGCCTGCCACTACACCCAGCTAATTTTTGTATTTTTAGCAGAGACAGGGTTTCACCACGTTGGCCAGGCTGGTCTTGAACTCCTGACATCAGGCGATCCACCCACCTTGGCCTCCGAAAGTGCTGGGATTATAGGCGTGAGCCACCGCGCCTGGCTCCATCTTTTCATACATACATATTTTTCTTTGTTGTTGTTGTTGTTGTTTTTAGACAGGTTATCACCCTGTCACCCAGGCTGAAGTGCAGTGGCACGATCTTGGCACACTGTAGCCTCCACCTCCCGGATTTAAGTAATTCTTGGGCCTCAGCTTCCGGAGTAGCTGGGATTACTGGCGTGCACCAGCATGCTCAGGTAATTTTTTGTATTTTTAGTAGAGATGGAATTTCACCATGTTGACCAGTGTAGTCTCGAACTCCTGGCCTAAAGTGATATGCCCGCCGAGGCCCCCCAAAGTGCTGAGATTACAGGCATGAGCCACCACGTCCAGGCCCAGCATACATATTTCTGGCACTACATCTAATTTCCAATTGAATGGCCATGACTTAGGCCATTATCTTTTTATAGACAGCATGTACAAACCTTTCTTTCCGTGCACACATATTTCTAGATAAAAGTAAGTGGCTTGGCCGGGCGCGGTGGCTCAGGCCTGTAATCCCAGCACTTTGGGAGGCCAAGGCGGATGGATCACATGGTCAGGAGACCGAGAGCATCCTGGCTAATACGGTGAAACCTCATCTCTAATAAAAAATAGAAAAAATTAGCCGGGCGTGGTGGCGGGCACCTGTAGTTCCAGCTACTCGGGAGGCTGAGGCAGGAGAATGGCGTGAACCCGGGAGATGGAGCCTGCAGTGAGCCAAGATCATGCCACTGCACTCCAGCCTGGGCGACAGAGCAAGACTCCATCTCAAAAAAAAAAAAAAAAAAGTAAGTGACTTTCATACTGCCTCATGTTGGCTGAGTATTCACAGTACAAATATCGCTGAAGGACAAGGGACTGGAGAAGAAAGAGGAAGGACAGAGTTGGGTTCCAGTTACAGAGAAACAAACAAAACATTGAGTACCTGCTACTGTGTGTCAGACACTCCAGATGAAACAAGTAAAACCAGGGCACTGGCCCTCATGAAATTTACAGTCTAACAAGCAGCCAGTGATATCCCCTGGTGAAGGAAGAATCTGAGGAAACCGTATATGAATGTAATAATCATTACACGGGAGTGATGATGGATGGAACTTATTAAGATGCTTTCTGTTGAGGGTGACATTACACTTAAGGGCTTTTCACCAGTATATAACTATAGCCTGGTGTTTTAAAATAACGTGGTGTGGCAGTTGTATCAAGACATTTGTTTTCCCACTTCTGACTTTATTTATCTCGTGTTCTGTTTACTGAAGCCTAACACAAGTACGTTTTATCCCCCTTGGAACTTAGATACCTGAAGTGCTTATGTAATAAATCTTTAGACCTAGGTGATGTATCACTTATTTTTCTCATTCATTATATAAATATTTTCCTGTGTATCCCTTATAGGTAACGATGTTGCTTTTTCAATTAAAAAAAAAAACAAAACACTAATCCTCAAGTCACAAGTTCTAAGTTGTGATGCCTCAAAAGTAAAAAGGACTTGAGCACTATTTATATTTTAAATTATTCCACTAATTCATTGTTTTGTATCATCATGGCCCCAACATTTCTATTAACATTTTCAAGAACAGTCCTCATTGGGAATCCCTAAGACCACTATCGGATTAAAAATTGCACATAACTCCTCAATTTTTAAAATGTTCATTTTCTTTAAAACAAAGAGTTAAAAATTACAAGTCTTTTTAAGAGATAGTGAATAAATGTCCTAACAAATATCAGAAATCTGTGCCTTTGCCTCTGATGTTGGCCTCTCTCTGAAAAGTCCTTTTTATCATCTAACTGAAGAACTTTAACCCACAACCCAACAACCATCTTGATGCATGTACTTGTTGTGGTTTATTCTAAGTGCATAGCTAATCTCAAGCAAGATTCAGCTCTCATTTCATCTGGGCCCCGACAGCAACTACTGCTTAGAGAAGGTGTCTTTAAAGAGAGAATTAGTTATTTCCTTCTGTATATGTTTCCCCTGCTAGACTGTAAATTTTTATATTTTTAATTTATTTTTGAGAGAGTCTTGCTCTGTCACCCAGGCTGGAATTCAGTGGCACAATCTCCACTTCCTGCAACCTCTGCCTCCAGGATGCAAGTGATTCTCATACCTCAGCCTCCCAAGTAGCTGGGATTTCAGGTGTGTGCCACCACGCCCAGCAAATTTTTGTATTTTTAGTAGTCCCAAGGTTTCACCACGTTGGCCAGGCTAGTCTTGAACTTCTGACCTCAAGGGATCCACCCACCTTGGCCTCTCAAAGTGATGGGATTACAGGCATGAGCCACTGTGCCCCGCCTGGACTGTAAATTTTTAAAGAAATACAACTCTGGTTTATTTATCTCTACATCCCCAGAGTCTCCTGTTCCCCATATCTAGTAATGAATAAATTATTGTGGAATGAAATAACTTTTTCTTTTTTAGAGACAGGGCCTAGCTCTGTGGCCCAGGATGGAGTGCAGTGGCATAATCACAGCACACTACAGCCTCAAACTCCTGGGTTGAAGCGATCCTCCTCCTTCAACCTCCCAAAGTGCTGGGACTACAGGCACGCACCACCAAGCCTGTTTAAGCTTTTGTAGAGATAGGGTCTCGCTGTGTTACCTGTTCTTGAACTCCTGGCTTCAAGCAATCCTCCCTGCTCAGCCTCCCAAAGTGTTGGGATTACAGGTATGAGCTATCACACCCAGCCTTGACATAACTTTAAAGGACCAATGACCATTTTTTTCTGTATAGGTTTATACTGCCTTGAGACAGAGTCAATAATTAAGATCAGCAAACCTGTAACATCTCATTATCTCTTGTCATTCATAGCTCCTCTTTGATTGGCCTTTCAAATGAACTTCCCAAATCTGGATCATTTACTAGTAGCCCAAATGCAACCTGCCCTCCCTCCAGACTCTATTGAGAAAGAGGAAGAAAAATAGAAATATATGAGAGTTCTTCATTAAAAATATTGAGATCTCCTATAATCTTTCAAAATGGAGGTGGTTCTCTGGGTAGGAGATGCTCACCAGCAAAAGGACCTTAGGTACACACTAGGTGGAGGCGTCTCTTACCCTTCAATAGGAAAGTCACTGTACATGATGGGAATCTATAGGGCATGTCAAAAGCTCAATGACAGCTCCTGTGAGTTGAGCTGAGTAGCCGAAGCCTTGGTCTGGAGGGACAGTCATTTCTTGACTAACAAGACATCTGATCCCTGAGACTTTTTAAATACCACAAGTTTAAAAGGAAAATGGTATGCAATGAAACCTGTAAGCTCATTGAAATAGAGATATTTTGAGCCAAGCCACCATCTAAAACAGGAAGACAAAAAAGAAAAAAAAAATCTTCTTAAACAATTGAGCTACCTGGGTTATATTAGCATTAAGCTTTGTAATTGCTGCTATATAATGTTGTTAATATGAAGAGAAGTCAGAGAATATAAACTACCAAAGCATTCACCCTAAGGTCACAATACAAACAGTTTGAATTCTATGCCTTATCAAATTTCTGGAGCTAAAAACTAACAAGTATGCAGTTTACCATACTCAAGCCACAAACGGTCCCTTCTGCTGCGGGCATAAACTTGGTCTCACACCTGTGGCCTACTCGGTGGCACCAAAGTGATTTGCAAATATCCTGAAATAAAAAAAAAGGGGGGTGCTGTTAATGGTGATATACAATAAAAACAAAAATATTCAAAGATGTTGTATATAATATTATATTTTGGGGTAGCTGAAATCAGAGCAATTATTCAGAAAGTAGAGGCCAGTGAAGTTGGCAACACCAAAGTTAATATGTTTTAGTAACTATATAAGTGGGGGGTTTCTACAGTATCCAGATATTCATGTGTGTTTTGTAACAGCTGGTAGGTAGCAACAGTTAATTTAGAGAACACTTGGCTTGGAAGTGATAGATCTGGTTTCTCATGATAGTGATGATGATAACCGTCGTAGCAGAATACATCAAGATTGGAATAAAGCAAGTCGGATTCAAGTCTTCATCCTGAAATGCCTGGTTTCATGCCCTATGGACATGTTATGGAATCCCTTTCAGTTGCAGTTTTCTCACCTGTACAATAGCGATCAAATGAGCACTTGACTCTATAGACTTATTCTCAAGGATAAATGAGGAACTACATGTAAAGTGATGGTTTTGCCTGGCACATGCAGTTCTCAAAAATACTGCCTATCATTACTACCTTTTTCATCTTTTTAAAAAATGTTCTACAGTTGCTTTTTCAAGGTCCTATATGTGCTTACCTGAAGCATTTTCTATGAGTGCTGTTTATAGTTTATTGACTGACTGACTGTAGAGACAGATTCTTGCTTTGTGGCCCAGTCTCATCTCAAACTCCTAACCTAAAGTGATCCTCCCACCTCAGTCTCCCAAACTGTTGGGATTACAAGCATGAGCCACCAGGCCTGGCCACCTTCTTCGTCTCTATTGCAGTTTTCAAATATGTAGACAATTTAACTCTCAAACCAGGCCTATGAAATAATTTCATTCTCATGCTAGACTGTGGTACACAGAATAATGGCCCCCAAAGATGTTCGCATACTAATCCTGGGATCCTGTGAATATGTGAAGTTGTGTAGCAAAGGAGAATTAAAGTTACAGATGCAATTGAGGTCATCATCAATTGAAATGGAGAGGCAGAGACTGTCCTAAATTTTCCAGGTGGGCCTAACATAGTCACAAGAGTCCTTATATGGGAAAGAGGAGCTTAGAAGAGAACCAGAGAGATGACAGCTTGAGAAAGACCTAGGAGAATGTTGCTGGCTTTGAAGATGAAGGAGGGGCCATGAGCCAAGGAATGCAGGCAGCTTCCAGAAGCTGAAAAAGGCATGAAAATGACTTCTCCCCTAAGGCCTTCAAAACCCTGCTAATGCACTGATTTTAGACCTTACTTTCTTTTTTTTTTTTTTTGAGAGTGAGTTTCACTCTTGTCACCCAGCCTGGAGTGCAATGGCACCATCTCGGCTCACTGCAACCCCCGCCTCCTGGGTTCAAGCAATTATCCCTGCCTCAGCCTCCTGAGTAACTGGGATTACAAGCACGCACCACCATGTCCGGCCACTTTTTGTATTTTTAGTAGAGACGTGGTTTCACCACGTTGGCCAGGCTGGTCTCGAACTCCCAACCTCAGGTGATCTGCCCGCCTTGGCCTCCCAAAGTGCTAGGATTGCTCACATGAGCCACCTTGCCTGGCCTGATTTTAGCCCTTTCAAATATCTACTTCCAGAACTATAAGATAATAAATGTGTGTTGCCTTAAGTCACACTAAGTTTGTGGAAATTTATTTAGATAGGGAACTAATACTTTTACTACCATTTTAGTGGTGGAAACTGAACTAATTCTTCATCTAAACTCATTTAGCTGAAAAAACTGAGCAAGCTTCTGATGCTGTTGAACTTTTAAAATCACACAGCTGGCCAGGAACAAAGGCAGGCCTCAAGCTGGCCTGATTTCTGAGTCTAGTAACAACCACTACACTAGGCCTGGATTTGCCACTGATGGATATTGGAAGGCTCTCAAATTCTCCAGGCCTCAGTTTTCTAGTCTATAAAGAAACAGAACCAGATTACTTTCCGTTCTAACAGTTAAAGTTGATATTTACAATTATAGCACTAATGGAATGTTGTGAAACATTGTGAAAGGTCAAAGTGACCCCATTTTGGTGGGCACATTCTATTTCCAAAGATAAAAATGTGAAGATGGACATTTTGGAGAAAATATAAGCAACCAGAGAGGAGAAAAATAATTTTTGTCATTACTTGTTGTAATCCTGAAAATTCAATGAACCAGGCACCTAATTCCCCAAACACTCCATTTCATGTAGATTTTACAGTTAGAAAATATGGCAAGAATATGCTTAGAAATATTACACAAACACTCAAAAAAAAAAGCTTTCCATGGGACTGAGAAAACATAGGGAAACCAGATGTATATATATATATGTATGTATACATACATATATATGTATGTGTGTGTGTATATATATATATATATATATACACATACAGTAATTTTGGTCTTGTAGACCATAAAATTCTTCCCCTAAAAGGAGAATGGAAGAATATTGAGGACACTACTTAGAAACACCAACACCACCAGCTGCCCCAGATGTGGGCACGTGTACCATTCCCAAATCTCAAAACAGCTCCTAAGCTAGAATATATACATATTCCCGTGAACCTGCCACTGACATTAGCAGAAAGCATGAGGCAGCCTCCCAGCAAACTGAATCACAGTCATCATCGCTACGTGTTGTCGTATTGAGTCACCCTCAGTTTGAGGGAAATCAATCAATGTGGGTAAGAGAGCCGCCTATGTGAAATGGGAGGCATGAGAGATAGCACTGAAATGATTAAACCTACACTTAGAAAGGCTTTCAGAACTAAATTGTTTTTCTTCTTACAGCCAGGAAAAAGCCATAACCCACACCCAGTGCCTATGTGGCAGCCACCAAAATGGCCCTAGGGCAGACCAAAGAAAAGGAGGGCTAGCTGTCGTAGCCAATGCCAAGCCACAGAACCAAGAGAAGGGGCAGCTGGAGAGAACCAGGAAAACAAAGCAAAACAAAAAAAAAAACACAGGGATTCCAGAGTGAAATAAGACAGGCTGCATGAACATGTTATTTCTTCTGCGGTGGAGTACAGAAGTCAAGGGTAATTATAGCCAACTACATACTCTGACGACCATGAAAGCCCCTTGAGAAGGCTCCCTTTCAAAGGAAACGCAAATCAGAGTTTGCACTTTTTTTGCTTGTACCTCCCCCCTCTTTTTACCAGCATATTCAAATAACTTTCCCTTATCTATAATTCCCTGGACTTAAGTCATAATTTAAGGGAAAAAAAGAAATAACCACAGAGACTCCAAGGTCTCATGTTGCCTGCATATGATTTTTTTAAACTAGGCAACATTTTAAAGGAAAGAGTCCCAATGCTATCCATTATTCTGTCCTGTCACTTGCTGTGTCCTCCAGTTGTATTCTATAGGCTGGATACCCCTTCAAGTAAAACCTGACATGCTGAAAATGTTAATGGCTTTTGCAAACCAAATTTTATGAAGCATTACAAACTGAACACATCCAAAATAAAAGTTCTTCATTGGCTCCTCCAAACCTGTCCCATGTTTCACTGTCCCCATCTCACTCTAAGACACCTCTATATTCCCATTGGTTCTGGTAAAAAATCCTAGAGTCATCTTTGACTCTTCTGTTTCTTTCACATTCTATCAAGAAAACCCCCACCAGATCATGAAATCATATTGGCTTTGCCTTCAAAATATTTCCAGAATCTGAACAATTATGGCCACCTTCCATTTCTACTACCCTGTTCCAAGCCACCCGACATGGAGCTCACTGCCAGATCCTCCTCACAAGCCTCAAAGGCTTTTACCCGCACCCTTGCCCAGTTTATTCTCAACACAGTGACTAGAGCTGTATTATCCAATATGATAGTTACTTTCTACATGTGGCTTGTTAAACCTGAATTTACATTACTTAAAATCAAAATAAGAATTCACTTCCTCAGGCACACTGGTCACATTTCAGGTTCATGTGTAGTAAGTACCTACCATATTGGATAACAGAGAACATTTGCATCATTATGGAGAGTTCTGCTGGATGGCACTCAGTTAGGGAGAGCCTTCCAAATCAACTCAGTGTCAGTCAGCTCATGGCACTTTTCTGCTCAAAACCCTGTTATGTCTTGTCAATTCATCACGAGAAAAATCCAAAGTCCTAACTGTCATCCACAAAGTCATATGCACTCAAGCCCCCTGTATCTCCCTGACACTGTATCCTACCAGTTTAGGTCTTGCTCACTCTGGTTTAGCCACACTGGCTCCCTGATGCTCTGCCAACACTCAAATTTTGCTCCCAAAGCGGGTCTTTACACTGGCTGTTCCACTTCTTCAACTATCTGCATCTCTCTCTTACCTCCTTCAAGTCTTTGCCTAAATTTCACCTCCTGTGACCTCGATATTAAAAAATTTAATCAGCCACCAACCAGTCAGTCTTCCAATTTTCCTTATCTTATTCCAAACTTACTTAGCACTTGTGGCTTCATTTACAACATCATTGACTTATTTATAACGTTTATTGTGTTTTGTTTTCTCCCCCACTAGCCACGAGAGTACAGAACTGTGTTTTCTCTCTGATGTATCCCAAGCACCCAAAACAGTGCCTGGTACAAAGTAGGCTTCAGTAAATCAATATATGAATAAAAATGACAGACTTTGTATTTTAAAATAGTCTTCATTTGTAATAAAGACTCTGGAATTTTTAAGAGCTTTCAAGAATTAAAAAAAATAATAACATGAAAGAACCTGGCAAACAGTATATGCTAAAAAAAACTGGATAATGAGTTTTGCATAAATTATTTCATTGTATCATCATTGTGGCCACATGACGAAAGTATGACTATCTCCTCAACATGCTCATGAGAAAATTGAGACTCAGAGAAATTAAGAAACTTCTTCCAACTTCTTTTAGCAGTTAAGTCTCTAGTTGGCCTGGATTTAAGCCCATGTATGCCTGAGTTTATTGCCCAAGTTTTTAAGCTAAGCAATAATTTAAAAGTAACAAATAACAATTAACAAGTAGGAGTCACCAAGAATTGCCCCGATGCCATTTTAAAAATCAACTTTACAGAGGTATGATTTATACAATAATATGCATTCATTTTAAGTGTACTGTTCCATGCATTTTGGCAGATATATACACCACTATAAACACCACCACATTCAAGGCAGAATATTTCCATCACTCCAAAAAGTTCCCCTGTCCCCTTTTGCAGTCAATTCCCTTCTTAGGGCAACCACCATTCTGATTTCGGTCACCAATAGGTGAGTGTTGCCTATTCTCTTAAATTTCATATAAATGGAACCATACAGAATGTACTCTTTTGTTCGGCATGTTTTTCAGTCATCCATGTTTTTGTGTGTATCAATAGTTCATTCTTCTTTATTGATGAATGGAGTTCCATTGTATGAATACAGCAAAATCTAATCTGCTTGCACATTCACCTTTTGCAGGACGTTTAAATAGTATCTAGTCTTTGGCTTCTATGAATCAAATAGTAGCTGAGAATGTTCTTGGACAAGCCTTTTTATGAACACAGTCCTTTATTTATTTCAGGTAGATACCATGGAGTACATTTGCTGGGTCAAAGGGTAAAGGTAGGTTTAACTTTCTACATTGAAACAACTCGGTCAAACCATTTCCAAAATGATTATACCACTTGACACACTCATCAGCAATATGCAGAGTTCCAGTTGCTTCTGGTCTTCGGTATCATTTGGTATTGTCAATCTTTTTAATATTCTCCATTCCAGTCAGTGTGCAGTGGTGCCCCATTATAATTTCTTTTATATATTCCTGAGAGCAATTGATATTGAGTACCATTTCATGCATTTATTGACTATGTGTATGTCTCCTTCTCTGATATATTATTTGATATATTCCTGAGAGCAATTGATATTGAGTACCATTTCATGCATTTATTGACTATGTGTATGTCTCCTTCTGTGATATATTAATTTAGTATTTTGCTCCTCCCCTCCTTTTTTGGTAAGGGGATTGGCACTGGTACCATTTTATATTTTTTCTAGGTAGATAATATGAGAGGCAGTATAGTATAATGGTTAATAGAATGTGCTACCCAGATCCAATTTTAATTCTGCCATTTGCTCATATAAAGCTTAGTAAAACATTTATTTTTATGTACTTTAGATTTCTTATCTAGAAAATGTTAATAATAGCACATCCCCCAAAGATATGGAAGTATTAATATGTATCGTGTGCTTAAAGTACTATCTGATACATAATAAGCACTGAATAAATATTAGTTATTATTATAGGATGGAAAGAGTATCTTACCCTCAATTTTCTAAGAGTTCATTCACATATAGATATCACTACAATTTTGACTCTAAAACCAGGGCCTTTTGTTTTCCTGTATACTAGCACTTTCTGACTAATCTTGCTCAGATTATTTAACTTCAATTTCCTTTCTGCTGGATTCAGGGGGGACAATAAATAATGTTCCTGTCTCTTCCACCACTAGATAAATAAGACACTGGAGTCCAAGAAATGGAAATCTAGATAATAACCTTATTACTGATAATCATGAATTGGGGAATGTGGCTGAGATCTGTGGCCAAATAGGTCTTCCAACACTATCTCCACTGCATTAGACCAACTATCCCTTCACACTTGCAGGTAGAGGAGGCAAACACAAGTCTCCCATCCGAGGCAGGCAACCTCCAGGGTGGCAGAAGAGAAGTGTGCATCCTGCAGACAGGCAGCACAAGAGAGAAGATGCTGAGACAGTACTGTGGCATGCCTGCTCAGATATAGTCTTAAACTGGTCAATCAGGTAAGTCACTCCTGCTGCTTTGAGGAGGGATGAGAGAAGAGGCAGAGGGGACATCTTCCACTTTATGGAAGTGGGAGTGCTAAAACATGTGAGCTTTGGTTATCACTGTAAGCCCAATAAATAACACTGAGTATCTGATATGACATCCAGCACATGCTAGGCATGGCAGATACTCTCTACCAATAGAGGCAAGAGATGTGTATACACAGTTAAAATGTATCACAAGTTTATAAAAGGGACACATAAGCTGGAATTGGAGCCCAGAGAAATAAATGTTTAAATCTCCCTGAGGAAATAAGGAGGTAACACTTGAATTGAATCTTTAACAACAATAAAAAAATGATTAAGTGTCACTGGGTGGCCACACAGCATACTAGAATAACAAACATATACAAAGGCTTGTAGACACGGAAAAGGAAATATTTGGAAAACACACAAGAAGATCAACATCACTGGAGCGTAAGTGCATGGGGGAAAGTTAATAGAAGTTAAAATGGCATGCAGTAAACTTGGTATGTTACAAAGTAATAGTATAATAGTATCAAATAGTATGATTCCATGCTAGGAAGTTTCTAATTATTCTCCATTCATTAATCCTGATGTCAAATTCTTAAAGAAGTGTGAAAGGAAGTTAAATGTTGGAACCCCAAACTCATTAAGCCAAATAGAAAAGTCAAGCTGGGAACTCGGTCACACAAACCTGTCTCCCCCTTTCGGTTCCTAAATAAGATGGCTACAAGATGAAAAACTACACACCTCCCCCATATTTTGCCCACAAGGAGATTCCTAGTGAGCTGTTAAAATTTCACCATGGCAATGGAAATTGATAGCTTATCTTTACAGGTGCAGTCACCCCAGCCCACCAGACACAAATGCATATCTGATTGTTCCCCTGCCCCACTGTGTCTATATTTATCTTATGTAAAATGCAGTTTCACTGCATTTTTCCTCTGCCCCATTTGTTTATGTCATCTTATGTAAAAAAAAAAAAAAAAAAAAAAAAGCCGGTTCACTGAGCCAGACAAAGTCATGAATAACTATTGTTCCCTACCCTGCTCTTACATGAAAATCGTGTACTTCTCAATTTCCCGCCATTTCCCCTTTAAAGTTGGAGCCCTCAAAATCATCTTCAGGAAAAGGCATAGACCTGTCTCCCGGGTGCATCCTTAACTTTGGCAGATACATATCCTAAAATGCTTGAGACTTGTCTCGTCATTTTTCTTGATTGACAGAAGAAATATACACCGATCCTGCTATCCTTCCAATACAATGCTCTCTAGAATGATAGGCCTGAGAACATTCACAAGAATTTAAATATCTTCCCCACGATTTCTACTCAGCTTCAAACTCTCAGTGGGTCTATGAATAAACATTAAAACTGAGCTCCTGCTATGTGACAGTAACTGTGCTGGCTACTGAGGTACAGGGTCAGCTAAAGAGGATGCATTTGTTCAGCTGCTCACTTCTAGCTTAGTAAAATAACCAGCACAGAAGTCTCGATCAGTCTGTGACAGCGCTTGGGACCCTCTGACAAACAGCATCAGCTCACTCATGGAGTCAGTAAGCATTTCTAAAGTGCAGAATAATCAAATGGGCGCTCTCTCCACTTGTTACAGAGGGAATCCTGCTTTGAGTCTTTCCAGATAACAGAACCATTAGAAAGATTCGTAACTCATTTTCTTCAACACTTTGGATGAGAACAGAGATCAAGTCTGGCATGCTGAAGACACAGAAAACTCGTGGTTGGGAAAGGAGGGGAGGATGGGGATGAGTGATCCAAAAGAGCCAGCCCCAGAGCCTTTACCAGGGCAGCCACTGGGGAAGAAGAGTCAAATGTGATGGTGGTGATGATGCTGAAGACATAAGGAAGAGAGTTAGAAGAAACCGTATTGTTTATCAAGTGATGCGACTGTACCAAGAGATGAATCCTCACCAATGAGCCATGGAGGAACTATTGTAATCTTCACCTTTCAAAGGTGAACTCTAAGGCTAAGGGAGGTTGAGTCATTTCCCCAAGCTTATAGGAAATCTCGGAACAAAATTTTAAAGCTAGGTCTTTGTGACTCCCAAATCCAGAGATTTGTGTGTGCAAATGTGTATGTGTGAACGTTCAAAATTGAAGACTGTCTAACTCAGCGACCCTCAATCTTGACTGAGCATCAGGGTCATCTAGAGCTTTTGTTAGAATATGGGTTTCTGGGTCCTAGCCCCAAAATTTCTCATTCCTTAGGCCTGGGACGAGACATTTCTCACAAGTTTCAGGTCTTGCCGATACACTGCATCTGCTGGTCTGAGAGGACACTTTGATAATTAGTTCCTTTTCGTTGTTGTTCTTCTAATCACTATGCAACCCTTTCACTATGCAATGCTTTCTAGGAGGCATGGAGGAAAAAAAAAAGTAAAGTGAGGGGAAAAGATTAGAAAGTAATAATGGGACAATAAAAGCCCTGAAGACAAACTTCACCTCTTTCCTGCGTTGCCAGAGCGGGTCTAAACTGTTTCTACTAGACAGGATGAATAAGAGATTTTGTTGCTTTGGAAATCCCTCCTGGCTAGAGCCTGGCAATATTTATGATCCTCAGAGGTGTGGCCATGGGTTCAAGTTATAAGTAGGTTTAAAAACAATACCAAAAGCTAAGGTGTGGGGAAAACAAGCTTCAGAATCTATCAAACCACCCTACCTTCTCCATTAACCTCATCACCATCTTAAATCATTTCTCTCTTAAGCAAGTCTTTCTCACCTTCCCTGTCCTTGTTTGACTCAATCTTTTATTTTGGAATTTTCATTTCTCTTTGCTCTGCTTCCCATGAAAGACCATCAGAATGAGAAGCTGTCTTTTAAAAATATAGTGAGGTCCCAGAAAGCAATCTATAATTTAAAAAGGTTGTTTAAGCCCTGCACACTGCCTGACACAGACCAGGTACCCCACAAATACATGGTTCTGAAGGAATGATAGTAATTTTAGGAACCTCCTTTGTATTTCTGAAGAAAATTATACTTATTACCAACTGTGCTTTTGCTGCATAGTATGTAATAAATTTGTGATTAATAAATAACATAATGAATCCTTTAGAATGAAGTGAACAAGAGGCAAATTAGAATACAAACTTTTTCAACAAAGTGAATGGCTACTTAACTTCTGCCAAAACCATCAACTTAACAGGAAAATAGAACAGTCTGTTAATTTTTTTTTTCTTAGAAATAGGGTCTCAGTCTGTTGCCTGACTGTACTGACTGGAGTACAGTAGTGCTATCATCCTTCACTTCAGCCTCAAACTCCTGGGCTCAAGTGATCCCCCTGCCTCAGCCTCCCTAGTAGTTGGAACTACAGGTACGTGCCACTAGCCCAGCTAACTTTTTTATTTTTTGTAAAGAGAGGGTCTAACTTTGTTGCCCAGGTTGTTCTCAAACTGCTGGCCTCAAGTGATCCTCCCACCTTGGCCTCCCCAAATCTTGACATTATAAGTATAAGCCACTACACCCAGCCAATTTGTTAGTTTTTACAGAAGGCTCACCAGCATTTCTGAAAGTAAGCTCCATGTGTCATGAAGGATACACCAAAAAAATGTGAATGACATCCGGAAAATTTTTTAATAGTTATGCATTGAAACTGTAATAGAAAAAAAATGTAATCCCATCTCAAACCTATGATTTGATGAATATTATTTCTTCGGACTGGAGTTATGTTTTGAATGTGAATTGGTTTCTAGAAAAGCAATAAATGAATAATAATATAGAGATAACACAACTAAAATAAAGAAGGTAGTTATTAATGACTGAATATTAATGACTGAAGTTTAGGAAACACTAGTAATAGTGACTGGTACCAGTCACCGGTGAAGAAGAGGAAATTTCACATCAATGTGTGTGACTTGTTTTGTTAAATTCCACCATTTAAAAGTTTGTGGCTTTGGGCAAGTTGAAAATATTTTCTGAGCTCCAGGTCAAAAGCGGTAATAATTCTTCCTTGAAGGGTTTTTGTGAAGATTGAGGTAAAGTAAAATAAATCTTTAAGTAGAATGCCTTATGTGGGGCACAGGCTCACTTAGCAACTGCTGAAGATGATAGTAAATGGTGATAGTGATGGTGATGGTGGTGGTGGTGGCAGAGAAGGAGGAATAGGGAGAGAAAGAGGAGGAAGAAGAGGAACAGGAGTAGAGGGGGAAAGAGGAGCTATAAACCTCCATAATTTCCATGCATTTTTCAGTTACTTAGAACTTCCATATTTCTCTTTGGATATTGGGAATAAACCAACTTAAAAATGATTCTACTTTTTAGTATGGGCCGGGCGGGGTGGCTCATGCCTGTAATCCCAGCACTTGGGAGGCCGAGGTGGGAGATCACGAGGTCAGGAGATCAAGACCACGGTGAAATCCCTTCTCTACTGAAAAAAACACAAAAAATTAGCCGAGCATGGTGGCTACTCAGGAGGCTGAGGCGGGAGAATGGCATGAACCTGGGAGGCGGAGCTTGCAGTGAGCCAAGATCGTGCCACTGCCCTCAAGCCTGGGCAACACAGTGAGACTCTGTCTCAAAACAACAACAACGACAACAACAACAACAAATTTACTTTCTGGTAAAGTTGAGATTGTAATACTGTCAGTAAAATGTCATTCTTGACCAAGTGTAACAACGTGTCTCTCATTTCTATAACCTGGACTTTTGTACTTTCCCAATTATCTTTTTTATAATTCTTTGAAGAAAAGATGACACAAAAATCTTATTAATATTACTAAAGATGTACCTTGAATTTATAGACAATATTAAAAAAGCTAGCTGCTAATAGTTATCCCATATTATAAAAGGCATATAATGTATTTGGGTATGGTGATGATTTGAAACGAATTAAATTAACAGGGAATAGGATCATATAGAGAACAAAAGCAGTGATTAGCAGCAGGTACAAACTATTGTTCCCAGGTTTACTAGTAGGGATAAAGTCTTCATTTAAAGAGAAAGAATTTTCTACCAAGCAGTATTTAAACCAGGCATGGTCTATGTGGATAGGCCTGGATAATTCATTGACAGTAAAATTGCCACTTAATTATCATGCCAAACAACTGACACGGTAGAGATAACCCAGAACCTAACCCTTGGCCTTGGCAAACCAAATGTTTACACTTCTGTTAGGGACACAGACACATTGCAGAGTCTTAATGTAAGTTTGAAATCACAAGCAAACATACCTTCACAAAACCAAGGCTGCATAACTTGGCTTTTGCTCCAAATTGCCATTTACACTGTGTGTCAGCATCATAAATCTGTCCTGGTAGTTTGTCCGGATATTTATACTGTCCTGCTTGCTTGGGCTCATCCACTAGACACCCCGCCTGAGGTGTGCTGTAATGACAATACATGCTTATTAATTACTCTGTTGATCTGTGATCTTTCCATTTACGACAACACACTTCTGAATGCATTCATGCAAAGAAAAATATAGCATGGTTCTAGAAACAGGTATATGTTTAAAGTTCAAATCTATGTTTATGCCAAAGAGTGAGTCCTGTCTAAGAGGATGGAATGTACACAGCCAGGAAGGGTTTTACAGGATGCTGAAAATTCTAGTCATCCAAGTGATTTGGCTTGGGATTTGACAGGAGACAGGAAAGGTTAATACATTTGAAAACTCCCATCAACAATCTTATTCAACAATATTTGACAATTTGTACTGAGTCCCTACTCTGTGGCAAACCTTAGACAAAGCACTAAAGGTACAAAATAAACCAGACAGACACAGTACCTGTCTTCATGGAGTTTTAAATCAAGTATTTTCTTTTTTTAAACAGATAATGGAGCAGAGGTCAAAGATGTACTTTAACTCACAATAAGCCTTACAGACAAAAATAAATAACATTCCTAAAGAATCAAGAGGAATAATGAACTGGGGGATGAGGCAGAAAAATTTCCTTCAGATATGTTTGACTGTGACTTGTTGAGAGCAAAAATCAGTCCTGATGGCATGGATATTCTTAGCACCTTATCTCCACTTACTTAAATAATTAAAATGTGGTACCACCGAGAAGTTAATTATCATGGTGGTTAAGTGTAATTTTGTAGTGAGACAGATGGGGGTCCTAATCAACCATGCAACCAAGACCAAGTTATGTAGCTCTTACACAGCTCATGAGTGACAATGACTCTCATAAAGGTTGTTACACAGTTCAAATGAGAAAATATAACATGCTTCATAAAGCATAATAAGCAAAGTTAGCTGCTGCTGTTATCATTATTATAACATTTAACTACAAAAGCATTTAACTACATACTAACGGAAATTCAGCCTATGTTAAGTTGATCTTGATTTTAATACTTATTAATTGCATTCTTACATGAGTTGGAAAAAATAATTTTAGTCACCAAACCATGAATTTAAAACTAATAGGAAAATCTTCATGGCAAAGCTTACTAACAAAAAGTCTGTTGATTTTTTACCACCCTTTGGGCATATGTGGTTAGATATCTTCACGTTTAATATGCTTTGTGTATAGATCTTACTAATTCTTTAAACATTTGCAAATAATACACAGTGGTACAGGTTAAAAATAAAGTATCAAAAGTGTCAATTCCCAAAGAAATTTCACTAACATCTGTTCAAAGAGATATGGGATTAGCATCTAAGTGTCCTTGTGGGTCAATATAGATTATAAAGGTAGGATTGTGTGTGTGTGTGTGTGTGTGTGTGTGTGTATTTCAACTTTGGGTTAATTGTTTAATATGAATTAAATAGTACAACTTTCCAAACTCCTACTTTTACTAATGCAACTTAAGGTTTCTGTGTTATTAAAAGCATTTTATATAGCTACCATCTTCTTTGGCTATCATTTGGACATAAAGCTAGCTCCTGGCCATTTCAAACATAATAGTCAAAGAAGAAAATGCTCTATTCATTAAAACACAAACACACACTCATACCATTTGAGCATTTTTAAAATACTCTATGACACATTGATCGATAACATTGAAATAATTAGTCACAGTAAAAAGACAATATACCTAGCAGCCTCTGGAAGTCACAGGGGAGAGATGGTTGAGTAGAGATCCTAGAGTCAGAACAGATCTAAGTGTGAGTCTTCTGTCTGCAACTTACCAGCGATAGTACCTTATGCAACACAATTAACCTAAGACTTGATTTCTCAACTCTAGATTGAGGATAATAGTATCGCTGTGAGGATTGAAGGAGGAAATATGTGGAGAACATTTAGCACAACATTAGGCTTCAATCTATTTTTTTCAACAATGTCATCATCACCATCATCATTATCATCATCATTTGTCTTTCTGTTTATTGACAGGTCAAAAGGTATTTCCACTGAGTATTCGTTTGCAGGTCTATGGAGCACAATTCTGTCATCACTCCAAACCTAGGAGCACCCCAGGATTTAACCTGTCATACCTGAGGAATTTCTTGAGATACTGGCGGCTGCAGGAAGACCATGAAAACACTCCATTGTTTCCGGTCAGTGTGGGAGACATGATATTGCCTTCAGCCTTTCTGCAGGGATTCCCTTCTCCATCGTGAATCATACCAAAGCTGAAACAGAATGAAGAAAACAAAATCCTGCTTTGTGAACCCATTTTTTTGAAGGATAATCTGAGGAAGAATAAAGATGTATTGATCATCAACAAAACCAAGTGAGAGACAGAGTTATTAAAACTGGAAAAGAGAAAGGCAAATTACTATAGATTGTTATAAAATTCACACAGAAAACTTTAAAAATGCTGAGGGCTTTGTTATATTATTTCCTGACCACAGAATCAAAGAATGGTCTAGCTGCTACATGTTTTATGGGCTGGAAAATTTTGCTCAAGTTAAAATTTAGGTATAAGCTAAGCCAAAGTGATGGAACAGCCAAATTATTTAGTTTCAAACAGTAGAATTCTTATCTTGTCACCAACCACGGAACTATGGTAAAGAAGTTCAGAGTCAGTAGGAAGTAAGTACAGAGAGATGATGATTATAAGTTGTTTATGAACTGTTCATATATAAGGCTAGCATGGTATAAAAACTTCTCTCCAACTATGATCAATTTATTAGCTGAAATCACAAACTCTAATTGTAATTAAACTCTCTTATAATAAACATTTTTTTAACATGCTTGAACCCCTTTATTGAAGGCTATTAAATCTTGACCATTACTGTTATCTTTCAGATGTATTATATGAGAAAACTTTAATTTGTTTCATCACAGAAGGGTCTAGTAATTATAGAAGAAAAACTTTAGGTGGTCTACTGTCTAGAAATCATGCACATTATACCTGAAGAATTCTCAAATTTCCTGACAGGAAGAATAAATGTGACATTAATGTGCATACCCACATAGGATACATACCATAAAGACAAAGCTTACTTCAGGCGATGTTAAAGTGGTAGAAGATGGGGAAATAAGAGTCTTTGATCTTCTCTAAAAAATTCAGCACAGAGAAAAGTCTTTTCTGAAATTTTTTTTTTTTTTTTTTTTTTTAGGGATGCAGAGGACGGAAGGATATAAATATGAATTTCATCATTAATTTAAATTGTTCTTAATCTCATTATTTAAAAGAATAAAACTTGTGTCTTAGACCATATATTTATAAGGCAGATATGACTCCTATGTAAATAAATGTTATCCTGATATAATTTCATTTATAGAGTTCGCCTTTGAAAGTAGTCTATACCAAATAAATATGTTACGATAAAAGATATGACTTTTTTTGTGACCCATGTCTATAATATGGCCATTTTTCCAGCATTCCTTCCACTTTGTCAGGAAAATAGTAGCAGGGCAACTGTATGCTATCCTATCAGTGACTTCCTTAGGTATTCAGAGGTGACCACTCAAAAATAGGTATTGACTAACGTCAATGTATACTCAGTGAAAGCATTTTCTTATCCTCAGCTTTTCCCAATTTAATTCTTCTTCTCACCTAACCAAGACGTTAAGGGGATTTCTTTGGGAGACACCCTTTCTAAATATATTTGTGAAAGTAAAAAACAGAAAGAAACCTATAAATAAAGCACGAGAAGAAACAGCAAGAATCCCAGAAACAGAGATGGGGTAGGAGAGATTGAAGCCATTACGCTAGAGGAAAAGAACTTACTTAGAACTTCAGTGGAATTTTATGTGCGTAAGAAAATCAAGTCGGAATTTAATTTTGAACTTAACAATCTTAAATTTAATTTAATAGCATTTTAGAAGATGATAACATATTTTCTTTAGCACATGCCAAATGCCATATAAATATCTCAGGAATTGTCTGTTTCAGAACTTCTTAAGTCCATGTTATTTAGAACTTAGGTATGTATTTTATTTTACCATCTGTCCTTCCCCCAACCTCTGACTTCTCTCCTGAATCCTACCTGAAGAATATGTTCTGCTTTTCCTTATCTAAAATGTTGGATTTTGATTTTGGATAATTTTAACACATATGCAAAGATAATGAAATTTTTCAATGACCAGTATTTTGAAAAGTGACACCTGTTCGGTTGGACTTCATGCTGGTAAAACAAACTTAGACATACATTTGATATGCACACATATTTTGTTTCCTGCTTTGTATGAGAAGCATTGTTCTTAGTGAGCATTTTCGCTTCTCCATTTACAATTTTAAAAATTGGCTTATTCATATCTAGGAAAGTGTGCATGTGTGTCTAAATGTGTGTGTGTGTGTATAATAATGTTGGAAATTTGTTGGATAACAATAACAACAATGATCAAGGTTTAAATTTCCTAAAGATAATAAATGTAGCTCATAGAAGATACTGGCACTGTCCGGGCGTGGTGGCTCACACCTGTAATCTCAGCACTTTGGGAAACCGAGGTCGGCAGATCACCTGTAGTCAGCATGACCAACATGGTGAAACCTCATCTGTACTAAAACTATAAAAATTAGCCAGGCATGGTAGTGGGCACTGGTAATCCCAGCTACTCAGGAGGCAGAGGCAGGAGAATCACTTGAACCCGGGAGGCGGAGGTTGCAGCGAGCCGAGATCGTGCCACTGCACTCCAGCCGGGGCGACAGACGGAGACTCTGTCTCAAAAAAAGAAAAAAGATAGCAGCACCAACATATAAAAATACCAACTATGGTTACTGAATGATGTTTGCTTTTAAGTCAAAAATTAACTAGATGCTTTGAAAATATATGAGTTATTTCCTGTATGTTGAATAAAATATACACACAAGTACACACACACAAACATCCTAAACTGGTATATCTGAAGAGTACTACACATTGAAATAATTATTTTGTAAAGTATTATACTTGTTCCAATGCAGCTGCTATTGCTCTAATGTTTGAAAATTCTCTATAGCGTTGTCTCCATCATAAAAGGAAGATTTAGTGACACCAATCAAAAGAATATTAAGTACATGCAATGTTGCCAACTAAAAGAATATTCAGTACATGCAGCAAAAGTTTTTTTAAAAAGCAGCATGCCATTATACTTTGGGAATTAATTTTTCTCCATGATTACTTCCTGTGCATAAAGAATCAGCTAGAAGTGTCTTCATTGCTGCAAAACATGAACAAAAATAAACAAATGCCTAGCAGCCCAGAGACCCCATCTGTGCACACGAAGGAGTACTGTGTGGCTATTAAGTGCTGCTGTTTAAAGAGAATGAAATCAACAACAGCTAGCCTTTAGTGAGCCCTTTGTATAGTCAGAAACTATTCTAAGCTTTACACAAGACTGATCCTCTTTGTTCTGCCTAAGTCAACAACAACGGTTAGAGGAACACCAATGAATCACCCAACTAGTTTTCACATAAAGTAGTGGTTCAAAGAGGCACTTACTTGTGCCCTGACTCATGAGCGATGGTGAAGGCAAGGCCAAGTCCTGTGTCCTCATTGATGGTACAACTTCGGTACTTAGAGCACATTCCACTGATGGGGGCAAACCCTATTGAAAGAGCAGTTTCAAATGTGAATCCAAAGGTTGCACACACAGATACATGATGATGATTTATGTCCTCAAAATGTTCTACACAGTTTTAGTTTAATAGATCAATGCATTCAGTGTTTTTGGAAAAAAAAAAAAAAAAAGATCTATAGTTCTTTGTCCTGTGTAATGATAATGTATAAATGCAACATTTCCTATTTTCTTGCTTTTGTTACATATTGTTATCAATTGATCCTTGTAAGAGCCCTGTAAGGTCAGTATGAGTACTGTAATTCCCATTTTACATTTAGTTTAGTAAGTCACAGAATATTTATATGCCTTGTCTGAGTTTATCATTCAGGTCAGAGCAACGGATAGAATGATAGCAAAACCAATGCAAAATGCTCACTGAACAGTGGCATTAACGTCACAGCTCAGGGTGTATTTTCCAAGGAAAAACACATATCCTGGTCTTTTACTAGAGCAGAAAACATGAAAATGTCTAAGCAACATGTGCAGATTAAATTCATTTTTCTCTGGTTCTTTATAATGTGGTAAGTGCTTCTGTTCCCAAAGTTACTTCCCTCTAAGAGCCATTATAAAAGCATCCCGGCCAGCCCTTAAGTCTATCTTCAAATACAATACAGTGTGTGCGAACATCTTTCTTTCCAGTTTTGGGTCCTAATAATCAGTAGAACAAATCTATGTACCCATCTAATATTAAATGCATGCTTGTGAATGGATTGTACCCACTTCATTGTCAAGACGGAAGTGAGATCAGCTGGGAAATCTAATACAAAGGCACAAATAAGGGGTGGGATCATTATCATTACTACCATCGTCATCGTCACTAAATAAATGGTTGCAAATTCACACACTGTGCTATATGTCTATTATATATCTGTGTGTGTATGTATTTATAGCTTAGGAAACCAAAGCTCAGAGAGGTGAATTAACTTGTTCAAGATCTCAGAGTCATAAATTCTACACTCAGGAATCAACCACAGACATATGGGAAGTCAAAGCCCATGCCCTTTGCATTAGGACACACTGCTTAAAGTAAGTGACCTTTTCCACAGTTGATAGAATTTCTGGTGTTTTGTTTTTTCCAAGCCTTTTAGTACATTTTGGTCTCTGGATAACAGATAACACTGTCTGCTTCTCAGAATCTCTCTTGAAAACAATGCACTGGATTATCATATGTCACTTTGCACATTCCAAATTCAGAATATGAATGGATATATACCATCTTTCATTACAAAAACCCTTTCTATGGAACAATTCCCAAAATCATTGTGTTTTTGAAGACTGTGATTAATGGTTAATTGTTAAAATAAACTTATTTATAGGACATAACAGAGAAACTGCAGAGAATTTGAGAAACATAAAAAATAAAATTTCTGCCCTGGCACAGTGGCTCATGCCCGTAATCCCAGCACTCTGGGAGGCTGAGGTGGGTGGATCATTTGAGGTCAGGAGTTCGAGACCAGCCTGGCCAACATGGTGAAACCCGTCTCTACTAAAAATACAAAAATTAGCCAGGTGTGGTGGTGGGTGCCTGTAAACCCAGCTACTCTGGAGGCTGAGGCAGGAGAATCACTTGAACATGGGAGGCAGAGGTTGCAGTGAGCCGAAATCACGCCACTGCACTCCAGCCTGAGTGACAAGAACAAGACACCATCTCAAAAAAATAAAAAAAATTCATAAAGTTTTATTAAAACACATCTGCATTCATTTATTTACATATTACTTGTGGCTGCTTTTGAACAATACAGCTGAAATGACTAGCTGCCACAGAGACCTGTGGCCTGCATAGCTTAACATATTGACTGTCTGGCCCTTCACAGAGAAAGTTTGCTGACTCCTGATTTAGACAGCCATCCATCAACTTTTAAAAAATGTTGAATTCCTATTATGTGCAATGGAATATACTAGAATATAGTATAGATATAAAAGATGCAATTCTTGCTATCACTGTCTTGTACAAATATGGAAGAAATGAGTACTTCAAAGTCAAGTAACTTCTAAAAAAGGCACTGTTACCTAGTGGCACAGTTAGGTACCATGGAGCCCAGTAAAATCCTCTTCAGCTACCTGATTCTGTGGTCATGATGCTTACAGAATAACCTACAAGTTTCTAGTTAAATAATGTATCTCACACCTCAATGATCATCAGTAGGATCAATAAAGAAAAATACAAGCCAGGTGAGGTGGCTCATGCCTGTAGTCCCAGGACTTTGGGAGACCAAGGCGGGCGGAACACCTGAGGTCAGGAGTTCGAGACCAGCCTGGCCAACATGGTGGAAACCCGTCTCTACTAAAAATACAAAAATTAGCCAGGCATGGTGGCAGGTGCCTGTAATCCCAGCTACTTGGGAGGCTGAGGCAGAAGAATTGCTTGAACCCAGGAGGCGGAGGTTGTAGTGAACCGAGATTGTGCCATTACACTCCAGCCTGGGCAACAAGAGTGAAACTCCATCTCAAATTAAAAAAAATACAAAATGAATAAACTAAGTGGGCTCCCCACATTCTAAGTTCAGTTAAAAAGAACAATAGTCACCACAGGGTACATTAGGTTACTCCATAATTTAAATATTATGTCTGTTTATTAAGGAACATAAGGGCTATCCATCATCCATAGAAAGTTTCCATACTGTGTTTTCAGCTAACAGGTGTGTGTGAAGGATCTGTTCATACCATACCTAGAGTGTCACATGGTTCATTCTTCCAAGAACAAATATCAAATCCTGTTAGTAAGATGGCATGATCATGTCTCTTGCCATTCTTTCCAATGAGGGCAGACTGCCATTGACAAAAACTATTCAGAGACTGGTCTGCATGATGGTTGATCAATAATCCTCCCTATGGGAAACCCACACAAATCAAAGTGTGAATTTGTCACAGAGATGAGAATGCTGAATCATTCCATTTGTACAGGCAAACACAGAAACATATTTCTAGGGAAAAAGATCAGTAAACACTTGAGCTAAGGTAGGAGACAGGAAAATCTCTATTTTAGGTAAATGCTCACAATATTTAAAGCAACTACAAAGTTTCTGTAGTGTGATTTATGATTGATCATAGTTCTACAAAAAATAACCTAGCATCAGTTAGAACACCTTTGTTCATCTTACCTAGTACTACCTTTATAAAACCGTTACAACTTTTAAAACATGATAATAAATTAATGATGAAGTTCAATGGCTTTTCCATAAAGCCTCATCATTATTTCCATAGATGTCAAAATTCCCAGCAAAGCGTCTGGCACATCATAGATTACAATCAATCAATCAATATAATGAAAATTCACTGAATGAATAAACAAATGATGATATGATTCCAAAGGATAAGAGAGGACCTACCCTTAAAATAATCATTTGTCAAATGTTTGCTTGGTCAAAGCTGTTGACTTGGCCAAGTTGAAGGTTTTTAGACAAGATCTTTAATTATCAGTTAATTAGGATGTGGCTGGCTTCAAGGTCCTTGGGCAACCTATTAGTAGGCTAAAGACAAAAGTGTCTCCTAACCAGCACACGCCTTTTCTGTCTTTCTAAAATTCCAAAAACCATTTGACAAGCTGTTAACTTCTGTAGCTCTCCACACCTGGGCAATTAGATCAACTTTTGTCTTGTCTGTGTCTTCCTGCTTTTTATGTTTTTTACTGGCGTTACAGAAGAAGAGGAAAAGCCTCGGGGGACTTAAAAAATAGCCATTTGAATGGTAATCGCTATCTCAGAGAAACAGAGTTTAAACATCAAAACACTACAAAGCAGTGAGTACCATGTAATTTAACACTTTATTACATGTTCTGGTTTTCATAATTTGCCCCATGTTTGTGTCTTGCATCTTACTGTGATCAATCCAAGGACAGTTAAATATCCCTTGTTTATTCCCTGTATTACCTAAGATGGTACTGGGGATACAGTAGGTTTACTACAATAATTTTCTGATGTCTTATTTTCAGTATATTTTTGAAATATCCTTCTGCATCTACCAGCAATCACTCAGCATATCAAACTTGCAAAATCTAGCTAATCCTTAAATCTATGACCAAATTCACCTGCTTTGCGAAGCCTACATAAGATTTATTTTATGTAACATATTTATATTTCATATTTTTATTTATATTATCTATTTGTATATTATTTAGTACTTATGTACCATTATTTATGTATACATATGCATATATAAATATATTTAAATATAAATATTTTTCTGGTGCTTTAGTTTAATTGTGTGATTACACAATCTTTTAAAATTGTACTTTGAGGAGAGTCAGCCTAGTTTCAAATTTGAGCAGCTAACGACTAGTACATGGATTAGTGAACACAGTAGGTGTTCAAGAAATGTATTCTGAACGGCAGACTGAATGAAGACATAAATGAAGTTTGCCACTTACAGGTTCTTGTTCCAGAAGAATTAGGCTCACCACAACCACGTTTATGTCACTTCCAATAGTCCCATCTTTAAATAGGCCAGAAACCTGTTGGAACAATGGAAATCAAACAAAATCTCAAAATTTTCAAAACCTTAGGGGGAATCAATCAGACATATTGACTGAAGTACGCAGGCTTTAATTTTACCAAATATATGTACATATAAATACAATTTCCTCAAAACTCAACTTAAAAAAATAAAACCACATATGTAGCTATTAAAAGTAATGGCAGAAACTGCAATTACATTTGCACCGACCTAATACACCTGCTATTCAACCCATGCAAGAGAATTCCATGACATTTATTTTCTTTGGAGAGCCAGAAGGTTTGTGACACCCCCGCTTACCATGTTCATTACTGTGAGAATGTATGTGGTGACATTTCCCTTGCCATGCTTTTCCACCATTTTCTTGTCTGCCACCACGAGGGTTTCCACATTGAGGCCCTTTTGTGATTTTCCAGCTGATCTTCTGGGTCGCCCAGAGCTCCCATATTCATCAAACCTTAGATAGGTGTCCTCTGTGGGAGGCTTGGGAGCATCTACGATGAACAGAAGAGCATTTGGAAGGGATATTAGAGAATATCTGGATAAGACAGTTGAGAGAGAAACTGAAACAAGGGAAGAAGAGAAACTATGTAACCAACACACCACCAATCCACTAACAAGTGATGCTATCAGTGCCTGCCCAGGTGCCTTGCATCTAGTATGTGGTCAAGAAGGGCCTACTCAATAAATGTTTGGATGCACAGATGGGTAGATGGATGGAATGGACAGGATAGATGGATGGATGAGTGGATGGATGGATGGTGGATGGATAAATGGGTAGGTGGGTAGAAATAAATGGATAATGGATGAACTTAGTAACTCAAAAATGCTCTAAAAGGAAAAAAAAAGAAAGAAAGAAAAGAAAAGAAGAAAGAAAAGGAAAGCAAAGGAAAGCAAAGCAAAGCAAAGGAAAGAAAAGAAGAGAAAAGAGCTCTAGGCCAGGCGTGGTGGCTCACGCCCGTAATCCCAGCAATTTGAGACGCAAAGGTGGGTGGATCACTTGAGGTCAGGAGTTTGACACCAGCCTGGCCAACATGGTGAAACCCCATCTCTACTAAAATTACAAAAATTAGTCATGCATGGTGGTGCATGCTTGTAATCCTAGCTACTTGGGAGGCTGAGGCAGGCGGATCACTTGAACCCAGCAGGCAGAAGTTGCAGTGAGCCAAGATCACCCCACTGCAGTCCATAAGGAAGTCTCTCCTTTATGTCCTCAAAAGAAACACCCAACCACACCTACGCATTTACCTTTAAGATAGAGTCTCTGGGTGACAGAGTGAGATTTCATCTCAAACAACAAAAACAAGCTATAATTCTAGTTAGTAGAATGGATCAACAAAAATCAATTTTGTGGGGAGAAATTTTGAAAGCAGAAAATGCTCATTTTACTACTCAAAAACTGCAGAAATAGTGTTAATCCTTTGGATCTAAATTTATTATTTTTGAATTCATTAAATATACCACTTTATACATTATTTTCTAAATAAAATGTAAACAGCTCTAAAATAGTGGGCATGTCTTAAACTCTCATTTCATCAACACAGACTTTAACATAGCACATAAGAAGCACTCAGTAAGAACTCTTTGATGTGACAATGACTTAGTTATTAGGGAAACAGCATAGTTGGGGATGATATTAAAAACTGTATTAAACACTTTTCATAACTGGCAAAGGGTGCGCACCAAGTTAACAGAATGGATACTGGCCATAGCCATTGAGCAGAGACCTAGAAGTGCCTGCTCGGCCAGACATGATGCCTTTAGTTAATGGACAGCCACAACTACGAGCATTCCTGGGAAGAAAAATGGCACCTGGAAAGCTCAGGGAAGTAACTGTGTACTAACTAGTACAGAAATAGTTTAGTACTGTAACACTGGTCCAGCCGTAATAGTGAAACTAGCTCCCTACAGAGTAAAATTAAAAGATAAAATTATTTAGAGTTAGATTTAAAAACTCAGGTTGGCCACTTATGAGCACAGTGACGTTGAGCCTCAGTTTCCTTATCTATGAAAACAGGTGACACTTGTTTATAAGGTTGTTGTAAAGATTTGCTTTGATGTCTCATATCAAACATGTCTTACCACTATAAACATCATTACTATCATTAATACAGGCTAAATCATTACTCTATATATGCTAAATGGATGCCCCTTAATGGGGATATTTCAATAATACCAAAAACTCAAAAACCAGTTAAAATGGTAGAAACTCTTTCATTATTCCTCCTGATTAATATCTTAGTGATACCAGTTCCTCTTCTCCATGAGAATAAACTTCTTCTGGCTGTGGTATCCAACTTGGCGCACAGTTTCCATGCACAGCTACTGAGCCACAGAAGAATTTAAAAGTTTAAAAAGCAATACTTGATTCAGCTATTGAAAATCTTTTGGCTGGGCGCAGTGGCTCATGCCTTTAATGCTAACAATTGGGAGACCGAGGCGGGTGGATCACCTGAGGTCAGGAGTTTGAGACCAGCCTGGCCAACACAGGGAAACCCCATCTCTACTAAAAATACAAAAATTAGCTTGGCGTGCTGGCGTGCGCCTATAATTCCACCTAGTAGGGAGTCTGAGGCAGGAGAATTGCTTGAACCTGGTGGGGTGGAGGTTGCAGTGAGCAGAGATCGCGCCACTTCACTCCAGCCTGGGCGAAAGAGTGAAACTGTCTCAAACAAAACAAAACAAAAACAAAAACAAAAAAACAAGCAAAAAGAAAATGTTTTAAATGTTTTAAGTATGTCCCAAACAACTTGAGTATGTAAATCTACTTTTTTGACCTTAATTTTATACAAGTTAAATGCAGATTAAGTATTTCCAATAAAAATTTATCATCTGAATCGACTGGTTTAAGTGCTGTAAGTTTAAAATAAACGCTGGATTTCCAAAACTTAACAGGAAAAAATAATGTAACTCTCTAATAATTTGTTATCCTGATTACATGTTGAGATAATATTTTGTACATGTTGGGTTAAATAAAATGTTATTAAAATTCATTTACCCTTTTTTTTAACTTTTAAAACTTGTGGCTATTAGAAAATGTAAAATTGTATTTAAGGCTCGTGTTACATTTCTATTGGACATCGCTGGTCTGGAAACGGCCGAAGGTTGTAACTAAGTCACAAACCATGCTCAAGGATACCTGTGTTTCACAGCTACCTCCCTCACATGCTAATGTTCTTGTTTCTGGAAGTCTCTCCTTTGTGTCCTCAAAGGAGACATCCAACCACACCTAGACATTTACCTCTGTCTTCTTTTGTCATTGGAAATCTAGGTACTTTTCTCGGAAGCACAGAAATCAAGACTGGGACCTATGGCATGAAAGTAGGAGATACTAAAAGAGTAAAAAAGAAACCTTATCTAAATCTTTCCTAGTTTAACCTAGAATAATTGATCATCCAGCATTTGCCTGAGAGAGATAATTACTGGTCCTACACCAAGACAGATGCTCAGGGTAGCCCCATTTTGACTTGCAAAGCTTGTACACCCAACAGCACTCAGGAAAACCTGTCGAGGCCCACATAAGAACAGAAAAAGAAAAAGTTTCCTTACATACATTTCTTGCGTCGTCCACAAAAATGCTGCTTTTGCAACCTTCGATGGTGATACTCTGTCTCTCGACTCTGAGATGCATGGGGAATGTGACTTGGGGAGTAACCAGGATAATTCCGGCCAGAGCCGGGGTAGCCACGGTACCGCTGGATCTTCTCCTCTGCTGTCCTTTTGTACAGTACGTGAGGATGGTGACCCGCAGGGGAGCTGTAGTTGTGTTCCTGGGCCAGAAGCTGAGGTAATGGCGAGATGAGGAATTCATTTTTTCGTGTCCTTATTAAACCTGACTAAAAAGCCAAACACAAAGCAAACAGTCATGATTCCATGCATCCCTGTGCCAAGGGTTGGTTTTCAACAACTGCTTCTGACTAATTCCTGTATGTGGGCACAGGAGCTAAAAGCTTCACACATATTGCCTCATTTTTATCTGCACCATTACAACGAGTTGCTATTATTATTGAGACAGGTCTCACTTTAAAACCAAAGCTGGAGAGCAGTGGCACAAACATGGCCCACTGCAGCCTTGACCTCCTGGGCTCAAGTGATCCTCCCAGCTCAGCCTCTGGAGTAGCTGAGACTACAGGCACGTGCTACCACGGCCAAATCACTTTTACACTTTTTATAGAAACAGGGTCAATGTGGCCCAAGCTGGTTTTGAACTCTTGGCCTCCCAAAATGCTGGGACTACAGGTATGAGTCACCGTACCTGGCTGGACAAGTTGCTATTATCACCACCCCCATTTACAAAGGAGAAAATTGAAGCTAAGATAGTAAGTAGGAAAGCTAGCATGGGCACCCAGAGTTCTCTACTTTCAGAGGCAGGGCTCACAACCACTGGGCTGCCAGCCCTGATGTTTGTGCCTGAAGGGCTGAGCCATGGACATTCTGCTGCATTGCATTTATGACCTGGCAGATGCCATGTTCACCACTGGATAGAGTGATGAATATAAAAATACCCCCACTCATTCTCAAGTGGTTCACACTTGATTTTTCTTTTTTTCTTTTTTTTTTTTTTTTTGAGATTAGGTTTCATTCTGTCCCTTAGGTTGGAGTACAATAGCACTATCATGGCTCACTGTAGCCTTGACCTACTGGTCTCAAGCAATCCTCCTGCCTCAGCCTCCTGAATAGCTGGGACTACAGGTACACACCACTATGCTCAGAAATGCGGTCTATATTGCCCAGGCTCGTCTCAAACTCCTGGCTTCAAGTGATCCTCCTACCTCAGCCTCCTAAAGTGCTCAGATTACAGGTGTGAGCCACCAGTTCTGGCCCATCTTGATTCACAGTTGCTAAATCAATGTTTTTAAAAAAAATCAGCAAGGATGGCAGAGAAAGGCATGAGTGATGTGATCTCTAAGTGGGGGTCTAGAGAATCTGATGAGTGGTGCTATAATGAAGAGACATATTTACCAAATCAAGAAGAAAGGGGAGACCCTGGGAAGCCCATTTAATCACAATTTCATTTACCAAGTTGATGGCACAGTATGGATATCTTCGTACCTGATTTTGCAGCCAAGATGCACCCTTGTCTTTCTTTCAGCAAATGTTGTACTCTATCTTCTCTAGATATCAGAGTTCCCTGATACCCAAGACCCTGCTGGGGAAAGTGTAATCTGCAGACTAGTAGCTTCAGCCTCACCCAGGAACCTGTGGGATTCAGAATCGTGGGCCTCACCCCAAACCTGCTGGATCAAAGTCTATGCTTTATTGATATCCTCACATGTTTATGGGATCCTTTTTATTTCTGTGGTATCAGTTATGTCACATTTTTCATTTCTGACTTTATTTTAATCTTTTTTTCATAGTCTAAGCTAAAGATTTGTCAATTTTATCTTTTTAAAAAACCAACTTTTTGTTTCATGAACTTTTACATTCTTTTTTCAGTCTAAATTTCATTTATTACTGCTTGGATCTTTATTATTTCTTTCCTTTAATTAATTTTGGGTTTAGTTTGTTGTTATTTTTCAAATTCCTTGAGGTGCAATATTAAGTTGGGTTATTTTTGGGATCTAATTTTGGATGTAGGTGGTTAACGCCAATGAATTTGAAAACTAAGAAAGAACAGAGAAATCCTGGACAAACACAGTCTACCAAAACTGAAACATGAAGAAACAGAAAATCTGAACAAACCAATAACGAGTTAAGGAGATTTAATCTGTAATAAAAAGTCTCCCATCAAAGAAAAGCCCAGGGCCAGATGGCTTCCCTGATGATTTCTATCAAATTTAAGGAAGAACTAATACCAATCCTTTGCAAACTATTGAAAACAAATTGAAGAGGGGGTAGTTTTCCAAACTCATTCTACATGGCCTGCATCACCCTGATACCCAAATCAGACAAGAACAAAAAGAAATCTACGGGTCAGTATACCTGATGAACACAGATGTGGAAATCCTCAACAAAATACTAGCAAACCAAATTCAACAGCACATTAAACAGATCATTCACCATGATCGAGTGGAATTCATCTCAGGGTTGCAATAGTTTAACATACATTAATCAACAAACATGATATATCACATTAACAGAATCAACAACGAAAAACATAATTTTAATAGATGCAAAAAAATGCATTTGATAAAATTTAACATCTCTTCATGATAAAAACTCTCAACAAATTAGGTATAGAAAAAGTGCATCTCAACACAATAAAGGCCATATATGACAAACTCCCAGCTAACATCCTACAGAATGGGGAAAAGTTGAAAGAAAGCCTTTCCTCTAAGATCCAGAACAAGACAAAGATGCCCACTTTCACCACTTCTATTCTACATAGTACTGGAAGTCCTGGGTAGAGCAATTAGGCAAGAGAAAGAAATAAAGGGCATTCAACTTAGAAAGGAAGAAGCCAAATTGTCCCTGTTTTCAGATAACATGATCTTATAAAGAGAAAACTCTAAAGAAACAATCAAAAAACTATTAGAATAGAGGAACACAGTAGAGTTGTAGGACGCAAAAATCAACACAAAACATCAGTAGCATTTCTATATGCCAACAGTGAGCTATCTGAAAAAGAAATCAAGAAGGTGGCCAAGTGCAGTGGCTCACACCTGTAATCTCAGGACTTTGGGAGGCCGAGGTGGGTGGATCACTTGAGGTCAGGAGTCTGAGACCAGCCTGGCCAACATGGTGAAACCATGTCTCTACTAAAAATACAAAAATTAGCCGGGCATGATGGTGGGCATCTGTAGTCGCAACTACTCAGGAGGCTGAGACAGGAGAATCGCTTGAACTCAGGAGGCGGAGGTTACAGTGAGCAGAGATCATGCCACTGCACTCCAGCGTGGGCATTAAGAGCAAAACTCTGTCTCAAAAAAAACCAAGAAAACAATCCCATTTATAATAGCTACGATATATATATATATATACATATACACACACACACAAATCAATTTAACCAAGGAGGTGAAGATCTCTACAATGAAAACTATAAAACACTGATGAAACAAATTGAAGAGAATGCAAATAAATAAGAAGATATTCTGTGTTCATGGATTGAAAGAATATTTTTAAAATGTTTATACAAGGCTGGATGCAGTGACTTATGCCTATAATCCCAGCACTTTGGGATTTGAGATCAGCCTGGGCAACATAGTGAAACCCTGTCTCTACAAAAACTACAAATATTAGCCAGGTGTGGTGGTGCATGCCTGTGGTACCAGCTTCTTGGAAGGGTGAGCTGGGAGGATTGCCTTAGTCTGAAAGGTGGAGGCTGCAGTGGGCCGAAATCATTCTATTGCACTCCAGTCTGGGTGACAGAGCAAGACTCTGACTCAATTAAAAACAAAAACAAAAACAAAAACAAAAACAAAAACGGAGAAAAAGAAAAAAGAAAACACAATCCTAATATTCATATGGAACCACAAAAAGACCCTGAAGAGCAAATGCAATCTTGAGCAAAAAGGAACACAGCTGGAAACATCACATTACTCAACTTTGAAATATACTAGAAAGCTACAGTAACCAAAAAAACATGGCATAGGAATAAAACAGACACATAAAACAACAGAACAGAAGAGAACCCTGAAATAAATCTACTCATCTACAGCCTATTAATTTTTAACAAAGGCACTAAAAACACAGTGGGGAAAGGACAGTTTTTTCAACAAATAATGCTGGAAAAACTGGATATTCATATACAGAAGAATGAAATTTGACTCTTACCTCTCACCATATGTCAAAATCAACTCAAAGTGGATTAAAGACTTAAGTAAGAGATATGAAACTACTAGAAGAAAACATAGGGAAAATACTTCATGACATAGGTCTGGGCAAGGATTTTTTGGAGAAAAACTCAAAAGCACAGGCAACAAAAGCAAAAACAGAGAAATGGAAGTGTATCAATCTAAAAAGCCTCTGTACAAGAAAGGAAACAATCAATAGACTAAGGAGACAACCCACAGATGGAGAAAATATTTGTAAACTATGTACCCGATAAGAGTTAATATCCAGAATATGTAAGGAACTCAAACAACTCATCAGCAAAAAATAACAATAATAATCTGATTTTTAAGATGGCCAAAAAACCTAAATAAATACTTCTCAAAAGACATATACATGGCCAACAGGGGTATATGAAAAAAATGCTCAACATCACTAATTTTCAGGGAAATGCAAATCAAAACCATATGAGATATTACCTCACCCCAATTAGAATGACTATTATCACAATGACAATAAATGCTAGCATGGATGTGGAGAAATGAGAACTGCTACACATTGTGGGCAGGAATGTAAATTAGTATAGCCATTATGGAAAATGGTATGAAGGATCCTTTAAAAATTAAATATAGTTCTACCATATGATCCAGCAATCCCACTACCGGGTATTTATTCAAAGGAAATGAACTCAGTATGTTGAAGAGATATCTGCACTCCAGTGTTTATTGCAGCACTAGTCACAATAGCCAAGACACAGAATCAGTCTAAGTGTCTGTCAACAAACAAATAAAAATGTGGTATATATACACAATGGAATACTATCCAGCCATTAAGATCATGAAATCTTGTAATTTGTGGTAACACAGGATAGTCATCTCAGGAGCTGTGGCATCGACATGATGTGTAGAGCCTGAAATCAAAGACGGAGTCTTCATTCACAAGCACATGCTGGGCACCTGAGTCCTGGTCCTGTTTCAGGCATTGCCATAAACAAGAATGGTACACAAGTAAATGAAATGGTTCACATTCGTGGCCTTATGAAGATTATGGGACAAGAGAATCAATAGGCAAGATAAGTAAAATCTCAGATTTCACAACCCGAGAAATCCCAGCCATCATATCTTCAGGATATACCTCAGAGAAGCCCACCCTTCCAGATCTAGCACACATCATGCTGGTAGATGCTCGCGTCTCTTATTTGGACACTTTCTATTGACGTCCCAAATCCCACCTGTCCTATCCAATAGGGTTTCCCCACAACAGCCAGAGTCCTTGTCCAGCACTAATCAACTTCTTCCATTCACTCTGGTATTAATCACAAATTCCTGACCCACTAATCTCTGCATAATCAACTCCCTGCAGAACCTGCCAGCTTTATCTGTCCTCTCTTCCTCTTCTCACACCATTCTAAACAGGACGCTCCTTTCACTTTTTGAACCTAGTAACTTCTTCCATACTAAATGGCATTTTCACACATTTTTTTTCTTTCCCCTACAGTCTTCTCCTATCAATTCACTTGGCTTTCTGGTGCTCATTGCTGATGTCTCAATTTAAACACCATCTTCTCAGAGAAGCCGTACTCACGACCCTATTGAAAATTATCCTCTCAGCCAGGTGTGGTGGTTCATGCCTGTAATCCCAGCACTTTGGGAGGCTGAGGTCAGGAGATTGAGAACATCCTGGCTAACACAGTGAAACCCTGTCTCTACTAAAAATACAAAAACTAGCCAGGCATATAGTCCCAGCTACTCGGGAGGCTGAGGCAGGACAATCGCTTGAACACGGGAGGCGGAGGTTGCAGTGAGCTGAGATCACACCACTGCACTCCAGCCTGGGCGGCAGGGCAAGACCCTGCCTCAAAAAAGAAAAAAAAAAAAAAGAAAGAAAAGAAAAGAAAAAAAAGTTATCCTCTCTCATGCAAAGGCATAAGAATGATATAATGGATTATGAAGACTTGGGAGAAAGAGTAGGAGTGGAGATGAGGGATAAAAGTGTACAAATTGGGTGCGGTGTATACTGCTCAGGTGGTGATGGGTGCACCAAAATCTCACAAATCACCACTAAAGAACTTACTTATGTAACCAAACACCATCTGTCCCCCAAAAACCTATGGAAATAAAAAAATAACATGAAGAAAATTATCCTCTCTCACTTCCAAATAATCTCAGGTCACAGTTTACTGGCTTTATGTCTATCTTCAATAAGGAAACAAAATGCAACCCTCTCCCCACCATCCCTCATATGCAGTTTTATTGCACACTCTGTGACAGCAGGGGTCACCTGAGTATCTCTGATGCATGCCACTTGTTATCAGCTAGTAAATATTTGTTTCTCCAGGCAGGGCATGGTGGCTCACACTTGTAATCCCAGCACTTCAGGAGGCCAAGGAGTGCAGATCACGTGAGGTCAGGAGTTATAGACCAGCCTAGCCAACATGGTGAAACCTCATCTCTACTAAAAATATGAAAATTAGCCCGGCGTGGTGGCAGGCACCTGTAATCCCAGCTACTCAGGAGGCTGAGGCAGGAGAATGGCTTGACCCCAGGAGGAGCAGTTTGCAGCGCACTGAGATTGCACCACTACATTCCAACCTGGGCAACAGAGTGAGACTCCATCTCAAAAAAAAAAAAAAAAAATTGTTTCTTCATCCCCAGACTTTTTTCAGAGTGGAGGTGATGCTGAAGGCATGCCAATATCAGAGAAGGAAACCAGACATAGGAAGTGACAATTTCAAGACTATAATGCACATGAACTTGTCTATATTTCAGACGTGAAGCCATAAGCATTCAGTGCAATACCTTAACCTAACCTTACAACTCCCTGGGAGGAAAACCCAGCAGGAAGCACAGGCAGAATTTCAGGTCCCTCATTCTCTGAGAAGGACCCTCTCCATGCCCTCACCTCTTTCAAGCTGCATGCAGACCAAAAACACCATTTAAAGTCCCTCACAGAATAGAAGGAAAAAAAAGTGAATTATCCCTGAAAGCCCTCCAGCCTTACTAACTTCCTTACTTGGCTCAACTAATATCAAAGGCTTAAGCCACTTAAGTGCTTTAACTGGACTAACCGGTTTGGAAGCTTTCTATTTTCTCCCTGTTACATGCAAACTGCAGACAACTCAAATGCATAGAGAAAACTTCCACACTGAGAAAGCAATTTAAAAAATAATAATAATGGGCATCCTATATTGAGACAAACACTTTGTCTCACATAGCCTGTCATCTTCCTATTCAGAGTGACAAGGACAAAAATCTAGAAGAATTCTTTATAACAAAACAAGAATTTTACAGTGCTAGATATTAAAAAAGAAAAGTATTATTTTTCTGCTTTAGTTTGATAGAAAACCTTGGAATCTAACCAAATAAATACATTTTATTGCTTAAAAATATAAACCCAATACACCCAAAAGAAACCATCTGTTTATTTGTGGAGTGTTTAAAGCATTTTGAGATATCGAAAACAAGCAAAGTCTGGCTTGGTAACAGTGAATGAGACAGATCTGTGGTCTCCCGTGGCCTCCAATTCAATGGGGGAACCAGGGGCTAAACCAGCAAATATCACAAATGGGAATGAAATATTATTCCTCTGTATAAAGTGTAAAGAAAAAGACGGGGTTTCACCACATTGGTCAGGCTGATCCCGAACTCCTGACCTCAGGGGATCCGCCCACCTCAGCCTCCCAAAGTGCTGGAATTACAGGCATGAAAACCCGTCTTTACCAAAAATACAAAAAATCGCACCACCGCACTCCGGCCTGGGTGAAAGAGAGAGAGTCCATCTCAAAAAAATAAAATAAGTAGGAAGAAAAAGAGCAAAGTTCCATGAGATAAAATAATAGAAGGGGTGAGAGGAGCGGGGAAGCTAATTTTAGAGGGGAGGTAACGGAACACTTTTCTGAGGAGGCATTTCTTGTGAGACCGGAAGTCCTCTCCTGGTCCACGATGGGGAAGTCCATGATGGAACTGAGAGACTGATGTCTCAGAGCTAAGGAGCGGAAGGGGTGGTGAGAACAGGAAGAAAGCAGAGACCAAGTGGCCTGCTAAGAAGGAGATGGACTGGGGACGCCCTTAGGCTCCTCCTACAATAAAGGACAGGAAAGGCCTGGATTCATCGTTCTCTCATTGCTATAAAGAACTACCTGAGAATTGGGTATTTATAAAGAAAAGAGGTATAATTGGCTCATGTTTTCACAGGCTGTACAAGAAGCATGACTGGAAGCCTCAGGAAACTTTCAAAACTTCCAATCATGGCAGAAGGCAAAGGGTTTTATGTCGTTTTTTCTTTCTTTCCTTTTTTTTTTTTTTTTTTTTTTTTTTTTTTGAGACGGAGTTTGGCTCTTGTTGCCCAGTTTGGACTGCAATGGCACGATCTCGGCTCACTGCAACCGCTGCCTCCCGGGTTCAAGCGATTCTCCTGCCTCAGTCTCCTGAGTAGCTGGGATTACAGGCATGGGCCACCACGCCCGGCTAATTTTGTATTTTTAGTAAAGACGGGGTTTCTCCATGTTGATCCGGCTGGTCTTGAACTCCCGATCTCAGGTGATCCACCCGCCTCAGACTCCCAAAGTGCTGGGATTACAGGCATGAGCCACTGCACCCGGCCGCAGACACATCTTACATGGCTGGAGCAGAAGGAAGAGAGAGTGAAGGGGTATGTGCTACACACTTTTAAACAACCAGATCTCATGCAAACTCACTATCATGAGAATAGCAAGGGGGAAATCCACCCCCAAGATCCAATCACCTCCCACCCTTCCTCCAACACTGGGAATTACAAATCCACGTGAGATTTGGGTGGGGACACAAAGCCAAACCATATCAGGCCCCAAGTCCACTTAGATGTGGCTGCCAAAGGTTGATGGTGGTGGAAGAGCTGCCCCAACTCTCCACCCAGGGAACCAACCCCTTCCCCTCAAGAGACAAGAGTCAAGCCGAGGGAAAGGACTGGGTTGCGCCCGCTACTGGACTCTGTGTGCTGCAGGGTCAACTCACATTGCTTCTTCCTGCATTGTGTTTTGTCTTTTCCAGAAGATACAGAAATTCCATTATGTGACTTAGCTGCTAAAGCTTAAAAATTAAATTGATTCTGACCCAGAGTCAATATTCTATTTAAATAGTTTAATGTTTTATTCTTTAAAATGAGAAAAAAACAAGTGTTTTATTTGTGAACAGGTGTTTTCTATTTTAGATTTCAAGGGCCTAAATCATTCTTTTTTTTTTTTTTTTTTTTTTTGAGACAGGGTCTCCCTGCAACACCCAGGCTGGAGTGCAGTGGGGTGATCTCAGCTCACTGAAACCTCTATCTCCCAGGTTCAAGCGATTCTTCTGCCTCAGCCTCCTGAGTAGCTGGGCTTACAAGCGCCCACCACCACTCTCGGCTAGGTTTTGTATTTTTAGTAGAGATGAGGTTTCATCACATTGGCCAGGCTGGTCTTGAACTCCTGACTTCAAGTGATCCATCTGCCTCAGCCTCCCAAAGATCTGGGATTACAGGCATGAGCCACCTCATCCGGCCTCAAGGGCCAAAATAATTCTTAAAGGACTCATGCCAGGTATAAATCACACTTTATGAATTTTCCCTAAAGTTTCCTTTAAAATATACTCTTCATTGGTCATATTTCAATTCCATCACAGGCTTTAGATTTAACAGAAAAAGGGAGACTGCAGCCTCCAGATGTAACTGACAAATTCAGTGTTAGGATGAGTGCACAATTAATTTTTAATAGTTCAGTGTGAAGAGCTTTAAAGATCAAGAAAATTAGGAAGCTATAAATAAGCTTCCTGAAGGCAGGGACCATGTCTTAAGTGATTTGTATCCCACTATTTCTACCTATTAAATAATCAAAATTTAAAAGATCTAATGAACGAATAATGTTTGTAACAATAGAGCCAGAACTTCAAATAGAATGATGTAAGCATATCTTAAAGAAGTATTTGAAATAATAATAAAAACAGCCCCATGGGCAGTATCATTATTCTGTTTTTATTTTTAGTAAAGACTAATTCACAGATAGTACAAAGTAGCCCCAGTAGGCTGCCTGGAAAAATACTAGCAAAGACATATTTGTGGTCATCAATAATTAATTTATTTTTCACTTTTTAATTTTGAATCTATCTGCAACAACTAAAAAATGCTCTTACCTCAGTCAAGATGTCACATTCTTTAAAAATTTTTTTAAATCTAAGCAAGAACACTAAAGAGTAAGTCATTGATTTGTTGCCCAACATGTACAAGAATAGCCCCAAATGAGAAATCTCAGTTCAGAATAAGGGAAAGACTTAAAGTATAATCAATATGAAATAGAAATTCATAGTCCAGGGGCTGGGGTGAGGATGGAGGGAAAGAAACATCAGAAAAATTAAAGACTAAGTAAAGAAAATGCTGAGAAAGTCTTTGAGGAAAACCATTGGTAAAAGGATGTTTAGGATTTTATTCAGCAGCAATGGGCCAGGTGTTATAGCACATGCCTGTAATCCCAGCACTTTGTGAGTCTAAGGCAGGAGGATCACTCGAGCTCAGGAGTTTATCAGCCTGGGAAACACCACAAGATCCATCTCTACTAAAATAAAATGTTAGCCAGGTGTGTGTGGTGGCATGTGGTATAGTCCCAGCTACTCAGGAGATTGAGGTAGGAGAATTGCATTAACCTAAGAGGTTGAGGCTGCAGTGAGCTGTGATTGCACCAATGCTGTCCAGTGGGTGACAGAGTGAGGCCTTGTCTCAAAAACAAAAACAAAAACAAAAAAAAACAAAAAAAAAAAAAACCAAGCCCTTTACTTAGATGATTTTTTAGAGGATTAAATGAGTTAATACTTTTAATGTGCTAAAAACAGGCTGGGCACGGTAGCTCACACCTGTAATCCCAGCATGTTGGGAGGCTGAGGCAGGTGGATCACTTGATGTCAGGAGTTTAAGACTAGCCTGGCTAAAATGGCGAAACCCTGACTCCACTGAAAATACAAAAATTACCCAAGCATGGCGGTGTGAGCCTGTAATCCCAGCTACTTGGGAGGTTGAGGCACAAGAATCACTTGAACCCAGGTGACGGAGGTTGCAGTGAGCCCAGATCACACCACTGCACTCCAACCTGGGTGACAGAGTGAAACTGTGTCTCAAAAAAATAAAAATAAAAAAAGAAATAAAAGTGCTAAAAATAGTGCTCAGGACATATATAACACTCAATACATATTTATTATCATTATGATTATTACATTTGACTATTTGAGGGAACAAGAAGTCAAGAAGTCTGGCCTTTTTCTAACAGTGTGTTTATATTATAACTTTCCCCTTCAGTTGGACTTGAAATTCTGGGAAGTAGCATAAATATTCTTTCAGTTTATTGAGAAAAACAATGAAAGAACTAAGCAAGGTTTGAAGACCTGAAAAGACACATATTGATGAAATTCTTACAGAAGTAACTGAAGATATTTAAAGACAGAAGAGAAACCATAAATTTTTCTACCTTGGACAGATGATCAATCCAAGGACTCTAGGTTTTAGTTTTGACTGGTTGGTGTGTTTTGGTGGGGATGGGAAAGAGAAGTGACCAATGGCAAGGAAATTATGAGGCTGCTTCTCTCATGAGGCGCCTTCTTGGGCCTATTAACTTCACCACCATAAGGTTCACCAATTCAAATGTTTAACTCCAGCCTTCGTCCATTCTGAAGGCTCAATCTCTTATCCTCCTGCTCCACTGAAAAGCAGCAACAATCTCTTTTTGGTTTGGCTAGCATCATGGGGAGAAGAACGCTTGCTACTGGCCTTAAAGAGTAAATGAATGGCTATTGCTGGGAGAACTAAGCAAAGTGGACTTTATGGAGAATGTGGCAGAATAGACTGTGACCATGGACTAGAGGTGTCACCTTATATGCTGGCTATCTGTTTATTTTTATTTTATTTATTTTTTGAGACAAAGTCTCACTCTGTCACCCAGGCTGGAGTACAGTGGAGCTATTTCGGCTCACTGCAACCTCCACCTCCCAGGTTCAAGCGATTCTCCCACCTCAGCCTCCTGAGTAGCTGGAACTACAGGTGCGTGCCACCACACCTGGCTAATATTTTGTATTTTTTGGTAGAGACTGGGTTTTAGCATGTTGGCCAGGGTGATCTCAAATTCCTGACCTCAAGTAATCCACCCACCTCGGCCTCTCAAAGTACTGGCATTAAAGGTGTAAGCCACCGTGTCTGCCCCTATCTGTTTAAGATGAGTCAGGTAAAGGCCCTCCCCTTCCCAGTGAACACCTGAGCACTTCAAGGTCACTTCACAGATGTTCACTGAGTCCTCTCCGCCTGTGGTTCACGCAGCTGCATCACTGGGCAAAGTTGATTTGTCCAAGTAATCCTGATCTCCAATCTTGGCATGCAGTGTCTATGCACTCTCAGTCTCTGTGACTTTCTGAGTCATGCTGATAACGGTAGACTAGAAAAAAGGTTCCAAAAGTCTTGCTGCCGAGGTCCTCAGAAATGCTTGGCTTTCTTCTCTTCCCTCACCTGGGATGTTCAGCTACTTCAAATACTCCAATAGGCTCAAAATGAATTATCCTTTCACTTTACTCACTAACCCACTGGGGCTCCAGAACAACATTAACTAACATGACTTTGACTATATGCAGTGGTTTATGCTCCTGACACAAAGATTAACAGATTCAGTCTCTGTCTTCAAAGCCCTTCAACTATAACCGTCTGTACGGATGTAAATGTCATCTAGCAGCTCTTAATAGATATTAATAACATATTGATGAAAATTGATTTAGCTAATTATAATCTCTACTGAAATAAACACTTAATGACTTCAACAGCTCAAATCCCATGAGACCAGAATACAGCGTCATGGCTGTATTCAAAACTCTGTATTGGTTTGGAAAGTATAAGCAGATTCTGTCCAAGTTATGCCTGTGCCCATTCTCAAAAGAGTATGTACCTCTAAGAAACTCTTTTTAAGCTCTATGTACTAATAGCAAAATGGTTGATATTCTTAACATCTACTGCATACATTTTAATATTAAAAAATTAAATGTAAAAATGTTAAAATGCATATAGTTTATAAGCAGCCATAACCTATGCTTCAGCATTTATAAATTAATCTCAGTGGTTTAATCATAATCAACAGATGTTGGTATGGCCCCTTCCTTCTTATTCTCCCTGCCTTCCTTTAACATACCCATCTGGGGGTCAGTGGTTCCTATGCACCAGGCACCGCACATAGCATTTTATCTGCAGAATTTCAACTGACTCTCACTGCAGCTCTATTTGTTTTTTGTTGTTTTAATTTTATATTTTATTTTATTTATTGAGACAGGGTCTTGCTCTGTCACCCATGCTGGAGTACAGTGACACGATATCAGCTCACTGCAACCTCCACTTCCTGGGTTCAAGCAACCCTCCCTGCCTCCGCCTCCGGAGTAGCTGGGATTACAAGTGCTGCCATCATGCCTGGTGAATTTTTGTATTTTTAGTAGAGACGGGGTTTCACCATGTTGGTCAGGCTGGTCTCAAACTCCTGGGCTCAGGTAATCCGCCTGCCTTGGCCTCCAACAGAGCTGGGATTAGAGGCGTGAGTCACCATGCCTGGCCTTGCAGCTCTACCTGATGGGTACTTTATTAACACTTCTATATCAGGGGGCTGTCTGACTCCATGGCCTGCCCACACTCTTAAAAAACACACATTCTGTTCAGATTCAGGAAAGGTTCCAGAGAGGGTGGGGGTGGGGGACAGCTGAAATGCTGGACTCTGAAGGTATGACTCTTTAACAACAAACCAGTTTTGGGCTGGCATAATGGCAGAAGGTCCTAGCCTCCCGCCAAGTACCTGCTGTTCCTTTCCCTGCTTCAAAAGGACCAGAAAAACAAAGAGATGCAAGTAAACTCAGGTCATTCTCAGAAGTGAGTGCTGAGGTTAAGTGGCATTAAAATCAGAGAGTCGGCTGGGTGGGGTGGCTCACGCCTGTAATCCCAGCACTTTGGGAGGCCGCGGCAGGTGGATCACGAGGTCAGAAGTTCGAGACCAGCCTGACCAACATGGTGAAACCTCGTCTCTACTAAAAATACAAAAATTAGCCAGCTGTAGTGACGCACGCCTGTAATCCCAGCTACTCAGGAGGCTGAGGCAGGGGAATCACTTGAACCCAGGAGGCGGAGGTTGCAGTGAGCCGAGATCATGCCACTGCAGTCCACCCTGGGTGACAGAGCGAGACTCCATCTCAAAAAAATAAATAATAAATAAACAAATCAGAGTCCTCTCAATTTTCACACCAAAAAGTATGAAAAAAGAAAGTCCTGTGTTTAGTGGAGACACTGAGAAAGCTTCCCCCATGGATCCAGACATACCTGGCTCAATTGTTCTCTGGAATGTGTCCTTACTGGTCATCACCAATCTAGTTCAGATTTCACCCTGAAATGCTCTTATTCTCTCTTTTGTGGGGTATATTCTACGTACTTTCAGGGCAGAACTGGACTACTCTGCCTTGCAACAGCCGCGCCACATCCTGAATGCCAGAGATACTCCACATATATTTGGGAGAGACATATCCACAATAATAAAAGATACCATATCTTCCCAGCCCCTGAGATAGCCAAATACACACTAACAACCAGTTTTTGGTTTTTTGTTTGTTTGTTTGTTTGTTTTTTTGAGACAGAGTCGCTCTGTTGCCCAGGCTGGAGTGCAGTGGCGCGATCTCGGCTCACTGCAAGCTCCGCTGCCCTGGTTCATGCCATTCTCCTGCCTCAGCCTCCTGAGTAGCTGGGACTACAGGCGCCCGCCACCACGCCTGGCTAATTTTTTGTATTTTTAGTAGAGACGGGGTTTCACCGTGTTAGCCAGGATGGTCTCGATCTCCTGACCTCGTGATCCGCCCCTCTCGGCCTCCCAAAGTGCTGGGATTACAGGTGTGAGCCACCGTGCCTGGCCCCTAACAACCAGTTAAAAGGACAGATACTGAAGCTACATGACCTTTACAAGTGGTTTGGTCATGAAGACTTTCTCAATCTAGGGAAGATGAAAGAAAGCTGTTTGACACCCTTGTGCCTCATAATCCTCTTTCCTCCATGCTTATGAATGTGATCATTTCAAAGGAAGCTTAAGGTTATCATTTGGAAAACACATGACTGCCACAAAGGCTGTTGGTGAACTGTGAATGACCAAGACGACAGCTAGCATGTCTCGATTTAATGGAAACCAGACTTTCCATGAAGTTCACATGGGAACATGCAGCCAACCTTCCCCCTGGATCATTCCAGGCTTTGCTGCTGGGTCTGCTAATAACACTCCTCTTCACACGTCAGCATCCTTGGAAAGCGGCGGCTTGAATGTCTGGGAGGAGAAGATCCTACCTCATATCCATGTAAGTTGTGTGCTTTAATGTGAATTTTGTGATCCAATGTTGTGTTCCCCTCCTCCAATCCTTCTTTGCTCCAAACTGACATCCTATGGAATGTGGCATTATGCAGTTAAGAATACTGACAAATTGCGATGAACAACTAATCTCTTGAGCTCCTCTCTCTGTCCCTCCTGTGTTCTCATTCCAGTCTGGTCATGTATTGCCCCAAGCCTAGACTTAGCAGTGGTCTCCTATCTCCTCTCCCTGTTGACAATCTCTCTTCTCCCTTGCTCCAGAGTTGTTTTTTCCAAAGCATCGCTTTTAACGGGTCATTCACCATCATGCTCTATCACTACAAGATGAATTCTTGACCAAGAGAAATGGATTTCAAGACACTTTGCAGCCCCGTCCAATCCAAATGCAGCATCTAGTAGCTTCTCTAGCATCTTCTACCTCTTATTTTTTCTTTTAACTGAATTCCAGCTACATTCACTCCATTGCTGTTCTATAAATAAAAAAGCCAAGTTCCCATCTCAGATTTTTTTCATTTGCTGTTTCCTGTGCCTAGAATGCTCTTCCCCTAGATATCTCACTTCATGTAGGTTTTTGTCCAAAGGCGACCTCTTTTTTGTTGTTGTTGTTGGAGACAGAGTCTCCCTCTGTCACCCAGGCTGGATTGCAGTGGCGCAATCTCAGCTCACTGCAACCTCCACCTCCCAGGTTCAAGCAATTATCTGCCTCAGCCTCCCAAGTAGCTGGGATTACAGGCACCCACCACCACGCCTGGCTAATTTTTGTGACTTTAGTAGAGATGGGGTTTCACCATCTTGGTCAGGCTGGTCTTGAACTCCTGACATCGTGATCCGCCCTCCTTGACCTCCCAAAGCGCTGGGATTATAGACCGGAGCCACCGTGCCTGGCCCAAAAAGCTGACTGGGGAAACAAGGTTGGCTTTGTTTCAATAGGATGCTTCAAAGGTCACCTGTTCAAAGCATCCTTTCAAATGAAACAAAGCCAACCTTGTCATTTTCTCAGTCAGCCTTTTTTCCCCCATAACAGCCTTTATCATGACATGAGAGTGCCACACGCAGCTGTTTCCTTCTGTGTTTACTGTTCATCCCTCCTATTAGCTCCTTAAAGGCTGGGACTTTGTGCCTGTTCTGCCGACTTCCCTATGTCCATTGTTTGGCAGCTGGTAGGAGCTCTGTAAATATTTTTGGTATTAATCAACTAAAAATAAAGCAATATGTATGGTGCTAAGGGAGACATAAAAACAAGCAAGACTTCAACGTCTACATTTAAGAAACTCCTCTACTTCTGGAGCTAAACACATCCAATTAATCAGAAACATTATATCCTTTTCCCATTTCACCATTCTGATTTACACAGCCCCCTCGTAGGCTTCCATACCATTCACAGCACATATCAAGGAAACAATTATTTCTCTAGTTTCTCTCTCTTTCCCTGTAACATAAATCCCTGGCAAAGCAGAGTTGATGTTGTATTTGATTTTGTGCCCTTAGAACTCAGAAGGTACTGGCGTGACACTCAAATCATACTGACTGAATAGGGGAATATGCAAAATTCTCTAAGAGGACAAAGTTAGGGCAGACCATCTCTGAGGGTAGTGTTTGAACTTCTGTACATTGGGGAACGTCTGAAGGTTTTGAATGGAAAAGCCATAAAAACCAATGTACGTTATAGAAAACCCTGGCTAACACCCAACTTATGGGGCATTTCTACTGCCTGTAGCAGTGAAGATTGTACTAATTTAACCCTTTATATTCTGCCTGGCATTACTGTGAAATATGACAAAAATTTAGACAAGAAGAGAAACGTATATAGTAAGCTACATTATCTAACATCCAGTTCATCAGCTCTTCTTCTGATACCATTTTTGCTTCAGATTTTTTTAAAAAATCTCAACATTTCATATATAGTTATCAAAATATTTAAATCTAACCTCCCCATAACAAATCAGTTCAGATAAGGTTTTTTTTTTTTTTTCTGAGACAGAGTCTTGTTCTGTTGCCCAAGCTGGAATGCAGTGGAATGATCTCAGCTCACTGCAACCTCCGCTTCCCAGGTTCAAGCATTCTCCTGCCTCAGCCTCCCAAGTAGCTGGGATTACAGACGTGCACCACCATGCCTGTCTAATTTTTGGATTTTCAGTAGAGACAGGGTTTCACCATGTTGACCAGGCTGGTCTCGAACTCCTGAACTTAAGCGATCCACTCACCTCAGCCTCCCAAAGTGTTGGGATTACAGGAGTGAGCCACCATGCCTGGCCATAGATAAATATTTTGATATAAGATTAGTATCCCTTGTCATCGAAAGTCTAACTCCTTTGCTATTTAAATTATCATTATCCAAATGTATTTGGTTTCTAAGTTTGGATAGTAAGGAATTTATACTTGATTCTCAATGCATGTTTGCTGAAAATAGTGACTTTCTGAGAAGGAATAGTTGACTTGTATTCTGTAACTAAGCTGGTGCTGCATAAATAGCATCTACCACATTTGCAAGACAGGGATTCCAATTTTTGGAATCAGTGATGCTCTCCCTTCCCAAGGCTGCTGGCTTGCTGATGCACACTATCAGAAAGACACGTGTTTTTACTTGTTTCTGTGGTGGTAATGGGTTATGTCAAGCTCTCCACCCAACCCTGCCCTGCCTCCCTTGGAACTGACAGCATTTATTTGTTAAACAGACAGCTGGAGCTGGAAGTCTAGGAATCAGCTGTTAAGAGATGTGATTAAGTACGCTACGTGGCATCAACCCATTGGGCAGGTGCACAGTGGAGCTGGATGATTGACAGGACTTCCCAAGCTCTCCCAGGGGTGGGGTGGAAGAGCCAGACATGACCACCATGTTGGAAACAGCTGGTCCCAATTTTTTCTCAGTTATTTATCTTTTCCTGCCCCTCCTCACCCCCTGCCTTGAGGTAAAACAAAGAAAAATAATCATAGGATTAAGAGATGTTAGCAATTGTGCAGTCCATCCCCCTGATTTTACAGAGGAAGGAAATGGGATCTGGGGAGAACAAAGAACTGTCCAAAGTCTCAAAAGTGATTAGTAGCAGAACATTTCTGGCTAGCATTTAGTTTTCCTATCTATTTGATGAAGTGATTGGACTTGGTAACTTAGTGGTTATTCCACATCTGAAATTCTATTTCTTTTTCACTTGGGATGTATGTAACTTGCCGTGATACAAAGTACAATTTCTGCGCAAGACAGCAAGCTCCCTGGACAGCCTCGTGTACACTCAGCAGTAAAAGTGTTTTGATGCTGCTGCATATTGTCAGAGCCCAGTTAAGGGGCTCAGAGCTCATCATCAACCTGGCTGACCACCAGGCTTAAAGATGCAAATACCTATACCCAACTTGGACTTTAGGATCCAAATTTCTAAGGTTTTAAAACCAATTTTATAAAATAGACTACAAACCTATACCTGCAGGCCCAACCTGGACTTCGACAGGTTTTGTTTGTTCCTCTCTGTGCTAACTTTTCCCTAGAGGAATTTGAGCCCAATATTGTCATTTCATCCAATTTTTCAAGAGAAGCCATAAATTCCATTTTGTGTGTACAACTGCTGGGCAGCAGCTAGAGAGTGGCCGCCCCATAAAGATGTGGCATAAGCTCTCCAGTTCATCAAAGCCCTACCCCTTCTGCATCCCTCATTATATTACTAGTCTGGTGCCTATGAACATTTGACTTTGTGACCCCTGCCCTAATTCAACCTTATAGTTGATGCATTTCTTATGCAAAAGTCATATCTTGCTAGCTAGGGCGTTTCTTTTTCCTTCTCTTATAGCTGTCAGATCACCTATCACAAAGCTAAGAAATCCATATATACCCAAAGATAGTTTTTCCTCAGTAATTACATTTGCATGTAACTTATTACATGCAAATATGAGAAAACATGAGGAAAGTTGGAATAGAAGCATAGTTTATTTAACTTTGTGAAATCTGTGAGTCTGCAAATTCTTGGTGCTGTCCTACAGCAACAAACTACAGAAGTCTGCAAATGGGTAAACACTTCTGTTGGGTGAACTATGCTTGCCTTCTGTAGCATCCAAAATGTCACTCCAAACAGATGCTGGGGATGACAGCAGAGGGCTATTTGCATACTAATATGCCCCACCCAGATTCAGATGCAGAGGGACATAGATAAGATGTGTTAGGCAAATGCACATGCGGTTAACTCGCTACATGTAACTGAGAGATAAATGGAATGTATGCAGTGATTTCCAACTTTTTCCTCCTGCTGTCATCGATTTTCTTGGCTCACCTAACCATCATGCAAATTCTCTTCCTGTTACAAGTACAGTGTGGCAGGAAGAAAAGTGGCTTTCTTGCCAAACTCTGGCTCATTTCCATCTCATGTCGGATAGTCATGGGTCATGGATCACTTTACAATGTTTTTCAAAATTTAAGATGGCTCAGGTCATCGCTGTCACGGGATAAATTATATTTCATAAACCAAATATGTCTAGGCTTCCAGATTACCAATAAAAGCAGATAACCAGCTTCTTGGAAACAATCTCAAAATGCACTACTCAAGAGTACACACACAGAGGAAGCTCTGTCCTAACTCTGACCATTCATACCTCCTTCACTGCAAATTACTCCATATCCCTTTTCATTTTAATGTAAAGCATTTGAATGCAAACTGCTTCCACTGCCATGTCTTTCTTGTAATGAGGCGATTACAAGCTGCGTATCAGTGGCTTGTCATGATCACATTAAGAAAATCAGCAGCTGGATGTTGAGTTTTTTAACTTCTGCCAAAAAAATTTTAAAAAGTTTTGATTCTCCAACCATAGCTAAGATAACATGTGAACTGAGATGGCAGCCAATGTCTTACATTTGTCCATCGACAAGACTGTGAGTAAAGCAACCTTTTCTATCCAGGAGTTTATTTTTTAACTGATGACTCCTGCCCCCATTTGGGTGCTGCAGACTCATCCATGAAGCTGGAATGAGAAAGATGGTGCCTGCTCCTGTATTCTCTATGGCGCTATCTCTCACCACTACACTTACTCCCAACCCCCATCCTTTACTGCTTCCTAGGATGGCAGAGCTTTCCACTGTTCTTTAAACCAGCTAAACCTGTTTCTGTCTTTCTCTGGTAGAAGCTGTAGGCACTACGCACTCTGCAAGGCTAGATTCACCTACTCAGAAAGCTTTTCTTCTTTTGAGATGCAGTCTCACTCTGTTGCCCAGGCTGGAGTGCAGTGGCACCATCTCAGCTCACTGCAACCTCCGCCTCCTGGGTTCAAGTGATTCTACTGCCTCAGCCTCCTGAGTCGCTGAGATTATAGGTCCCTGCCACTGTGCCCAGCTAATTTTTGTATTTTTATTGGAGATGGGGTTTCACCATGTTGGCCAGACTAGGTCTGAACTCATGACCTCAAGTGATCCGCCTGCCTCAGCCTCCCAAAGTGCTGGGGTTACAGGTATGAGCCACTGTGCCTGGCCAGAAAGCTCTTCTATGACCATCTCATCAAAAACACTTCTCTTTAAGTCATAATATCAGAAAACATCGTGATCACGCCACAGACTGGAACCAAATGTGTGGGTTCAAATTCTGGCTCTACTGCTTGTAAGGCGTGTGAACTTGGATGAGTTACTGATTTTTGTGCCTCAGTTTATTGAACACAGAATGAGGATAAATGAAGGATACAGGCTTGCTCTGAGCACTGAAGGCATAAATATATATAAATCACTTACAATAATGCCTGCCACACAGTGAGTGACTAGTGGGCCCATTTCATTTGCTGCTTCACGGTCTGAAAATACTGGGTTTCTTGATTGACTGGTTGTTTTCTTCCCCTCAGCAATGTTCAGGGAAGCAGAAAGGAGAAACCTTGTATATTCTGGTCCAGTTTTTTAATCCCCAGATTCCTGGTACCAGGAGTAGTATCTCATGCCTAACAGATTCTGAATAAGTGTTTGTCGATTTAATGACTAATGTCCAAATGGTACTTTTGTGTCAAGGTAGCAACTTCTAATGAAGCTGGCAGCAGTCAACTAAATGAAGAAGTCATTAGGTGGAGAATCACTGATGTGATTAAGTAACAAATAAAAACAAGAGTAGGCTGGGCACAGTGGCTCACACGTGTAGTCCCAGTACTTTGGGAGGCCAAGGTTGGTGGATAGTTTCAGCTCAGGAGTCTGAGAGCAGCCTGGGCAACATGGCGAAACCCCATCTCTACCAAAAATACAAAAAATTAGCGAGGCATGGTTGCACATACCTGTGGTCTCAGCTAGTCAAGAAGGAGGCTGAAGCAGGAGTATCACTTGAGCCTGGAAGGTCAAGTCTTCAGTGAGCCTTGATGGTGCCACTGCACTCCAGTCTAGGCGACAGAGTGAGACTTTATCTCAAAAAACAAAGAGGAGTCCAATCTTTACATGATCTAATTCCACAAAATGCATCTAAGATTATAGCTTAAGTGAGGGGGTAGGTTTTGTTTGTTACAGTTTTGTTTTGTGGGAGTGGCATGGTGTTACGGAAAACTCCTCTCATGACAGTGTGTGTCTGTCAGGTTAATTCGTTCAACAAACGTTTGTATTTATAATGGGCCAGGCACTGAAGTAGGACCTGCGAATAAGTAATGGAGCAGGGCTGAATGAAGCCCTCAGGGTAGTCAGTTTCTTACCAGGAAGACCTCTAGCTGCACCGACATCACAAGACAGCCGTTTTCTGCCTACTTGGAAGACCACTCAAGGCACCTGATAAATTCTTCGAAAGGTCTCTTAGAAGAGGTGAATCTTTGCCTTCCTTAAAGAGGCTAAGGTTAGCCAAGTGAACAAAGAGAGAATGGGGGAAGGAACTCCATGTGAGGGAGCAGAGGTGAAATAGAGACAGGAGCTCAGTTGCTTGCAGCTATTTGATTTTTTAAGCATAGAATCGATCTGTGCACTGGTATGCATAGGCTGTTAGGAGTAAAAAGTGGTAGATTGTTTTTAGAAGCCCTAAATATTAATAAGATAACGTGTGCCCACATGTGATTCAAAATAAAAATATTAGCAAAACTGATGTTCAGCCAACACTGAAATAGCCAGAATTCTACAACTTGGAATAAAATCTACAAAATCTACTATGCTCATTAATGCTAAGGACTTTGAGCTTTACCCTAAGAAAAATGCAGACTCCTCAGGGATTTTAAAGAGAAGAGTGGCTGTGGCTGCACTGTGGAGGATGGATTAAAACAAAGACAAAAACTGAGACCAAGAAATCAATCAGAAGCTATTGCCTGGGTTTCTGCAAGAAATAACGGCAGTGGAAACCAAGCAATGATGGTAAAGATAAAGTAAACAAATTTAAAAAATAATAATAAATGTAGATTTATCAGGGTTCAACTACTGGTAATATGTGGAGAAGAAAATTTAAGGAGGTTACTCAGATCTTTTTTGCAGGTAACTGTGTAGATCAGAGAAGAGCCATTGGTCTCACTTTTTATCATCTGCAAAGAATCACCCCGCCCTTGCCAGGTGCGATGGCTCACATCTGTAATCCCAGTACTTTCGGAGGCCGAGGCGGGCAGATCACAAGGTCAGGAGTTTGAGACCAGCCTGACCGAAATGGTGAAATGCCGTCTCTACTAAAAACACAAAAATTAGCCGGGCATGGTGGCGTGTGCCTGTAATCCCAGGTACTCAGCAGGCTGAGGCAGGAGAATTGCCTGAACCCGGCAGACGGAGGTTGCAGTGAGTGGAGATCGCACCACTGCACTTCAGCCTGGGTGACAGAGCAAGACTCCATCTCAAAAAAAAAGAAAAAAAAAAAAAGAAGAATCACCCAGCCCTGATGGCTTCCTTTAGACACTCCCTTTACCCCACCTGGTCTGCACTGTTCAGTACAGTAGTCACTACCCATATGTGGTTATTTAAATTTGATCCATTACAATGAAATAAAATGAGAAATTCAGTGCCTCAGTTATACTAGGCATATTTCAAGTGCCCAGTAGCCACGTGGTTGGCAGCTACCATACTAAACAGTCTGGAAAGTTCTATGGAACAGCATTGCAAATTATTGCCAAATATGTCGGTGATGCTGCCATTTCTCATGCCACCATCCTTCCATCTACTCTATCCAATCTCAATTGTGCATGACTCCTTTCAACATTTACATTTTGTTTTTCCTTTTCATCTAAAAGACATCAAGCCACTTCTGAAATCAGGAGTGTCTATCTACATAAAGGCATAAGTTAAACGCACAAATAGTTTGGAAGAGAAATGTGCCAGATTAGAAACCAAATCTTTATAAGTCCTTTGTTTTATATAAGACTAAAAGACAGGCCAGGCATGATGGCTCATGCCTGTAACCCCAGCACTTTGGGAGGCCAAAGCGGGCAGATCACCTGAGGTCAGGAGTTCAAGACCAAACTGGCCAACATGGTGAAACTCTGTCTCTACTAAAAATACAAAAATTAGGTGCATGCCTGTAGTCCCAGCTACTCGGAAGGCTGAAGCAGAAGAATCGCTTGAACCTGGGAGGTGGAAGTTGCAGTTAAGTCGAGATCACACCACTGCACTCCAGCCTGGGCAACAGCGCAAGACTCAGTCTCAAAAAAAAAAAAAACAAGAGGCTTGGGACAAATGAGCTGGAACCTGTCAATGTCAAATAACAAGTAATTGTTTGAGTATTCCTAACAGAGTACCAATGGCCAGGAAGAGGGGGAAGAGTCATCCTAATGAGATTCAATTCATCTTCCTTTTAATAGTTGCAAAGAAATTTGTAAATAACCTATAATCTGCTGGGGTTAGAAACAGAATGACAATATCTGAAAATGACAACAAGAACTACAACTCTACTCGATTTCAAGTTAAACAGAAAGAAAAGGTATTGTTTTGTTAATGAAGGGGTCAGGCAAGGGGACCCAGGAATTCATTTTAGATCAAGTGATACAGATATTTCACTTTCTGAGTTTTCTAAAGAGCCTCACAAAGGGATCCATCCACATCATGGAAAGAAGGTGGTTTGGTGAAACAGACAGAGGTGCTCTAACTTTAATAAATGTAATTGATACTGCCATTGAAAAAATGCATTTCATTGATTACCTATGTTCCCAGAAACTTTAGTATCAGAAAAACAGTCTCTCCACATTGAAGACGCCCAGTCATTGTGCAGAAAAATCGAACAACACCAAGACAATCATGTAATCAATTGCTGACCACACAGATGTGCCAGGCACACCTGATAATGCTCTGGGACAGAAGACAGAATCGCGTGATACCATCCACTCCTCTGCTCCAAACCCTTGGCTGGCTCCTGTTCAGCTCGGAGTAAAGGCTGAAGCTCTCATCATGGCCAAGTAGTGGTGTCACGCTAATTTTGTGATTTGCATGACCTGAACTCACCCCTTCTTCTTTGACTTCATTTCCTAGTGCCCATCCCTCATTAACTGAGTCCCAGCTACACTGGCCTGATGGCTGATCTTGGAATATGCCCAGTATGGTGCTCCAGTGTGGAGCATTTTAAAGTCCTGCTTATTCTGCCCTAAACACTTCTCCCCATTGGGTTCACACCCTCATTTCCTCCTACACGTGTCCACCTCAGAGAAAACTTCCCTGAACACCCTGTATGAAATCTCCACCCCATCACTTCCCATGCCTGCCCCCTGCTTCACTTTCCTTCATTACACTTTACCCCCAACAGATTCGATAGATTCTAAATGCCTTTGCCTATGGTCCATTTCTACACTAGAGTGCAGGCACCAGGGATACAGGCACTGCTGTATTCCCAGTGCCGAGCCCTGTTCCTAGCATAGGGTAGACGTCGTAAATATTGGTTGAATAAATGAGTGCCTCTGTCCTGATGGAATTTACATCCTAGATGGCAGATCTCTGTGCAAAAATATCAAGTGCTAAAATTACATCTTTCTGACACTACAGGAATGTCTTTCATTTACTCTTCAGTTTAATCAGGCAATAAATGAGAAGGCGTAAATGGCATCTATTAAATCCTTTTCTATGCTGACTTGATGAGTGGGCTGGCAGAGGGAACTTTTAGACAGTATGGAGAGCTCATGGTATCTGAAAAAGCAGGAAAATGTAGGCAGTAAAGAAAAAAAAAGGACCCAGAATCAGGAATCGATGGGTACCATCAAAGGGTTAATGCGCTGGTCATGATTTCACTGAAAGTCAGCTGCATTTTGATGAATCGTATTTAAAGCACTCTAAAACTGAAAGAGTACCCAGGGACCATCTGGTCACCATGGAGGTGAAAACAGATGTCCAGAGCAGAACATGACTTGTTCAATGTCATGGAGTGGCCATGCTCTGCCTAGAACCCAATGTGCAGCCCTCCTGGGTACAACTCGAAGTTCAGGGCAGTCATTATTACGCCATAGCCCTAATACTGTGGTCTCAACATGAAAGGCTGCCTGAGGGTTTGCATTCATCCAATAGGGAAGCAGGCTGGTTTGAGCCAGCAGGGGCTAGGCTGCTTACACTGTTACACATGAACGAATGGACAGGGTTCTAAACCCTGAGCTGACATACAGACTAGCTGCTATGATCTGAATGTTTGTATCACTCCAACATTCACATGTTGAAACCCAATCACCAAGATGATGGTCTTAGGAGGTAGGATCTCCTGGGAAGTGATTAGATCCAAAAGGCAGATGGAAAGATGAGTGCCCTTATAAAAGAGGTCCCAGAGAGCTGCCTTGCTTCTTCCACCACGTGAAGACACAGCAAGAAGGTGACAATCTATAACCCAGAAGAGGGCCCTCTCCAGAACTGGACCATGCTAGCATCCTGCCCTCAGACGTCCAGTTTCCAGAACTGTGAGAAATACATTTCTGCTGTTTATAAGTTACCCTGTTATGGCAGCCCAAGTGGACTAAGACACCATCCAAACAAAACACTTCTGTGGGCTGGGCCCATTATGGTCCAAAGGCCTCTACTGTCGACTCTTGGCTGTAGGTCCATTCTTTCTTCAACTGTCCTTTGACAAACAGAAGCCAAGCATGAGGAACATATCCATCCAGTAGGATTTACTTAGCCGGGATGTACACCATATTCAGCTGGTCCTGGCTATGAACCATACATGTGGTCTAATTGGATTACTGCTGCTGAGATATTTGATTCAAGTTAACAGGGCATTACATGATTGATGACGATTTTATTTGTTTTTCAAGACCATCAGCTTCATTATAAAGATTGATCCCCTGGAATCCATTAAACTTGATATCACTGCACATTAAAATGCATCCTTAGCAGCCATTTGCTGGGGTGGAAGTGGGGAGGATAATGATCCCATTTCCAAAGGGTTTTTAAATGCAGTCTAGTCCATTTAAGTGTGTTTGTTTATGGACTATTCATTGCTTTGTGTCTGGAGACAGCTGGTGGTCATAGAACAGGTAAGAAATAAGACCTAGTTTTAATTTCTGGTTACTAGCTAGGTGACATTTTTCAGTTATATATCCTCTCCGAGCTTCAGGGATCTTATTTAAAAGATGAAAAAGACAATAGCTTTATTTGGGGGCCGGCATGAGGATTAGTTATTTGTCTAGTACCTGGTACACAGAAAAATGTTAGTTATTAGTGTTAATGGAGAAGAAAGTTTTCAGGGAAAGCAAAAAAAACTAAACCATTAGAAATTTGTGTGAAAAGGAAGTGATCAGTATTTAAAAATACCTTAATATACAGAAAGAGGAGGGTGGAAATCTATTACAGATTAAGATAAACACTTAAGTGCATTTGAAATTACTTTTTGAATAAGAATAAAATAGCGTTCTCACCCAAAATTTGACTTACCACGAAAATTTCAAGAAAGTATTTAGCATAAAAAGCAGGCAATTCTTATATTTTTGGAATTCTACAACCCGATAATAAACTATAACTGATAAACATTAATGTAGGATTGCCATCATTAATTCATCAGGCTTGAGATGGTCCTTTAGCATCCGTGTTTTTACAAGCTCCATGGGTGAGCCAACTGGGCCATCCTCACTCTTGAGTGCACAGCAAAACTGCAAGACAACATGACCATCTGCTTGTAAGTTACAAGTCCATGTTCCTTCCACCATTTCTATCTAGGCTCTCAACATGCAGAAAACCCTAGGCACATGAAGCTGCATTTGCCTGTGGCTAGTGGGACTATGGATGATCTTCCCTCAACAGCAGAGCTTCACAACAACTTTATTTCTGGTCCAAGGAGGTCTAAGGAAGGATACAGCAAGCTGCCATACCAGAAGAGACCTGAGGAAGGCTGGTGAAATTCACATTTGGGGAAACTGGAAACTCTTCTTAGGTCTTTCTGAATCAATTAGCAGTTAGTAAATGTGACCTGAGATGGGGTTGGAAGGTGGGTAGGGAGCGTTTGTAGGGGAGGCCAAAGTTCTCTGGAAAACCAGTAAGGTCCTTAGGACTGGCCTCTGAAAACCTCTGCAGCCTGTCAAGGACTCTGTTACTTGGCTTTCTACTCTGTGTGGCTCCATCATGGTAGCCTCATTGGTTCCCCAAGTCAGCCATACTTCTTCCTCCTACAGAGCATCTTGCACAAGTCATTCCCTCCACTGGGGCTGCTGGTGAGGTTTCCTCTCTGCCTAGTTAAGGTATCTTCCTATCACCTCTCAACTGAATCACCTTTTCCCTCAGGGCTGCGTTCACTCCCCATAAAGCATAACTTCATAGCACTATGCTCCTTTCTTTTGAAGCACTTGCCCCAGTTTTAAAAACATAGCTCCATGATTCTTTAATGGAAACACTCACCTTGACAGTGTTTTAAGCTATACATTCCAGAAGGGCAAAGATCACACCTTTTAAAAAGTCAATCATTTTATCTCTAGCGCCTGCCCTGACACTAAGGATTTAAAAAAAAATAGTAATAATGAAAGGATGGAAATAGACAATGGCAATAAGACCCTCGAGAAATTTGAATTGGAAAAGCCTTTTGGTATTTTTAGGTCTAGAGAAATGTGGTGGATATGAGTTAGATATGATATTATTAATACCACTGCTACTCCAAGCTTCAATGATAGTCATGATATTTTCTAATGTTTTTGAAGCATTTACCACTATGAGTCAGGCAGGGTACCCAGCTACTCAATGTCATTTAGTATTCCTAACAGCACCCTAGGGTAGGGACAAGACCATTAATATTTTGTAGATGACAAAATCGAGCCTCAAAAGAAGTTTAGCAACATGCCAAGGGCACCCAACTCTTTTGGGAAAGCCAGAATTTTCACTAGCCATTGACGACCAAGCTCTGTTACTAAATCATAATCTATAACTGCCTATCATACTCCACCCAAGTTTTACCTAGAATCAGAGAATTTTTAATCTCTAGACATTCCAGTTGGGTAAATACAACTATTGCCACTTGACTGCAAGGGAAGTCAAAAGGTTAATCAACTTACTGTGTTTGCCGTAAAGGGAAATTTGAAATATCAGCAGAAAGAAATTTATCAATATGGCTTCAAACTGCTGTAAATTTAAAACAGATCACAGCCTTTCTACAAAAAATATGACTGCACTTCAGCATAAAGCCATTTAAAAATAACTATTTCCAGATACCATATGGGTTATGAACCAGTTTCACATGAGTAGTATAATTTTTGAAGGAAGTCGTTATTAGAAACACAAGGCTGAAAAATCATTTTAGACCAAAACTACAGGAAATATTTGAAGGTAGGTATCTTAATCGAAAAACAAATGTTGAAGCTGGTCAAGAGAAAACCTGCAGAGAGGAAGTTCAAAATTCCAGCAGACAGGGGAAATCCAAATTCCAAGAAGGCATGTAAGATATGGAGATTGTTTTGTAAAACACAGAGACCAGGTGAATTCCAAAAACATTACTGTTGTCAGAGAGCTGCACATTAAACGCTATTCCAGCTTTGTTCACTAAACAAGTGCCAGTCTTCATTGCCTTTTTTTTTTTTTTTAATTTTTTGAGACACAGTCTCACCCTGTCTCCCAGGCTGCAGTGCAGTGGCACAATCTTGGCTCACTGCAACCTCTGCCCCCTGGATTCAAGCGATTCTCTTGCCTCAGCCTCCTGAGTAGCTGGGATTACAGGCGCCCGCCACCACGCCTGGCTAATTTTTTTGTATTTTTAGTAGAGCTAAGGTTTCACCATGTTGGCCAGGCTGGTCTCGAACTCCTGACCTAAGGTGATCCACCTGCCTCAGCCTCCCAAAGTGCTGGAATTTTAGGCGTGAGCCACCACGGCCGGCCTGGATTGCTTTCTAGGAGACCCATACTGTCCCAAATCTAACACAATTATTTCTACATGTAGAGTAAAGAAAAAATAGCTTTAGAATCTAAGTTAGACATGGGAAAGAAGAAAAATCAACTGTGTAGAAAGGAGAAACTTTGTGTATTTATTCCTACATAAGTGAAATACACTGTATACAAAAGAAGGGCAGAGTCCTCATTTTTCCAAGTTTCCCAAGTACAAATATAAAGGATGTTAGACTTCCCACAGGCCATGGCTATAATGTTAAAATGCTATAATTAATATAACTTTTCCACTGCAAACATTTTCATTATCATTCAGCAGATGTTATATTAAAAGAAAGAAATAACTCCATGCTAAAGGGAATGCTCTTCTTTTTGACAAGTTTAATGGTTTCTTCTTAACTAGATAGTTATGTAGGTCTCATAGAATTTGGAGTCATTAACACAGTGATGTTAATCTATTCCAAGAACTGAGTAAAACTGCCCACTATACAGAGCATGAGAAGAAAATAGGATTTATACAAAAAAAGAGAAAATGTTGATATTTAGGATGATTGCAAACTGGTAGCAGACATGTGCTTTGTTTTGCCCATGCAGAGCTTACAAAAAATGTTGAGTAAGTTGCCCACATTAAACATTGGAAGATTTCACATCATATCCAGATGTTGGCTTGTCTGGAAAACTCAAAGCAGGCAACACTTGGACCTTGATCCTGAAAAACTGAAGACAGTAAGCACCTTCCCTACTGAGATGTAGCCTCCTGTCCCTGTCTGCCACAGGGTCCTCTGTGTTGTCCTATGTACAGCAAAATTGCTTTACCTACTTGTGTATCCTCCCTGACCTTAGGATTTGAGTTTGGGACACCCAATATAAAGGATGGTAAGGGTAAGAAATCAGGAAGAAGTAATCTAAAGAAGAGGAAGGGCCGGGCATGGTGGCTCACACCTATAATCCCAGCACTTTGGGAGGCCGAGGCAGGCAGATCACCTGAGGTTAGGAGTTCAAGACCAGCCTGGCCAACATGATGAAATATCGTCTCTACTAAAAATACAAAAATTAGCCGGATGTGGTGATGCATGCCTGTAATCCCAGCTGCTTGGGAGCCTGAGGCAGAAGAATCACTTGAACCTGAGAGGCAGAGGTTGCAGTGAGCCAAGATCACGCCACTGCACTACAGCCTGAGAAACAGAGAGACACTCTGTCTCAAAAACAACAACAACAACAACAACAACAACAAAAATAAATAAAGAGAGAAAGAGAAAGAGAGAGAGAAGAGCAGGAACCCCAGGGAGTGGTATAACAATCACACACGACAGAGAAACGGAGGGCTTCCAGAAGGCAGTGATCAAAGCTGCCAGACACTTCAGAAAAGTCAGATAACCTAAAGCCTGAGAGCAACCCACCACCTTTGCAACGAGGAGGCTGTGATAACTTTGGTAACGACCATTTTAAGGCATTGGTCTAGATCACGGTTTCTCAGTCTCTGCACTGTTGACATTTTGGGTCAGGTAAGTCTTTGCTGTTGGGGGTTGGGGGCTGTCAGTGCATTCATTACAGGAAGTTTAGCAGCATTCCTGGCCTCTACCCACTTGATGACCTTAGTACACACCCCGAAATATGATAACCTAAAATAACTCTAGCCACTGCTGAATACCCCCTGGGGTACAAAATTCTCCATGGTTGACAGCTACTGTTGTAGGTAGAAAACAGATGAAACTGTGTTAAGAAGTGTAAGTTTAAGACCTAAAGAGAGAGAAGACTGAAAATATGCACCTAGATGTTTGGGTGGGATGAGAAAAACCGTCATAGGGTAGCTGCTGCAGGGAGATGTTGAAAATACAAAAAATAATTTACTTAGGTATGTAGAAATAGAACTGACATGATCCTGTTCAGTGGCCATCAGCATCCTGACCTGACTGCTATCTTTTCTTGCAGGCCAAAAGGAACAATCCTTTGTGGGAAATGCCTCCCACCCCACTTTCATTCCATGTGATTCAGCTAGAAGCTAGACCCACCACCAGGTGTGGGGGATGCCACTTTACTCAGGCTTAGAGATGAGGCTATCTCAATCCCAGCCAAGGCACCAGCGCTGTGCACATTGCTGTCTTTGGTCTGAAACTGTTAACTGATAGGTAGTAAGGCTAGGTACCACTTCAGGCAGTGGGGGATGGTGAGGATGAAGCAGACAAGGAGGAAAGTAGGCCAGAGAGATGGAGAGACACCAAGTCCTTCTGACATCACTTAGCACCTCAATCCCCCAGAGTTAGAACTAGACACTTCTTTTTCACTTAAATTCAGGTGAATGAAGCATTTATCTCTTAAAAGAAAGCCTCAGAGAAGCTAGAGGAGTTCTGACTTAAGTTTTTATGTTGTTGTTTCCCTACCCTAGAAGATAAAACTAAGTGATGTCTTTTGTTTCTTTTCATTAAGAGACTCTACTACTACTTGCTAGTATTAGGGTTCTAGAAAGTTGCTTAATCACCCTGACCTTTTGCTGTTTCAATCGAGAAATGGAGAAGAAAACACTATACACTTCATAGAGTTGTCTGGGGCTGCAAGTAATATGCTGCCGAGCACAAAGTAGTAAAATGCCTTGGTTACACTAAGCATTCAAAACATGTCAATAGCTACTATTCAGGATGCAACCATGACTTATATTCAGGATGCAACCATGACTTGATTACCACTACTGCTGCTGCTACTACCACTCCTACTAATGATGATATTTACAACTATAACTGTAATGTCCCTAAGTAATAGTCTCTAGTATAAACTAATTACAGATAGCTTTGTCTGTACAATCTGGAATCCTATAGGAGTCTATCTTTAGGAAGAGAGTGGCTTATATGAACATCTTGCCAGGTATGGGCTCTTTAAAATAAGCAAAAAGGCTTTCAAGGATCAAGAACTCTATGGTGGCACTGGTTAATCAACGCCCCATAGCCAGATATCTCAAATAAGCTAATACAATTTAAAATGGAATCTCTGACCCTGCATACTTGAAAATCTACCCCCCAATTTGGGGTCTCATAGAAGACCTCCATGGTCTTATACCCATTCCCTATAGGCTCCTCACATCTCAGCTCCAGCTGCAGTAGACAGTTCAGGCTAAGCTCAGCCTTGCCTCCAGCAGACCACATCCCACCTAGAGCCAGCATTACATATCTTCGCACCTGTTCCCCATGCTTTTCTTCTATCCCAGAGTCTACTTAGCCTCCAGCCATCCTTTGGGGATGGAGTGAGTTAAGACCCCTGGGACTACCCCTGATTAATGGAGGGTAGAACCCAGTGAACATCCTATTTCAGGGGGAATTGTGTGTGTGTGTGTGTGTGTGTGTGTGTGTCTGTGTGTGTGTGTGTGTGTGTGTGTTTTGTTTTTTTTTTTTTTGAGACGGAGTCTCGCTCTGTCGCCCAGGCTGGAGCGCAGTGGTGCAATCTCAGCTCACTGCAAGCTCCGCCTCCCGGGTTCACGCCATTCTCCTGCCTCAGCCTCCTAAGTAGCTGGGACTACAGGCGCCCGTCACCGCACCCGGCTAATTTTTTGTATTTTTAGTAGAGACAGGGTTTCACCGTGGTCTCGATCTCCTGACCTCGTGATCCGCCTGCCTCGGCCTCCCAAAGTGCTGGGATTACAGGAGTGAGCCACCACGCCTGGCCTCTCTGTGGTTCTTAAGAGATTATGGCAGAATTTAACTCACAGTGCCCTCAGAAGAATCCTCTAGAAAGCATTCTTATACTGCTGTTGTTCCTTCCTTATCTCATTCTCTCTGTCTGCTCACTTCTGCTTCCTGGGATCACCTCCCAAATAAACTACCTGCACCCAAAATTCTTATCTCAGGCTCTATTTTGAAAGAAACCAAATTGCCAGGCATGGTGGCTCAGGCCTGTAATTCTAGCACTTTGGGAGGCTGAGGTGGGTGGATCACCTGAGGTCAGGAGTTTGAGACCAGCCTGGCCAACATGGAGAAACCACGTCTCTACTAAAAATACAAAATTAGCCAGGCGTGGTGGCGGGTGCCTATAATACCAGCTACTCAGGAGTCTGAGGCAGGAGAATTGCTTGAACCCAGGGACAGAGGTTGCGGTGAGCCGAGATCATACCACTTCACTCCAGCCTGGGCAAAACAGCTAAACTCCATCTCAAAACAACAACAATAACAACAACAACAAAAGAAAGAAAGAAACCAAATTGTAACATAAATCAAGCCACAATAATCCAAGATAATAGCAAATATGTTTACTGTGTACTAGATGCCATTTTCAGACCTTTACTGAAATTAATTCATCATTCCTTTGAAATGGATGATATTACTGATTCCATTTCAGAGATATAGAAAGGAAGGCACAGAACATTTAAATAATTTGCCCAAATCCCACAGTCACCAAATGGTGAAGCCAGGTTTGGAATTCTGGCTGCAGAGCCTCAGTCACTGTAGTATGCTCTCCATCTCTACACTAGAATTGACAAGTTCTGTGTGAAGATGAACTTTATGTATCAAATTGACTGGGCTAAGGGATTCTCAGATAGCTGGTAAATGTTATTTCTGGGTGTGTCTATGAGGGCATTTAAGGAAGAGAAAGCATGGGAATCAGTAGACTAAAGAGGATTCACCCTCACTGACACAGAGAAGCATCATCTAATTTCTTGAGGGTCTAGACAGAACGAAAATGAAGAGGAAGGATGAATTTGATCTCTCTCTCGCTCTCTTTTCTTGAGCAAGGATATCCATCTTCTTCTGCCCTAGGACATCCACACTCCAGGTTCTTGGACTTCTGTAGTTTAGGACTTACATCAGCAGCCCCCACATTCTCAGGCTGTCAGCCTTGGAGTAAGAGTTACACCTTTGGCTCCCTTGGGTTTCAGGTGTTCGGACTCAGGTCAAATCACATCACTATCTTTTCTGGTTCTCTAGTTTGCAGACAGCATATTGTGGAAATTTTCAGCTTCCATAGTGGCACGAGCCAATCCCTATAATAAGTTCCCTAGCTACCTACCTACCTAATTGTATGTCCTATGGGTTCTGTTTTTCTACGGAACGCTGACTAATACACTCGGTCTCCTTCTAGAACCGTTGCAAACACACAGGTATACAAAGAACTTTAGTTATATAATGAGATACTCAATTTCCTAAGTTTCCTGCTGCAGCACAAAATATGACCCATCACTTGCTTCCTGCCCAGTGAAAGGAATATTCCACTGGCAGATGTCCAGTCCCTCCACCTCTGAGCACTCCTGTCCTCTTCTGGAAGCAGGCCTAGGGGCCAGCAATGTCTGTTATCCCGATAGTCCTGGAACACCCTTCTACGTGTGTTAGGTTCTAACATAGAGAGGGCTTTTCCAGGCTCCTGCAAATCCCTGGGTGGGGCCTGGAGCATTTGAGGTTGAGAAGGAAAAAACTGAATCTACTTGTAAGCGGTGGCCGAGATCACTAATGGGGATTTCAACTCTGCGAGCAAATTTAAGTCCCACATTTAGGCAGAATGTAAATAACTTTTAAAAATAACTTTAAGTAGAAGATTTATTTACATGCCTTCCCTTCCCTCATTTGATCAACTTGAATAATTAAAGACTAATGATAGAAAATACATTTTCACAAAACAAAGTGAAGGCTGGATGAGCACTGTTGGCCTCCAAAAAGCAAAGTTTTGACTTCCAGGTCTCATCTTTACAAAATTATTCTAACTCTCTGCCTTTTTAAAAGGTACCTGGCTCAAGACCAAGAACTCCAGCCAAGGTTGAATGCCCTGAATTTTTTACCTTTGTGTCCAGCTTCCTCATGGGAAATGCCCCAAATGTCACTGAAACACAACCTCTCTCAAATACACATGGAGCAACTGCCGGACAGCAATCACATGGTGATACATTATTAATAATTTTTCACCATTACCATAAATTACAACAAACAGTAGCCACTATATTAACCGCTTATTATGTGCCAAGTACTGTTTAAACATTTGTACTTGTGTTAATGCAATTTCATACTCACTATAACGATGTGACAGATAATAATGTCAAATTTGTAGTTAAGGCAACTGATGCACAAAGAGGTCAAATGACTTACCCAGGGTCATATAGATAAGTGGGAAAGAAAATAATTAATTATTAAGAAAGTGTTAGTACCATTAGTCCAGAAAGAATTTTTTTATCCTTAGGCTAATTGTTAATAATAACGACCAGCACTTATTGAGCATCCTTTAAGTCACCTCATTTAATCCACATAATGAAATTTGGAGGTAGGCAGTATGAAGAGTAAGCAACTTTCTCAATGTCACAACAATTTTATCAAGTGGCAGAGCCAGTATTTGAACTCAAGATTATCTATCCTCAGACTCTGTGCTTCTAACTCACTACACATCCCACTATGATATGACATGAAAAGATAGAAAATCAGAGAATGGGAGGAGAGAAGGTTTAGGGACCAATGTAGTTAAAAGTCAATAGTAATAGTTCCCTGCCCTCTGAATATCTCTGCCCCTCTGCCTGGAATAGAGCCTGTTGATGGCTTAGTCAGGTCCTCTGAACAACATCTAAATGACCTGTGTGTCTCAGCCAGTTTACTATCTGTTAGGGGAGACTGAGTCATTCATTCATTCAAAATAGATATGTTGAATATTCATATACATCAGAGATGCTGGGAAAAATCAGACACAGCCCTCCTCACAGCACTTACAGTCTAGTGAGAGACAAATAACCAAGGAATCACACAATTTCAAATAAGTAACTTGAAAGGAAGGGACACGATGCCATGCAAGTACAAAACAAAGGGACTTGAGTGAATCTAGTTGGAGAAGAGGGTTGGCTGGGAAGGAAGGCTTTCCTAAGAGTGTGACCTTGGAGCAGAGATCTGAATGACAATTGGAGTTTTAAACTGGAAGCAACCCACCCTTCCTCCCTCCCTCCCTCCCTCCCTCCCTACCGTCCTCCCTTCCTCCCTTCCTCCCTTTTCCTCTGCTTTCTGCAGAGTACAATATGAAAATTCTTCAGAAGGTAATTCTTGTGAAACAAAAAGCTTTGCCCTTTAAAGACAACTGTGTCTCCTAACAGGAGGAAGAGGAGGAGGTGGAGGAGCAAAAAAACGTGAATGAATAAATCAAGAGCTTGAACTGACTTCTGCATTTCTGCTAAAACAATTATCAAACTCCACAAGCCAATAGATGCCTATGACCAAAGGGAAGGTGGAACTTTTCAGGGCAACAAGCAAATAGATTTGGAGGATACCTTTTCAGGGTCACAAAAAATTAGATTTAGGGGGGAAACAGATTTTGAGTGCAAACCTCAATTCCACTGTACTATATAATCATACATACCTAGGATTTCTCTATAAGTTCTTCTCTATAAGTCTGCAGAACCAATGGCCATAATAAAATTACAAGAAAGAAGAAAGGAAATCTTAGAAAATTTACTATGGGGCTAAATGTCATCTAAGAATCAACACTGGAAATAAGAGCAAACATAATTTGACTCTCAAATACATAGTAGATGGAGTAGTTAACAGTGCTGGACTGTTTTGTCTGTTCTGTTTGTGTAATGAAAGGATATAACTTCCCTAAACCCAAACCACGTCATTCTGTCCATCTTGTTTTCTAATGTATTTCTCACAGAGTGCACTCTGTGATCCTTTGCGTCTAAGGTGACTGATTCTATGCTAGGCTCTGAAGCTGCAAAGATGAGAATAATCACTCTCTATCCTCAAGAAGTTCCTTATCTACTAGGAAGATGGCCAAGTAAACTGGTAACTGCAGTGCAGCATGATGACAAAGATAAGCCCCAAGAGCTCAAAGCATGAATCCTTAACACAGTCTGGGAGTATCACAGAAGAATTTTTGCTGAAAAGGATGTTTGAACAGTGTCTTAATTAACAAGGCCAGAGCCCCCAGAGCGGGGGAATGTTTTTAGCACTGCTGTTAATTACCTTAGCCACTGGTGAGGAAAAAATTCAGAGTGATTTTGGGCAGATCAGCTCTGACTAAAGGTGACATTAAAATCCAGACAAAGGGAGCATTTGTCTTGAAGCAGCACTTGGCCACCCCTGGGCTGGGACTGGGAGAGAAAATGTGGACTCCTCAGACACATGTTGACAGCTAAGTGGATCCAAATTCATGTCCAGACAGGGAGCTCATGGTCAACTGCATTCAAAATTTTTCAATCCTGAATGAAAATCAAACTGAAACAGCAGAATCCTTTTCAATACCTCGAGCACCTTTCCATCCCACTTGGGAGAACAGCTTGCAATGTCCAATCCTGCATCCAATTCAGCTCTCATTTTGATCATCAATAGGACAGATTTATTGTAATGCTTTGAATGAGCAGATGGCCTGTAGTCAAGTTTCAACTCAATTTGATGTTGAGGACATAAACCTTAGGAAATGATCCCTTCCTGTGTGTTCTTAATTTCAACTTTTCCTAAGTGAGAAAGCAGTATTAAGCCTACAAAAGTTATTCCTCTGCTTTAATAGATGGGAGATCTTGAGTGATTAACCTCTTGTATTGTCTGCCAGGACTTTCCTAACAAAATACCATACACCATGTGGCTTATACAACAGAAAGTTATTTTCTTACAGTTCTGGAGGCTAAAAAGTCTAATATCGAAGCTCTGGCCACTATGGTTCCTGATGAGGGCTGACTTCCTAGGTTACAGATGGTCACCTTTTCACTGTTTCCTCACATGGTAGAGAAGGAGATCTCTGGTATCTCTCCCTCTTCTTATAAAGACACACTGGTCCTATCAGATTAGAGCCCCTTCTTTATGACCTCATTTAACCTTCACTACACTCTCACAGATCCTACTTCCAAATATATCAGGGTTGGAAGATGAGAAAGTGACGATCTAATAATCTATGTAAGAAAATGAAAGAAATATTAAACCCAAAGCAAGCAGTAGAAAAAAAATCCACATTTTTCAATTCACTTTATGAAGGTAGTCTAACTTTGATACCCAAACCTGACAAGGGTACAACAGTAAAATTACAGACCAAATTTTCTCACAAACATACAGATGTGAAATCTTAAAAATTTACAAATGAAATCTAGCAATGACTAAAAGTGACACTACATCATAACCAAGTAAGTTTTATACCAGAAAGCCAAAGCTGGCTTAACATTTGGAAAACCAATCCATTTACTGAGGAAAAAAAGAGAAAAATCATATGGTCAAAATAGATGCTGAAAATATAATGTATAGGTATAAATTATTAGAGAATTACAAATAAAAGGTGTTATCATCAATCTGATAGAGGGTATCTCAAAAGAAACCCACAGTTAACATCATGTATAATAGTGAAATAAAATCTTGCCCTCCAAGATCACGATTGAAACAAAGATGCTTGCTTTTATCACTTGTAATTATCACCACACTTGAGGTCCTTGACACTACAATAAACAATAAATAAATAAACAAATAAATCCATGAAGATTGGGGGAAGGGGAGGACTGTCATTATTCATAGGAAACATGATTGTATATTAAGAAAACTGAAAAGAATTTATAACATTACCAGGTATATACCCAAAGGAAAATAAATCATTCTACCAAAAAGACACACGCACTCATATGTTCATCACGGCACTATACACAATAGCAAAGACGCAGAATCAACCTAAAAGCCCATCAATAGTGAACTGGACAAATAAAATTTTGTACATACACACACAGCCATAAAAAAGAATATCATTTTTTTTGCAGCAACATGAATGCAACTGGACACCATTATCCTAAGCAAATTAACAAAGAAACAGAAAGCCAAATACTGCATGTTCTCACAAGGGGGAGCTAAACATTGGGTATATATGGATATAAAGTAGGAAAATTAGACACTGGGGATTACTAGAAGGGAGAGGAAGGGAGAAGAGAAAGGGCTGAAAAACTACCTATTGGGTACTCTGCTCACTACCTGGGTGACAGGATTATTCATACCCCAGACCTCAACATCATGCAAAACACTCATGTAACAAACCTGCACATATATACCTCCTGAATCTAAATAAAAATTGAAGAGAAAGGAATTTATAAGTAAACTTCTACAATTGATAAGTGAGAGTGTTCTTAATAAGAGTCTATATACAAAAATCAACTTTATTTATACCTATCTGTAGCAGAAAATTAGAAAATAAATACAATTATTCCATTTTAAATAGCATAAAAATATCAAACAGGCACGAATAACAATCTAAGAATGAGCAAGATCTCTATAATGAAAACTACAAAACACCACTGAAAAGAATTTAAGACTTAACCAAATTAGATGTACCATGTTCATAGACGGAAAAGCAATAACATAAATATTAGCCTGTAAATTCAATGCAGTCCAAATAAATACCCCAGCAGAATTTTGGTAGAAATTGGCAAACTAACGCTAAAATGCAAAGAACACAATATAGTCACGACAATCCAAAAGTACAAAGATGAGGGACTTATACTCCTAAATACGTGTAAGACATGTTACAAAGCTACCATAATTAATAAGGTGTGGTATTAGAATAAAGACTTTTTTAAAAAGTGAAATAAAATACAGAACTCAGAAACAAACCAACACATACACAATCACCTATGACAAGTATCAGCTAGCAATGTAGTGTGCCTGTAGTGTCTTTCTGATAAAATGCTGTATCAGGTGAATTTCCAATTGGGAGAAAATGGTAGCTAGACCTGCATTTCCTATCATCCAAAAACTCAATTCCAAGCAGATTATAAACTAAATGTAAAGGCAAATAAATATAACTTATAGAATTTTACATTGGAAAATATTTTCATGATCTTGGATGTAAGAAAGCATTTTAATACAGGAAGCCAGAGACTGATAAATTGCGAGAAATTAAAATTTAAAAAGTGATTCATTATTAAAAAGCCATTAAAAGGATAAAAAGGCATACCAGGATGTACAAGAAAATACTATTATCCAAAGAGATGCCATACCCAGAAAAATCTAATAGAAAAATGGCAAAAAACTTAGGGAGATATTTGACAAAAGAGGATATCTAAATGTCCAGTAAATGTGAAAAATTTGCTCAACTTCTTTAGTCATCAGAGAGACACAGATTTACTATATGATATACCAAGCATACTCTAGATTAAACTTTAAAAACACAAAAATACCAAGTACTGGCAAAGATGAGGAACATGTGGAACTTGTGTGGAGAGTTTGTGGGAATGTAAATTGGTAGAACCACTTCAGAAAACTGACATTTTCTACCGAAGCTGAATTTGCACATGCTAGATGACCGAGAAATTCCATTTCTAGATAAATATAGCCAACAGAAATGAGTACATTTGAACCATAAGACCTGCAAAAAGAATAGTCACAACAGCATTATTTGTAATATCCCCAAACCAGAAACAACCCAAATGTCTGTCAACAAAAAAATAGATAAATAGTGGTTTATTCATGAGGTGAGATACTTTGAAGAAACGAGAATAAACTACAGCTACATATAACAATATGGATGGATATTATGAACATACTGTTGAGCAAAAGAAACTCGACAAATTAGAGAATTAGAGCACTCTATTGATTGCATGTATACAAAGTTCAAAAAAAGGCAAAACTAACCTTCAGTGACAGAAGTCATGGTAGCAATTATGTCTGTGGAGTGAGACAATTTGGAACTGAGAGAAGGTATGAGTGAAGGCTTTTGCAATGATGGTGACATGATATATTTTCATCTGGTTGGTGGTTAGAGGAGTGTGGCCACTTTCTGAAAATCAATTAGCTGTATACAACAGTTCCTCCTTAACCACATTTCACTCTCCATGGTTTCAGTTACTCAAAGTCAACCACAGTCTTAAAATAGATGAGTAATTATAAGATACATTGAGAGAAAGGCCATAGTCACATAACTTTTAATACAGTATATGTTACACTTGTTCTATTTTATTATTATTGATAATCTCTTACTGTGCCTAATTTATGTTAAACTTTATCATAAGTATGTGTATATATATACACACATATATATAAAAATAAAGAAAAAACAGTTTAATATTGGGTGCAGTACCATCTGCAGTTTCAGGCATCCACCGGAGGTACTGGAACGTATCCTCTGAGGATAATGGGAGGGCTACGTACTCATTATTTGTGTACCTTTCTAAACATATATGCTATTTCCATTAATTATTTTTAAAGCAGAAACTGAAATATTCTTCAAAGGAGAGAAAGCGGTATGTAGGATTGCAGAAGCACCTTGCAAACTAAGTGGCCACATTTTAGTCAAAACCTTTAGACTAAAGCTACATTGCCTGAAGCCTTGTCCTACGAAACAGACACCGAAGAAAATAGAGATAAGAAACTGCATTAGTGTCAAAAGTAGCATTTAACTGGGGACTGGCTTATTCCACAGAGAATAACAAAAAACTGTTCTCCTAAGCTGATATGACAGGATAAATAGTATCACAGACATTCTGCTCGCAGTAGCTGACTCAACAGCCAAGGCTGACAGATTTACAATGGAGAACTGAATCCTGAGATCAAAAACCATGTGCTCTGTTCGGGGCTTGATGACCTACAGTATACACTGAAACCCTTAAATCAACAGGTTTATGGCATTTATGGTGAACCACTCTGACGGGTCTGCTTCATCAAACAAGCCTTGTCTTGAATCTCAGCTCAGCTAAAAGCTAGGCTATCAAAGGCAAGCATTTACTAACATGGGAGGAAAAATGCTCCATTTTGGTTCAAATGCTTAATAGAAATCTTTCTTGTGCTTTTGGAGTAAAGAAAAAAAAAGGCACCAATGTATAGAGACGTTTATAATCTTTAAGACCTATAGTGCTAGAAAAGATTTATTCGGTGATTCCATACCTCCTGCTAATATTACCGTACTAGAATTCTCAGTATTTGTCTGGGTGGGATCAAATTGACTCACCCGATACTACTTACCTGGGGGACAATTACATATAGGACTGTATAGATCTATTAAATTTTGATGCTCTATAATAGTGTCTCAAACTATTTTGACTAAAAGCCATGGCTAAGAATTACCACACACACCCACACACATTTTATAACATGGCTCAGTGCACAAACACACTACAAAGTTTTACGAATACCCATTCTTCCTAGATATTATACAATCAGATGTAGTCTCTTCTATTTTATGTTACTCTATGATATTTTCTTTCTTATTAATGTTGGTCATAACCAACTGAATTGATTTATGACCCAAGAATTGGTTGCAACCCAAATTTGAAAAAAAAAAAAAAATTCCTACAAAGAATCAAAAATGTTTAAATGTATGACTAGGCCTCATCTTTTTTAAAAAATTTCACTGATTCTCAAAATTTGGTGAGCATGAGGATCCTCTAGCATGCTTATTGAAAATACAGATTCAACAGATCTGGAATGGGGCCTAGGAATCTGAATTTTTATCAAGCACTCCAAATAAGGCCTATGGAGGTACACTAAAGATGGCAGTTTGAGAACTGCATCCCTAATCCTATCTTCAAATGAGTAAACTGAAGCCTAGAAACGGGAAATAATTTGCACAAGAACACAATATTTGTTGAGTCCTGGGACTAAAACCAAGTCTCTCGACCCCCCTACCATCTTGGCAGGTAGCCAGAGACCGCCCTTGCTTGTTGTAATCCCTGCTGAGAAACCGATGGTATAAGAACAATAAAATTGAGCATTAGAAAGGAGAAACTAATAACACTGGATGTCCCTTTTCAGAAATGAGCTGGACCCAGACCCAGGACTGAGTACAGGTAGCTGGGAACCCCTTCTAGCACCCAGCCAATATGGCAACAGAAATGCATTTAGTGCGACAAATCATTCTAAAACCTTCCTTTTTATCATCAAACTTCACAGTGTGGCAAAAAATATAACATTCTGGCCTTTCAGATACTCCCTGTTTATTCACTAGTTTTGGAAGACCATTACATCTTTTCCATTGGCTCACTTATTCCAACTGAAACCCTCATTTTCCCGCAAATGCCAATGAAACATGAATATCAACTGACTACCTGTTTTAGGTGATGAGTGGAACAGAGTAGTATGGCAGCAATGATTTATTGTGATGCTTGATGCTTATTGAGTATTTGGGTTCCTGGAGTATACCAATCATTCCACCTTGCCACAGGGCATTCATACTCGCTGCCATCCTGCTGGGGTGCTCTTCCTGATCATAGCCACATGGCTGGCTCCCTGACATATATATATCTCCCGGTCTCTGTCAATTCATCAGCAAGACCTTTCCTGGCATTCTGTATGAAAGAACATGCTGGAGTCAGTCTCATGCCAACGCCTTTTTGCAGGACCACTAGGGCCATATTGCTTTCTGGATACTCTCTGGTTGGACCTGCTTGGCGCTTGAGACATATTTCATGAGTCAGTAGATAGACTTGGACTTTAAAAATATTTAATAATAGATCATTATTTTGGAGTTCATACACTCATGACACTAGCCATCTAGTACAGGAGACAGGCATTATTCAAATAAGCACATGACTAAATGTGAAAACACAATTGGAGTGTGTTATGAAGAGGTGCAAAGTCAACTTTACCATTGAATGGTGAAAAGGCCTTGTGATGGTTAATTTTATTTGTCAACTTGATGGACCACAGAGTATCCAGAATTTTTTTTTTTTTTTTTTTTTTTTTTTGAGACAGAGTCTTGCCCTGTCACCTGGGCTGGAGTGCAGTGGCGCAATCTTGGCTCACTGCAACCTCTGCCTCTCAGGCTCAAGCGATTCTCCTGTCTCAGCCTCCTGAGTAGCTGGGATTATAGGTGCCCACCACCAAGCCCAGCTAATTTTTTGGTATTTTTAATAGAGACGGGGTTTCACCATGTTGGCCAGGATGGTCTTGAACTCCTGACCTCGTGTTTCACCTGCCTTAGCCTCCCAAAAGCACTGGGATTACAGGCAGGAGCCACCGAGCCCAGCCAGTGCCCAAAGATTTAAGCATCATTCTGGGTGTGTCTGTGAGGGTGTTTCCAGGTGAAACAGACATTTGATTCAGTAGACTGAGTAAAGCAGATGGCCCTCCCCAATGGGTCTCATTCATCCACCAGGTGGGTCTCATTCATCCACTGAAGGCCTAAATAGAACAAAAAGACTGAGTAAGGAAGAATCCCTCTGTCTCTGAGCTGGGATATGCATCTTCTGCTGCCTTCTAACTCAGACTGTAACTCGTACCATTGGCTTTTCTGGGTCTCCATCTTCTCAACGAGTCTTGGGACTTCTCAGTCTTTATAACGCATGAGTCAAATAATATTATAATAGTATAATAAATTTCTTTTTTTGAGACAGGGTCTCGCTGTAACTCAGGCTAGAGTACAGTGGCACTATCATACTCACGGCAGCCTGCAATTCATGGACTCAAGCGATCCTCCTGCCTCAGCCTACCAAGTAGCTAGTACTACAGAAGTATGCCACCATACCCAGCTGATTTATTTCTTTCATGTATTATAGAGATGGGGTGTATTAGTCTGTTTTCATTTTGCTAATAAAGACATACCCAACACAGGGCAATTTATAAAAGAAAAGAAGTTTAAGGGGCTCACAGTTCCACATGGCTGAGAAGGTCTCACAATCATGGTGGAAGGTGAAACGCACGTCTTACATGGCAGCAGGCAAGAGAGAATGAGAACCAATGGAAAGGGAAAACCCCTTATGAAACCATCAGATCACATGAGACTTATTCACTACCACAAGAACAGTATGGGTGAAAATGCCCCCATGATTCAATTATCTCCCACCAGGTCCCTCCCACAACACATAGAAATTATGGGAGCTACAGTTCAAGGTGAGATTTGGGTGGGGATACAGCCAAACCATATCACAGGGTCTCACTATGTTGCCCAGGCTGGTCTTGAACTCCTGGTTTCAAGCAATGCTCCCGCCTCCGTCTTTGAAAGCTCTGTGATTGCAAGCATGAGACACCATGCCTGGCCCTTATAATGCATTTCTTTACACACTCACACACACATATACATTTATATGTATAAAAAAAAACTTGTTGGTTCTGTTTCCATGCAGAATTCTGGCTAATATGCACCCATTCATGCTCATCCTAGCAACAAGAATAGACAGAGGAGTCACACCTGAAGAGCACCCACTGCTATTTCCCTAAACTGATAATTCTTTCTGTAGAATAAAGGCCACCTGACCTGCTCCTCATTTCAAGTATTCCTGAGAAAACCCTCCCCTACTTTTTGGGCCTAAGGAAACCAGGACTCAGCAAGGGAATAAAACATTAAAACTAAAGACAGGCTCTAACTCTCCAGCTATGGAAGAAACCACCTCTAGGGTAGAGTGCAGAAAAACCTTACTCCTGGGGTGACTTCTCCTGCCTTTCTGTGGAAATTATCTGCTTCAGTGCTAGCATTGCCACCAGCAAGGAAAATTTGTTCAAATCCATTTGAGTAGAAATACAGGTTAACTAAAATTTCTGATACACTAAATGTGACCTCAAGTCAGATACAATTTATTTTTGAATGCCCACTGCTCTGAATTATTTTTGTCACTCAACCCCTCTATTAGGGAGGGAAATTTATAATAGTGGGACATTGGGTTTTAATTTCCTGACCATGGATATTTTTAAAACTATAATTGCTTTGCTTTCTACATATGTTATTTAGTATACTTAAATATGTTATTTAGTATACTTAAATATGTTATTTAGTATAGCTATTTAGTATAACTAAGAAAGTTATTACAAAAACAAACCATAAGGCTGACACTTAATAAAGAGGTTTCCATCTGAAAAAAAAAAAAAGCAAAAGTTAATTAAACTAGCAAGTTTTAACCAAACATAATTAGAAGAAAATCAACATGTACGTTCTGAAAATGTTCAGAACATGGCCTATTTCATTTATCTTCAAAAGAAACATTTAATTTAGTCTCTATTTTAAATTCAGTTTTTGCCATCAGAATTGTACAGTTTTCTATACAACTACATAGAAATATGATGACATAGAAATTTCTGCATAGAAACTATATGACCCATATAATGGGTGCATATTAGCCAGAATTCTGCAGAGAAACAGAACCAACGTAAGTATATAATGGCCAAGTGCCTCCAAACCAAAATATCAACCTGTCCACATCAGAGTATTCAGCTGAAAACTGCATATTCTCTGAAACTACTGTTTGAAGGACAAACAATTTTAGCAAACCAGTCAATACAAAGGGACTATTACTCAACCTGTTTGCTTTCACTGTATCTGTTAGGGAACTTCAGGGTAGGAAATGGCTATACCTGTACTGCCCAAGACAGCAGCCCTTAGTGGACACTTGAAATGTGGCTCGTCTGAACTGAAAGTGCATTAAGTATAAAATGCACACTGGACTCTGAAGACTCATGTGAAAAATAAAAGTATTTCATTAATTTTTGCCGATTATTATTTTGAAATACCAGTTTTAAGGAATTGGATTAAAATATAATACCAACATAAATTTTCCCTATTTCTTTTTGCTTTATTTTTTCCTATGGCTACTAAAAAATTTAAAATTATATCGGTTGACTTGCATTATATTTCTACTGTACAGCGCTAGCCTGAAGCAAAGAGATGGTAGAGTTCCACACATCACAAAAAAGAAATAGGAGATTTCATGGGGGAATAAAACAAACTTCTGTTGTCATTATTTAAAAATAAAGATCTACTGCATACTAAAATTAGATTCATTCAAATAAACATCTTCAAAGACACAAATGAACTGCATATGAAGGTTGAGCAATGGTAATCCATCAATAAGAATTCTTGGTTTACATCATTACCCCACATGTCATCATCCAAACAAATAAAAGAAATCAATTAAAAATGGTTATAGAGTGTGAAGTCATCCTCTAAGCCAACCATGAAGCCTCTGTCTCCCTCCAACTGCTCAGACAGGCACATAATGTGCTCACTTGTATTTACTACTTTAAAAGCATCTGCAGTTATTGTTGGCAGACACAGAGAGGTGAGTAATAACAAGACAACTGACATAGAAAGTAGTGAATCAACAAGACCAGTAATGTATCCAAGATGCACTGTGAGGAACAAATATTGACAATGCTAGATGCCATAATACTCTGTGCTGTGGGCACTGCACCCAATAAATGTTGATTCATGAAGTGTGTAGGCAAATTGCCCATTGCGTCTACCTGTCAGCCAGTATATGCTCAATGCGCTTATTGCACTATGCTTGCCTGCTTCCTCTATGAGACTAGGAGCTCTTTGCGGAAAGTGTCTATAACTCATTCATTTCTATCATAGTTTGGACTTTCATTTCAAAATGTCAGAAATGAAAGTTAAACTAGATTAACAGAAAAGTGGAGAGGGGTTTATGCATAAGATACCCACAGTACTTTAATTTCAGGCATAGCTGCATATCACCACTATGATGACCCTACTCTCAGGGGGCAAGATGGTTGCCAGCAACCCTGGGATTATCTTCCATCCTCTTTGCTAACCCCAGGTGTCCCAGAATTTGATTTTTATTGGCACCGATCTTGTTGCCTGTTTATTTCTGAACCAACTACTCTAGGTCAACGATATCTGATGTTCTGACTAGTCAGTATGTAAAACATGTCACCTTCCCACAGACTGCATGGACTTGAGGAAGAGGTGGGGAGGGTAGATCCTTAAGGAAAGCTTCAACGTTATCAGATGACTGGAGTAATGAATGCTGGGTAGGCAAAAAAAAAAAAAAAAATCAGAGGTGGCCACTGTCATTTTTGAGTCCCCACATAAAAGACACGCCATTGATGTTTTTCCCAATGGATGAAAAAATGAGAAATATCCAATGTATGAAGCACTTCAAACATAGAAATAATTTATCTATTTCTAAATTGCCAGGATAATTACATACATTCATGTAACAAACGTTTGAGTGCCTATTACTTGCCAGGGATGATTCCAGCCACTGGAAATACAGCAGTGAATAGCAGAGATAAAGCCTCAGCCCTCATGGAGCTGATATTCAAGGTGGAAGGCAGAATATGCTAGGCGATAAACAAGTGAGTCAAGCACTGGGCAATAAATAATATAAAGAAAATTACAGCAGAGAAGGGGGTTGGGGAGTGATGGGAGTGTCAGGGAAGACCATTCTGGAATGACAGTATTTGCATAGGGAACTGAGGGAAGAAATAATCAGATGGATACCTGGGGGAAGAGCATTCCAAGTGCAGTCACTGAGGTAGGACATCTGGGGATGTTGAAAGGCAGTGGAGCCCAGTGGAAGAGCTCAGTGGCATGCACAATAATGGAAGAGATAGGAAGTTAGATCCAAGGGACTTTGTAGGCCATGGTAAGAAATCTGGATTATATACTGATACGGTTGGGCTATGTCCCTACCCAAATGTCACCTTGAATTGTAATAATCCCCACATGTCAAGGGCAGGGCCAGGTGGAGATAACTGAATCATGGGGGTGGTTTTCCCCATACTGTTCTCATGGTAGTGAGTAAGACTCAGGAGATCTGATGGTTTTATAAATGGGAGTTCCCCTGCACAAGCTCTCTTGCCTGCCACCATGTAAGATGTGCTTTTGCTTCTCCTTTGCCTTCAGCCATGATTGTGAGACCTCTCCAGGCATCTGGAACTGTGAATCCATTAAACCTCTTTCCTTTATAAATTACCCAGTCTTGGGTAATTTGTCTATTAGCAGCATGAGAACAGACTGATACATATACTATGCTCAATGTAAAGCCATGAGCTGGTAGAGAAGAGGAAAATGAAGTCATCTCACCACTATGAGAAGAATAGACTAAAGGGACAGAAGAGATGAAAGAGTCATTAGAGAAGAAGCTGCTACAGGAATCCAGGTGAGAGATGAGAATGATTTAGAACAGTGATGGCAGCAGTGGTAAGAAGTGGTCAGAATTGCGCATGTTTTTAACTGACCTGGGAGCAATGAAGTTTACATGGCCTTGAGCATAAGATTACTCGGTATTTATATATCATGAAGGGCACAGAGGCAGTTGCTTACATTGCTTGCCCTTTAAAAATCAGTCTCATCACTTATTTGTGTTCCCAGGGTCCTTTGCACATACCTTAACTGTAATATTAATTTTGTTGCAGCATCCTTATGACATCATTACTGCTCACCCTCACATTGAAATGTCCAAGAATTTAGGAATCAAACTATCATTTTGGCATTCTTATAGTCTGTCATAATGTGAAGACATACAGTAGGCTGAGAAAAATGTTTTAGAAGTGTGAATGGGAGGATAGGTGGGTGGGTGGATAGCTGGGTGGGTGAGTGGGTGTGTGGGTGGATGGATGGGAGAATGGAAGAAGGCATAGAGGGAAAAGAAAAAGAAATGTCAAGTTGTTAGTTACTGGCAGCTAGAAACACAAGCCCAAAGTGACTTTGACTTTGCTTACCTTATATATTTATAAAGATATTGAGAAATTTAGAACATGCTGCTAATTATATAAATGCCAGTGTACTACTCACTGTTAGCTGATGGGTCTATTCAACGAAGGGACGGCAGAGAAAGGTTAAATGATTAGGTCAGCTGGTGAGTCTATGCAGATGGAAGAATTAGGTTCCACATCTAACAATCCAATTGCAAAAGAGCTCTTTGCCTCTTCAAGTATGGCGACTATTTTTAAAAGAACTAAAGTGTAAGTGGCATATGTATACATGTGCCATGCTGGTGCGCTGCACCCACTAACTCATCATCTAGCACTAGGCTAAAACTTAAAGTATAATAATAATCATCATCATAATAAAAAAAGTGTAAGTGGCCCAACTACATACAATAGATAGAAAAACCTAATACACCTTTCCAAGGTTCTCAGGCAAGGGCACACATTTGCAAAGCACAGGAAACATCCCTTATTTCATTTTCAGAACAGCTCATCGCTCCTATTCTTACAGGTCAAGAGAATATAGAGGACATTTAACTTTGGTCTTAGGTCAACTGCAAAAGCCCAGAAACAGAATCCACATTTCAAATCTACATCCACGTGGTTAGGCCCCTTTCCTCATAAAAATGCAAGGGTGAATTTTATTATAAATACATCTCTGTTTCTTTAGAGATCCAGTCATTTTCAGGAGTCTGGGTTGTCATGCTGTGAAATTCAAAAGCAAATACACATCTATTAAAACATTCCCAGATGGGTTTTCTGCTGCCATCCAATCGACTCCCAGCCCACACACACCATTCATACATAGTCTCAGCAGCTAAGTACCTCAAACATAGATTACCTGAAATCATTATTCATAATGACAATGAAATAAACAGCAGGTTACTCTGAAAAAAATAAACTCATATAAGTGCACTGTCGTAAAGAATAGAGTTTGTGATTGTGCTCTATGAGTAGTTCTCAGCTAGGGACAACTGTGCCCCCAGGAAAGATACTAGGCTATGTCTGGAGACATTTTTAGCTGACATAACTGGGGGTTGCTACTGGAATCTAAAGGGTAGAGAGGCCTGGAATGCTGCTAAACCTCCTACAATGCACAGACATGCCCTGCACAAGAAAGAATTATCCATCCTAACAAACCAATATGTCTCCAGACAGCTTCCCCCTAGAAAGAATTATCCATTCTAACACATCACCAATGCCCGACTGAGAAACCCTGAGCTAAACATAACAATTTCCTAAGCAATTTTAAATAGTGAATATCTAAGAAAACTTGCTTCTTCTCTTTGGGCTTACTGTCTTACAAGTCATTGACAGGATAATTTAAGATGGCCATGAATCTGAAAAGGGGACTATTTGGTGAACACCTGCCAAAGAGTGGGCACTATAGATATTTTCTGTATTTGTTTTCTATTGCTGCCTAACAAATTACCACAAACTCAGCAGCTTAAAAACACCCAATTATTCGCCGAGTGCGGCAGCTCACGCCTGTAATCCCGGCACTTTGGGAGGTCCAGGCAGGTGGATCACAAGGTCAGGAGTTCGAGATCAGCCTGGCCAACGTGGTGAAACACCGTCTCTACTAAAAATACAAAAATTAGCTGGGCACGGTGGCAGGAGCCTGTAATCCCAGCTACTCAGAAGGCTGAGACAGGAGAAATGCTTGAATCCAGGAGGCGGAGACTGCAGTGAGCCAAGATCATGCCACTGCACTCCAGCCTGGATGACAGAGCTAGACTCCATCTCAGGGGGAAAAAAAATCAATTATTAACTCCCAGTTGTGTAAGTCTGAAGTGTGGGTACAGTGTGACTGTGTTCCCTGCTTAGGGTCTTCAGGATGTCACCCAGGCTACATTCCTTTTTGGAGGCTCCAAGAAAGATTCCACTGCTAAGCTCACTCAGGCTGTTGGCAGAATTCACTTCCCTCTGGTTGTAGGACTGAAGCCCCCTTTCCCTGCTGTCAGCTAGAGGTCACTCAGCTCTCTGACACCCCCTTCTCACCCCTAGAGCCCCATGTGCCTTGTGTCATGGCCTCTTCCATCTCCAAAGTCCACAATGGAGAATTTCTCATATGCTAAACCCCTCTAGCTATGAACCTCTCTGACTTCTTCTCCTCTCTTTGACCTCTGGACCCAATCAAATTTAAAGGGATCACGTAATTAGGTCAGACCTACCTGGAAAATCTTCCTATCTTAAAGTTAACCAATCTGCAGTCATGGTTACATCTGCAAAAACTCCTTCCCAGAAATAGACTGAATACTTGGAGAAAGTGTCGGTACACTGGGAGCCAGCAATTTTGGGGGCTGTCTTAGAAGCTGACCTCGCCAGGTGCGGTGACTCATGCCTGTAATCCCAGCACTTTGACAGGCAGGTGAATCATGAGGTCAGGAGTTCGAGACCAGCCTGGCCAACATGGTGAAACCCCGTCTCTACTAAAAATAGAAAAAATTAGCTGGGTATGGTAGTGGCGCCTGTAATCCCAGCTACTTGGGAGGCCGAGGCAGGAGAATTGCTTGAACCCAGGAGGCGGAGGTTGCAGTAAACCGCATCACGCCACTGCACTCCAGCCCGGGCAACAGTGTGAGACTCTGTCGCAGATTAAAAAAAAAAAAAAAAAAAAAGACATCGACCTCCTACATTTTAGACACATTATCTCAATTCTCACAACACCCCTTCGAAGCCTTTTTTTCTTCCATCTCCACTTTACAGACGAGCAAACTAGATTCTCAGACAATTTGATAATTTCCCAAAGGTGGGTGAAGGGTATGTGGAAACTCTCTGCATACATGCTGCAACTAGTAAGTCTAATTATTTCAAAATAATATGTCTTCAAAAAGTCATTTCTCCAAGATCAAATAACTAGCATTTGAACATACCATCCTGCCATGTTAAGCTGTGACACCACCATGTCTAAGATGATTGCATCTCTAAAGCCCGTAACATTTACCTAGCCCAGGGTTTCTCAAACTCAACTGTGCATTAGGACTACCCTGGGGAGTCTTTAAAATAACACAGATGTTTGGGCCCCATCCTCAGACATTCTGCTCTAATTGTTCTGGGGTGAGACCTGAGCATAAGCGTCTGTGTTTTTTAAAGCTCCGTGCACTAAGAATCACTGTTCTAGACTTATGTGCTAGTCATACACACCGAGGTTAAATATGTAATACTAAACAGACATTTGTTGTTTCACACACAAAAGAAACTTTTTACAAGGACGGAATTCATCCTACTTCAATGCATTTTACTGGAAAACAATGACAAAAGGAAAACCCTGTGACAAGATGTAGAGATATTCATTAGCATATTTAAAGAGTGAAAGTATATTGTGGTAATATTTTTTTCCCATTATGTCTCTTCACAGCATAAAACACGTAGACTCAATAATTAAGGCAGGGGGAAGAAAAGACTGCATGCAGTATTTACCCACAGAAAATTAATTTTGAGTAACACTTCATTTACCTCCTAGAAGAGGCAAAGTTAAATAGAAAAAGGAGATGAGGAATTGTAAAATCACAGGGTGAACCCATAGACACTAAAAAGTACTCTGTTATAGCAGAACTCGGTAAATCAGCAGAAAGATAATCTCCTTTTACCAGCTTATCTCAATCCCTTTCAAGTGCCGTCTCTCAAATAAGGGTGTGCACATAGCTGACTTGTAGTAAATTAGTGATGTGCACTACATAATTTATATTAGAAAGCATGCCCCCTTGACTTGTAGTGGTAATAAGGGGCAGATAAAATATTCCCAAGCTCAGCAGCATGAAAAAGCAATCAAAGGAATTCAGCTGAAAACGAAATCCTTAGATACATCAAAAGCATCCCTTCAGGAGAGGTGAGCTTGCTGTCCAGACAGAACACTCTCACCAGACTTGCATTATGGTATTTGAGTGTATTTTGCCCTGTAATTGGATAGAAAACCGTGGGAACGGGCTTTCATGGGAAAAACTTGATGTGACTGAAGAGGAACTCCTGGGTTTGTTCACAGAGACGTGTACAAAGTCCAAGCAAATGTTTTTGGTCATGAAAGCCTTAGTGCTATCATTAGGCCTGTTTATATTTAGACTTCAGATATTTATCAGTACCACTTTCTCTTAAACTGTTTATTGCTGATGGTGGGAAACCACGCAATTTCACCCACATTTAGGGTCTTCTGGAGAGAACTTTCTAAGGCACTGCCCTAGGCTCATGGAAAACAAGGATGAAATGAGTTCTCAGTAACTTTGCATGTTATACAAGCCAGGTATTAATGATGGTGATACTGGGTGGCTAATATCACTGTTGGTAAGCCATATCTGGCTATAGCTGATGTCCCATATGTATTTGACATGTCAGCTTTTCACAAAGTAGGTCTCTCTCTCCCTACCCTCCTCATAAAATATACAATTGCATGCAACTAAGAAGTGTCATATATCTCCATGTTATTTTTCAGCAGCATCACAAAAAAATCCTGGAAATAAACATTAATCAGAAGAAAATAAATATGCAGTAATTAAAAGAATAAGATAGATCTATACAAAAAATAGATCTATGCAAAAAAACCTCCAAAATATACATTGTTTTTAATTAATCCCTCTTCCCCCACCAAACAAGATGTTTGGCTAATGCAATTTATGTATGTTTTAACCACACACACAACTTCCAGAAATAATAAGCTCTGGTTTCATGAAGAGTGTCCAGCCAAAAACTATGCAGCCCTCAGTTTGCTATGCATCGTTCCAGACCTGCTTCTGTGCATTAATTCACAGACCAATCCATAAATAAAAATATGGTTTAGTCTTGTTTGGATACAGAGACAAATTTAATGTGGTCCACTGAGGCCCGCAGACAGGTGAGAGACCATATAAAGCTCTCAGCCCCACATACTTCTTCTCAGGTATTATATAGGGTCCACCTGTGGAGTTATTGCTGAATAAGTCACCGCAGATGCCAGGTACCCAAGGAAGTGTTGAAATCTTCATCTCAGGTGGCCACACATGCAGAAGGAAGCCAAGCAGAAGCAAGAAGAGCCAAGAGAAAGACAACAGTGGTGACATCATTGGATAGCTTGGATCTAGCCTTGTTGAAAGCTAGCCAATCCTAGTACAAGGGAGGAAGGAAGAGATGCAGGGAGATGGGGAGGGAGGGAAGAGAGGAGAGTGAAAAAAAAAGAGGAAGGAAGGGAGGGAGAAAGAAAGGAAGGAGGTAGGGAGGAAGGAAAAGAAGAAAGGAGAGAAAAAAGGAGGAAGAAGGGAAGAAAGGAAAGAAGAAAGGAGGGAGGGATAGAGGAAGGAAAGGATGAATTAGGAAGATTATTCCAGAGCCAAAAAAATGCATATTTTTTTATGCTTAACATAGCCTGAGATGAAGTTTTCTACTTACTACTGAAAGTCTTACAATATATAAACAAGAACAATCTCTACATTTTGATTCACACTAGCCACCCCACTTCCCTCCTTAGAATACCTACCAGGTAATGCTAGTCTGTGCATTGACAGTCACACTTACATGGTGTGATGCATTCCACAAAGCAAAAACAACTCTCCCAGAGAGGTTCAGGCAGTCTCGTTTCCACTGAAGGTCCTGTTCAGACACCTTGAGGACAATGACTCTGAGTCCCCCATAGGTGAAGCTTTTCTTTCCTTTATTAAACTTGAATCCCTAGGCTCTACCCAGGACCTACTGAATGTTCAGAGGTGGGACCCACACATATTTTTCTTTTCAAGTGCTCAGGTCCTTTTGAAGTGCCTTACTAAAAAATATCCTACACCTCAGACGTTAACTACTTATAACGCCAGCTTGCAGTTAAATGTTCTAAAGGCCTCCCTGTGTGTTTTAGCTGAATCTCTTCTCAATGGCTCCAGTGTTAATAGCCAGAGTAGTTAATAAATATTAACTGTTATGTTTTTATCTAGGCTGAAACTCTTTTCTGCCTGTGGATTGTAAGAACTGTCAGCAGTCAATTTTGAAAAGTCCTCTGCAGAGGAAGGTCTGCAATAATGATAATTAGTACTATATCATTATCACAACTGATATTATTACTATGTGCCAGGTAATGACATCGGTTTTGATAATGATATAGTAATAATATCATTCTAACTATGCACATAGAATATTTTTCTTTCAATTAAGCATCCATAGCCCCCATGAGAGAAGTACTATCATTATCCTCGACTTATCAATGAAGAAATAAAGCATAGCCAGGATAAAGAGTTTTCCCTGTGTTACGTAGCTAGCAAAGACAAGAGATGGAACTTCAGAGTCTCAGTCCAAAGACATTACACTATGCTGCTTCATCATACATGAATTGATGCAAATCATTATCTATCTGTTGATACTCCTCTTTGATTCTTTTTCTCTCATTTTATGTCTTCAGTTTATAAAGTAATGGTTACTTTCCACTCCCACAAGATCTCCAAACATTCCCGCAAGCAGAATTGCCAGTATCAAAGTGTTCATTTCCTGTTCTGACAGGGTTGAACTTTAAAAGGCCTTAAGGCAAGACAGGGATGGTAGCTGGTAAAGAGAGAGAGAGAATATGTGTGTGTTGTGGGTGACTTCAATGGCCATTTCCTTCCCAGACCTTCTCCTAGTTCAAAGTCAAGACTAATCAAGCATGGAGCTTCCACCAAACACCAAGCTAAGCAATCATAAATCTTCACAATCTTATGAGAGAAAAAGAGGTACTGTTCCCACTTTACAGATGAGAAAACCAAGGCCCAGAGACATGAAGGAAGCCCAGTACTTACAACACAGGACTTGGGGAGCCTGATGCCTTAGTGGTCATACCCGAAAAGGCAGGCAGGCAGGCCGGGCGCGGTGGCTCACGCCTGTAATCCCAGCACTTTGGGAGGCCAAGGCAGTCAGATCACCTAAGGTTGGGAGTTCAAGACCAGCCTGACCAACATGGAGAAACCCCATTTCAACTAAAAATACAAAATTAGCCGGACATGGCAGTGCATGCCTGTAATCCTAGCTACTCAGGAAGCTGAGGCAGGAGAATTGCTCGAACCCGTGAGGCAGAGGTTGCAGTGAGCCAAGATCATGCCATTGCACTCCAGCCTGGGCAACAAGAGTGAAACTCCATCTCAAAAAAAAAAAAAAAAGCAAGCAACATAGGCAGGAAGGACTGGCCTTTCAGCCTCCCATGTGAGACCCCTCAAACTGGCCTTAGTCACCTTGGGGTCCTGCTCTCTGGCAAGAACCTTGGCTCTTCTTTTTAAAAAGAAGTTTGATCTGGCATTTTGCTTCAAGTTTGTTATGAGCAAATAATTCTCTTCACAAATCATGTCTGAAGAGGAGAGAAGCCAGAACAAAATAACAAAAAAAAACCTTTTTAACCTTTCTTGATGAAATGAGTAATAGCCTAAGAAAACATCACTGATTTCAGTTTGTCTGTCTCACAAAACACATAAATACAACCCAGTCTAATCCTTAACTTCACATGATCCTCTCAAGTGACCGAAAAGCTCCAAGGGGGTGTATGTAATTCAACAAACCCCTACTAGCTAACAAGGCCCTCCAAAGCAGCTGAGCCTAGTTTCTTTCTGCCCGCCATGGACGAAGGTCATTCAACTTCAGCCCTTTTATGAATGGAAATCAGCTTTGTAAAGACTGTTTGGCAGGCAGTGACCAGCAACAGACAACTCAATGACTGAGCTTTCTGAGTCATAAAATACTTTTGAAAGGGGGAGATCAAAGCGTCCCTACCGCCTATTGAAATCCAATTGTTTCCAAAGTTCTGCAAGAACCCAGGCTCTCTGGAGAATGGGTCACTGCAGTCATAGTCTAAAAAAGGCCACCAGTAAAACAAAGATACAATGGGGACATTAGTGCAGCCAGCCATGGGGGAGAAACGCCACTTACGGTTTAATTGTTGGGGACAAAGAAAAGAGAAACGAGGGGAAACCGAGTGACAAAATTGGATGATGCATCAGGAATTGAGGCTGGAGGGAGTTCTCATGGCAGCCTTGATCACGGTACATACTCCACTCAGAGCATCAGATGCAGTGCTAAGGCTGGATGGTAATCAGACACCGGGCAGAAGATCCAAGAGAAACAGCAAAGCAGTCCACTACTCTTGCCAGCTGGGCCTTCACTGAAGTTATTCATCAGTGGTAAACTCACCCATGTATTACAAAGCTGGGCAGAAATGCAATATGACTGACACTTTTTGCATGTCTTTTCAATCAATCTTCACATGAAGAATGGAGCTTGGTTTAGAATTTCTTAAGCAAGGGGTGCATTTCCCCAACGGGAACACATGTCCAGGTACAAGTAAAGTACAAATAATCTCAGACTTAGGAATTGCTCTTTTAGCGTGAACCGCAGAACCCTGGTACAAGATGTTGATGGAAGTGTGGTTCAAAAAGAGGAGGAGTGGGCCGGGCACGGTGGCTCACACCTGTAATTCTGGCACTTTGGGAGGCTGAGGTAGGCAGATCACCTGAGGTGAGGAGTTCAACACCAGCCTGGCCAAAATGATGAAACCCCATCTCTACTAAAAATAACAAAAAAATTAGCCAGGCGTGGTGGTGGATGCCTGTAATCCCAGCTGCTTGGGAGGCTGAGGCAGGAGAATTGCTTGAATCTGGGAGACAGAGGTTGCAGTGGGCCGAGATCGCTGCACTCCAGCCTGGGCAACACAGCGAGACTCCACATCAAACAAACAAACAAACAGAAACGGGGAGTTGGTGGGGAGGAGTGGTCAAATTAGTATGGAAATCCTACCTCTTGGCACTTCACAATGCATATTAGTGTATTAAAAGGTATGAAATATGTTAAAGATGTTTGTTTAGCTTCCTTTAAACCTCTAAATTTTCCCTAACTTGTATGACCATAAACCACTTATTCCTGGAGCATCTCTTAACAGTTAAAAATTAATACATAATATTATAGTATCTATTTTGGGTACCATTGTGTTGATGTTTTTCATGTCACCACCAAACTGTGAAGAGATGCTCCTTGGAAAAAAAAAATTTCATTGGCCAAAGAAGTTAGGGAAACTATAGGTATAAACAGAGTTAAACAGGTGTCTTTAATATAAGACATTTCTGACTTGTCAATATGCTAATATGCATTGTACAGCTCAGAGAGGTTGCATTTTGGCAATAACTTCACCAGCTCCCCACTTTTCTAAAACCATACTGTGTAAACTCCTTGTTTCAGGGTTGAATCACAGCTTGGTTCACAATAAAAATAGCAGTTGCCAGGTCTAAAAGTATTGCTCCATTCTCTTCCCTAGATTGTAAGCTCTACGACCTGGATCTAACATGCATCTTGTTGGTAAGCTTCATCTACCATGCTCTCAACAGTGCCTGACACACTAGAGGCTAATAGTTGTCCAATGAAAAAAGGATAGGGTGGGGTGTGGTGGCTCAAGCCTGGTAATCCCAGCACTTTGGGAGGCTGAGGCAGGAAGATTGCTTGAGCCCAGAAATTTGAGGCCAGCCTGGGCAACATGGCAAAACCTCGCCTCTACAAAAATTGGCCTGGTGTGGTGGTACGTGCCTGTAGTCCCAGCTACTTGGGGGGCTGAGTTGGGAGTATTGCTTAAGCCTGGGAAGTTGAGGCTCCAGTGAGCCATGATTATACCACTGTACTCAAGCCCAGATGACAGAGTAAGACCCTGTCTCTAAAAATATAAGAACAATAAAAAATGATGAGTCAATGTGTCTAACAAGTTCCAAAAATACAAGCATTTTCACTAAGTGGTTCTCAGATATTCGTATGCATCAGAATCATCTGGAGAATTAAAAATACACCTTCCTGTGTCCAGCCTCCCTGAGCTTCTGTTGTAGACAAAGGAATTCACATTTTCAGCCCTTCAAGTGAAGCTAATCATAGTTGTTCACACTCTGATAATCACTGTCCTGACAAAAAGGATCACTAAGACAGATGATTTTTGAGCAGTAAAATTTTTAGATCTCTTAGTACATAGGAAGAAACATGCAAGTTTGTTCTGTTGGAAGACAAAATTAAGAAATACAGGTAAAAATTTTAAGACTGTGGTTCAACAGCAAGATGAAGAGTCTCCACCAATGTCATGGCTTGCTGGATGTAATGACTTTCTCATCACTGTGCTAGTCAGAGGGAGGCTGGATATAGTAGAAAGGACAGACATGGCAGATCACCATTAGATTAGGTTAATCTGTACCTCTGAGATTCTGGGACAAAGGCTGCAAATCCTAGCACCTTCACAGATTATAAGGCCACCTGGTATAAAAAACAGGGGTGAGCTTTTCTAGGTTACCCTATAAAAGCATTCAAAATTTTAAAACAATCATCTCTAAACATAACAGTAGGCAGTTTTTACTCAGGGAAGTGTGCAACCCCTGTTTCATGAATGAATTATTCCAAGTAAGTAACAACTACCTCAATTCTGGAATAAAGGGAGACCTGTGAGTTGGCAGGGGAGGTGGGTGCATTTTAAGAAATTATTACAAATATTTCAAACAGGTTAATTCTGAATTATTAAGGCTAACAGTCTGCTAGCAAAATTTTAGCTGGAGTATGTATGCACGCATGTCTGCTTATATGTATGTACGTACATACGTATTCACTATTATAACCATTCTACCATTTTCCACTTTCTTTGGGGACTTCTCTAGCAGACAAGATAATGGTAGATTCCTATTAGTACTTTGTCAAATCATTTAAAGGTGACATCGCTTTCCTAATATACACTGCATGCACACTAGAAAATTGCTACCACATCCAAAAGGACCCTAAGGCCAGTGGTCTGGCCCCACTCAGAGAAACACTGATATATAAACTTCAGGTGAAAAAGTTTCATCTCCCAGTCTCATTCATCTCTTCTCGGTCTCTGTATTAATAGGAGAAGGGTGGCTGTCTCTCCTGGCATGTTAACTCGATGAGTCTCTCCAACAAGCCTGTTAAAGGCTTGTTCCTTTTCTGAACTCTTGAATCATCTATGATTCTGAATCTATTACTATAGATGCTAATTAATTTCAGAGGAGTTATGAACCCCTGATTAACCAAAGAAGCTGAGCAATGTCTAAGAAAATGTAAACAAAAAAGTGCTTTCAATTTCATTAACCATCAGAACAATGCAAACTACACCCATAATGTGGTACTACTTCACAACTATCAATCAGAACAGCTAAAATGGAAAAATAGGCAATATCAAGTCTTCAGGAGGATTTGGAGCAACTGGAACTCTCATACACTGGTGATGAGAGTTTAAATTAGTACAACCACTTTGAAAAGCTGCTTGTCAGTACTCATTAAAGCTGAACATATACAAGTTGAGTACCCCTAATCCAAAAATTTGAAATCTGAAATGCTCCAAAATCTGAAACTTTTGAGTACTGATATGACACTCAAAGAAAATCCTTATTGGAGCATTTCAGATTTTTTGCATTAGAGATGCTCAACCAGAATATATTCTGCAAATATTCCAAAATCCTCCCCAAATTGAAAATCCACAACACTTCTGGTCCCAAACATTTCAGATAAGGAATAACTCAATTTATACATACTCTGTGACTCAACAACTTTATTCTTAGGCATGTATCCAACAGAATGTGTCCATACGTTCATCAAAATGCATATACAAGAATGTTCAGTCATAACAGCCCCAAACTGCTGGTGGGGGTGTAAATTAGTTCAACCATTGTGGAAAGCAGTATGGCAATTTTTCAAAGAGCTAAAAGCAGAAATACCATTCAACCTAGCAGTCCCAGTACTAGGTATGAGAAGAACATAAACCATTCTACCATAAAGACACATGCATGTGAATGTTTATTGCTGCACTATTCACCATAGCAAGGACATGGAATCAACCTAAATGCCCATCAATGACAGAGTGGATGAAGAAAATGTGGTACATATACACCATGGAATACTATGCAACCATAAAAATAAACGAGATCAGGTCTTTTGCAGGAACGTGGATGGAGAGCAAGGCTATTATCATTAGCAAACTAACGCAGGAGGAGAAATTCAAATCCCACGTTCTCACTTATAAGTGGGAGCTAAATGATGAGAACTCATGAACACAAAGAAGGGAACAATAGACACTGAGGTCTACTTGGGGGTGGAGGGTCGGAGAAGATAGAGGAACAGAAAAGATAACCATTGGGTACTGGGCTTAATATCTGGGTGATGAAATAATCTGTACAACAAACCCTTGTGACATGAGTTCACCCACGTGACAAACCTTCACTTGTACCCCTGAACCTAAAAGTTTTAAAAAAAAATGGATAAAAACATCATGAAATCTTCATACAGAAAAATTTTATGATTCTACTCATGTGAAATTTTGATAATATTAATCTATTACTATGAGATTATTAATTTGAGACAATTGATAAGATTTCCCATCACTCACAGAGTGAAGTCCTGAGAGTGCTAAACATGAGGAGGCTAAATTTTGCTGAAAATAGAACAGCTATAGAGAAATTATTCCCTGCCAGGAACTGCTATGGCACTTTCCACATAAGAAATAATTGAATCCCCACTGCCCTGTGATGTAAACTCTTGTTATTCCCATCTTAGAAATAAAGAAACTAAGGCATAGTTAACTCTACTTAACACAGAGTTAAACAATTTGTCTAAGGTCCTATGAGTAAATGCTGGTCTGAGAATTAGAACCTGGGCAGACTGCTTTCAACTACTGGTATGTGGAATGGGATAGTTTAAGCCACTACGGTGGGTTGTGTAAACTCCTCCTTTAGGACACCGGAATAGACAGAAGAAAGAGAAATACAAAGGGGATGCTAAGTAAAGAGAAGGAGATGTGCCACAACAAAACAAACAAACAAACAAACAAACAAAAAAACAAGATATAGTCATGTGTGCACACACAGGGGCATGTAACCATGTTATAATATATAGGTCAATGGTGAGCCATGTTCATCATTTTAAATAGACCAAAGAAAGAATACCGTGATTGTGGTTGTAATGAAAGGTTTTAGCTAAATTTCAGGCCATAATAGGGGGAAAAAATTAAAAAGTAACTGAAAGTTTCAACTAACAAAGAACATGGGAGTCCGCATTCACCCGTACCCAAGCCACCCCTCTTGCTTTGTGCCATGATGTACCATGTACATTACTCACTACATCCTCACTTGGGCTTTCTCACATTTTCCTTCTTCTGGCCATGCCAGAGCACAATCACCATGTGTCTCAACACACACAAACTCTTCTGTCAATTCAAGACACTTCTCAATCACAACACAGAATGAAATCAACCCAGAACAACATTTACCGCCTCGTATATTTGATTGAATCCTGAGAAGAGTATCATTTACACTGATATTCTTGGCCTGGTGCTCAGCAGATGAGGATTACATAGGGAGGAAATAACACTGGTCCCAAATGCTTTTAAAAGGTTCTGCTTCCCTGAATGCCACATTTAATCCTGCCAGCCCAGGAACACAGCACCCCACATTCTAAAAGGATGTCTTATGTGAGCAGGACACCAGCAACAGATTAGTTCAAAGAAGACAAAAGGCCTCCCTTCAGCAAAGTGAAGGTTGATCTTACCAGTGCTGCTGAATGCAATTTCGCATTGAAATACAGTTTTCCCATTTCAAAGCCATGTAGACGCATGAAGCTTGTTAGATTTATAGAATGCCTGGTCTCCCGGGACATTACAAAGCGAATGGCATCCATCAAGTTAATTTCCTTGGGGATCATCTCAAACATGGAGAATGAAAAGTCCCAGACCATTAAACATCAAAAGATTGTTCTAAATGGTAATTAAAGTTCTATTATATTTTCTTTTTCTGGGAGCACATTAGATTAATTCAATTGAGAATATTAGAAGTATCAAGGCTGACAGTGTGAATGTGTGGAGTTGGCTGGAAGAGCATTTATATTGCAGACATCTGTTCATTCAAGTTACACAAAACACGAAAGAGGGAGCTCAACTCAGACTGGGGTGTACTTACCAAGCCAGCACACGTAGACACAGCGACAGAGGAGGAGCTGTCATTTCTGATAAATCCCTGATAGAAGCATTGCTGCACCTCGGGTTTCTGAGTCTCTGAAGCACCATCTTTTCCAAGTACCTGGACAATAAAGTGACTGCTCAAAATCGCCGAGGGCTTAAGTTCTAAGTGCAGTTCCTGTCCAAATGCTGAAAATCGGTAGTGCAGGGAGCTTCTGGCATTCTGCGCCGATCGCTTTTTCCTGCCGTTGTGCAAAATGTCGTGTGAAATATATGACCCGGCTGAGTCTACTTCTACTGGCGTGACAAAGACGTAATCTGCAATGGGAAAAGTTCAGCTGTCAGCACCCAGAGCCCACAATTCCAAATGGTCTCTTTCCAGCAAGCTGGCAAAGAGCAACACAAAGCTCAAAGATATCTTTGTTCCTATTGCCTTGCACCTAGATCAAATATAATTCAGAGCAGCACAGGCAGCAGAAGACCTGTCTCTACAACTAACTCGGCCACAGTCATTTCTACAGGTGCCCGAAAGCCAAGCACAATTTTGATGAATTTCATGGATGTCTGTGGAAAAATGTAACACCTCTCATTGTCTGGAGAGAGATTTAGAACATTCTTTTGATGTTTAATGGTCTGGGCCTTTTATAATATTGGCCACAGAACCATTCATATATATAAAATTTAATTTTTTTGAAGATAAAGTTAATAAACATAAAACTACAAAATCGGGAAATTTCTTCAAGGAGGTTAATTTCTCTGTGCTTAAACTGAATCGGGAACATTTTGGCAGAGGCAGAGTTTACATTTCAAGTCCTAACTCACAGTGTGGGGTAGCCTCAGATGATATTTCAGATCATTAACAAGCAACAGCATTTTCATTTTTCCAATATTATTTATGTGTGATAAGAAAACTCCAGCACTTGTATCACCCTTAGCATTTTACTGTGAGCTTTCACAGGGATGATCCCATTTAATTGTAAGCATAAAATACAGTGCATGCACAAAAATGCCTCAAAATTGTCAGAACCCTCCTATATAGTCTGATGTATAAAATTGCTCAGGCATGTTGGTGGGGGAGTGTCAGATCAGGGGACACCTGGAAAGGCATGTTTAAAAATACCTTCACCACTGCTCCCTAGAGCAGTACTAATTGCTGAATGTTCCAAAGAGGAGGAGCTAAAATACAATTTGCTATTTGAAAAGCAAAGCCAGCACACTGTTTTCTTTCACCAAACATTGAAGCTGAAAAGCATCATCCCACAAAATGATTTGGAATATGCCCTCTGTGCATTAAAAAACAGCCTGCATTTCCACTTTCAAGGCACAGAATGGGAAACTACTTTGGAAAGTGTTTAGAAAGCTGTTGAATAATGACGAGGTATGTTTGAGTCACTTGGGTCCCCAGTTACTGGAGGAGGAAAAGGAAGAGAAATTTCTCTTTTCCCTAAACAGTCAACAACCTTCCCCCTCCTCCAATAAAAAAAAAAAAACTAAGGAATAGTGGAGCCCCTGTAGCTAGCAAAGATCAATGAGTGATGGCCTAATTAGGCTCACATTAAAAAAGAATTCTCCACAATAGACAATAATTTTCTTCTGTTTATGAACCATCTGTGACTTATTCCTTGGGCAGCTTTCATTTTTATATTCTTTATGTCCTCCCACTCCCATTTTTCTTCTTGACTCCCTCCTTTAACTAAAAATGCTGTATAATTGACATACATATTTTACAATAATGGGGGGAAAAGTTTTTCCCCTCTCTTAACCTTGAAAATCTGAGCCAGACATACAATATTTTTCTTCTCTTAAAAATCTGATACATTGCTTTAAAGGGATGTGGCTCTTGATTATGTGCAATTTCTTAGAGAAAGTCTACCTTCTCCTTCTGTCAAACTAAAACTTAACTATGAAAAAGATTCCTGACATATGCAGGAAGTCTGTGTCTCACCTTCTTGTCCCAAATCATCTGAAACTCTGCCTGCTCTTACTTGGAAGGCTCTGTAGGAACGTTATCCAGCCAGCCTTCTATGGAACCAGCCATCAAACGGCCCCAGACACCTGCTACCAGCTTGTTTCCAAGGGGAGAATAACAGGCTGTCGGTTACATTCGGTTCTTGATGGAAGAAGGGCAGTCAGTGTCCCCTGTAAAGAGTGATCTCTGATTGACCACTTCAGGAGGTGAGTAAGGGTGAGGTCCTTACAAGGTTGTGGCTGGGTCGGACGTGGCCTCCAGCCATCTGATCCTGATATAAGAATGAGGGGTGGTTTTAGAAACTGCAGCCTCTCTGTTTGGACAAAAGGTGAATCCCTTCTCCATGACTCCATCCTGCCCCACTCCCCATTCCCCTGACAAGAAAAGGAGATAACCTTGCAAAACTAAAAATTACAGAATTCTAAAGAATCCAGGTTGAGCTGTAAGGTTTTCCTAGACACCTTGCGTCAGGAATCAGCTGTTCTCCTGTAGCTGATGGGAAACAATCAAAACAAGGATTTCCCTCTGGGCTCCACTGGGAAGTTAATAAATGTCAGAAGTGAGGGATTTTCTGGAAGTTTGTGGCTGGCGAACGTCAGAAAAGATAGATAAAGGACTCAGAGACCTGAAGTCACCTGCTTTCCTCTCTCTAAAAGCAGCCTTAGACATCCGTAAAACAAGGGAAGCAGAAATGAAAAAAAAAGAAGAGATAGAAAAGGAACAGAAGTCGAGAGAAAAATGAGGAAAGATGGAGAGAGGAAAGAGGCTCACATTCTTTCATCTCCCACTAAGAATTAGCTTCCCCCAACAAGAGTTAGGAGAGGGAGGAAATAAGTAATTCCTTAGTTAATGTCCACTTCCCTTCGAATTTCTCACTGCAGTTAGGATTTTTTTTTTTTTCTTGTTCTTCTTAACAAGCCACCTGTGAAGGAGGGAGAGTATTTGCTTTTATGTGACTTGCAGCTCGGGGCGTTGATTCTTTTGATAAGTTCAGTCCTTGCCAACCTTCCCCCCTCTCCAAACAGGAACCATTTCCAAGACAGCGCACACCTGCCAGGTTAGGGGGTGCGCTTTTCCATCTTTTCTCTCTTTGGGGGAAGGAAGGGTCAAAGTGCTGCGAAAGGCCCTTCTTGGGGATGGGGGGCAAATACGAACCATCATTTAATCCGCTGGCGCCGCTGCTGCTGTCACTGGCTAAGGCCGCGGCGACCGACGCACAGCAGAGGCAGCACAGCTGGAGCGCCTGCAAGAGAAAAGGTGACATCGCGCGTGAGGGGCGCGGCGGGGCTGGCGTCGGGCGCCCCCTGCCACCCGCTCTCGGAGCTCCGCTCGGCGGCACCTGCCTTGGCCACGCGCCCCAGTCCCGCCAGGCCCCTCGGCGGGCCCGAACCCGCAGCCGGGAAGGCACACGCGAGCAGGAGGGCGCACTCCATGGTCAGGTGCGGACGCGGCGGCTGCGGGTGGCCAGACGCGGCAGGCGGAGCGCACGGGCGGCGCGCATTCTTTCCGCGGCCCCGGAGCTCGGCGCCCCAGGTGCGGCTCCAGGTGAGAGCCGCCGCCGTTCACATCGCAGCGGGGGCGCGCTGGGACCTCCCCTCCTCCGGCCGCCTGCGCGCCCTCCCTTCTCCCGGCGCGGGCCTGCCGAGCTGCAGTTTGCGGCACCCCAGAGGGTACGGGGGGCTCCCTGGGCCGGGACTGGAGCGCAAACGGTTGGGAGACTGTCGGTGTCTGCCCGCCCGTCTGTGCGTCTGTCTGTGTCGGTGTGAGCGTCTGAGGCGATGGGGAAGACAGCGCCAGCTGGCTCCCCCAGCGCGCCGGAGCCGAGCGCCCGCCTCTCCACCGCGCGGTGATTGGCGACCAGCGGCTCCCGGGCTCGTCCGAGCCCCCGGGCTGGTGCAAGGGCGTGGGATTCCCGGCTCCAGCTCTGAGGGAGGGGGCGAAGGGGGCGGGGAGGCTGGGTGGGAGTGATAGGGAGGGAGGGACCGACCGCCATGAGAAGGAGGGGAGCGCCCAGGGTCAGGCTTGGAAAACGTAATTTAAGCGCACTGGGAGATGAGTTCGGAAGACGAAAGGCTCAGGTGAGTGGCGCGACTTTTTCGCTGCCTGTGCAGACTTCTCATTTTCAACTCTTCTGGCAAAGAGTCAAGATAGCGTCCTCAACACCTCCTAAGTGCTGGGAGCTATCCCCTGCTGTATCGCATTTGCCTCAGGCCCTACCTTTTTCAGGTGGGAATTATTAATTCCTTGATAAAGATGAGGAAAAGGAGGCTCAGATGCGCACAAGCTGACCTAGCTTCCCAGAGTCAGCAAATCTGAGGCAGCCGGGAGGACCAGAACAATGAGCTGTCACTGTCTGCAGCATGTAAAAACTCATGGCACGCGGGGGCCTCCCTCTTCTCCCGGATCTCTCTCTCTCTTCTTGACGTGACCGTGCTTCCCACTCTTCGAGATTGAATCTTGGCCCCAGATACCCAAACCCACAGAAATCAGTTATAACAAACAGCGCACGCCATCACTAGGAATGTGCATCCAGTTTGCTGTGTGCCTGTTCGTTTACTCAAGACATTTATTTGATCCTTTGATCCCTGTTTGCAGAGGTGAACAAAATACAGTCTCACGGGCCAGTGGAAACGAATCTGATTGGATAGCTCGACAACGGTAATAGAAGCAAAATGAACACAAATACTAAAAAGGAAAAGAATAGTCTCCTAAATTAGATGGCAGCAGAATCTAATTTAGATGGGATAAGATGTGTGTGTGTGTGTGTGTGTGTGTGTGTGTGTGTGGGTGTATATATACACACACACATATATATACACACACACACGCATACATACACGTGCAAGGCATCTGTTAGGAGCTGACACTTAAAATAAGGCCAGAGAGAGTGGATCGGTTTTATAAGGGAAGAGGGGAGTAGGATCTTGCATGTTAGGACAGGGGGCACAGCATAAGTGAAGGTCTCAAGGTAGTTAAGTGATTGCCACGTGAAAAGTGTTACAGGCCAGAGGAAGAAGCAAACACAGCAGTTGCTGGGTCAGCTGGACCTTGTAAGCTGGGGCGAAGCATGTTGGAAACCATTAGATTTAAATGAATGTGGGTTTGTGTATGTGTAGGAGGCAACATCATATCCAATAATAAAAAAATGTGAACCATTTTTTGAGCGAGTGTAGGGATTGGACGAGCTGAGGCAGGGTCAGAGAGAAACAAACCACGCAGCTGTTGCTGGCATGAAGGGGTACAATGACAGTGTCTTGCTTGGACCAGGGTAGTGGTAGTGGAAGTAGATGTATTACTCTGCTCAGTCCTGTGGGTACTGAAGTAGTTAACATGAGGTCTATGTCAAGCCTCGATTAAGTGATAGCTCAATACACATAGTCGGTTTTATGGAATGCAGCTGGGAAGAGGTAAACCCAGGCTGTAGCGGCAGAGAAGGTGATGTGTCTGCCTAAGGAACATGAAGCTAAGCCTCACAGAACATCAGGGCTAAACAAATCATTTGGGTTTCCCTACTTAATCTGGTTAAGCTCTGTGGCCTCTGTTTTATAATCTGTAAAATAGGAATCAACATGCTACATCAAAAGGATAGCCTGAGGGGTAAGTGAATATATTTTTCAAAGCACATTATAAGTGGACTTTAAGAAGTGATGGTGTATTTCTGTTATTTCATACATCCTGTGTCAAACTTGAATATACGTCAAAATCACCTGTAATGCTAGCTTAAAAATGCAGATTTCCAGGCCATGAAGCACTGTGATTCTGATTCCATGGATTTGGTGTAGGGCCCAAGCATGCATTTGTAGTAAGCACTTGTGGGTGATTCAGACACAAGTGACTTAAGTGCTTCATATGATTCCATGAAGAACTGGACACAAGAGGAAACTGGACATCAAAGACATGCAGTAAAACACTGCTGGAGGTCACATCACCAAGCAACGGACTGAATAAAACAGGAGACTGGGATTGACAGCACTGTCAGCGACATCATCAGGTGAACACTGACGGAACCTGGAGGGTGAAGGGCTTGTCCACACTCAGCTAAAAATAACCATGGCCCTGATTTGTGTCTCTCCATTAAGATACATTTGCATGAAATTGTCCATATTTTTCTGATCCTCCTCTTTTAGGGCTAACAATATAGGTTACTTGCCATGGTCAGGGCTGAAGTCTCGGAGAACAACCCTTAACTATGCTCTATGCTCAATTGTGGAATTTCTCAATCTCAGCAGTACTGAGATTTGGGCTGGATAATCATTTGTGGTAGGGGCTATCATCCTGTACATTATAAACATAGGATGTTTAGCAGCATTTCTGGCCTCTACTTCACTAAATGCCAGTAGCAGCCCCCAAAATGCAACAAAATGTTGTGAGATTTCCAAATGTTTCCTGGTGGGTAAAATTCCCCTAGGTGAGAACCTGGATAAATAGTACAGATTCCCAGTCCTATTCTGTGACATTTTTTTGTTGAGTGCCCATTTTTTTTTGAGAGTCTAGAGGGCTCCTCTTGAACCTAATGTAAGTAGTTTATCCTTAACTGATTTTACAGCTCTTCTTCCATACCCCAGTCAATCTTTGCTCTCCACAGATTCAAGTCCTCCATGATTGGGCACAGAAACTGAGACTCATTTCTTGCATAGTTCTAGACCTGGAAGATAAAAACTTGCAGTTCCATTCATTTGTAGATGTCTAGTCTCTTTTTTAGGGCTGATAAATACTTGCAAAGCCATAACTTCTGGGATGATTTTATACGTAGTTTTCCAGGAACTGGCCCTGCAATATGTATAAATTGTCTCTAGATGGTGACAGAGAATCATGAGCCCATGCTCCAGTCTTGGAGTTATAAACTGCAAAGTAGCTTTTAAGTTACTTGGGAATGTCAGTCTTACCTGATTTTAAAATGATAAATCTAGGACACTACAATGGCTATCTGAAGTTTGCAATAAACTAATGGGGATATGGGGGGGCAGAGCTCATCGCTGATGTGTTGTATTCTGTCAGACGTAGCCCAGAATATGCCACGTAACAGACATTCATAAATGTTTGTAAGAGGAGCAGAGGGAGGGAGGGAGGGAGGGAGGAATGGGGGGAAATTTGAGATAGAGAGATCACAGTGTTTCACTCTTAACCACGAAAAATATTCCTCCTTTCTCTTCCTTTAAAATCAATGGTACAGTTCTAGGCATTGATTTTCTTTTTCTACTGACATAAGCTTTTTTATTTTTTTATTTTTATTTTTATTTTTATTTTTTTTGCCAAATAACATTAAGATACTTGCCTCCTCCTAGACAGATCAAAAAATAAATGGCAAACCACGTTGCTTACTCACTTTCCTTTGTCCCTGGATTCATGAAGATGCAAACATCCCTTCCATGGAAAGTAAGAAACACTTACTGCCTCTTCCGGTGCAGTTGACTTTCTGTGCTATGACTGACTAACTCCTTATTTGCTCCTCTCCTTTTCCGTCAGCGAGTAGAGGGAAACTCTTCCTCCTCTAGCTGCTCAAAGCTGCATCAAACAGTGGGCTGGGTCTTACTGAACGGGTGTCCAGTACTTTCCTGTAGAAAACATTTTGATGTCCAAAGAGATAGATGTCCATAGTCACACATCTAAACCTAGAAGAGGGTAAAATAGAACACAAGGCTTAACTTATTTCAACACAGTAGCCAAAAGGAAAAGAGAGAGATGGAAATGGATTTACCTCCTTGAAGGCCTAAGACCTAAGGGCTACTTTCTGGTCAATGTCTCAGAAATGCAGTCCAGTTAGCAACCCAGACCTCAAAAACAATGGGGAGGAGAGAGAGGAGGTGAAAGAGAACAGAGCAGCAGGTCCTAACTGTTTTCCCTCCAGAGATAACCATCCAGAAAGATAAAGAGTTTATTTTGCCACACAAAGAATGAAATTCAAACGAGTGACAGGAAACAAACTTCTGTTTACTTATTAGCAACAATACAGGAAGCAGAACCCCTTAGTTTAAATAGTTTTATAAATAGATCCATCATCACACACAATTTAGCAATTACCAACTGCTCTCCTTCACCTGCTATTTATTCTTCTGCTTAACTTTCTGAGGACGTTGGTATCCATTTCTTCCCTTTAAAACCTGTGCTTGTCTGACTTATCTATCTGATAAGGTTTTCTCTGCTCATCTCATTTTCTCTGTTTCTTTGTACTCTGGCTGCATGGGCTTGCTTTCTTTGGTCTATTTTTAGTCGTTTCCCAAGCCCTACTATTAAAAGTAGCATGCTTGCCAGAGGCTGAAGAGGTAGAATTAGAACTAGACTTCTAATTTCCACAAGTGAACTGGAGGCCAAGTTCTGACCTCTCTGCACAGTGAACAGTGGTATATATTCTTTGTAAAAGCTCTGGAAAATATCAGGCTGCCTAAGAAAGGCAAATAACTTTTGTTTACATGGAGTATTTTCTCCTTCTTTTCCACTATCATGAGCCCATCATGAACAAGCTCAGATGTCTGCCCCAACGATTCTCAAACTCTCATCTCTAACACCATCTTGGCCCCACTAAGCCTTTGTCCTGGAACAGCAAGGATTGGGTACTACTGCTAATCAAGAACACCCAGAACATGGTTAGAAATACACATTCTTGGGCATCCCTATAAGTATTTCCATTAAGTGGGTCAGGATTTCTGATGTAACTAAATATTATCACAAACCAAGAATTATGACCCACAGTACTTGCACTTGAATGCCAGCAACACCTCCTAGTCAATAGGACTTAAAGCTTTTGGATGCTTTTGACTCATTTCTTATTCGTGGAGGAAGCAAAATATAGCAGAAAGAATAAAGGGATTTAAACCTGGAGTTGTTGGCTGTCCTCCTGAGCTGCAAAAAGAAAATACAGATAAAAGTAGAAAAGAAAGGAAAATACACAAGTTCCAGTCTGAGGCCAATATTTCTGTCTCTTCTCCTTTGATCCTTGAAATCACCACCAGTTAAGCCAAGAAATCTTTCTCCAACCCTATTTCCCCCTTTATATTAGTCTGTTGCATTTCTATTTCTTTCATTGAAAGTTGTCAGTACTTTTACTATGTGATGTTAAACATGAAGTCTTAGCATGGCCATCTCTAACACAGGGGAGCAATGCCTACCTCACATCTATTTATTTTCATGAGGATTGAATAAGGCAACATACGTAAAGTGTCTAATGCAAATCCTCAACCACTACTGCTCAATGAATGGTAGTGTTCTTCCTCTTTCTTAACTTTCCTTTGATTCTTATTCCTGTAGCCAATCCCTTCCTAAGGCTGTGAACTCTTGTGTAGAGGTGAATACTTCAGTCTGAGCCCTGATATTGCCCATTTGATTTCAGAATTGCAATTCCCAGAAACAGTGACTGGGTGAGCATTAGAAAATGATGTTCCCTATTGCATAGGCACAAAAAACGTGACCAAAAGTTGGAAGCTATGAAAATTAGGAAAAGAGCAGCCCTCTGGGCTAATAAAGTCTTGTGGGGACAGAATGAAGAAGCCTAAGACCTACTGGATTTCATTTTAGCTCACCTCAAGGCAGGATACAGCCATTCATCATGCCCAGCATGGGTTGCCATCTCCTTAGCCCTTTTCTTTTCTTTTTTTTTTTTTTTTTTGAGACAGTTTCACTTTGTCACCCAGGTTGGAGTGCAGTGGCACCATCTCAGCTCACTGCAACCTCTGCCTCCCAGGTTCAAGCAATTCTCATGCCTCAGCCTCCTGAGTAGCTGGGATTACAGGCACCCGCCACCAAACCCAGCTGATTTTTTGTATTTTAGTAGAGACCAGGTTTCACCATGTTGCCCAGGCTGGTCTCGAACTTCTGAGCTCAGACAATATGCTCGTCTCAGCCTCCCAAAGTGCTAGGATTACAGGCATGAGCTACAGCACCCAGCCAGGCCTTTTCTCATCTTAGATTGGGGAACTAAATAGGAGCAAAGATTCAGTCCACCTACTTCTATGAACTGCATTACAATTTCTAAGCTACCAATTCTGCTTTTTTCTTCCATTTACATGCATCCTTTCCATGTACTCACACTGTCTCCGGGGGCTCTTTCAAAAGGCTTGGCTGTGAAGGTGAAGATAAGTACATTATATCCTTTGTCAATTAACATTCATTCTCAACAACCTGCAATCTGGCTTCTGTCCCCAGTCACATGTTCTTCTAAATAAAAGTGCAATAAAGTTTATGAATAAATGAATAGAAATAGAGAGATGTAGACCTTTCTCCTTTCACTCAGAGAGAACCATTAAAAATGCTAGAGAAAGAGAACCCATGCTAATCTTTAAATCATTGTAGCATTTGAAACTAATGACCACTGCCTGTTTTTTGAAACCCTCTTACCTCCATAGCTTCCAGGTCATTACTTTGTCCTGTTTTTCTGAGTTCCCCCCACGCCTCTTTTTTTTAATTTTTACTGATAAATTTTTTTTGACCTTTTTGTCTCTTAAATATTGGGCTTCAGACTTTGGTCCTTATCCTTCATTTTTTCTCACAAGGTAATCTCCTCTTTTCCTGAGCAATCAGGGCCCATCTGATCTGCTGATGAGTCCCAGGTCTATTATTTCAGCCTAAATTTCTGTGCCAAGCTCTAGACACTTATTCCCTACCACTTACAGAGCATTTTTAACTAAATGAATTCGGAGGCACCTTAAACTTGATAAGGCACCAAGCATAGGTCATCGGCTATTGTCCATATGCCCAGAATCCCAAACTGGGAAGCTTGGGAGTCATCCTAGGATATGGGGGGTGTAAGGAGTCACCTAATCATGCTTTCTCAATGACTCTGTTCCTCTCCATACTCGTTGCAATTACCTTATTTCTGACCATTAGCATCTGCCACCCTTAAAGACTCAAAAAAGGAATTGTCTCATCCAGGCAGACTTCCCTGACCACCCTGGCTGAGCTAGGCTGGATTAAGCACACCTCCAAGTGTCCCCATAATAACCCACCATTCCCCTATGGTCTCTGTCATAAAAATGAGACAGTACAATAGAGGCCGTGACCACCAACCCAACTAATGCTGCTGTGTCAGCTGTTTAGAGCAGGGAGATGTCATTGCCATCTTTGTTTCTAATACTAAGGGCTAGCACATACATGCTTGATAATATGTTAAATTGAAACCTCATTGCGCAGAAGGAAAACAATCCAGGCTGTTGAAACAGGCACTTTGAACCACCCCTTAAGCCAACACCAACTATGGAATCTTACTACTATTCCTGCACCCCATAAGGGAGAACTTCCATGACCAAGCAGGTTCCATACCTGCCTATCAACTATGTCCAGAGATTTTATTTGTTTTTATTCCTTCCCTCATTCCCCAGTTTTTTCCTCATTTTCATTCCATCTCTCACTCTCCAATACACAGTGGTTTCTTTTTCTCCTTCCCTTTTAAACTAAACTGTACATTATTGTTGTTGTTCAAATAAGTCTAAGTGCCTTGAGACTTGCCCTCACCTATTTAGCCATACAATTCCCCACCTTAGCAGATCTTCTCAACCTTGGTGCTCATTGAGCAAGTCCTGCCCCCGGAGATACTGAGTTAATGGGTCTGAATGCACATTGGAATTCTTTTTAAAGCCCTCTGGCTCCAGGTGAATATAAGAGCCAGCCAGATGAGAACCAACCATCATCTAGCCTCTCTGTGATCAGCATGTAGTCCCCAGACCATCAACAGCAGCGTCACCTGGGAGCACATTAGATATGCAAAGTCTCAGGTGACCTACTGCTTCCTGCATTGGAGCCAGACCCCCAGGTGAGTGTGTGCACACATTAATGTCTGAGAAATGCTGTTGTAGAGTCACACAGAAACTTGACAGTAACAGGATGCACTCGGAGAGTCCCCTGCCCTCAGTAACCTTCAGTTTCCCTCTCTACATGATGGTGAAAATAATAGTGCTGTCTCACATGGATGTGGGGATCATGATCATCAGGTGAAATGCCACATTAAGCATTTGTTAAGTAGTAGCCTTGTTACCATTCTCTCTGTCTCCTTTATCCCTCCGCCCGATGTGGTGGGGGTGGAGCAGAGCAAGTACACTGTTTACTCCTAGGATGCTGGCTATGGGATCCCACGAAGCACAGCTAATAGGAGGCTTGCAGATGCTGCATTCACATCCAAATTAAACATTTCCCATTATAAGCACACAAACAGGTTGCAACTCCCTTGACTTTCTGCATCACCCAAAACACCCACCACGATCTGGCCTCTGGACACCCTGTCTACCCAGTTACGCAGTCACCATCCTGCTGAGAGTGCCGTGTGAAGCTGCACCCTATTACACAGGCAATTTGTTTCCAAGAGCTGCATAGTGACTTGGCCCCCACCACGCGTGAGACTGGTGTTTCCACAAGACTGCAAGGCACAATTTCAAGAGGCAGATCATTTAAAACTAATTATTGGAACTCAACTGGCTTTTACAAGGAATTAATTTAAGGAATCCAAGGTGCCAGAGGGAGAATAGTAGAAGAGATGGAGTGGGGAGGGACATGTGTCTTATTTTTAAAGCAGTCTGGGATCTATTTAGAGAGGTTGCAAACATAAGGGTTGTGTCCAGAGAGCAACCTAGTACTTTATATTGCTCTCTTTCTGCAGGGTCCCACCGTCCCCTGTGATTGGATGGAGTGTCTCGCATTTTACATTGTCCCTGAGAGGAGAGGAGCCCTTTGGAAAAGTCTGAAAAGCTAACATTGAACTGGGACATAACAGCAGCCTTGGGACATCAGAGCCTGCTTGTGCCTGCTCTGCACTATTGGATGTTTTTATGTGTACTACATTAAGAGCTTCCATCTCTCTGGACAAAGGGGAGAAGCGCTTCCGTGGTGGGTGGCCCCAATTAAACCCTGTGCCTAGTGAGTTTCCGCCCAGGCTGACTGGAAGTCAGCCAGGGCTGATTAGAGAGCAGGTACCTCAAATGGCCCAGCACGGCCATAATGAAATAGTCCTGGAAAATTGCTAAATGACATAGAGGAAAATCATTACAATTGAAATGCCTCCCTCCCCCTTACCCTCTATAACATAAAGAAACACTTCAGAATTGCCTAAATATTGCTTTGCCCAGTGAGTTAACTGTATAGTAAATGAAAGATCTCTCACAAACACACAGCTTTGAGCATACTGCTTTAATTATGAAATGTTTATTTTGTTTAAAAGCACATAAAGAAGACAAAAACAGAATAAAGAGGAAACAAAAGCAACTTTCCCCTTCTCCACCCCTAAAAAACAAATAAATTGTCACATACACTATAGAATCGACTAGTAGGCTTAATATGGAAGGATTTTAGATATTTCTTCACTTAAAATAGTAATAAGTATTTGCTTTTTATGACAAAATCAATACAAGCTCTTCCTGAAAACATTGAAAAACACAGAAAAGTATAATGAGAGACTAAGAATGGCTCAGGTGCTGTGGCTCATGCCTGTAATCCTACCACTGTGGGAGGCCAAGGCAGGAGGATCCCTTGAGCCCAGGAGTTTGAGACCAGCCTGGGCAGCATAGTGAGACCCTGTCTCTTTTTTTAAATTGAAATGGAGTTTCACTCTTGTTGCCCAGGATGGAGTGCAATGGCGCAATCTTGGCTCAGTGCAACCTCCATCTCTCGGGTTCAAGCAATTCTCCTGCCTCAGTCTCCCGAGTAGCTAGGATTAGAGGCATGCACCACCATGCCCAGCTAATTTTGTATTTTTAGTAGAGACAGGATTTCTCCATGTTGGTCAGGCTGGTCTGGAACTCCCGACCTCAGGTGATCTGCCCACCTCGGCCTCCTAAAGTGCTGGGATTATAGGAGTGAGCCACCGCACCCAGCCTCTGTCTCTTAAAAAAAAAAAAAAGTAACTCCGCAGCCATTCATCCACCCCTCAGAAATAACCAGAGTGAACATGATGTGGTATATCTTCCTTCTGTAAACACTGTTTTACATAGTTGAGAATGCATTGTGTATACTTTTGTGTTCTACCTTGACTAGTACTATATATGGAATATGTTGCAGATGTTAAGATTCCCTGAACAATTATCATTAATGGCTGGGACATAATCCATTAAAGGAGTGTAACGTAATGCACTTAGCAAAAATTTGGATGTCCCTTTGTCATGGGGCTACTAAGCTATGATAAGCAGTAGCAACATCTGCACCATATAATGGGGAAAGGAAATGGGGACTCATGTTCCATAGGGTCCCCAATCCTTCAATCCTCCACCAACACCGTAAGGGGGTTATTACTCATCCACTTTAATAGATAAGGAAACTGGGGCTCACTGATAGGTGAGATCACTGGCTGAGGTCACAGAGCAAGGAGGCAGAGCCAGGATGATGACCTAAGTCTGTCAGATTCTTTTTTCATCTGTATTCCTCATCCATGTGTAGACACAGAACAGTGAAGTCAAAAGAGCATGGTTTTGGAGTCCAGGTATGATTTGTCTTATACCTTGCAAATGTTAGGTGCCCGATAAATACCTGTTGCCTAAATGCTTTTTATTCTAATTAAAATTTTATGCATGCTATCACTCACAGACCTGGTGATTCCACCTGCTAAATGTTACATTTGGAAGGCCTTATCTTTTCACAAGCACTACAATTTAGAATTCAGCTTTACATATGAAGGGTATCTTAACTTTCATTGATAATGTAGAACCAGGAAAATAGAAGCAAGACAAGGCATGACTATATCTCAGAAAGTTCCATAGTAGGGGAGAGAGACCCTAGTTCGGTTTAGAAATGAAGAGTAGTGATAACGATTAAACATACTCTCATTCATTGATTGCTTCCCTGGAATGGGGCCAAATTTTACATTACCATTTAAGGAAAATAAGCATCAAATTAGTTTTCTAATCTGGAAAATGAAAGCAAGACTGTCTAATGTGCAAAGAAGTAATTACCAGCTGACATAATTTGGATAAGAGGCAATGGTAGAATATGAAACTAGATCTGAGTCTGTTGTATTCTAGAAACACATGCTAGGTTCATCTCCCCGTTCTTTATTGGGTAGCCTGAGGCATTGGACCAGTGGGTGTGAACCACCCCCAGTCATGCCAGCAGTCATTTCAGGTTTCTAGGTGCTCTAATGTAGGAAGAGAAGCCCCTTGTACTCCAGGAAACTGCCAACAGATGTCTGTATAGCCATCCCTGAAGGCTTGACCAGAAAACACCTCAGTGGAAATGGGTTTGGAAGTCATCCCTAATAGTCAGAATTACATGAAAAAAGTACCTTCACAGTTCACATGGGCTATCCCCGTTGCCAGTCACAAGCCTGACCCAAAATGGCATGTATATGCTTAAATTCTAGGGAAAAGGAGTTAAAGGAAGCAGAAATCAAGACATGCCAGCGGGAGGAGAAAATTTACGAAGGAAAAAAAACCTTAGAGAGCAAAAATCAAAGCCAACAACCATCAAAGGGATGTAACACAATGTAAAATAAACCATTAATAGTATGTGAAAAGGTAGCATGGAGTAATATAAGTTGGTATGTATTAAATTGGAATAGCTAACTCCTTTGACCCTTACAACAGCCCTCTGAGACAGGTAATATAAATATGTAAATGATTGTTGATAAACTCCAGGCTAGAGCACAAAATGCAGTCTCCTTGAATCTCATGTTTTGTTTCTTTTTTTGTTTGTTTGTTTTTTAAGACAGGGTCTCACTCCAGTTGCCCAGGCTGGAGTGTGGTATGCAATCTTGGCTCACTGCGGCCTGAACCTCCAAGGTTTAGACGATTCTCCCATCTCAGCTGAATCTTTTTTTTTTTTTTTAATCCTTCTATATAAGCCAGAGGACAGCTGAGTTCATCCTGTCCCTTGAAATGTGAACACCATCAATGTGATCCCTAATCCCATATAGTGTAGGAAGTCTAGCATCCTTGCCAGGACTTGAGTGACATCCTAGGGATCTGCTTCCTCATGTTCACCCACCCTAACTTTCCACTGTTCTTTCCTCTGTCCTACATCAACCCAGACATAGAAGGTAGCTCCTTTAGTTTGTCCCAAACCACTCAAGGAAGGCATGCACGTATGTGTGTGCATGCACGCATGTGTTTGGCTGTTGTTAAATTTTGAAAACTCACACTGGTTTTATTTTATCGTGGTAAAATACATGTCACATAAAATTGACCATCTTAGACATTTGAAAGTGTAGAATTCAGTGGCATTAAGTGCATTCATGATGTTGGGCAACCATCCCCATCATAGAATGAGGTTTGCATTACACAGGTGGAAACCAACTTAAAATGAGTATTAGATATCCCGTTTCTTACAAGTCAACTGACCACCCACCATGTTTCCTGAGTCTCTGTATTCCCCAGAGACTCCCCTTCCTCTCCCTTTTCCCTATTTTATGTGCAGAACTATTTAGCCTCCATCCCATTCGGTTCCAGACCTATCTGAGCATATCAAATAACTTATTAATGTGCTCTGAAGAAATAAAAGATTGTTAATTCCTTGGCTCATTCCTCAGTAGAACAGAATAACTGACAGAGGGCATCTCAGCCCCCCATTCTGCTTGCCCAGTTCCCCCAAGTGACCAGCAGCTGAGAAGAGATGAATTACTTCATGGCTATCAAGGGTGTCATTTCCCTGAAAAGGCAGAAACGTTAATCATCAGCTTCAGCTTAACACAAAAAATTGCTGTTGTTGTCAATTTCTAAAATGTGAAAGCTGGAATGCATTCTCTCCACCATGGAGCTGGAGTGAAACCAAGCCCAGTCTTCTCAAAATGGGTTCAGATTGACCCAGTGGGTCTATTTATAAATGTAACCAATGAAAGGTCAATTCTATAGGTCATAATTTGAGAAGCACTCAATTTGGCATCAGCCTGAGCTCAGATTTCTTCATGGGAAGCCTTCCAAACCATTCCTAACTTCTCCAGTATGGATTTATAAACCTTCCTTGTGCTCTTTGAACATCCATAGGGCTCTTCAAACTCTGTCACAGGACATAGAAAATTAAAGCAAAAATTAAAATAAAGTAGAATGACTTCTCTGCTGGACTTCAAGACTCTGAGATCCAGGAGCTATGTACACACTATCTTTAATGGTGGTTCTTTACTGGGGACATTCTCCACCCAGGGAACATATGGCAATGTCTGGAGACATTATTGATCATCACAACTAGGCTGGGGGTTGTTGTTGGGATATCGTGTGCAGAGATCAAGGATGCTGCTCAACCTTCTGCACTTCACAGGACAGAACCCCCCCAAGAAAAATTTATTTGGCCCAAAGTGTCAATTATGCCAAGATTGAGAAACTTTAATACTTAAGGTTTTTCATTTCACAAATATTAAGTACTATGTATGTGTCACATCTTGTGCTAAGGGATGGAAATACCTTGTGCCTGGTTTTTTTTTCCCCCTCTCCAAGACATTTGAGAATGTTCAACTCTTGCTCTGTTGCCCAGGCTGGAATGCAGTAGTGTGATCTCAGCTCACTGCAACCTCCACCTCCTGGGTGCAAGAAGTTCTTGTGCCTCAGCCACCCAAGTAGCTGGGATTACAAGCATGCATCATAATACCCAGCTGATTTTTGTATTTTTGGTGGAGACAGGGTTTCACCATGTTGGCCATGCTGCTCTCATACTCTGGCCTCAAGTGACTGGCCTGCCTTGGCCTCCCAAAGTGCTGTGATTACAGGCATGAGCCACCATGCCCACCCATGTTTTCTTACTGTAATTATTTTTGTGATAATCATAGTAAATACCCGGTAAGCATTAAAGGATGTAGCCTCCTACATCAACTCCACATATACAATATTCATTTATATAATCTTTACAGTCACCCTACAGTGTTACTGTCTACTTCTCCCCTCACTCTTCCTTTTTAAACAAATGGTAGAGGGTAAGCTCAGAATGATTGGGTAACTTTCCCAAGGCAACACAACATTTGATTTATGTTTCCTTGATTCATAACCACTATACACAATTGCCTGCCAGCTTAAAAGCAATTGGGAATCATACTATCTGTGTCATAGGGCTGTTAAAAAGATTATTTAAGCTATCTTGTTTGGTGTATTTAATGATCCCAACACTGTAGCTGATTTAGAGATGCCAGATTGTCACTTGAGGTGAGTGATAAGGAAGTTTAAAAAGCAGCCATGATTGCAGGGGATTTAGAAGCCAAATTATTCCCCAGAGATGATGAAACTTTCTTGAAGACCCTCTGCAGGAGAGTGAGCATGTGTATGTTGGACAGAGGCAAACTTGATGAATGGAAGAAAACAGAGCAAGAATCCTGGTAGATGATGTTGATGAGACCCTGGATCAATTGACAAAATAATTTCTTAGAATCTCTATCCACCTCTTTTCAGTAAATGTTTCTATATCTTCACACAAGTAAAGAATGTTCTGTGCCTTCTCATATTACCAGGATTAAACATGCAAGGATCTTAGGGAAAATGTCTGCAAAAAGAAGTAGGGAAGGAGCTGGAAAGGCTGGGAAACTCGTCAGATCATAATGTGGGTGGGCATGACCCCAAGTGAAGGAGAGAGGGAAAAAATGGAAATGGGTACACTGAGCCATAGACTTAGACTCAACTTACACTTAGACTTCTAACTCAACTTAGACATCCGTGCAGTAGAAGGAAGGTTCTAGAAGCCACAGAAAAGGACTCAAGCCACATTAGAGGAGTCCCGTGTCTCTTAGAAATATGTCTGCCTGGCTGGATGCAGTGGCTCATGCCTGTAATCCCAGCACTTTGGGAGGCAGAGGTGGGCAGATCACTTGAGGTCAGAAATTTGAGACCAGCCTGTCCAACGTGGTAAAACCCTGTCTCTACTAAAAATACAAAAAATTAGCTGAGCATGGTGACAGGCACCTGTAATCCCAGCTACTCGGGAAGCTGAGGCAGGAGAATCACTTGAACCCAGGAGGCAGACGTTGCAGTGAGCCGAGATTGGATCACTGCACTCCAGCCTGGGCAACAGAGTGAGAATCCATTTCGAAAAAAAAAAAACAATAAGAAAGAAATGAGTCTGCCTTAGTAACTCTGCTACACACACTCACTGCTCACTGGCTAGGGGCCATCCACTAGAAGTGTGGCCTGTGCCCTTGGTCAATTACCCACCCCGTAGTTGAATGTTTATGAGGCACATCTTCATGGCCACCACACCAGGCACTTTTAAATGTTGGATAAAACAAGCACAAATCCTCTGCTTTCAATTCAACTAGACATGCATGTACTCAAACACATGCCCTTTGGGCAAACAGCACATCACCTGCCTGCCCTCTGAGTTGCACCTGAGGCCCACTTTGTAGAATTAGCTTAAAACCAGTGAGCTCATCAGCTTTCAGGACATGTTATAAATGCCCCTCTCTGTACAGTTGATCTTCTTCCATTCCACCCCACCTCCCTGCCAAAAATGTCCTATTATTTTGTTTTGTTTGATATCAAAACCTGGATCTCACTGTTGATTGTCTGGCCCTCGTGTTTCTTTCTGCAGCCACTAGTCCTGAGATCATAAGCTATAAACACTGTAATCATGTGTAAACAATACCTCTCTGAGGTGAGCTGCAAGCAAACAAGGGAGTCCAATAGCCTTCTCATGTCCTGACGGTCCTGCCTGTCCTCCTTACAGCAGCACAGATGATGGAAGGAGCCAGCCTGAGCTGCTGGACCCTGGCCAGCCAGCTGGGAGTCCTCTGGCAGGACCTGAAATAGTGATCGAGCGGGCAGCTGGAGGTGAGGGGCTTTCAGGATCCTACCTGAGTGCTTCATAGGTGGCCACAGGGCACTTGACTCAGATCCAAGAGAGGCACCTGGCTCCAGGCTGGCACAGTGCCAGTTTCAGAGAGTAAAGCTTGCCCTGAATGATGGTGTCTGGACTCATTTCATGTTTTATTGTTATGTGTCTCTTTAAAATTAATTCCTCAGTGAAAGACATTTGAAACCTAAGCCTCCTCATTTTCCCTCCCCATTTTATTTTCAGTTGCAGGCACTTATCCCTGCTGAAAATCAGGAGAATTACTGCTCGGCAAATTGCTGCTGGAAACTGGATTCCTGAGCAGTGCCACACACAATTGTGGAAATACTGAAGCTTCTCCTAGGTCTAGAAACTACCAAGGAAAGGGCAGGCCTGTCCATTTCCTGGAGCATCCAAGGCTGTGACTAGTGTGGTGATGAGGAAGTGGTGATTTCTCAAAAATGTTGGAACACAGAGATGTAGGGACTGACCTTTGAAACTCCATATGGACTAGTACAGTCGTTCTCAAAGTGTGGTTCCCAGACCAGCAGCATCGGCATCACCAGGAAACTCATTAAACATGCAGAGTTGCGATACATTCAGTCCACACCTTCCGAATCAGGAACTCTGGGGGTAGGACCCAGTGCTCTGTTTTAACAAGTTCAGCAGGAGGTTCTGATCACCACTAAAGTTTGAGAATCCCTGCTCTAGAGACAAAGGTGGTGCTTGTTGTTGTTCACAAGTAAGTAGAACACAAAAGTTTGCTTAGTTATAGAATAATCCTGTCATGCTGCTATAGTTTGGATATTTATCCCCCAAATCTCATGTTGAAAATTGATCGGGGCTTATTGGGAGGTGTGTTGGTCATGGGGGTGGATCCCTCGTGAATGTCTTGGTGCCCTTCTCATGCTAATGAGTGAATTCTTACTTTCTTAGTTCCTGCAAGAGCTGATTATTAGAAAGACTATCCCCTCACTCATCTTTGTCCCCTCTCTCTTCATGAGATCTCTGCACATACCAGTCCCCCTTCCCCTTCCACCATGAGTGGAAACAGGCTGAGGCTCTCACCAGAAGCAGATGCTGGTGCCATGCTGTTTGTACAGCCTGCGGAATCATGAGCCAAATGAACTTCTTTTCCTTATAAAGCAGCAGTTCCCAACCTTTTTGACACTAGGGACCAGTTTCATGAAAGACAATTTTTCTACAGATTAGGGGCAGGATGAGGGTTTTGGGATGATTCAAGTGCATTACATTTGTTGTACACTTTATTTCTATTACGATTACATTGTAACATATAATGAAATAATTATATAGTTCGCCATAATGTAGGATGAATGGGAGCCCTGAACTTCTTTTCCTGCAACTAGACTGTTCCATCTGGGGATGATAGGAGACAGTGACCAATCAGGCATTAGATTCTCTTAAGGAGTGTACAACCTATTTCCCTTACATGCACAGATCACAACATAGTTTGTGTTCCTATGAGAATCTAATACCGCTGCTTATCTGACAGGAGGCAGAGCTCAGGTGGTAATGAGAGCGATGGGGAGCAACTATAAATACAGATGAAGCTTCACTCACCCACTGCTCACCTCCTGCTGTGCGGCCCAGTTCCTAACAGATCACAGACAGGTACTGATCCATGGCCCAGGGGTTAGGGACCCCTGTTATAAAGTACCCAGCCTTGGGTATTCCTTTATAGCAACACAAACAGACTAAGACACATGCTTTATCACAATGTATTTGCCTAAATACTTATTGAAATACTACTATGTACTAGGATCTACGTTAGGCATTGGAGGATGTAATGGTAAATAAAAACAGACATGGTTCTTGTTCTCATGAGCTTACCTCTTAGTCAAGAGAACTGATATTAAATAAACACACAAATAAGTACATAAGTACTAATTATTTAAGCTGCTTTGAATAAAATAAGGTTTATTTATTTATTTTTTCCTTTTTTAAGACAGAGGCTCACTCTGTTGCCCAAGTTAGAATGCAGTGGCACGATCTTGGCTCACTGCAACTTCTGCCTCCTAGGTTCAAGCGATTTTCATGCCTCAGCCTCCTGAGTAGCTGGGATTACAGGCATGCGCCATCTTGCACAGCTAATTTTTGTATTTTTAGTGGAGATGAGGTTTCACCATGTTGGCCAGGCTGGTCTTGAATACCTAACCTCAAGTGATCCACCTGCCTTGGCCTCCCAAAGTGCTGGGATTACAAGCATGAGCCACCGTGCCCAGCCTAAAATAAAGTTTCTTAAATAACAATACCAAAAGACCTGATCCGGTATGCAAGATTAAGGAAAACTTAAGTTTGGAAATTATACTTAAGTTGAGATATAAAGGAAGCATAGAAATTACATTGGTAAAATTTGGAATGGAGGTGGCTTTTTCAGGCAAAGGGAACAGCACATGCCAAGACCTTGCATCTGGGTGAAAATGTCTCACTCAACTGACAAGATCAGGGTGGCCAGAGTAGAGGAATCAAAGGGCATAGAATTATGAGACAGGATGATTAAAAGATACTTGGAGTCATGTTAAAAATGTTGATCTTTATTGTAAGATCAATAGGCAACCATTGAAGTTTTTTTTTGTTTTTGTTTTTGTTTTTTTTTAGACAGTCTCACTCTGCCGCCCAGGCTGGAGTACAGTGGTGTGATATTGGCTCACTGCAACCTCCCCCTCCTGGGTTCAAGCAATTCTCTTGCCTCAGCCTCCTGAGTAGCTGGGATTACAGGTGTGCACCACCACGCCCAGCTAATTTTTGTATTTTTAGTAGAGACGGGGTTTCACCACGTTAGTCAGGCTGGTCTCGAACTCCTGACCTCATGATCCGCCTGCCTCAGCCTCCCAAAGTGCTGGGATTACAGGTGTGAGCCACCATGCCTGGCCACCATTAGAGAGTTTGAAGATGGGGGAGGGGCAATGGGAGCAAATGGCATTTGGAAAAATCCCATTCTGGTTGATGCATGGAGAATGGATTGGAAGAGGACTGTTGGGAGGGCATTGCAGTTGTTCAGGCCAGAGATGAGATAGGGGAGACCAGCATAGTGGAGGGGGAGATTCAAGACATCGAAGGAATTACAAGGTCTTGGGAAGAGTCTATCACAGGTCCCAGGTGAGAGTGACAAAGGTGACAAGGATGGGTCTCATTTCTGGCTTGCATGCCTGGAGGAATGGGGAAACTATTCAATGAGGTAACATCTCTGAAAAGCGTCAGGTTTCGGACAGGGTGGGTGGTGAGACACACAGAGTTAAGTTTTTAAAATGTTGAGTTTTAGCGGCCCTTGAGATTTAAAGATGTAAGATTAGAATAGGATCTCAGAGAAAAGGTTTGGGCTGAAGATATCAAAATGTGGCATGACTCACACAGCTAAGTCTCAGGGTTGAAGCTTACAAAGAAAGTCTGAAGTGAGAAGACAACAGGTCTCAGGATCAGCCTGGAGGGACTCCAGTACCTGTGACTCGTGTAGCAGAAGTGCAATAAAATTTTTTTATAATAACATGAAGAAGAAAGAAGAGAAGGAGGGAAAAGGATGAAAAAATAAGAGTGAAAGAGACTGTATTGGATTCAAGGTCTGGCTCTGCCATCTCAACAAGTTTCTTATTCCTCCAAGCCTCAGTTCCCTGTCTGTAAAATGGAAAGAAGGTGGTTCATATCTCATGTATGTACTATGCGGATTAAATAATGTAATATTTGACACTTAGCAAATGCTCAGTGAACTTAGCAATTATTACTCTGTGGATGGCACAAGGCTGGCTCTTAATGTTATTTATGGGAGTCATGAATGAATAAATCATTGGTTGAATAAATGGTAACTATCTCCTTTCTCATATAATTATTTTTTCTGAAATCCCATTTGTATTAAGAGTAATGGAGTCAGGGCGGAGTAGACGGCGTACGTGTGAGTTATGCATTTCATGGAGTAACCTGGAGCATGAATTTTAAGCCTCTATCTCATCAAAGAAATGGGAAATATTAAGGCATGATTTTTTTTTAAGACAGATTAGACAATCTGTGTTGTGTTCCTTTTCTCTAGGGAAGTAAAAGCAACCCTGTATTACCCTGTGTTACACATCTCAGGATGGATTTTGCAATTTCTCCACTGAACTTTTTCACCCTGCCTACACTTACAATTTTTAAAAGTCCATATTAGTTTGAGAGACCTCATCTCTTAGAGCTATCATCTCCCTATGCACTTTTACGACACAGTTAAAAAGGCAAAAAATATCAAAAGTTATAAGAGACACCAACATGACTGGACAAATGAGGTGTTTCTAGGAGGTTGGAAGTAACCTTGAACTCATACATTCTGGTTTATGTGAACCCAGCAAAAGTAAGAGGGACCTCTCATTGCAAACACTTGGGTCCATCAGCCTAACCAGCCTTCTCTTTATACTAACATTTTAATTAGCATCAGACATCTGCATGGATTAAAAAAGAAATAGTAATGAGAGTGACCTGAGAGCTATTGTCATTGTATTTTATTGAGTGCCTATCCATTTAATGGCTGAAATGTAACAATTTTAAAAACCAGGGTTGTTACTAGAAAACAAACATAAAGAACAATTGATGACACTATTGCATCTTTGGATAGAAATAAATATTTTCTTAGGATTGATTCAAGGAATTTCACTTTCTCTTTGCTTGACCCTCTGAGAACATGGGAGTGGCATGTCATAAATGTCATCTCTTAAACAATGACTTGAAGATTAATGCCAACGTGTTCCCAGTCAACAGGCATGAGTTGGCTCTACTTTGGAGGAAGTCACGGAACCAAGGATATTGCCTGGAATCTCATAAATTAAAAAGGATAATACTAATGAATAATGCAATCTGACAGTATTTATAATGGCTCCAAAATCTCAGTATAGAGATATCATGCACCATCATTCTGAAATATGCTTCTCTTCACATGTTAACCACTGTGAAAAAGAATGTATTGTGTGACTAGTAGCATCTTAGAAACATGATGATAATGAGAAGAACATACAATAACTAGAATTTATCGGGTGCTTACATTGTGTGCTGGGAACCATGCTAAGCCTTTTTTATGCAGTAGCCATTTAATCCTTACAGTAATTCTACAGGGAAGGTACTGTTGCTCTCCTCATTTTGTGGAGAAAGAAACTGAGGTACAAAAAGATCAGATAATCCAAGGCCGCTAACCCAAGGCCAGTAGATTAGGGAATGATGAAACTGAGATTAACAAAAAGGCTTATATGACTCCAGACTAAGCTCTCTTAACATGAACTGGGGGGCAATTTTATAAGTCTCTCCCTCTAGCCAACAAATAACTCTTCCTCCTTGTTAAAAAAAAATAGTAACAGAAGATCATATAATTAGATATATACACATTTTGTGAATTTGAAAGAAAATAGGAATAGCATTGAATCTATACATTGCTTTGGGCAGTATGGCCATTTTCATGATATTGATTCTTCCTATCCATGAGCATGGATTCTTTTTCTGTCTGTTTGTGTCCTCTCTGATTTCCTTGAGCAGTGGTTTCCAGTTCTCTTTGAAGAGGTCCTTCACCTCCCTTGTTAGCTGTATTCCTAGGTATTTGGTTCTCTTTGTTGCAATTGTGAATGGGAGTTCATTCATGATTTGGCTCTCTGCTTGTCTGTTGTTGCTGTATAGTAATGCTTGTGATTTCTGCACATTGATTTTGAATCCTGAGACTTTGCTGAAGTTGCTTATCAGCTTAAGAAGCTTTCAATTTTAGGTATCATTACTATTGTTGTTGTTAAGAAATAAGAAAAACAATGGGAATTTTCAGAAAAGAAAAAAACTAGAATAGCAGAGATTTTGGAAACCGAGTCCAATGGCTTGTGTGCTGACCTCAGTTTTGTTTGTTTTGCCAAATACCACCTGAACTATTTACTTCTATTTATGTAACTTACATTACTTATATTTATGATTCACTTTACAAACTTTAAAATGATTTTATCTAATGTGACTATAAGAACAGTCTAAAGTGTCAAACTATTACAGTTTTTAAAAATTCTGTGTGCCCCCAAGAACGTTCTGGAGCACCAGAAATGGATTGTATTCCCCACATTGGAGACTCTGGTGAGAATGACCATGGGGAATGCAGGAGAAAAGACAAAAGAAAGCAAACAATGGCTAGGAGACGTGGTGGCTCCAGACCTCTCATCTCCAACTTCTTTTTTCAACTTCCCAAGGAATCCCCATAGGGCATGACTCGGTTGCCTGGGAAACTCCAGTCTGTATAACCTGACCACATGTCATCCTGTGACAGATGGGAGAGCCTGTTAGCCACACTGAGGACTTGTCATAGACATGTCACCCTAGGTCTGCACATTTCATGTACAGTGAGCTCTGAATTTAAAATCAAATGGTTACTCATCAGGAAGGAAAGGCGTCACAAAATAAAACATGAAATGTTCTAAATTCAACAGTGGATTTAAGAGCATATAACAACACTGTGGTCTCGTGTACACAGGCAAAAAATGCAGCAGCACCCAAATGTTTAGTTTCGAAAAAATGGAAACATCTAGTCAGTTCTACTCCCGTGTCTTCTCTGTGGTCCAATTAATCAAATCAGAATGAACTCGAAACTGGTAGCCACTTGCCAAGCCTGCAAAAAATGTCTTATTCTGATTATTAAATAAACAACTCCTAAAAAAGGAAGTATTTTGAAGAAAGACAAACATTTTCTTCCCTCTGAATTGCAGTGTATTGAACTCCTCCCACGAGTTGGTGGTAGGAAAAGACTAAACTAGCTAGAAGCTGAGAATGTATCAAATCATTCTTCATTCCAAACATAAGATACCAAAATGTCTAAATTGGCTCTTAAAAATTTAGCAGTGTTATTGCTTTGTCTTCCATTTTAAAGAAAATAATTATGACACATTTTTGGATAGTAAAAGGTTTGATTATATATTTTTTCACAGAGTTTTATAAGATTAGTTTTCTCTTAAATGTGGAAGCTTCAGTGGCCAATATTAATGAATTCAATTTTGATTTCATATATTCTTTTTTAATGATTTTTTAATGTCATCATTCAGAAGGCTAGTTTTCACAACCCCAAGGCAGCCTGGTGTTGAGGTAAGAATCCACTGATTTAGACAGCAAGGTCAGAGTTTCAACCCTGACTGCTACATACAGCCTATAACGGCAGTATGCCACTCACTCTACCTTTATGATCTTTATATTCATCATAAGGAAAGTGGTAACCCTTCACATGATTGTTGGGGCTATAAGTGAAACAGTGAAGTGGGTACTCTTTGTGGTTGGACAGAAGAAAAAAATACATCTGCAAGGATACATATCAAATTCTCAACCACACTGTCCTTTAGGGTATTGAGGATTTGTGAAGGTGCATCTTGAGGAGGGGACTGAGTATATGGGGTGATGAAGGACTCCTATTTTATATTTTACACACTTCCAAACTATTTGAATGATATGTGAAAAGGAACATGCCTCATGTGTAAATATCAAAGATTAACAAGACATATAAGAATAAAAATGGCAAGAAGACAAAAAGAAGGGGTTCATGGTTCTTGATTTGTTTGCTGAACTAAGTGAAACTAAGTGGATTTCCATGCTTGTGTTCCTTCTCTCCTCAGAACCATGGGGGCTCTTCCAGCGCTGTCTCGATTCTAAGGTCAGTTGTGCAGGAGAGTCACAGGAAAGGCAGCACCCCAGAAATCCTGGTCCACTCAAGGTCCAAACTGCCTCATTAAATAGCCTGAAATCCTTGAAGCATTAAAAAAAGAGAGTGAGAGAGAGAGAAGACAAAGAAAATGAAAACGTAAACCCCCAGCAAACTTCTGTAGTCACTCTGTTTATCATAACTATAGTCCTAACACTATTACTATCAATAATTAACAGTTACTGTAATTTTGCTATGGTCTTGGGATTATGCTTAGTATTTTTAAATCAATGTTTCATTTAATGTTTGCACAATATTTGAAGACATTATTATCATCCCCATTGTGGACACGTGAAAACTCATGCTAGAGGGTTCAGGTAACTGAGCTGTAGTCACAGGTTACCAAGTTATGAAGCTGCAAACCAAATTCCAGCAACCTGGAATGCTACATGGGATTGAACAGCAGAAGCTTAACAGTACTAAAGAAGAGAAGTTGGCAAACTCGTTCTTTCTGAATACAGTTGAGTTTCTTGTGGCCTTGGATTACAGACTCAACATCATTAGTGTTATAAGGGATGGTGCAGGTCTTTGAGTTCGATCTCTCTGTCAGTAAGAGAGAGTAAAGAATCTTTTCCACATATCTATGACAGATGATCTTCTATCTCTGTTTAAACAGCTCTAATAAAAGAAAATTCAAGATATATGTGAACAAATCTTTGCACTGCTGAATAATTCCACTCATTATAACCTCTTCCTTAAATGAAGCATAAATTGGTTGCCCTAAGAAATTGCACCAAAGACCTTGGTTCTCGTATCTGGAGAGCCACATAGGTACGTGTTACCTCTTCTGTAGAATAATGTGATAATGTTTGAAAGATATGAATGCAATGCTAAATTTGGGTGGTTTCTCTAAAAGAGAAAGTAGAGTCTGGGCTTAAGCAACCACGGTTCTAGACTCAAACCTCACTTTGGCTCTTTGCTAGCCATTAATCTTTGAGCAAGTTCCTTAAATTCTGAGTCTCTATCTATTTGAATCTACAAATTGAGGAATACAGTATCCTTGCCATAGGACTTATGAGAACAAATATGAAGTTCCCAGTGCAGGATAGTGCCAGGCACAGAATAAGTATCTAGGACGTGTTGGTTTTCTCTTCTTTCACTCTTTTGTTTATCTTTCTGATTTCTCTCTAGTGTTTTTATGAACCTCTTGAAACATGAGACTCTCACATAGACACAGTCCTCCAGATGACTCTAATGCAAAGGAAGGCAAAGAAAGGCTGGACTGCAGATCTCATGACATAAACAGTGATTTTCTATTTAAATGTCTTCATTATTCCGAAGATACATATAGCCTAAAAATAGGTGAAAAAATCAAATCCCTCTTCCCTGCTTCCTAACCAAATCTGACGTCTCCAGTATTAAACTTACTGATTTTACTATTAGCCCCAAAAGACTATCATTTCTCCTTATTGAATTCTGTTTTCTAGCTCTTAGTCCATTGTTCCTACCTGTTGATACTGTGTTTTGGTTCTGTCACCTATGCTATTAGCAATCTCTCCCCCACTTAGTGTCAGCTGAAAATGTGATAAGCACACTTTCAACCCAAGGAACTGATTATAAAAAGGAAAAACAGGACAGGTCCCAGGAGTGCTCCCATGTCACATTGCTGCAGACCTCCCACCAAGTTGACAAGAAGTCATTAATCAACCCTGGCTGGATGGAGCTCCTCCATCATTGGTGATTGTGTCCAGCGGTCCTACCATGTAGTTCCTATGTCATAATTCTATACATGGCTGTCAGGGAGACTTTATAAAATGCTTCTCTGGAACCAAGATACATTCAGCCCCTATACTATCAGCCTTCTAATAAAACCATCAACATAGGATGTAGAGTTATTTTGGCACAAAATCACAAACTGCATTAGTCTCAATACTCATTTATATATTATATATGCTCACAATATTACCATTGACGCTAGGCTCTTTTTTTTTTGGAGACAAGAGTATTGCTCTGTTGCCAGGCTGGAGTGGAGTGGCACAATCTCAGCTCACTGTATCCTCCGCCTCACAAGTTCAAGAGATTCTCCTGCCTCAGCCTCCCGAGTAACTGGGACTACAGGTGCATGCCGCCATGCCAGGATGGTCTCGATTTTTTGACCTCGTGATCCACCCACCTCAGCCTCCCAAAGTTCTGGGATTACAGACGTGAGCCACCATGCCCAGCCAGATGCTAGGCTCTTTAGAAAATATTACTTTTCTTAAAAAGATGAAATTACTTCTTTGGTTTCCAGAAGTGATTAACATGGATATCCTCCAGTTTAGAGCATCTGAGTGTTGCTAAGCTAGTGGAATACTTCCTATTCTCTAATAAAATTCAAAAGTTACAGAAAATTACGCTAATGAATCTCTAGACCTTAGAACTGTTTTTACAATCCCTGAAGGAAGGTATCTGCTCTTATGCACGTGATCATGATCTTCTTTCCTTCAGAGGATAACAGTTTCCACTTTTCAAGAATATGTTTGATCTTCTCTTAGCTGTTAGAAAATAGAGCCATGAAGCTTCAATTCAGATCAGAGGAGGAAGAAAAATGAACATCGTAAAAGCAAAACTTTATTATTTTACCAAACAAGCCTTAGCTCTTATTCACGCATCTTCCTTACGTCATTTCCAGTTTATTTGTTATATTTTAAATTATGAAAATGGTTTAGAAAACTGTTTTTTAATCTTATTTTAACAAGCTTCCTGAATACAGTCACCTCAGCACAAAATCTAAAAGATATTGGCTTTTGTTTATATGTATTCATATTTTACCTATTTGCAATCATATTTATTTGTATTTTTAAACTAGTAATGAAATATGCCTTCATTTTTACTGTTACACATTCTAGTGATAAGACTGAAGCCCAGTTTGGTATAGCAGCTGCCTGAGCTATAATATAGATCTTAAAACACTGAAAGCCTAAAAAGTACATAATTTTTAATTTAATTTTTATATAAATATTTTAAAATCCTATCTATATTAGTAAAGAATTGCCTTATCTATTTTATTTATTTACTTATTTATTTATTTATTATTTAATTATTTATAGCACCGGGGTCTCACTGTCTTGCCCAGGATGGTCTCAAACTCCTGGGCTCAAGTGATCCTCCTGTGTTGGCCTCTCAAAGTTCTGGGCTTATGGGTGTGAGGCACCATTCCTGGCCTTGAATTATTTTCTTAATATTAATTCACCTGAGAGAAAGAATTGGATCAAAATGAATGAGTATGTTATTCCTTTTTTTTCTTTTTCACTAAAGACATGTGATCCCTGCATTTTTATTCTTAATGTCTATTGCCATAGCCATTTACAATAATTCATAGTGCTACCACTCATGCATAGATATTGCTTAAACTGTTAATTTTCTAAGCACTCTGTTTTAATGGAGACCTTTCCTTTTTGTATTTGTTCCACCCAGTGCTATGTTTGTGGCTTTTAGATATTAGGGAGTATATAAATTTGTTACATCAATTTTCTCTATGATAAATTATAAAGAAAATTATTCTATTTAGTTTTATTCATCTCCTCATGAAATAGTACAATTAGATTTTGGGATGTGACAACCTTACATCATTTTGTTTTTCTAAAATATCTAACTGGTATTTTTATCAGAGAGTTGGTTGTAATGCTAACATTATTACAGCTATGCATAAACCAACAATGGCCACTACAAGGCTTGTAAAAGCACATGTAAAATATGAGATGACTTTCCAAATTCACCAAATTTGTCTGCCATAGAAAAAAACTGTTGAGAACTCATTGGTGCCAAGTAGGTAGGTGCTATGGAAAAGCAAAGATGAATAAGACATAGCTGTTATATTGAGAGAGGTGTCATTGCTGAGCGATAATAAAGGAAATCTTGAAAAAAATAAAACAAAAAGGCCCCACAGAAATAGAGGCAGAATGTGGAAAAGTCCCAAGTGGAATGAAATGTTATGGCATTTAGAGATTGGAGAAATGAATTTGGGGTTTAAAACTCCCTGTTTGGGGCAGGAAGGGGTGGTGGAATTTATGGTGATTAAGATTTATCAAAACTCAAAAAAAGACTTTTTTTTTCTGTCTCTCGAGTTATAAAATAGTGCCAAATAAGGCTAATTCCTGGGGAATCAGAAATAAACTCTTCTCCCTAGAGAAGGGTCTTCTCTTAGTCTTTGTTTTTTAAAAGCTGAGATTGTGCTGAGCAATGCAACTCTGGGAATTGTGCTGTGGGAGAATGCAGTGTGTTTGGGGTGTGTTTGCTTTTGGGTGGTGCTTTCCCAAGGAGTAGAGTTTGGTCTGGGGTCCAGAAAATCTCTGGAAAATGGGCTTGGCTTCCCATCGTCCTGCAAGAGTGGAATGTGCCTTGTACACTTAGCCACCAGCATGGTTTGCCATCCAACACTAGGGACTGCAAAAGACAATCTGTCATTCCAATATTTCTCAGCAAGCCCACCAAAGACCAGATGCTTGTATCTTCTTGTTTTTCCTCTGCCACCGAGAAATCCCACTGTAGCTAGTCCTGGGTCTGGAGAATGGAATGTATGCGTTGCATTCCTTTCTAGGATAGCTGATCAGGGTTGTCTGCCGCCTTACCCTGTGAGAAAATTTGTTTATTGATCTTCAGTAAATCTGGGAGCCTACATTCCAGCACAGCTTGTCAAAATACTGGTCAAGTTAATATGTCATTTGATTAGTCCCTCATGGCCACCAAGGATCCCAGAAATTTGATACATAAAGAAATATAAATCACCTCCTTTTTTCTCCCTTTACCTTTTCTCCCACTACTGTTAAAATATTAAGCCATTCAACTTTGCTGATCAATCTTGAAATGCATACTACAATTCGTTTCAAAAGAAAGCTGGGAAGCATGGCTACAAAGCTTGGCTCTGCCACTGTGATCAAGTGGGCTGGATTTAAGTGTGTGGTTTCTCATGCAATGAGAATATTCTCCCAAATCTTCTTTTTTTTTTTATACTTTAAGTTTTAGGGCACATGTGCACAATGTGCAGGTTTGTTACATATGTATACATAGGCCATGTTGGTGTGCTGCACCCATTAACTCGTCATTTAACATTAAGTATATCTCCTAATGCTATCCCTCCCCCCTCCCCCCACCCCACAACAGGCCCCGGTGTGTGATGATCCCTTTCCTGTGTCCATGTGTTCTCATTGTTCAATTCCCACCTATGAGTGAGAACAAGCGGTGTTTGGTTTTTTGTCCTTGCGATAGTTTGCTGAGAATGATGGTTTCCAGCTTCATCCATGTCCCTACAAAGGACATGAACTCATCATTTTTTATGGCTGCATAGTATTCCATGGTACATATGTGCCACATTTTCTTAATCCAATCTATCATTGTTGGACATTTGGGTTGGTTCCAAGTCTTTGCTATTGTGAATAATGCCGCAATAAACATACGTGTGCATGTGTCTTTATAGCAGCATGATTTATAATCCTTTGGGTATATATCCAGTAATGGGATTGCTGGGTCAAGTGGTATTTCTAGTTCAAGATCCCTGAGGAATCGCCACACCGACTTCCACAATGGTTGAACTAGTTTACAGTCCCACCAACAGTGTAAAAGTGTTCACCACCAAATCCTTAAATAACTGGCCCCTTCTCACCATTCAAGTGTCAGTTAATCTAGCAACACCTCAGACAGGGCTTCCCTGACCAATTTAGGTACCTTCTCTTCCCCATTTCCCTATTGCTCACCATCCCATTATATTCTGATATTGTATTATGATGATTTAATTTTGTGTTTATTTTCATCATAGAACTTGTCACTATCTAATGTTATCCCATTTATTAATATTATTGTTATTGTTATTATTTGTCTCCTTTAGCAAGAGGAATGTAAACTTCATGAGAGATAGGAGATTTTTCTGTCTGTCTTACTTTTTTTTTTTTTTTTTTTTTTTTTTTTTTTTTGAGACAGAGTCTTGCTCTGTCCCTCAGGCTGGGAGTGCGGTGGCACGATCTCGGTTCACTGCAGCCTCCACCTCCCTGGTTGAAGTGATTCTCGTGCCTCAGCTGCCCAAGTAGCTGGGATTACAGGCACCTACCACCACACCCAGATAATTGTTTTCTTTTGTATTTTTAGTACAGATGGGGTTACACCATGTTGGCCAGGCTGTTCTCAAACTCCTGACCTCAAGTGATCCACTGCCTAGGCCTCCTAAAGTGTTGGGATTACAGGCATGAGCCACCGCACCTGGCCTATTTATCTGTAATGCCTGGCACATTTTCAGGCATAGAATAAACAGTCAATATGTGTTTGTTCAAAGCAAAGTTAAACGAATGGGATTTGTCAATGGATTCTTATGTATGACACCAAAAACAGAAGCAACAGCAACAACAAAAAATAGATAAATTGTACTTCATCAATACTAAAAACATTTGTCCACCAAAGGACAATATCGATAAAGTCAAGAGACAGCTTACAGGATCAAAGACAATATTTCAAATCATATATCTGTAAGGGTTCAATATCCAAAATGTACAAATAACTACAACTCAACAACAAAAGGACAACCAAGCCGATTCTTTAAAATGGGCAAAGGATTTGAATAAACATTTCTCCCAATAAGATATACAAATGGCCAACAGGCACATGGAAAGGTGCTCACCACCACCCATCATAAGGAAAATGCAAATCAAAATGATAGTAAGATGCCATTTCATACCCACTAAGATAGCTGCACAAAAAAAAGACATGGAGAAGGCAGAACCTTTGTATGTTGCTGGTAGGAATGTAAGATGGTATAGCTAATGTGGAAAATAGTCTGCATGCTCCTGAAAAAGATAAACAGAACTACCACATGACCTAGCAATTCCACTTCTAGGTATATACCCAAGAAAGTTGGAAATAGGCACTAAAATATGCTTCTACACCAACTTTCATTGTAACTTTATTCATGGTAGCCAAAGGTGAAAACAACCTGTCTATCAACAGATGAATGGATAAACAAAATGTAGTATATCCGCAGAATGGCATATTATTCAGTCATAAGAAGGAAAGAAGTTCTGATTCATGCTACAACATAAATGAACTTTGAAAATATCATGCTAGGCCAGGCACGCTGGCTCACGCCTGTAATCCCAGCACTTTGGGAGACTGAGGAGAGCATACCACGAGGTCAGGAGTTTGAGAGCAGCCTGGCCAACATAGTGAAACCCCATCTCTACTAAAAATACAAAAATTAGCCAGGCGTGGTGGTGCACGCAGTATTCACAGCTACCCGGGAGGCTGAGACAGGAGAATCGCTTGAACCCAGGAGGTGGAGGCTGTGGTGAGCCGAGTCCACACCACTGCACTCCAGCCTGGGCAACAGAGCGAGCCTCCATCTCAAAGAAAAAAAAATCATGCTAAATGAAATAAGCCAACTCATAGTACAATATTTAAGATCCCACTAATATGAAACTTCTACAATAGGCAACTTCATAGAGACAGAAAGTATATTTAGAGGGGCTGGGGGCAGGGGAATAGAGTTATTGCTTGATGGTTACAGAGTTTCCGTTTGGGGTAATAAAAAGGCTTGGGAATCGATAGTGGTGATGATGGTAAAATATTCTGAATGTAATTAATACCACTGAATTTTACACTTAAAGATGGCTAAAATGGCAAATTTTATGTTATATATAACATGATGTTATATTTAAGCGCCTTTTTTTCCCAACTTGGATTGTATTCCTAATATGCTTTGGAGGTATATCAATATGATTTTTGTATAACATTTGTGTTGAATGAATGAATACATGACTTTTAAAAAAATTTAAGAAACTCAATCATTATATAAATCCAGCAGAGCATTTATCATTTAGTATCTGCCAGGACCAGGAGATACAAGGAGAGTAAAGTATAGAAAATTCATTGCTCCAAATGTTTTCTCCCTAGTAAGGAAAATCATGTATATCCCTGAAGAAACCTGTTGTGAAAATGAAAATGCCTTCAGGCTGAGAACTTTTTTTTTTTTTTTTTTTTTGAGACAGGGTCTCACTCTGTTGCCCTGGCTGGAGTGCAATGGCATGATCTCGACTCACTGCAACCTCTGCATCCCGAGTTAAGCGATTCTCCCACCTCAGACTCCCAAGTAGCTGGGACTACAGGCACGTACCACCACACAGGGCTAATTTTTTGTAGTTTTTGGCAGAGATGGGTTTTCACCATGTTGGCCAGGCTGGTCTCGAACTCCTGATCTCAAGTGATCTGCCCACCTCGGTCTCCTAAAGTGCTAGGATTACAGGCGTGAACTACTGCGCCAGGCACAGGTTGGGAACTTTTGATGCTGTCTATGTTCTTCCCTGGAAGCGAGCTTTAAAATTATGTCTTCTGGGAAGCCTTCTCTCAAGCATGGGCTAGGTTAAGCTCCCTGTCAAAGGCTTGTGCCCAACACAGCTTAGGCTTTTTCGATAACGCTCCTTCGAATTGGTGTCCCTCACATGTGGCACACTGTCCCTAGTATGTGGCACACTGTAGATTCCCAATAAAAACATATTAAAGCCCGGCATGATGGCTCACTCCTGTAATCCCAGCACTTCAGGAGGCTGAGGCAGATGGATCACTTGAGTTCATGAGTTTGAGACCAGCCTAGGCAACGTGGTGAGACCTCCTCTCTGCTAAAAATACAAAAAAGTAGCCAGGTGTGGTGTCACACACCTGTGGTCCCAGCTACTTGGGAGGGTGATGTGGGAGGATTACTTGAGCCTGGGAGGCAGAGGCTGCAGTGAGCCAAGATCGTGCCACTGCACTCCAGCCTGGGTGACAGAGTGAGACTTCATCTCAACAAACAAACAAATAAATGTGTTAAGGAATGCAAGTTGTAAATGTAGCCAGAAGATCCTAATTCTTCTAGGGCATCATGACAAATTACAGAAATTTAACTTCATGTAGAACATCAAACTCCCTAGCTAAATTGTCAAATTAGAGTGGGCATTCTTTTTTCCATCTTTAATAGACGTTCCCAGCCAAGTAGCTTTTTTAAGCTCAAAATCTTCAAAGCAGCATGTATTTCTTTGAGTTACTGTGAAGAGAAAAATGCCCCATACAATTTATTCAAGGTCCATTAAGAAACCCTATTAAACTCTTTCCCTCCAAACATATGTAGTCTTAGAGAGTATGGCTGTGTGTGTTTGTATGTCTATGTAAGATATACATGTCTTTGAGACATATCATTTCCATCCTGAAATGCTCCAGTTGGATATTTCATGTTGCACAGGATGAAGGGCGTTTAGAGGGATGGGGGAGGCAGAATCATTCTGAAGGCTGCAGGGACTGAAGATTTCAGAACGTCTGACGGAGTAAGCCTGGCTCTGACTATAGAGCCTCTTCCTCTTCAGATCCCAGGGGGCTCTTTCTCTGCAACTGTAGGCATCTTAATCTCTTTGAGCCTCAGAGTCTTTGTTGTAAAGGTAGAATCATTTGACCTGAATAATTTGATCATAGTAAGGGTTAAAGGAGGTGATGAGTAAAGTCTCTCACGATTTCGGGTGGTTAATTAAGCCATTCTCACCACCACCACCACCACCATTTTCTTTCTGATAAAGTAAATGAAGCAAGGCGTGTGATAATGAGGGCTAAAGGGCCTCTATAAACCAGGACCCCACCCCGGGCCCCACCATAGAGCCTAAGCTCTGTGATCTGCTGGATGCCTCAGATCTGAGAACAGCCACAGAAGAAAGAAATGTGATCCCTTTCTGAGGACCCAGGACCCTGAGTTACTGTATATATTCAGTTTATCAATTATCAAGAGCATTTCCTGTCATATCCACACATTTAACAGTATCCTCCTTCTCAAGAGCCCATTGGCACACTCGATTTTAAAATGTCCTTGTAAAAAAGAACAACAGAGATTTTCTACAAGGCCCATCTGCCTTTTAATTTTATTTCTGTCCCTAGGTCCCTAGTGGTTTTTGTTTTGTCTGGTTCTACATTTACGTGGAATTGCTCAGGGATGTTTTTTATGGTTAGAAAGTGCCTGATTTCTGTAGCTATCTATGTGTGAACATAAACCTCACCAGTTTACAAGAAGCTTGGACGTTCCAAATGGTAGAGGAATGGTTTGTGCAATGCTTGGTACTAGTTCCTGAGGCTTCTGTTCTGTCACTTTCCAGAAAGAATTAGGTAGTACCAGAATTATTAGAGAATCATTTATGTTTATGTAGGGCATGTATAAAGCTTGCACCAAAACAAGCAGTGATAAAAGTACAGGGTTCTGCCTCTTGCAAGGAAATTTCTCAAATGGCCAGGATGGATTTCAGCCTATCAAGGATAAAACTGTTGAACTAGACCTCTGGCTAGGCATCAGAGAGTCTCCATTTCCCATTCTCTAAGGCAAAAAATATGAACCAGTTTCCACTGGCAGTACTGGAGGTGATTTTCATAAGTGCATGAACAAAATAACAATGAAATCTCAGGGACTGAATGTAATTGAAAAGGGACTCACTTTCTTATTTGCTGATTACATCAAGGGGAAGTTCTCTCTTGGCTCAGCCCCAGCGTGTCTTTAATTCTTCTCTGTTAAAAAGGGAGATTAGCAAGCATTAACGAGAGAACAGGCTTCAGGCTAGAGCCTTTGGCAGGCGACAGTATCCAATTGGAAGGTAATGAAAAAAAAAACAGTGAAAATAATAGAATGTTTTAAAATTTTTATTGTGGCAAATGATATAAAGATTCCTTTTTATGTATTTCTATTTGGGAAAAAAGTGAGTTGGCTTAAGGAGAAATATTATGGAAATATTAATACACATGGTCTTTTGGATATCACCTGGAAGATTCCAATCCATCAGGGGTTCTGTCTATATCTATAACCTACATTTTGCCCCTTTACTTCCAGCCTGAGGGTAAAGAACAAACATGGGAAATTCTGAATTTCTTGAAAATTCTACAGAAAATAGAATAATGGCCCCTTAGCTATTTCCTTCATGTTTACAGTTACAGCCTGCTTTAATTAGATAATCTCTAAGATTCCTTCAAGCTGTAGCTGCTCACTTTTTAGATGAGACTGTTGGGGCTCAAAGAGGTAATGGAATTTGCCCAAATTCACAGGACAAGGAACTGGCAGACCCAATACAAGGACCCATGGCTCCCTGTTCCCCATCTGCCGAGTGAAGCTGTCTAAGAAGGTTGGGGCAATATTCCTCTCTTCTCCTGTTCCAAATGTGGTTTTATCCTGCCAAATCTAGCCTGTAGGTATTGGCCAACTGGGACAAGAGGGGTCTCAGCTTGCCAACTTCGAGGCCAAGACCATCTGGTGTGTGAGAAAGACATGTGTGATGATGACCTCAGGGATGAGATGACACCAGCCCCAAAGCCCCTGGGGACCCTGCAGTTCCGTTCTTCCAAAGAGTCCAGTGATGGTCTCTTCCTTCCTATGACATAGGAGACTACCCTGTGTTTATTGTTCCCACAGCCCAGTCCCAGGGTGGGCCTTCTGTGACTGCTTCTCAGCCCCACCCTGTCTAAACATGCAGCCCCTACTGAGCTCTCTTCAGCCATCCCAGCAGAACTTTGCTAAACCCTACTGCTGACAAAAGCCAAAAGCCATTTAACAAATGCCAGAGATGTCTATGTCATTTTGTTTATTAGATTTGGTCTCCTTTACAGTTAGAGGTCTACTTATTTTTTAACAAAAATTTCTTTTTACTAAAAAATTGGCATAGGAAAATTATTTCCTAGACTCCTGTACGCAATAAGTCATCTGTCCATTTACAGTGTCATGCATAATACTACTGAGTCATGAATGGTGGATCCATTCAAAGACCAAAACCTACAAAGAATGCATTAGCCCAAATTTTTCCTCACAGGGCTTTTCTTTTTTTCATTTTGTAATCAGGACATCTGGGAATTCTATAAAATCAAGTGCTTTGATATGAAGAAAGGAAAAGCCTATTAGTTTGTTTTCATATACAAGCAAAACAGATTCACAGATTTATCAAGAGAATTCTGCTATAATGATACCTGAGCTGGGACAGTGAATCTTTTTGAAACTTATGTTAAGGGTATTCCCTTAAGCACCAGAATTTACCCTCAGCAGTCTAGATAGACAATCCCAAATGTAACAAACAAATCATACGGATGAAAACTGGGAAGACAGATTTACAAAAGGATGGGGGAAATTGTGTTCCTCTTTCTCTCTTGCTCTGTCCTGAAATGTGGCTTCCACCTGCTCTTTTATTCTTCAGTGATAACTCTGAATGAAAGTGCCTGTATAGAATGAAAAACCAAACTGTGCTATCAGCAACTAGTTGAAAATCACTTCCTGAGCACATCTGGTGCTCAAGCAGAAGGGACTTGACATTTAAGCACAGGACAAGAACAGCAAAGTGGTCAAGAGCATTGCTGGGAGGTCAGACTGCCCTCATTTGAGAATCCTGGCTCCAACACTAACCAGTTCTGAGGATTCAGGCATGTGACTTCACCTCTTCAAGCCTCCATTCCCTTATCTTCTAAAGGGAGATTATAACAAGATCCTCCTCACAGGTTGTGGAAGGATCATGTAATACCTTTAGAATGTGCCTGGCACTAAGTTTTTATGGTTTTGATATGCATGTGCCAACAATAATAAAAAATTGCTAGCAGCCTTTGTGCATGGTGGAGACTGCTCCCTCCAAGGTGAAAAAACAGGGTCCTAAATTCTCTCCCTTGCTTCCTGCTGTATTTAAAAGAGAATGAGTAGAATTCTAATTCCAGCTCACCTACCAACTGAAGGTCTTAATATCAGGTAAATTACTTCCTTTCTGTATTTATCGGGACTCTTTTGGTTCTATGTGTCATGAACCCTACTCACACCATTAGACATAGAATGCAATTTATTAGAATATGCAGTTGGGAAGTCCAGGTACCAGCTTCAGGTACTATTGGATACAGAGATCGTAAATGACTAAACTCTGTTGACCTCAGGTACCAGCTTCAGGTACTATTGGATACAGAGATTGTAAATGACTAAACTCTGTTGACCTCAGATACCAGCTTCAGGTACTATTGGATACAGAGATTGTAAATGACTAAACTCTGTTGATGTCTTGTTTTCTGATGCATTATCCTCCTCCTTAGCCTTCTCTAATTCATGGCTTTGTTTCTACTGGGTCTTGTCTTATTCTTATCTATTGCACACAAGTTTCTTTTACATGTTTCAAGATATCCCTGATCATGTCTTCCAATTCTGTTTCCCAAAAGATAAAACCTCCTTTTCTTCAGCTCTACATGAGCAAAGTCCTGGAAAAGAATTAGAATGACCCAGCTTGGGACTTGGAAGTAAAAGCTGGGCTAATTGACACAATTGGAGAAATGTGGTTATAATTGTCTGGGTCTGCATTATATACCCAACCATCTCTCAGTAGACCAACATTGAATGGAATATATGCACAGAAGAAAGAGGGGTGTTCAAAAAAATGAGAATAGTTGTACCCTCTGAGAGAATGAATTTCCCTATGTTGAAGGGTTTACATCAAGATATAAGTTGTTCTTGGTAAAGGAACATGCTGGAATCTCAAGAAAAAAAATGGAACATATTACTTTTCACACTCTTCTGCATTTTCTCAATTCTATTGTGCTTTATAACCCAAGACTTTGATATCCTCCCCAGTGAAGACTTGGTTTTCTATTTGTTTTGCTTTTGACTTTGAGACCCACTGAAGCAGAAGATCTTCAAAAATGCTTTCAATTTGACATACTAAGATTGTTGTGAGGAAAGAAAACAATGACTCTTACTGGTGTGATTCCTGTATCTGGACCATAGGCTCAAATACCCACCCTTATTCAATTTTCACATCCCAAAGGAACAGGGAATTGGCCTCCAGAGAGTAGTTTGCGGTCTTATTTTCAACCCTAATCCCTTTCCATTCCCTGTCCTCCAGAGTAGATTAAGTGAAGGAAATTCAGAGAAGAGGAAATCATATAGTCAGCTATTTCCAAGAGACAAACTTAAGATGAATTCTGGGATGTAACTCTTATAAGCTATTTGAGCTTAAAAGTCATGTTGCATATGTGAGCCTCACCTTCCTCTCCTGTAAAATGGCATAAGGTTAACTTTTGATAAGATTAAATGAAACATTGGGAAGGGTACCTTCTGCTTCCAGATAACATAAATTGACAAGGTTTACCCTGGTTAACCCTTGAAACACCTGAAACAAACCAACAAACAAAAAGAGAAAAAATACATAGAAAAATGGTTTTCAGAACTCTGTGCATCAAACTACAAAAGAGTGATCCCTGAAAGATGAGGAAAAGATGATGGTGATAGGACTGCCATGGCCCCTGCTTACATCTTTGAAAGGGCTTCATCAGTCTGTGGTGTAGGGAAGGGGATCTCATATAAAGCCTGGAAGACTCTGAGTTGAAGAGTTGAGCTGAGTAACCAGGGAAACCAAGGTGGCCAGAGTATGCTGGGCAGAATCTTGGAAAGGAAAGAGCTGCACTTAGAGAAAACTCCAAAGATCATGAGATGGTCCTGCTTGAATATTCAACAGAGTACTAATCAGCCCAGGCATCTTAAGAAACGATTCCAAATAAAGGAAAGAATCATCCAAAATATTAAAGGGAAGATTGTCTGGTACTCAACACAGGACCAGAAATAATGTCTTTTACCCCAGCTATAACCCATACTTCTTAGGGAATTGGGTAGAGCCCTCAGGAAGCTCTTGCCTCCACAGTAGGGAATAATAAACCCTAGACTAAACACTGCTCCAGACCTGCCTAGGAAATAAATAATAAATACGAAGACCAAAAAATGATCAAATTGTTTCCAAGCAACTCCATCACATCACAGAAAAATCTCAAGAATAGTTACAGGAATACAAAAATATCTATTATACAATAAAGTGAACTCACAATGACTAGCATACACACATGACCAGGCATGTAATGAAACCAGAAAACACAACCCAAATTGAGAATAATTAATACATTGAAAGTGACCCAAAACAGTTATGGATATTAGAATTAGCAGACAGTGACATCAAAATGGTAGTTATAACTGTACTCCAAATATTCATAAGTTTTGACAAGATACTTTGACTCAAAAAGACAAAAGATATTTTTTAAAAAAAGATTCACATTCTACATCTAGAAATTAAATCTATAATGTCTAAAATGAAAAATACATTGGAGGAGATTATTTCCAGATTAGATATCCTAGAAGAAAAGATGTGTAAACTTGGAACTATGGCAATAAAAACTAATCAAAATAAAACTCAGAGAGAGAGAAAAAAAGCCTAAGTGAACTAAAGGACAACTCGAGGCAGTAACTGGATTCTGTGAAGAAGAGGATGGGTAAAGGCAGAAACAGTATTTGAAGAAATTGTGGTCAATTGTTTTGAAAAATTTAATGAAAGTTGTTGTATACTTACAGACCCAAGAAACCCTATGTCTCCCTGCTACAAGAGACACAAGGAAAACTATAGAAAGCTACCTCACAATCAAAATTGGCTCAAAAGTATCAAACTCACAAAAAACATCTGCTTAAAATCAGTGATAAAGAGAAAATTTTAAAAGCAGCCAGAGGGGTAAAAGACAAGTTATGTCCAGGAAAACTAAAATAAGGGTGAAGGAAGATTTCTTATCAGAAACAATGCAATTTAAAAAAGTGGAACAACAACTTTTAAAAACTGAAATAAAAATTAAAAGCTAGCAATCTAAAACATACTCAGTAAACTATCTTTCAAAAAGTCAAAGTTAAATAAATACATCTTCAGAAATACAAAAGCTGAAGATATTAATCACCAGCACACACAAAATCAATAAATGTTAAAGTAAATCCTTCAGGAAGAAAGAAAATGATATCAGATGAAATGGAGAGCACCAGAAATCATAGCTTAATGAGCACATGTATCATATTTTTAAATTATTTAAACTGTCCGGGCACAGTGGCTCACGCCTGTAATCCCACCACTTTGGGAGACTGAGGCGGGCAAATCACTTGAGGTCAGGAGTCCGAGACCAGCTTGGCCAACATGGTGAAACTCCATCTTTACTAAAATACAAAAATTAGCTGGGCGTGGTGGTGACTGCCTGTAGTCCCAGCTACTTGGGAGGCTGAGGTGGGAGAATCACTTGAGCCTGAGAGGCAGAGGTTGCAATGAGCCGAGATTGCACCACTGCACTCCAGCCTGGGGAACTGAGCAAGACTCTGTCTCAAAAAAAAAAAAAAAAAAAAAAAAAGAGGCTAAAAGAAACAAAGAATAGATCAAAAAGAAAAATGACAAGATGAAAAACTTTAAACCCAACAATATCAATAATCATATAAGTGTAAATTGTCTAAATGTTTCAATTAACAGGCAGAAATTTTCAGACTGAATCAAAACAGAAGATTAACTACATGCTGCCTGCAGGAAAACATATTAAATGTAGACAGGTAAAATATAAATCATGCTAATACTAGTCAAAAGAAAGCTGGAATGGCTATGTTAATATCAAAGTAGATGTAGGACATGGAAAATTACTAGGGGGAGAAAAGGTTTTACATAATAAAAAGATAAATCCATCAAGAGGACACAATTCTAAATGTTTGTGCACCAAATAACAAAGTATCAGAATACATGAAACAAAAACTGATACAACTGTAAGGGAAAATGGACAAATCAAAAATTATTGTGGGATATTTCAATATCACTTTCAATAATTTATAAAACAAAAAGAATATCAGACTGTGAAAGATTTGACAACACTATTAACAGATTTGTTCTGATTGATATGTATAGGCTCTCCACGGCTAAACTCAGAACACACATTCCTTTCAAGAATACACAGAACGTTACCAATATAGGCTATATTGTGGGTGATAAAACAATTCTCAACATGTTTAAAATACTCAGGTCCTACAAAGTGTATTCCTTTCCTGCAGTTGAATCAAAATAAATAAAAACAAAGTATATTCCTTGCTCACAATGGAATTAAATTAGAAATTAAGTATATTATTTGATCACAATAAATTATAATCAATGACAGGAAGATATCTGGAAAAATCTCAAATATTTGAAAACTAAATAACATACTTTTAAATAACCCATTAGTCAACAAGGAAAGTGCAACAGAAATTAGAAAGTATTTTGAACTTAATGAATATGAACATCAACATTTAAAATTCTGTGGCATGCTGCTAAGGCAGCACTTAGGAAAAATTTTGTAGCACTAAGTACCTGTATGATAAAATTTAAAAAAGTCTCAACTCAATTACTCAGCTTCCACCATAAGAAACTAGAAAAAAGAAGTGCAGTTAAAAAAAAAGAAAGGTAACTAGCATAAAGGACATAATGAAGATCAAAGTAAGAAATAATGAAATAGAATAAAAAATGGAGAAAATAAATGAAATCAAAAGCTGGTTTTTTGAGATCAAGTTAGACTGGCCCTAAGAAACACAATCTTACACACACACACACACACACACACACACACACACCCCATAATATCAGGTATGAGAGGGGTAATGTTAGTACAGAATCCACAGATCTTAAGAGCATAATAAGAGGAAAATATGAACTACTTTAGAACTATAAATTTGACAACTTTTAATAAAATTGACAGGTTTAAAAGATACAACCTATCAAATCTCACTGAAGAAGATATAGACAACCTGAATAGCCCTGTATCTCTTAAAGAAACCAAATTCTTAAATTTTTTCAAAAAAATAAGGCTCCATCCCCATAATTCATAATTTCTCTGGTGAATTCTATCAAACATCTAAGGAATAAGGAATAATAATCCTACACAAATTGTTTCAGTAAATTGAAGAAGAGGAAATACTTCCCAGCTGAGGCCAGTGTTAACCTTTATATCAAAAAACAGACAAGGATAGTACAAGAAAATAAAATTACAGACCAACATTCTTCATATATATGGGTTTAATTTGTTAGCATCTTACTTCGAACTACTGTATCTAATGATATATGTAAAGGATAATATATCAAGTGGGGCTTATCCAAAAAATGCAATCCAAGGATGAAAACCCATTAGTATAATTCACCATACTAAAACTAAAAGAGGAAAACCATATGATCATCTCAATGGATACAGGAAAAGCATTTTTAAAAATAAAATATCCATTTTCTGAAAATAAAAACTCTCAAAAATTAGAAACAGAAGATAACTAGAAATAAAAGATGACTTTTTCAACTTGATAAAGTGCATGTATGAAAAAACTTACAGTTAACACCAGATTTAATGGTGAAAGACCAGATAGCTTTCTCTTAGGATTAGAGACAGAACAAGATTCTGCTTTCCACCATTTCTATTAGCATTTTACTGGAGGTCCTGACCAGTGAAATCAGAGGCAAAACGAAACTAAACAAAACAGAAATAAAATGCATTTAGTTTAGAAAAGGAGAAGTACAGTATTTTAATTTGCAGATAACATAATTGTCTATGTAAAAATGCCAATGGAGTCTACAAAAAAAAAAAAAAAGCCAGTAGAAATAATGAGTTTAAAAAGTGCATAAGAAATAAAAATCTTTTCTAGGCATAACAGTTAAATGATTTAGCTGGGTAAACTGGAAAAAAGCAAAGTCTCAGCAGAGATTGTGACCAGTGAGGCTTTTATAGATCACATTACATGTCAGTCAATTGGAAATTAAACTTACCTTCCAAGATGAGAGCTAGTAAGTCATACTCAGCAAATAAAAACATAATTTCTAATTTTTCCCCTCACCAGAAACTACTGGTCTATTTGTGCTGTTACAACAACATACCATTACATAGCAATTTAGAAAGGACAGAAATTTATTTCTCACAGTTTTGCAGGCTGGGAAGTCCAAGATAAGGCACCTGCCAGTTTGGCGTCTGGTGAGGGCTGCTCTCCACTTCCAAGATGGCACTTTTATGATGTATCCTCTGGAGGAAAGGAAGGCCATGTCCTCACATGGTGAAGGTGGAGGGGCAAGACAGCTGAACACTGTGTGAATGAAGCCTCTTTTACAAGGTCCTAAGGTCCTTAATCCCATTCTCAAGGGAGGAGTCCTCATGGCCTAATAACCTCTTAAAGGCTCCACCTTTTTTTTTTTTTTTTTTTTTTTGAGATGGAGTCTGGCTATGTCGACCAGGCTGGAGTGCAGCGACACAATCTCAGCTCACGGCAAGCTCCGCCTCCCAGGTTCACACCATTCTCCTGCCTCAGCCTCCCCAGTAGCTGGGACTATAGGTGCCCACCACCACGCCTGGCTAATTTTTTGTATTTTTAGTAGAGACAGGGTTTCACCGTGTTAGCCAGGATGGTCTCGATCTCCTGACCTCGTGATCCGCCCGCCTCGGACTCCCAAAGTGCTGGGATTACAGGCGTGAGCCACCTCGCCCAGCCAAGGCCCCACCTTTTAACACCATTACATTAGCCTCCAAGATTCAGCACTTGAATTTTTTTTTTCTTTTGAGATGGAGTCCTGCTCTGTCACCCAGGAAGGAGTGCAATGGCACGATCTCAGCTCACTGCAACCTCCACCTCCCAGATTCAAGCGATTCTTGTGCCTCAGCCTCCCAAGTAGCTGAGATTACATGCATGTGCCCAACACACCTGGTTAATTTTTGTATTTTTAGTAAAGACAGAGTTTTACTATGTTGGCCAGGCTGTTCTCCAACTCCTGACCTCAGGTGATCCGCCCATCTCGGCCTCCCAAAGTGCTGGGATTACAGGTGTGAGCCACCGCTGCCGGCCAGCACCTGAATTTTTGAGGGGACACGTGCAAACCGTCTCTCTCTCTCTTTCACCTCAGTTCTTAGCTCCACCCTTTGCTCATTTGCCTAGGCTGGAAACTCAAAAGTCATTCTGATTTCTTTACTTTCCTTACTTTCTCCCCACATCCAGTTCATCAACAGGTTTACTCCCCAAACCTACTCAAATCTGCCCACTCCACTCCACCTTCAAAGCCACCCTTGTCCTGGCTGGCACCATCTCTTACCCTGTTTCAACAGTCTCGTCATTTGTCTTGCTCTTTCCACACGTCCCCTTCATCATCGCCCCGACCCTCAAAGTTATCTAGGCACCAGCCAGAGTGATCTTTATAAAACTGAAATTGGATCCTATTTGAAGGGTAATAAGAAGCCTACCTTTCTTAACTCAACCGATACCAACCCATTGGTTAGCTACATGTTAGCTATATTGGCCTTCTAAAAGTTCCCTAGGTTATAAGCTCTTTCCCATCACAGGGCATTTGCAAATGTCACCCTCCTGCCTGGAATCACTCTTCTGTCACTCCCTATGGTAACATCTTCATCCTGTAGGTTTCCTTAAATCTCTCCTTCGTGACACCTCTCCTAACTCATTTCTTTAATGCAACTTCTTGCTTCTTGACTAAACAGGTATAACAAAGGTACCCAAAATTCAGAGGCTCACTCAGAATAGAAATATATTTCTTCCTCATGAAATGGTCCATAAGCAGCCAGGCAGTCTAAAGCAGTAACTAAGCCTTGCTGAAGCTCCTTCTGTTTCTTCTATTTTGATTCACTCCCATTGTCTTTGTTTGGGCAGCTATACCAAAGTACCATAGATGAGGCAGCTTATAACAGGTTATTGCTGTCAGTTTTGGGGGCTGCAAGTCTGAGACCAGTGTACTAGCAAATTCTGCATCTGATGAGGACCTGCTTCCTGGTTGATAGGCGACTGTCTTTTGGCTGTGTCCTGACTAGTCCCATCCACGAGGGTTTGACCTTCATGACCTAATCACTTTCTAAAGGCCCCATATTCAAACACCATCACATTGGTGATTAGGTTCCAATATATGCATTTAGGGAGGACAGAAATATTCCTTCTACAGAACCTATCCATATGGTGTTAACCCCATTCACAAGGTTGAAGCTGGCTTCCCTGTGCATGGCAAGGGGAGAAAAGGAAAGCGCTTCCTCTAAAGGACATGGCTTAAAAAATATACCCATTTTCTCCGCTCACATGCCATTGGCCAGAACTGAGTCCCAGGGCCAAACCTGGCTGCAAGCACACCTCTAAGTATAGTTGCTAACCTCAGGGAAGATTACTGCTAAAGGAAAAATGAGCATGTATTTTGTGGAGTGATTATCAGTATCTGTCAAACTGCCCTACTCCTATTCATTCTCTATGCAAAACTCTCTGTTTATTGGACGAGTTAGCAAATGTGTAGCTGCCCACAAGACTTTGAGCTCCAGAAGAAAAGAGAACAATTCAGTCTGGTATATCTCCACACTAAGACCTGGGGACTTTTGTTTGTTTGTTTCTGTTTTGCTTTTTATTTCTCTGTTAGTTTTATACTGTTTCTATACACTCTTTTTTAAATAGCTTTATTGATGTGCAATTCACAAAGCATACAATTTGCCTATTTAAATGTATAATTTGATGTTTTTAGTAGATTTGCAGGATATACCACTATTTCCACACTCTAATTTTAGAGTATTTTCTCCCCACAGAAGAAACTCCATACCTATTAGCTGTCATCATACATTCTCAAGGTAAAGCCTCCCCTGGAAGATTGTTCTAAATACATATTGCTACTCAGTGGATTTTATCACTTTGTCTTGGAGCCCAGAATAAACAGATAAAATTCTACCATCTGGCAGGTAGTGATTATCTCATTTTGCATTGCCTCCACCATACACATCTGTGAAGGGTAGGATTATAGCTCCCATGTTACAGAAGAGAATACTCAAGTCTGGGTCCCTCCTCACTAGGTTGAGGATTTTGGGAAGTGTTAACCCACTTGCTCCATATGGATCTGTCTGAGTCCTCAGCTTCAGCTAAGCAAATAAAATGCATATCCACATCTCTTAGAAAATTATCTTCATAGGGTTTCTTTTGGCCTGGGTGTGCAACCTGTTATATAAACAGTATTGATGTTGTTGTTGATGTTGTTGTTGTTGTTGTTGTTGTTGTTGTTGTTTTGAGATGTCACCCAGGCTGGAGTGCAGTGGCACTCAATCTCGGCTCACTGCAAGCTCCGCCTCCTGGGTTCACGCCATTCTCCTGCCTCATCCTCCCGAGTAGCTGGGACTACAGGCACCTGCCACCACACCCAGCTAATTTTTTTTTTTTTTTTTTTGTATTTTTAGTAGAGACGGAGTTTCACCGTGTTAGCCAGGATGGTCTCGATCTCCTGACCTTGTGATCCGCCCACCTCGGCCTCCCAAAGTGCTGGGATTACAGGAATGAGCCCCCGCGCCCGGCCAACAGTATTGGTTTTGAAAGTGAACCCTCACAAACTGCTGTCTGATCTGCCCGCCAACCACTTTCATATCAGACGTTCTGATTGTGCCATCATTTTCCCTAGTGACATAAATATCCACACCAACACTCAAAAGAACTGGACATCTTCACAGACAAGAATTTTTCTGTTTCTTAAACTATTCCCCAGCTTGCTCTCATGGTTGGCAAGGTGCCTCTGTTGAATCACTTGATATTCTGACTTGTCTTACAGTAAACTCTGCAAACAACCAGAAGGACAGATAATCTTTCCTAACTGTGTAGATTCTGGGTACATGGAAACTTGAGAACATTGAGGGTGCTGTTTTCTCAGAGAAGGCTCTCACAGTTTGCATCTACTTGCTTTATTTGAATATAGCCATTTAATGTATCAAAATGAAAAATAAAATTGTCTACAGTAGCTACCTCACAGCTCCTTGTCCTCGCCACAAGCCACAAAGTTGCCAACTGTTGTTGTCTGCACTTTCTCTCTTTCCAAGGAGTTCCCTTTTGAAAGGAACAATGGTTTCTTTCCAGACACCTTGCAGGGAAAAATGGCCTAAGCCAGGTGAAGCTGGCAAGGGTAGGAGCTGCCACTGGAGGCTCAGGCTGAGAGGCAGCATGGTGAGGGAACCCAGGAGGAGGGTTGTGCAGCCTTGCTCCACTCCTGTAGACTTTGATGTTTTAAAGACATATGGAAGGCAGCCAGGGAAATTCAGATACACTTACCCAGTAATTGATTATTCAGCTGCATCTCAGAAAGACATAGCTTGGCCCAGGCTGACAGCTATTGTTTCCTTTTGCTGCCTTTCAGGGTGGGAGCCAAGGAAATTGGGGCAGAGATGCAGCCTTAGGGGGACCGGAGGTAAGAAGTCATCCAGCCCAGGAAGCCTATTGTTCAAATATTTGCCAACTTCTTTTGTACTTCTAGTCTGAGATGGGCAGTGGTGAGAAATAGAACCTGATAAAAAGAGCCATTGATGAATAGGTGGAAAAGAAGGGAAAATGAGTGCAGACTCTACGGACAAATAGAATCATTATAGGTTTAATGATTTTTCAATTCTTTGTGGGGTAAGTCATATGAATACCCCATAGTTCAGTGTGTACACAAACATTTTAAGATAATGAATATTAATCTGATCTACCATGCATTTGTCCCTCTGCATGTTGACTTTCATTTAATTTTTATATATACCACTGGAAGAGCTTATGAAATATTATACCTCTGTTCCTCCCAACGCAATTTTCTTGTTATTTTTGACAGATGAACAAATGTCCATGCTAATTTTTGAGTAATTACTTCTGTTGGTTGTTTTTCATAAGCATAATGGGCTAATACTCAGGCTAGGAAAGGAAACTTAGAGACCTGTTAGGGCAGTGATTTGAACTTGGTGCATATGAGTATTGGGGGAAGGGTAGAATAAGAAGGTATATATCAGATTTTCGCAGGGGAAATTCATGTATACACTTTAAAAGTTTTTAAAATTATACTACTGCTTAGATTTAATGTGTTTTAAACAGTTGTATATACTTGGAAGATTCAAGGGAGTGAGCCAGTTTCTCTTTTACAGACAGGTAAACTGATGTCCAGAGTGATTTGCACAAGGACACCCAGCTAGTGGAAGTGGCAGACTTGAGACGTGAAATCATTACTCATTCTAACCTCAGCCCCGTTTCCTGATATTCGTATATTTGTGGCTGCAAGGACATGGTTTGGTGGCCGCAAGGACATGGTTTGGTGTCTGTTCTAATCATCTCTCTGCTAAAGAGAGGAAAACGAGGATCTTGTGAATGGCAGTTGATAAGTTCTAGACATAGTATTTAATAAATGTTATTAGTTTTTGCAGATCATTGTACTAAGCATTTTATGTGCATGATCTTATTTAAAACTCATCACTATGCTACAAGTTGAGTACTATAATTACCTCCATTTTGCAGTGAGAAAAGTGGTACTGGGAGAGGTTCAGTATCTTGCACAAAGTCATATAGTTAACATGTGGTTGATTCAGGATTGGAGCACACGCAATCTGACTATAGAACCCATACTCCTAAATGCTGGAACCTATAAATATCTAGCATCACAACTGTTTTTGCTCTCAAACAAGGCAGGCTCTGAGTTTAGTAGAGTTGGAGGAGAATTTGACCAGTGTTCTTTCTCAGGGTTCTAACAATATTATGGGTTGCCTTAGCATAGAGTGAGCTGAACATCACAGAGGAGAATCAAACCAGTGTTGAATATCTACTGAGGAAAGATGTCTCCAATCTGGGGTGAGGCTATTGACCTTAGCGAACCTCAGGTCTTTTCTAATACTGGGAGTCTTTGACTCTCACAACCTGCATTCTGTGCCTTGGCTCTAGGCTTCAGGTCTGCTAATTTTGGCTTTCCCACTGGTCTCTCTCAGATTGTGGCACCTGTTGGAATTACAAAAGTAAATACGGTCTTGACCATACTGTTAAACTGCCTTCACATAAGAATACGTGGGAACTCTTGAAAGAAGAATTTTTAAGAGTTTAGTGGTTTTTTTTTTTTCTCATCCCAGTGAATCAGGCAATAAACAACATCCAAAGAGCAGGCCTCTTACTTGAGTCCCAGCTGGTACAATGGTGTCACCTGGGCTTATTGTAGGGTGTTGAAACCCTACAAAAGTGATGAATCTTTGCTTGAAAGCCACCTGCCACACAGCCACCTAGCAGGATTCTGGGAGCTCAGGATATGTGAGCAGGAAAGGATTTGATTACCAACTGAAAGGCATTTTCATTTTGACATATGAGGAAACCAGAGAGAGCAAGTAAGTTGATTTATGTCACACAGCAAGTTGGTGGTGAAGTGAGCACAAATTTGGGACGGCCCTGAGATCTTCCTGAGAAATTCTTCTATCCATTTTTTCATCCATCCAATAAACATCTGTCTGATCCAGAGACTGTGCTTAATTCCCAAAGTGATGACAACTAACTAGACAAAATGAAACACGTTAAGTGGCAGAACATGTGAAGGGAGAGGATCCACAAGTGTGGAATCATCTTCTAATAACCATCACCAGTGCAATCATTTACAATTGGAAAGGACAGGCTGCTGGAAGACACGGGGCTGTCCTGGCAAGGCAAGCACAACCCAGATCCCTGCCTTTCTCTGTCTTTTCCCATTTCTGCACGGCTTTGACAGTTTTGAGCTGATTCTGGTCATAGCCTGGAGGGAGAGAACATTCATGGCAGCCCCAAGAAGGACAATTAGGTTTCACATTAGCTTCTCTCACGACTTCGTCATTGATTGTCTCTCTTTGTTGAAATATTTGAGAAAATAACCCCAGATAGAGTTCTGGAATACATGAGACTTGGAGATTTTTAAATAAAGGACATTCCACAGAGAACAAGCTTAAATATTGACTCATAAGAGGAAGCACATTCTCAAGGTAGTGCCAATGGGTTCTGGAAGTTGAATCTGAGCTCTGCAAATTTAATCTGGGTGGACGTGGCTATGAGGCAGTTCCCCAAGTTTCTCCCCAGATCTCCAGTGTCTAGCTTAAATAAGGATAGAAAACAACCATTAGTCAGCCCCACTTCTCCTAGTTTTCCTTTCCCTTGCTATGCTTGTTTTCTTTCTCCTTTCGCCTATCCTATTTGCTACCAATGTGACTGAGGAACTTTCACCCAGCCTTGATAAGAGCTAACCTTGACCATTCTTCTGCTTGGAAATAACCAACTCAGAGTGCTGGAGGATGAGGCCATGGAAGTATCTTTGTATCTGGAGATAAGATTCAATTATTCCAGTATTTGCATGCCCCCACCCTCCTTCTGCATTAGCTTAGATAATCCAGTGCTGTCCAAATGATTGTCTCTCTGCCTCTCCACAGTGTGAACATTTATTTCCATCATCTCCCAGATTTTCCAGTTATGTGTTTGCATCTGATACGTGTCTCGGTGTTCTCCAGTGTTGATCCTGTTTTGTTTTTATTTCTCCCTTTGTACAGTCTTTAAGTACTCCCTGATGGTGTGTGTTGTGTGATTTCATATCATGAGAATGGCGTGGCCATGGCAGTGAGGCATTAGGTTGTATCATAAATCAACCACAGTTTGGGGATACGATGACAGGTGTGATTTATAGGCTATTTCAGCTCCGATTTCCATAGAGTTATTCTCTGATTCACAATTATTCCTTGGAGGAACAAAAAGTAAAAGAAAGTGCAGTGTGGGTGGTAGGCTGCCTCCCTAGATATTCACAATAGTCATCATATCCATATAGGAAAGCAGATATTTATGCTTTCTAATGGATGAATATTATCCATGGCAACTGGGAAACTGTCAGAGCTGGAAAAAGTGACTCGACTAAACCTTATTTTCCCTTGACCTTGGTAAAACAAGACTAATTTTACATAGTGGTCAAGAGAATTAGACAGTTGCCAATAATTTATGGTAGAGTAAATCCCCAGAATGAACCTAAACTATCAATATGTAAGTTAAATGATAAATTTTGATGATCAACTTTTGTTTACATTAAGTAGAAGCATGAAATGTGATCAATTTTACCAAAAGATAATTCTTGTCACACGTATAGGACTTTTGAACCTTGTCTACCCCAGCTAGGGTGGACCACACAATATTATCTTCCAAACTGGGATGTTTTTGAGAGTGAAAAGGAGTGCATTGAATTATTCCAGGTAACAGGGAGTACCAGGAAAACTGGATCGAACTGTGACTCTTGTCACATTAATGGTTTTTACTGTATCTTCTATGCCTTATCACTAGATCCTTAAGAGCAAAGATCAAGATGACATGGTTACCTTTTTTGAGAGCTCGTTTTATTATCTGCTAGGGGTTAAGAATACATTTGTATTGAATGATTGAAACACTGATGTTTGAAATAAACTCATCAAGGTGCCTGGTATAAGTGTCCAGTAAATTATATTAATAAGTATAATTTAGATATAAAAATGAGCATAATTTATTATAGTTTAGATGGTCAATATTTTTTTGCGGATGCTCAATATTAGTGGTTTTCAGGATGCTTTAAAGTTTATCACTTTTTCACTGAATCTCTTTTAGTGCTTTACATATGTAATTTTACCCAGAGCCCTAATATATACAACTTATAAAACTAAGCATGTATAGGTTGGCAGAAATCTTTTCAGCATTTGCAGTACTTGTAAAGCACACCTTCAGATCCAAATGCTTCATTTGGGGCAAAATTCAAACTCTGTAACTCTAAGTAAACCTTGACTAAAGTGTTAACATATGAACTAAACATAATTTGGAGGAAAAAAGTCCCAATACTTTTAGCAAGTTCAGAAGTGCATTTAGGAAGAAATAAAAAAGATTTGGCATTCCCTGTGTTTTTGGTTTTCTTTAAAGTTCAACACTTAATGATAATGCATGTTGAGTCCTTGGTGATCCATTCAGCTGAACTTTAGAGATAGAACAGAACAGAAAAAGAAAAAGACCACTGCTAATTGCATCATTTATCTTTAGACTCTTGTAGACCCAAAAAACATTCAGTAGGAAAGAGATTTTCTGAGTGAGCTCTATGATATTCCTTTTAAACCTCCTCTTCTCTCTGACCTGCTCAGTCCTTGCTTTGACTCTCTAGGCCGGTGTGGATAGTTGTTGTTCATCGTAATATTTGCTGAAATATAAGTAGATTCTTCCATGTCATTGTGATCCCAGAAGATTTCACAGAATGTTCCTATTAACGATTGTGAGGGCTGGAGCAAATATTTGAATTCATTGACTGTTTTTAGGAGAAGCTTCTTTCCCATATTCCAAAAAGCCAGAGTTGTTGATGATGAGTTTGTGCCAAGGTCTTAGCAGGGCCATGCCCAAAACTATCAGGCTCAAAGCTCTGGAAGCAGTTGGCCAATGACTGGGCCACATTGGGGCTTCTCTCCCATCATACATACTTGTTTTTTTTTTTGTTTTTTTGTTTTTTTGTTTTTGCCTCACTGGACCTTAGAACATCACTGTATTAGGTATCTGTTGCTGCAAAACCAGTTGCCACAAACTTAGCGACTCAAAACAACATATATTAATTATCTCACAGTTTGTTTGTTTATTTATTTATTTTTGAGACAGAGTCTCTCTCTGATGCCCAGGCTGGAGTGCAATGGCATGATCTCGGCTCACTGCCACCTCTGTCTCCTGGGTTCAAGCGATTCTCCCACCTCAGCCTCCCAAGTAGCTGGGACTACAGGCACCCATCAACATACCCAGCTAATTTTTGTATTTTTAGTGGAGACGGGGTTTCACCATGTTGGCAAGGGTGGTCTGGAACTCCTGACCTCAAGTGATTCACCTGCCTCAGCCCTCTCAAAGTACTGGGATTATAGGCATGAGCTACTGTGCCCGGCCTATTATCTCACAGTTTCTATGGATAAGGAATCCAGCATAGCTTGGCTGGGCCCTTGGGTATAGGATCTCACAAGGTTGCAATCAAGGTGCCATGGTTGGGTTCTCATCTGAAAGTTTGACTGGAGAAGCACTGGTGTCCAAGCCATGTGGTTGTTTTTCAGAATTCAGTCCCTGGAGGATTATTAGACTGAGAGTCTCAGTTCTTAGCCAGCTGTTGACCAGAGATGGCCCTCAGTTCCTTGCTAGATGACCTCTCCATTAAGACAACTCACAATATGGCAGCTTGCATCATCAGAGCATGAAAACAAGAAGAATCCAAGAAAGAGAAGAATTTCAAGACAGAAGTCACAATCTTTTTTTTATTACTCATTTTTTTTTAAATTATACTTTAAGTTCTGGGAAACTTGTGCAGAACGTGCAGGTTTGTTACATAGTTATACATGTGCCATGGTGTTTTGCTGCACCCATCAACCCGTCATCTACATCTCCATTAGGTATTTCTCCTAATGCTATCCCTCCCCTTGCCCCCCATCCCCTGACAGGCCCTGGTGTGTGATATTCCCCTCCCTGTGCCCATATGTTCTCATTGTTCTACTCTCACTTATTAGTGAGAACATGCTGTGTTTGGTTTTCTGTTCCTGGGTTAGTTTGCTGAGAATGATGGTTTCCAGCTTCATCCATGTCCCTGCAAAGAACAAGAACTCATTCTTTTTTATGGTTGCATAGTATTCCATGGTGTATATTTTATAACCCAATCTTGGAAGTGACATCTCATCATCTTTACCATATTGTTTTGGATGGAAGGAGATCCCCAGTTCTGTTCACGCTTTCAGTGGGAGAGGATTGCAAAAGAGTGTGAGTACCAGAAGGTGGGATCATGGGGGCCACCTGTGAGTCCACCTGCCATAATCACTGTATGCTGTTGGGGACTCATGTGAAGTGGAGGAAAAACTAGAGGTCAACACTGGTTCATGCAAGGCATTCAAGTCCAGCATCTCTGAACTGCTGTGCAGCCTCCTCAAGTATCACCCCCTCCCTAAGGCTTTTCTGTCTTCTGTGAGCACAACATGTCTACTGAGTCTTATGGCCATTGTGTCTGCTCCCGTCACTACCCAGAAAGTTCTTCTCTCAGCTCCACCTACAAATGGCTCCTTCTGTTTATATGTCACCTCTTCTCAGAGACCACCTGAATACCGATTGAACACTTATTTACTAAGCTCCTACTATGTGTTAGGCACTGCCTGGGACCCTGAAACAAATCAGAGAAAATTTCCAAAATATGGAATCTCAAGGAATTCTCTATTTAGTAGAAGAGAGAAATAAGTAACTAGCACTCAGTTCACCCTATAACAATTTACTATGGGAGAGGCAAGGGCAGGGTGCAGACGTAGTAAACTACAAACTCTCAGTGGGCTGGGAGAAATATACTAATTGGCCCATAAGTTGAAGTCACACTCCTCAGTCTAGCACAAAAACCGTTCACAACTGGTATCTCTTCAGCCCCCATGCTTCTCACCACATGATCCCATCCCAAAGAAAAAAAGTTGGGTGGGGAGTCTGTGTTGTGTTTGTCCATGCGTTTTCCCTTCCATCTGTTGTTTCCTCTGCTAAAAATCTCTCTTCTTGCCTGTCGAACTCTTCCACATTCTTACAAGGATCAAATCAAACCCCTTTTTTAGAGACTTGCCCAAATCCCTAGAAATTTAAGTGGCTACACACACTTTGCTTCCACAACCCTAGACACATAACTTGAATAGCTTGTGCAACATGTACTGTAATTGTGAATGTGACTCTTTTACTAAACGGTGAGCTCCTTGGCAGCAGAGTATTTCTTCATCACTGTCCCTACAGAGCAAGGCTGTCACTCAGGAGTTTCTCAGTAACACTGTGAAGAATGCATAAGAAAAAACAATATAACACTCTTAAGCTATTCATCACTCAACTTGATCTTTTTTTTTCACCTTGTGTAAACGCCCACTGAACTTCTGGCTGCCCGATTCTCAACAGGAATGTTTTCAATACCTGGCCATCCTATAGTTCGTGAGAAGTTCCAACATGCCCACCCAGAAATTAGAAACCTGAACAACCCCTGACTCTAGCACGGTCTTTGAACCCCAATCTGAATTGTATACATCTGTCTTCAAAAGAACTTAAGATCCAACATGAAACTCATGGAGGAAAACATTGTCTTCACATTTAGAAGGTGGGGTTCTAAAGCGCGAATTTTTCTGTCTGGTCAGGATTGCTTTCTTATTTCTAGGACCCCCAGGTCAATTGATGCTTTCTCGCTTCATGTCTCTGTTCTTGAAAGAATTGCTTGACTGCCAAGGTTCCCTGTGATCTTTAAAGCACAAACTTACACTATGATAATATCTTACATGTAATCTCCAGTGTATTTCAACGTAGTGAAGACATGTCTTTTCTCAGGCTGTAAAATAAACTTTAACATGTTTTAGGAGGTCTCACTCTACAATTATTTCTGCCATTTTAACCTAGTCCCTAATATTGATGGTGATAATGAAAATAGTGATAACAATAACTACCACTTTGAGCATTTATCATGTGCCAAAAACTATACTAGGTGCTTTCTGTACGGACATTTTTTTTTCCATTTTACTCTCTAAAGCCACCTGAGGTTGAGATTGCTAACACATTTTGCAAATGAGAAAATTTAGTCTCAAAGTATCTGAGGGCAGACAGAGAGATGTACCTTTCAGGGGAACTAGGAAGAGGCCTCAGTTCCTAGCTGACTGTTGGTTGGAGGTCATCCTCAGTTATCCTACCCCAACCTGTCTCCTGACCTTCAATCCTTGGGAATAAAGCCTCTTGTTCCCCAACAAGAAATAAAATAAGTGCAGCTGAGGCTCCAGAATCAAGAGCTAATAATCACACAAAAATACAGTGACCAACAATTGCACCTTTTTTGAGGATAGGTTTCAATAAAAAAGGTTGGGGGAAGAATGAAAGATGGGTAGGAAGTTGAATCAAGAACCCTAAATGACTAGAGAGGAAGGAAGGTATCACCTCTCTCTTATTGGAAAATTACCCAAATGATTAAGGCTAGTTGGACTGAAGATAAAACCAGATCAATAATTGTGACAAATTCTCCTAGATTTGGGTCTTATTTATTCCTTCCTTTTTTCATTCAGCAAATAGGGTTGTATCTGTTCATCATACAGGATTAAATCAATGCCTAAACAAGTACCATTCAACATCTCATATAATTTTCAAGAAATAATGTTTCAACAAGTTACCAGTGACTCATTTTGTTTCTGAATTTGTGGCTAAAAAATCTGTTTCTTGTGTTATTCAATACAAGAAGAATGAGCACATGTAAACAATTCTTTCACAACTTTGCAGAGCCTCAGGTTAGACCCTATAGGCCTCTAATCCTCATGCCCTTTCTGTCTGTGTAACAGAGTCCACGTGAGCCCACCCCAGGATCTATGATCACTTCAGAGACACTGTAAAGGGGATTTCAGGAGCCTTCAGTTCAATACTTAATGATCTGACTCTACTCAAAGACCCTGCTTAGAAAACGAGATTTCAGGCTTATCCTGTGACCCTGCAACCAGCACCCAGTACTGTTCCAATAAAGGCCTGACATCCTTCAGGACTGCTGCTGTGCCCTCTGTTTTTCCTGCTCCCACTTCTGCAGTGGGTCCTCCCACCTGTTGCTGAGGCTCTCTGCTTCCCAGTGCCCGCTTATGTTTTTTGGCATTTCCTCCTCTTGTGAGAAAACCTGGTAATGTGAAATCTATCGTAACGTCCCCTGCTTTCACTGACAAGAGAACGGGGAAATACCCTGGCCTTAAAACTACTTTGTATGCTTTCCTTAAACAAAAGTAGACTTTCTTCTTGAAGGAGAGGGGGAAAAAACCTTCCAATTAATAAAAGTTTCGGAATAAGACTTCTAATATTATTCTAATATTGACATTCTAAATGGTCAATGAATAGTTGCCAGTACTGATCAGAAAGCCATAGAACAGATATTACTTGTGAGGCAGAAGAGACCAGGATTTTCTATAAGTCGCAAACTAATTAATTCCAATAAACGTTTGGACTAGGCAGACTGTCCTCATCAAGAAAGAACACAACCAGAATATACAGACTTTCATCCTCAATGCTGCAGTTTTAATCTGTAAGATTTAGGTCATCTGAAATACGACGTCCAATATAGAGATAGATGATAGATTGATAGATAGAGGAATGGATTGGGTGAACAGACAAGATAAGTGATGATGATGATGATGATGATGATGATGATTTTTTTTTTTTGAGACAGTCTCACCCTGTCACTCAGGCTGAGTGCAGTGGCACAATCTCGGCTCACTGCAACCTCCGCCACCAGGGTTCAAGTGATTATTCTGCCTCAGGCTCCCGAGTAGCTCAAATTTCAGGCACATACCACCACATCCAGCTAAGTTTTGTATTTTTAGCAGAGATGGAGTTTCACCATGCTGGCCATGTTATTTCTTGAACTCCTGATGTTAGGTGATCTGCCTGCTTCGGCCTCCCAAAGTGCCAGGATTACAGGCGTGAGCTGCTGTGCCCAGCCTAATTTTGTTTTAATGAACAGATTTTTTCTTTCTCCATCACTACCAGCATTCAAAAATCATCATAAAAAGGGATCTTACAGTACAGAACAGCTACATCTCAGAAAAAGAGATTTTGACATGAGGAGCTGCCTCATTCTTTCCACATGCAGCCACCAGCCAGCAGGGCAATCAGGAATCTGGGGAAAGAGATGTTATACTCCAGGGGCAGGTCCACTCCTCATTGGAATGTGGGTAGAATCAAAGCCCTGATCTTTAGCAGCCCTCTAACCCTTCTGGACTATGGATCCCTCCAGGAGCCAAGGACTTTGTTTGTTTTCCCTGCCTGAGAAGTCCAAAACAATAAAAATTAGCAAAGCAGAAGTGAGGCCACCAGGAGGAATTCAGCTACCCAACTTCTTTGAGCCACACGTGGAGGAAGAAGTTGGACTCCATGCCCCCAAATGCTCATTTGGCATAGAGGAAGACAAAGACTTGCTGAGAAGGAAGGTGGAGGAGGTACTGATGGTGATCATGGTTTGCCTAAACAGTAAAGGCAGCAGCCAAGGAAGAAAATCTGAGACTAGGTCTTGGGGAGGCAAAGGTGATGCAGGAAGTCGTCCAGGGAGAAGCAGGGTGGAGTGTGGAAAGCGTCTTGCATTACATTAACAGAAGCCAGAATGGAAAACACAAGGAATATGCACAGGTCATAAGATACGAGCTCTATCTGAAAGTCAAAAAATTTGCCTGACTTCAGGTCGAGGAGAAGTTGGCCTGTTCATAAACCACCCACTGGGCTGAGATACAACTCTTCCTTCTCAAGAAGCTCAGAGGGAAGCTTGGGGAAATCAAGCTTCTATTTGTGCAACTTTGATCAAAATATGTCACTCATCCTCTGCTGGCCTCTATCCTGGTACCTTCTATGCAGAGACAAAGGCACTCAAAATAATGTTTATGCTCCTCTTCTGACGGAGCCATGGCAAGAACACAATCACATGCCATAGCAGATTAGAAAATGTAGGTGTTATTCTTTTTAAGTGTCTGTAATATGCCAAACTTATCTTCATCCTCTGAGATAGGCATTCTTACCTCCATTTCGCAGACTAAAAAAAATTGAGGTGCAGAGATAGTAAGTCACTTGCCCATGGTTTCATAATGAAGCAGAAGCAGACCAAAGGTTTAGTGTCAGCAAACCCAGCTACACCCAGTTCCAAACTCTATATTTTTTCCACCATAGATTTTAAGGCTATGTAACAAACAGGCTTGGAAGGTAGAAATATTATCTCCCTCTGGAGCCATAGGCAGGCATGGTTGCTGTCCCATAGTAAAGATTCAGGTTCTCCCAGCCTGGGGTTCCCCATTTGTGACTCTCCCTACAGTTATGCGTTGTCCTGTAGGAGACAGGTGAGGACAGCTGACACAAATGTGAAGTGCAGGCTACTTGCTGTACTGGGATTAATAAAGCCCTTTGTCACTGACCCAGGAGTCTCACATCTTCTGCCAACATCCATAAAAGCTTGGGAGACTCACTTGTTAGCTGGCAAGTCGGGTAAAATCTCAGACCCCACCAGAGGAAGCTTCCTGGATAAGCTGGAAATGGGCAGAGAGATCCAAATGAATATCTTCCTATGTATCTTCTGGCCCTAGAACAAAGTCTACATGCCCTCCTGTGGCACACGAGAGAGTTCTCGGGCACCATGCACATCCTTAGGCGATGAAACCTAGGAAATGTCTTGGATAGGTAGCAAGTCATTCTCACCAGGTCCTGGTCCTGAATCAACACCATCATTCCCTGGGCCACCATGTATCTATACAATGAGGGCACCGAGCTAGAGTAATAACATCTGACTTAAGAATGACACACTTCTGAGAGTCTTATGTATTATTTCATTGCATATCAACAATAACTCTACAAATAAGGAATTATTGCTCTCAGAAAGGGAACCAGCTCATCCAGGTTACAGAGCTGGGGTACATGTCTATCCAAATCCTTGCTCATCATCACCATCCCCGCGAGATTCCATCTTCCTCCTGCCACTCAGAAATTCATCACTATCCTTGGAATATATTTCCTTTTGATTATTTAAAACATTTTTTTAGATAGAGAACTTTGTGCTAGTAAGAAAAGGTAATTGCCACTCAGGGTGAAAATAAAAAATTTAAAAAAAAACCAACACCCTTGTTTGGTTAATGAGGAACACTTGTTCAAGCAAAGAACCACTCTGGGGCAAATTAAACTTTATTTTTTTCTCTAATCATCTGAAGTCCATGTTGGGGTAATCCAAACCTCCCCACAGAGAGAGTGCAGTCTGCATAACCCCATTTTTTTTCTTTTTTGCAATTACAGGAGCTATGAGGACCTGGGAGTGACCCAGGTCCCTCATTCTTTTGGAACGAAGGAAGACAAGACGCCCATAAGTTTAGGAAGTGAGAATGCCTTTTGCTCAGCCAAGAGATATAACCAGTTCCTCAGTTCGTGCTGCAGTCAGGATGGAGGCCAGGCTGTAAATATGAGCCTGTCCATTCTTATGTAGCTGCTAGGACACTGGGACTGTCAATTTCCAAGGTATCTTGCCCTCTGACAAAGTCCATTTCAGGGAGGAATCTCTATGGACCCCTTTTGGGAGGGCAGATAGATTGTGATCAATTGAGAGAGATGTTATAACTAATGAGTGACTGTATTACTTTTCTAGGACTGCCCTAACAACTACAACAAACTGGCTGGCTTTAAACACAGAAGTATATTCCCTCACATTTCTAGAGGCTAAAAGTCTAAAGTCTAAGGTGCTGGCAGAACCATCCTCTCTCTCCTAGCATCTCTTAGCAAGGAACACCAAAGGAAATCTTGCAGCTGCATAATTCCAGTCTCCGCCTCCTTCATCACATGGCTGTCTTCCCCGTATGTCCCTGTCTTCACGTGGCATTCTCTTCTCTGTGTGTGTCTATCAGATAGACACACAGATGTATTTCCTCTCTTTATATCAGGACGTAAGTCATATTGGATTCAGGGCCCACCCTACTCCAGTATGACCTCATCTTAACTTACATCTCAACTACACCTGCAAAGACCCTATTTCCAAATAAGTTCACATTCAGAAGTGCCAGGGGTTAGGGTTTGAGTACTACTCGAACAACATCAGTTATTATTAATAAAGTGTCCAAGTTTATCTATTTCTTTCATGTAGTTGTCTTTCATCTATTACAATTAAAAAAAAACAGAGGCCGGGCGTGGTGGCTCACACCTATAATCCCAGCACTTTGGGAGGCCGAGGTGAGCAGATCACTTCAGCTCAGAGGTCAAGAATTTGAGACCAGTCTGACCAGCATGGTGAAACCTCATTTCTACTAAAAAAAAAAAAATATATATATATATGAAAATTAGCCGGATGTGGTGGTGGGCACTTGTAATTCCAGCTACTTGGGAGGCTGAGGCAGGAGAATCATGTGAACCTGGAAGGCAGAGGTTGCAGTGAGTCAAGATTGTGCCACTGCACTCCAGTCTGAATGACAGAGCAAGACTCTGACTCAAAAAGAAAAAAATCAGAATAATGGCATCTTCACGCATCTGTACTCTCTCTTTTGCCCTCTACACTTCAGGCATACCAGGCCTTTCTGGCCTTAGGGCTTTTGCACACGTTGCTCCTGCAGCCTGGGACATACTTCCCAGGGTTTTTGCACAGCTGACTTCTCGTTCTTCAGGGTCATTTTAAAAATATTGTCTCCTCTGTGATGCCTCCCCCTAAATAGCTTTAATCTCTACCTGGGTAGCCCACTCATCTCCTTGGTAACACTCAATATTCATCTATTATAATTTGTTTATTTGTCTAAGGATCATCACCTCCCACCTCACTGTCATGTAAACTGTATGTGAGCAGGAGTTTTAGTCTGTTTTTTTTACTCTTGTATGGACCAACACATCACCAGGAACATAGCAGAAGTTCAATAAATACCTGTCGCATATGTGGATGAGGAGATATTTTTCATAAATCAAAAAAATTGGGATGTGCGTACAGCCAGCAGTCTAGAATGACTCTTAACATCAGCAGGTCCTGGTGCAGGCAGGACATTTCTTTTACTGTATGTTAGTATTTTGTCTTGGTTAAGAATGTGGGCTTTGGACCAGGTGCGGTGGCTCATGCCTGTAATCCCATCAGTTTCGGAGACCGAGACAGGCAGATCACTTGAGGTCAGGAGTTCCAGACCAGCCCGGCCAACATGTTGAAATCCTGTCTCTACCAAAAACTACAAAATTAAGCCAGGCATGGTGGCGCATGCCTGTAATCCCAGCTACTTGGGAGACTGAGGCAGGGGAATTGCTTGAAACTGGGAGGCAGAGGCTGCAGTGAGCCAAGATTGTGCCACTGCATGGAGAACCTGTCACACACACACACACACATACTGTGGGCTTTGAAATTAGACAACTGGTGTCCTATGGCTGGTCTTCCCCACAGTTCCTGTGTGACTCTGAGACTCTGTATCATAAGAATGTGTGATTCTTCTTTCGTAAGACTATTGCATTCATACAACTATTAACAAATATTTGTTGAAGTCTTATTGAGCGCCATGATAAACTAAGGCATATAAAGTGCTTAGCAAAGGCTTTGGCATGTGAGAGGTGTTAGAAAAGTGGGATTTTGCTTAACTGAATACCTCATATGTGAAAGCAGAGCTAATTCAATGGAATACCTAATAGGCAAAACCAGAGCCTTGGAAGGGACCAAGTGTCCTTAGTGTCCTTTCTCGCTCAGGGAGTCTCCTGCTGCTTCATTGTGAGCAGTAACATTTCTACTCAGGAGCAGGAAGAAGGGTGGTGACAGGTGTAAGTGGGAAAATAACCTGAGGGATACTACCCGTGTGAAGCACCATTTGTCACCATTCTGTTGAGTAGTAGGGGTGGGAAGGTTGGCATTATGAACTTGAGAGGTAACAATTCTATCAGCCAGAAGTGAATGCTGGGAAGGTAGAAAGGGGAGGCAAAATAGCACAGGCTCTGCAGTCAACCCCTTGGGTTAAAAAAAGAAAAGTTTCTGCTACTTACATGCAGAGGATGAACAAACAACCACATTCCAAGAGGTTTCTTTGGAGGATAACATTGTATACCCAGGAGGTGCCACATCCTTCAACAAAATATCATACTACATGGCTTCACATAATCCTGACTCATTTCTTTGAGGCAGTCTTTAATATTCCCATTTTATAGATGTAAAAAATATATCTTGGGAGATCAGCTCCATTTCCCAAAGACAACCAGCTCCTAAGTGGAGCGAGGGTTGTGATATGGTTTGGATTTGTGTCCCCACCCAAATCTCGTGTCAAACTGGAAGAGGGACCTGGTGGGAGGTGACTGGATCATAGGGGCTGATTTCCCCCTTGCTGCTCTCATAGTAGTGAATTTTCACAAGATCTGATAGTTTAAAAGTCCGTGGCACTTCCTCCTAGTGTGCTCTCTCTCTCCTGCTGCCATGTGAAGAAGGTGCTTGCTTCCCCTTCCCCTTCTGCCATGATTGTAAGTTTCCTGAGGCCTCCCAGTCATGCTTCCTGTAGAACTGTGAGTCAATTAAACCTCTATTCGTCATAAATTACTCCATCTAAGGTAGTTATTTATAGCAGTGTGAGAACTCATCTTGGGTGTGACCTCTGCATTCTTTCTGCTCCCAACCCTCCATATTCCTCCCATTTCTAAGATTTGTGGTTGTGAAGTTATTGAAGCATGGGCAGGTCAAAGTTCTAAGTGGGTTGTTCAGGGCATAAATGTCTATGTGGCCATTTCTATCACTTTGTATAGGGAATTGAGTTATATGAGTATGCTCGCACAAGGCTTTTCTGAAATGCCACTAGCCTCTTACATGACTCCATATCATCAAAACCACATTAATGGAATACTTTAAGATGAAAAAGGGAAACTTTGAAGCAAAAATACTAGACCAGGTTTGTTCACCTCAGCATTATCAAAATTTGGGGCTGGCTATTTCTTTCCTGTAGGAATGCCCTGTACATAGTAGCATGTTTAGTGGCACCACTGGCCTCAACCCACATACTAATAGCACCCCATCACCCAGTTGGTAACAATGAAAAGTGTCTGCAGATATTTCCACAGTTCCCTTGGAGAGGGGTGGTAAAAAAAAAAAACCACCCAGTTGTGACACAATAAGCTAAACAAACGTAAACTCAAAGTCTTAGTCTGCAACTTTTGTAGCCTTGAGACAGTTGCACACTCTTCATGAGACTGTTTCCTTAGGTATAGAATGAAGATGGCAGTTTCTATCTTGCAAGATAACTGTGAGAATTAATGAGACGATGTATATAAAGCTCATCATTTGCAGGCCTTCAGTAGGTGCTCAAAAAGTGGAACTTATTTTTGTGACACCTTTGATTAGCTTTCATAATGTCCATATTTGAGGACTGTGTTTTCTTTATCTCTGTCAAGAGCAAGTTGCTGTCTTTAACATTGCTGCTTCCCCTTCCATGTAAATAGGTATTCAATATTTATGAATAACATCTATCAGGTATGTTTTGCCCGTTATCTCCTTTCAAACTTTACAGCAGTCCTACAAATAAGGTGGCACTGTCATCATTTTAAAAATGAGAAAGCAGATTTAGAGACATTAAGTAATGTCCCAAAGATCACACAGCTAGAAAGCAGCATTCAAACTCTGACTCAACATCCCAAGATATTTTCTAGACTCTTATCTTTCTTCTGCATGTATCCAACAGGTTCTTTCTGAAAACAGATTCTCTTTCATTCGGTTTACGAGGAAAAATAATCAATTGCCTTAAGAGTTATGAATACATTTTATAAAGGGGTAAAACCAAGGGGCTATCAAAGCACAGAGGAGGAATATTTATCCCCATCTGGAAGATTCTAAAAAGCTTGCCATGGCTGGGGGCGCACACGGCTGGGGGTGCAATGGCTCACGCCTGTAATCCCAGCACTTTGGGAGGCCAAGGTGGTGGATCACTTGTGGTCAGGAGTTCAAGACCAGCCTGACCAACATGGTGAAACGCCATCTCTACTAAAAATACAAAAATTAGCCAGGCGTGGTGGCGTACACCTGTAATTCCAGGTATTTGGGAGACTGGGGCAGGAGAGTCACTTGAAGTTGGGAGGTGGAGGTTGCAGTGAGCCAAGATTACGCACCACTGCACTCCGCCCTGCGTAACAGAGCGAGACCCTGTCTGGAAAGAAAGGGAAGGGAAGGGGAGGGGAGGGGAGGGGAGGAGAGGGGAAGGGAGGGAAGGGTAGGGAGAAAAGAAAGAAAGAAGGAGAGAGAGAGAGAGTCAGAGGCGGGGGAGGAAGGAAGGATGGAAGGACGGACAGGCGGGCAGGCAGGCAGGCTTGCTAGCAGAAAAGATGCAAAGAGAATCATAAAGAACAACATGGACGTAGCCAAGAGTATCCAGAAGACAAGATGTTCCAGACGGTGGTAACACAGGCATGAAATCCTAGCACTGAGAAAGAACACAGTAGGAGTAGTTCAAAGAGGACAAAGCTGTGAGGGTAAGGAGAGGAGGAATGAGAGGTGAGAGGGGAGGTCAGCCAGGACCAGCCAGCCAAGGGGTGCCTGTCGCAGTGCTCAGAGCTCATCCCTTGCTTCAAGGGGCTTAGATGTTCCAACTCTCTCCTATGACCTACTTTGCACATCTACCCCTAGAATTACTCTCCAGTGCTTTGTTGGGATATAAAGGACTCTGTTTCTTTGTGAAGATTGCAGCTGTAGAGTTGACATTTCACACTTTGGCAAGTGGAAATGCTCTCATGGTAGCATTGATCCCTGTGTTTAGCACATCCTTTGGCAAAGGACCTAATGAAGAGAAATTAACAAGTGAGCAGCATTTTATAGAGGACTCAGAACAAGCCACATGCCACCAGATTCTTTCCAGAACCCTGCATGAAAACAGACACCCAGCTCAGCCAACACAGCAGAGGCCAGGGCTCCTGACAGGCTGAGCAGGGACGGAAAATGGGCATGCAGTCTGGGAGGCAGGGGCAACGCTACTAGGATGACTCAAAGCCTGGATTTATGAGGCCAGATCTCTGCTGATCTTGGCACGCCCTCAGAGGCCATCACTTCCCAAGCAGGACGGCTCCTCCACGGTACCTCCCGCACATTACAGTTTCTCATGATGACCAGCAGGCAGGCAGGCTGCCCTTTCCCTCACATTTTAAACATTTCAAATAAGAAATGTTCATTACATTTCAGACTTGAGAAATCAAAATGATCCAGTCTGGCCGTTCTGTTATAAAATGTGTATATAGAACGGCCACTGCGTTGAAGGGAAGACTTGTGGAGTTTTTCCTCCAACCCCTAGTGCTTTGTTCATTGTGGGTATTTGGCAAACAGTGGGAGAAAGGAAGTGAAATTGTATTCCCTACAGTAGCATAAAAAATGTTGTGTCTATCCCTTTTGTTCGCAGCTCCAATCACCACGGATAAAAATATCAGGTGTCCAAAATACCTGTGGATTCATTATTAACCATGTAGAGGGCAAGTTGGGAAAAAGGTTGTCCTAGGGAAGGAGATAATAACACACCTGGAAGTCAAGCCCATACGACAAACATACACACACACAGAGACACACACACAAACACACACTTACAGACTCACACAGAGACACACACAGAAACACACCCATACACACACAGACATGCACACACAGATGCACACAGATACACACACACATAGACACACACACACAAGTTATATATTACTCAAGTATAAGGTTTTTAAGTTACCACAAAGATAACAAATCATTTGTAATATAGTAATGCCCTTGAAACACTCCCTTAACAAAGAAGAGAAGCAGGGGTAGGAATGGTTTTGTCATGCATCCCTGGGGTGGTATCAGGGAGGCGGAGGGCTTGGAACTGACATGTCACTGGCTGTTAGGGACAAAGGTGCTGTGATAACAGGGAGGTCAGAAGGTTCTACTAGAATCCTCTCTTCTCTTTCAAGAAATGAATTTGAGTATTAGGAAAGCTAAATAAACTCAGATCCTTAAAGAAGGGCTAAAGAAGCTGTTAATTTACACAGCATTTCTCTGCCTTCTCCCTAGTTAGGCCAAGCTATGCATATCAATAAATGGTTAACTTCTTTTCCCTTGAGAAATATTTGAGTTGTTCTGTGCCTCCTGATCCATAACCATACTGACAGACGAGAAGTAGCTGTGAAATTGAGTAATTTTATACTGATTTGATTTAATGCAGGAATTAAGAAATACTCGGATATCATATGCTAATAGCCAAGTATTTATATTAAGATGCAACATCAGCCTTCCTCCTCAAGTTCTAAGGCCAAAGTATTTGACCTAGACTTTGCACTTAAATCCACAAAGAAAAACAGGAAATTCAATGGCATTCCCTGTGTTCACCTTTTTTTTAAATTTATTTTATTTTAAGTTCCGGGATACATACGCAGGACGTGCATGTTTGTTGCCTAGGTATACAGATGCCATGGTGGTTTGCTGCACCCATCAATCTGTCATCTAGGTTTCAAGCCCTGCATGCATTAGCTATTTGCCCTGATGCTCTCCCTCCCCACCTCCCTGACAGGCCCCAGTGTGCGTTGTCCCCTCCCCCGTGTCCATGTGTTCTCATTGTTTGACTCCCACTTATGAGTGACAACATGCAGCATTTGGTTTTCAATACCTTTCTAAGCTTAGTCCTATTCTGGGATCCTGACTGATCAAGCTTCAGAGGAAAAGATGGATTGTTTGAGTTTCTACTGTGTGTTCTCAGTCTCTACCAACAACCACACACAATAAAGTGGGTGTAAGCCAGTCTAATTAAAAAAAGTCTAGAAGTTTCTCCAATTAAAAAAAAAAGATAGTCAAGGAGTCATTCCTTTGTTATCATGTAGGACACTCTTTAAGGGGAAGTTATGTTTGGCTGACTCTGGGGGCTCTAACATGTACCCAGCCCTCTCATTTGAAAACACACAGGAAGTTTTAAATTTCAGGGGGTCATAGACCCCTGGGAGACCATCCGTGGACATTCCTCTACAAACAAAGAGCTTCCTAAGCTAATTAACTGTGCATAGAAATCACTCTGAAGTAAGTAAAATTCTTACCTCTAAACAACGTCTACTAAATAGTTTTGTTTCTTATGGAGATGTTCCCATTTTGACAAAGTTACTTAGAAGGCTTGTGCAATTATGTCAACAACATCACCTCTGGGATTTTCATTCCTCATTAATATGTCAAAATGACTATGACTATAGGAGAAGCTTCAGGGGAACTGAAAGGTTACCCTGGGATTTTCCCTGGGTAAACTTGGACAAGACATTTCCCCTTCTCAAGCGGCAGTTTCTTCATCTGTGAAATGAAAGGATTATGCTATATAATCTCTAAAGCTCCTTCTAGCACATGAGATAACTAACACTTACATCTCTGACCCTTCAAGAATTTTGATAGGCCTTCCCTGGAAAGAATTCAACAGCTAAATGTAGATGTTTATGGGAACAGAAGAGCAAGAGTTTCTGCAGACAAAACAAGGATGAACGAAGCCTGCGTTCCGACCAAGAACTGAAAATAAACCGGTGGCCTAATTTTGCCTCAGCCTCTGCTTTGAGAATTAAAAGACATTTTTGAGTGTAAAGAAATTCCTCAAAACTATCAACAGTGGTCAAAAATGAGCCATCAGAAACTGCAAAGATCTGTTGCAAAATACCAGAAGAGAAGGCAGGAGTAGGTCTCTGTTTTCCTTCTGATTCCTCTGCTGACTTCATCACACTTTCTATTGGCTATTTCTTTCCTTGTAACATGAAGGCTGGCCAAAATGGAATAGGAAAGGAAGAGGAAAAGGTGAATCCTTATTTGTTGGTGATTACTACAGACCAGGAGCTGTGCATATGTCATTTCATTTCTCATAGGAACTCATTATGAATAACGAGGACACGGAGACTTGGTGGTGATAAAAATCATGCAAAAAATAATCTGAATAAACAGCATCATAACAGACACGTCTGCTGGCCCAGGGCCGTCTATTCTCAAACCCCAAATGGTTTTCAATAAATCAGGCTGCCTCCATGAAGTTCTGATATACACTCTCCACAAAGATATTTCTGCATTTGGAAGCTAAAAGGATCTGACATTTATCACGTGACTTAGGTTTGTAAAACACACCACCACTGAAAGGGCTATAGATCATGACTACAAAGACTAAGATGAGGGATGATACTAAAAGGCACACTTTGCCAGGGATGAATAGTATTATTCCATAATAAAGCACCGTATCGAAGATGAGAATTCTGGGCTATCCTTTTTCACTAACCAGCTAAGAATCTTGAACAACCGCTTCACATACCTAGGCTTCTATTCCTTTGCCCTTAAAACACAGTTGGATGGTATCATTAGACACCTTCCTCACTAGGCCTTTGTGATAAACAAAATAGTATATGTTAAGATGCCTTTAAGAGAACAAGGTGATGCTTTATGAATGCAATGTTTGAGAAGTTTTAATGTATATTTTGAATTTTCCTTCCAGCCGTAGGTTCAGGTAACTAAAGCCCAAGCCAACTAACCAGACAATTACCTAACCTATAATTCACTTTTGATCGTGTTTGCATTCCTATGCCTACTAAAGAGTTAAATAAGAAATAAAAATAAAAGCAGATTTCAGATACTATTTCATTAGAAGAGCACATGTTCCCTGATTAATTAGAGTCCCAAACAATAGTTTCTAGTTTTACCTAGGTGGTTGAAAACCTCTCTGTTTATCTCAGAGTGGGAACTTCCTTTAGTCTAGCCCATATCTCTCTTCAGTGCCTTACTTCCAAACATCAGACTGTAGTAAGAATTTAAGGTTAGGAGCTCTCTGTCACATACCTAACAAGTGGTATTATTATTCAAACTGAGGTCTGCGGGACTTAAAAGGTGACACTCTTTCCACAGATGCTACCCTCCCTCGTGTAGCAATAGAGACTAAACATGAGAAATAAAGCTTGAAATTCCACTTGTCTGATTAATACACAGTGCCTATCTGAAGATTTATGTTTGTTTTTCTACTAAATAAATGGTTACAGCATTTCCCCAGCCAATAATACACCGGACTAATTAACACCAGCTTTCTTTCGAAGTCTACTGTATAGACAAAAATTCTATCCCTAGGGACCGATCCCTCAGAAAGGCCATGGAAAGACTCTCTCAAGAGTCCTTCACCAAGAGACCCCTGAGAGCAACCACACATTGACACACTGTTGGCCGTTAACACCTTAGCAAAGATTAGCAGCATTTAGTTGTCAAGCAGAAAATAATATAGAATTGTCAAGAAGAAAATAGTATAGACAGAATGGAAGAAGAAAGGAAAAGAGACAGAGAAGAGGGAGGAGGGAAGGAAGAAGGAACGCAAAAATAAGAAGGGAAGAACAAAACTGTTGAGAGTCCATTATTTGGATAGGAAAGTATTTAAGGACCTGAAATATATATCTACATATACGTATTTATGATATAGATATAGATCACAAAGAAGGAATGAGAACCATTTATATTACAGGCACGTGCTAAGTAACATACACATTGGTTCATTTAACAGCATACAGTGTGTTTTGTGTTCTACATTCACTATTTTTTCAAATGTTTAGATCAATTTTATGAGATATAATTACATATAATAAAAAGCAGAGGCTGGGGGCGGCAGCTCACGTCTTTTATCCCAGCACTTTGGAAGGCCAAGGCAGGAGGATCACTTGAACCCAGGAGTTTGAGACAAGCCTAGGCAATATAGTGAGACCTCCTCTCTACAGAAAATTAGCTGGGTGTTATGGTGTGCACCTGTGGTCCCAGCTACTCAATAGGCTGAAGTGGGAGGATCTCTGAGCCCGGGAGGTGGAGACTACAGTGAGCCATCATTGCGCCACTGAACTCCAGCCTGGCCGACAAAGGGAGACCCTGCTCCAAAAAAAATAAAATAGAACAGAATAAATAAAGCAGAGTTTGATGAGTTATTCACGTAGGTCAGGATCACTATAATCATGATACAGAACATTTTTGTCACTCTAAAATCTTCCCTCATTCCCTTTTTATGTCACCTCTTAACCTCCAGCTTCAGGCCATCGACTAATTTGATTTCACTGTCTATAAATTTGTCTTTTTCTGTACACTTCACATAAATGAAATTGTACAATATGTAGCTGTTTTCATCAGGCTTCTTCCACTTAGTACAATGTTTCTGAGCTCTGCTCCTGTTGTAACATTTCTCAGTATTTCATTCCTGTTTTTGCTCTGAATAGTATTCCATTGTATGAACTTATTCATTCTTCTGTTGATGAATTGTTTCCACTTTGGGGGCATTATAAATAAAGCTACTATGAGCATTAAGATGCAAATCTTTGTGTGAACATTTGCTTTTATTTCTCTTGGGTAAGGATCTAGGAGTAGAACTGCTGGGTTGTTTAAGTGCATGATTAACCTTTCAAGAAACTGCCAAACAGTTTTCAAAACTGGTTGTGGCATTTTATACTCCCTTCAGCAATGCATGAGTATTCTAGTGGCTTCACATCTTTGCCAACACTTCTTGTTGTCAGTCTTTTTAATATCACACATTCAGTGGGAGGGTTGTCACGTCTCATTTTGGTTTTAGTTCACATTTTCCTGATGACCAGTAATGTTGAGCAGCTTTTCATATGCTTATTAACCATTCACATATCTTCTTTTCTGAAGTGTTAGTTCATATATTTTGCCCTTTTTTAAAATTAGGTTATTCATTTTCTCATTGAGTTGTAAGAGTTTCTAAATATTCTAGTCTTTAATTCTTTGACAGATACACACATTACGTTTTCCAAGTCTGTGGCTTAATGCATTTTATTTTCTGAATGGTGCCTTTTAAAAAGAAAACATTTTAAATTCTGATAAAGTTCAATTAATCTTTTAAAAGATTTTATGGTTTCTGATTGTTATACCATATGTAATAAATCTTAGCTTACACCCAGGTCACAGAGATTTTCTGTGCTCTATCTTCTAGCTTGAGGTTTTACCTTTAAGTTTACTAGTCTAATTAATTTTTGTATACGCTGTGAGGTCAGGATCAAAGTTTTTAAAATCTCATTTTGATATATAACAAATGGTGTACTTTTCATTATATTTTTGAAAAGAATATCTTTTCTCCATTGAATTACCCTAGTTCCATTGTGTGGGTCTATTTCTGGATTCAGCATTCTATTTAATTAATCTATATATGTCTATGCTTATGTTAATACCACATTGTCTTGATCACTACAGATAAAAATCTTAGTAGTTCTTAAAATTATGTAATGCGTATCATCCAACTTTGTTCTTTTCTGAAATTGCTTTGACTATTATGATTATTTTATATTTCTGTACCATAAAATTATAAAGTTGACTTGTCAATTTCTCCAAAAGAATTCCTGCTGGGAATCAAAACCAAAATGAGATACCATCTCGCGCCACTCAGAATGGTGATTGATTATTAAAAAGTCAAGAAACAAAGCAATGGCAACAAAAGCCAAAATTGACAAATGGGATCTAATTAAACTAAAGAGCTTCTGCACAGCAAAAGAAACTACCATCAGAGTGAACAGGCAACCTACAGGATGGGAGAAAATTTTTGCAATCTACTCATCTGACAAAGGGCTAATATCCAGAATCTACAATGAACTCAAACAAATTTACAAGAAAAAAACAAACAACCCCATCAAAAAGTGGGCAAAGGATATGAACAGACATTCTCAAAAGAAGACATTTATGCAGCCAACAGACACATGAAAAAATGCTCGTCATCACTGGCCATCAGAGAAATGCAAATCAAAATCACAATGAGATACCATCTCACGCCAGTTAGAATGCAGGAAACAACAGGTGCTGGAGAGCATGTGGAGAAACAGGAACACTTTTACACTGTTGGGACTGTAAACTAGTTCAACCATTGGAAGTCAGTGTGGTGATTCCTCAAGGATCTAGAACTAGAAATACCATTTGACCCAGCCATCCCATTACTGGGTATATACCCAAAGGATTATAAATCATGCTGCTATAAAGACACATGCACATGTATGTTTATTGTGGCACTATTCACAATAGCAAAGACTTGGAACCAACCCAAATTTCCATCAATGATAGACTGGATTCAGAAAATGTGGCACATATACACCATGGAATACTATGCAGCCATAAAAAAGGATGAGTTCATGCCCTTTGTAGGGACATGGATGAAGTTGGAAACCATCATTCTCAGCAAACTATCGCAAGGACAAAAAACCAAACAACGTATGATTTCACTCATAGGTGGGAATTGAACAATGAGAACACTTGGACACAGGAAGGGGAACATCACACACAGGGGCCTGTTGGGGGATGTGGGGAAGGGGGAGGGATAGCATTAGGAGATATACCTGATGTAAATGACAAGTTAATGGGTGCAGCACACCAACATGGCACATGTATACATATGTAACAAACCTGCACATTGTGCACATGTACCCTAGAACTTAAAGTAAAATAAAAAAATTTTAAAAAAAGTCAAGAAACAACAGATGCAGGTGAGGTTGCTGAGAACTAGGAATACTTTTATACTGTTGGTGGGAATGTAAGCTAGTTCAACCATTGTGGAAGACAGTGTGGAGCTTCCTCAAAGACCTGGAACCAGAAATACCATTTGACTCAGCAATCCCATTACTGGGTACATACCCAAAGGAATATAAATCATTCTGTTATAAAGATACATGCACTCACATGTTCATTGCAACACTATTCGCAATAGCAAAGACATGGAATCTACCCAAATGCCCATCAACGATAGACTGGGTAAAGAAAATGTGGTACATATACTCCGTGGATTACTATGCAACCAAAAAAGGAAGGACATCATGTCCTTTGCAGGGACATAGATGTAGCTGGAAGCCATCATCCTCAGCAAACTAATGCAGGAACAGAAAACCAAACACTGCATGTTCTCACTTATAAGTGGGAGCTGAACAATGAGAACACATGGACATAGGGAGGGGAACAACAAACACTGGGACCTGCAGGGTGGAGGGAGAGCAGGGGGAGGGAGAGCATCAGGAAAAATAGCTAAAGCATGCTGGGCTCAATACCGAGGTGATGTGTTGATAGGTGCAGCAAGCCACCATGGGACATGTTTACCTATGTAACAAACCTGCAGCACATCCTGCACATGTATCCTGGGACTTAAAGAAAAAATTCCTGCCAGGATTTTGATTGCAATTGCAGTGAATCTAGAGATCAATTTGGGGAGATCCAAATTGGGGAGGTTCTCAATATTGAATTTTTGAATCCATGAACATATTATATCTCTCCATTTATTTTATTCAATTATATTTTTAAGAATCTGGATGATAAGCTGACTTAGGGTTAGGTCTGAAAGATATCTAAGTGGTCACTAAACCCAAATCATTTATTTTATATGTAATAAACATTTTTTCATATAGGTGCCTAGTCTTTCTTTTCCATCCAACTAGCCAAAACGTTTTTGATTGTCAGTCTAGTATTCTTTTTCTTGCTCATTGAAGGTTAATTTGAGTTAAATAATAAAGTACTCAAAGGAAAGAGATAAAAATTTTTTTTTAAATGTTGAGTACGCTTAGGGTTGAGGCCGATTCTTCCCTATAGCACATGCATTCGTGTGTGGGCAAACACACACACAGTGCACACACAGACACCATCAAACCTCTGCTCAGAGAAAGATGCTAAAATATAGGAGGAAAGTGACTGGAAAAAGAAGCAGGAGAACTAAATATAAATGTGGACTGCATATTTGAGTTCTCTGCCATGGGTTTCAGTCAATGCCAGTCATACCTGTGGGTGATAAACTGTGATTCCTGAAGGTGATGCTGCCACAAGACTGAACCATTTGGGTTTCTGGATTTGTAAAGATCCCATACAAATAAAGGAATCATACACCTGGGAAAGGTCTAGTTTTACTTAACAGTAAGGCAGAATCAGATCTGAATCTGAGGCTGGCCTCATTCTGAGCAGAGAGTCCTATGTAGATGTCCCCAGGTGAATGGAGCTCTGGCCCTGCCCTTCATAAGCCCTACTGTATGGAGCTGTGTGTACACAGCACATATCATGTGATCCTGAAGCACCCAGGTAGCAGTATTTTCATGACCAGTTTCTCTACAGACAAGGCTAAGAAGCATTAGTATGGCTGTCCTCCTATTTAACTATTTAAATACTTCCATATGTGATGGAAGCCAAATGTCATAATCAACAGCCATTTCTTCCAAGGACTTTCCCCCAGCCTATAAGGCCTCCAGATGCCCTAGATGTACCAAACAACATTGCCGCATGATCCAGCAACCAAGGGTTAAAGGTTGGCACAGCTGGCCCCCATTCCCAAACCCAGGGGTATGGCTTTTATCCATGCTGACTGGTACCCATGTCATACTAATTGTTATATATTTTATATATCATCACTTTCTACAGAAATGTTTTAGAAGACATTTAATTTCACAATACCCATTTCCTAATATTTCCAGCCTATGCACTCCTTTTTATTCTCATAGTCCCTATCTCTGACCTAGAAGCTTATAAAAGTGAGCATCTCATAGCTATAAAAAACATAAAGTCACTATCATTGATTAAGCACTTACTATATTCTAACTCTTTATGGTCACAATTTCATTTAATCCCCAAATAAACCCACAGAGCAGGCCCTTGGGTCCTCATTTAACAAATGAAGAGCCTGAGGCTCAGAATGGTTGAATAACTTTCTCCACGCCAACATCTGGGCTCCTTTCAGTTTGAATCTTTCTACGATGCCTCATCACGTTTTCCGTTTTGTGTAACGAAAGAGATTTAAAAATAAAAGTTTCAATTAAAACTATGAGGATCATCCTCAAAGGTTCCAATTCACATTAAAATGCTAATCACTTTGTCATTTTTAATGTGTTTACCAACTCATACTTTTATATAAAAATATAAAAGTACCTAGATACGATTCTGGCAGTAGCCTGACTGCTTCTCACTACAGTGGGGACTGTCATCTCATGTGCTGGGAACGTGAAGTCACCTCCTTTACGCACTGCACTAATAAAATAATTCACTTTTGCACTCCAAATCTTACGCTTGTATTTATTTATATTCTCAACCATCATTTTTTTCATGCTTTTACACTCCCTTGTTATAAAATAATACATAGATTTAATAGAGATGGGCTTTGTCACAGTAAGAGGGCTGGATTTAGTGGTTTCTAGGGGGGTATTATTTGGGATAACTAACTGAAACCAAAGCACATTACCATTCCTTGCCTGCAACAATAAACACTGGGTCTTCAAAGGCTGACCAAGTTTCCAATGATTCCCAACAATAGCAGTTGTCATTTTCAAATGATGGTCCTTTTGAAACGCCAAGTGGAGTGAAGAAAAAGTGCGTGCTATTGCTGATTAGACAGGAATATGACTTGCAGCAGCCTATGGTACTCTCTTGTCTGCAAATTTTCTGCCCTGATTAATTACAAAGAGTGCCAGAGTGTGTTGACGTTAGTTAAAAGCATTTGCTCTTTCCAGCCTGTCGTTATACCCGAATTAAGGATTTCTGTGTCAAGGTGAGGTCAGGAGAGTTCAGATCTGTTTTCCACTGATAAATCTTGCTGTCCCATAAGGATTAAAGGAACTCAAGGCTTTCATATGTAAAACTAATACATGATGGCCTATGTGTTTACGTCCCCATGATCAAAGAGCTCTTGGCCAAGTGGGAATGCCTCAAAGAGATAAGTAATTTGTTCACTACAAACATTACAATTCTCTATCCCTCTACAAAGTACTGAAAATAAATTCTCTGATCAGAGTTAATTAGCATCCTCGTTGCTTTGGGTTGAGCTGACTAGTTCTCTTAAAGGCACACGAACATGAAAATTACAAGGCTTTTCTGAGCCAGCTTCTTAAATTCTATCAAAGATAGTTGGTGTATCCACCCATCAATTAGCTTCAACCCATTTACTTTAATCAAATTAATTGAATAAAATTTATTGCACTCCTTCTCTGTATTCATGAACCCTTCCATGCTTCTATTTGTTGACTCTTTACTCTGTGCCAAGTGCCTTTTAGAGAGCCTAATGCCCTCAAATTCACAATACAGCATGAGGTGTCAGAGAGAGGAATTAGCACAAGCAGTCAGAGGCCAAGAGAGATGGAAATGACCTATCTTAGGTGATGTTCAAGACTGGCTTGGAAGAATGAGTAGGAATTTAGTAGGTTTATATGAGAAAGAAGGGCATTTCAAGAAACAAAACCAATAAAGGCATGTGAAATAATAACCTTGGATTCACACTGCTAGACTTTCCTTCTTAGTAAGTTGTCCATCAACTTTAAATGAACTTAGGAATGAAAAAAATCAAGGCTATTTCCCTTTAACTCTTTTAAAGGACAGGGGTAGAGACCAACAATGGAGTAAGAACTCTCGGTATCAAGTCCCAGTTGTTCCTGCTAAATCCATGCTGCATGACATTTGGCTTCTCCAAGCATCTGTTCCCTAACTTAGCAAATGGAAGTAATATCTCTTCCATAGCTTTTCAAAAGCTGGCCATTGTAATAAAAAATAACCCAAATCAAGTCATTAACGACTTTATCTATAAATGACCTAATGGAGGTCCACAAAGAGCTTACCAGAACTTTTGTGTCACATTGCTGGTGCACGTTCCAATTGTGGGAACTCATCTGGTTGTAGACTCCTTACATGGACCTCTTCAGGTATTGCTAGAGTCATCAAATTCAGGCTTTGCCAATACTTTTTTCCCCCAGTTTTCAAAATAGTCATCAAAGTTATGTGTTAACCAAGTCATATACATGCACATCTACACGTTTGTTTCTGAGTTACAGTAAAGCTATAGGATAATTTGGGCATGAAAACAATTTCTACATGACCTTGCCAGAATAGACGAGACATTGTGCAAAGCAATGAGTATATTGTCGTCATCTAATTTGCTTAAACAATCTAACATTATATTGCTCAACAAGGAATCCTTTGTACAACCTCTTAGAGTGTGCAAAATCCTTTCACTTGCATTATTTTATTTCATATTTACTGTAGACTATAAGGAAAATATATCAGAGGGCAGTGGTTATTATCTCTAGTTACAGAAAAGGAAATATAGTCTCAGAAAGGTCAAGAAAGCTGCTGGAGACTGTAATTAAAATATGATGACACCTACTCCAAAGACAGTACTGTTTCCACTATAGCACACTGCCTTCTCTGATCAGCAAATGCACAAGAAAGACCATTGACACACAGACCCTAACCACAGAATTCCAACCTACCAGCAACCCTAACAAGTTCCTACTAACTCAAAATGGTGGAGAAAAACAAGAGCTTAGACTAGTCGTTCTCAGCCAAGGGTGATTTTGGACCTGTGGGGGCATTTTTCAATGTCTGGGGACATTTTGATTGTCACAACTGGGGAGTGGGGTGCTATTGGCATCTAGTGGGTAGAGGTGAGGGATACCACTGAACATCCTACAATCACAGGACAGTCCCTTCAACAAAGAGTGATCTGGCCCATAATGTCAACAGCGCTGTGGTTGAGAAACCCTAGCTTAGAATAACTGCCCTTAGGATGGCAGGAGAAAGGAAGGAATATAGATTGCTTTTCCCATTGACACAAGATAATTTAGCACCATACAGGATGAGCCACTTCCAGCCTTATGGGATGCTCTGCCTATCAGGTCTGGGTGGTGGTGTGGGAAAGGATGTCCTAATATTTTGCTAAGAGATATTCCTCATTTTATGTAGGGAATAAATAGAAAAATAAATGCCAACATATTGAAATTCAGATTCAGTTTACAGGTAACTTTTTAATTCAGGATGCACTTATTCTTAATATCTTTGAATATCAGATGATAAATTACCCACTATGTGTAGGATTCATGATATACTAGGGAATATTTAGATTGCTCCCCTGATCTCATGAAGAGTACAGAAAAATTAACATAACTCAATTAATGACAAGAAACATCGAAGGGGAAAATCTGAAATGTCTACATAAGCTTTTTAAACTTTAAGATCAAAATATATTCTCAGAAATATTTTTTATTATTATGTCCTATGAAAAGAGAAACAATAGACTCTCCATGCTTGAATAGTTTCCTTTTAACATAGTAAAGGAGTTATCAAAATATTTAAAATATTAGCAGCTTATTAATTCAATATTATAATTGTTATATAGGCAGTTTGTAATCCCTGAAACTCAAAGTAGGCTAAATATAAGCTTACAATGATTTTACACACACGTCTTTTTTCCAAAGTGCAACCGCCAAACAAATGGTAGCTGGGATGAGTGTTCCATTTTCACCACGAAACTGTAAATCCATCGTCTATGAGAGAACTATAAATTATGCATTCTGGGGAAATTCCTCTCATTTGGCCTGCTGGGGAAATCCAAGAAAAGCAGTAGGAAAAATGACTTACTACCTCTCAACACTGACCTGAAACTTGTACAGATACTTCATTGCTAGAGAGGAGAACCGGCAGAATGTGAGCGATTCAGCAGCAAAGCTCAAAATGAACTTCTAGGAGTGATGAAGAGGAGACAGAGGTAGAAAACAGACTCCAGTATTTTCATTTTTCCCCCTAATCCAAGATACCTCTGGACAACCTGATTTGCATTCCTTGAAATACATTGATTTGACACATCGGGATATTACACACCACGGCGTAGAAAGGAATCAGGTGTTACCTATGTCTTCCATATCTGGTTCTTGGCAAAAGGATATCTTTGCATATTAAGTGCCAAATGCATAAGATACAAAGTGCATGAAAAAAATTAATCAATCAACTCTGAGATGATTAGCCAAGGTCTTTTCATATGTTGTCCAGACAATAAATACAATGTTTAAGAAATGGGGATATGAGAAATTTTTTTTTTTGAGACAGTCTCCTCTGTCGCCCTGGCTGAAGAGCAGTGGTGTGATCTCAGCTCACTACAACCATTGCCTCCAGGTTCAAGCGATTATTGTGCCTCAGCCTCCCAAATAGCTGGGATTACAGACGAGCCACCATGCCCAGCTAATTTTTGTATTTTTAGTAGAAACGGGGTTTTGCCATGTTGGCCAGGCTGCTCTTGAACTCCTGATCTCAAGTGATTCGCCTGCCTTTGCCTCCCAAAGTGATGTGCTGGGATTACAGTCGTGAGCCACCGTGCCCAGCCGAGAATGAATATTTGCTAATACACCAAGAATAGTCCGTCCCTTAGATTAAGTGAAGTTTGGGTCAAAAGAGCCACTGGTCATCTTTGACCAGGAATGGGATTACAGAAAGTAGTGTAAGTTATTTTTCTGCAACATGAAAGTATCAATACCTATTTCACAGGATAGCCAAATTTGTTAAACTAGACACTCTGTGTAAAGGGGTTACAGCATAGGCCTGTTTTATAAATGTTTCAGAATAAATGTGTCTCACCGTGTTCAGGCTGCTATAACAAAATACCATAAAGTAACTTATAAACACAGAAATTAATTTCCCACTGCTCTGGAGGCTGGGAAGTCCAAGATCAAGGTGCCAGCAGATTTAGTGAATAGTTAGGGCCTGTTTCCTGTTTCACAGACAGCGCCTTCTTGCTGTGTCCTCACATGGTGGAAGGAATGGGGCAACCCTCTGGAGCCTCTTTTATAAGGGCACTAACCTTATGACCTAATTATCTCCCAAAAGGACCCAACACCTAAGACCATCACCTTGGTGATTGGGACTTCAACCTATGACTTTTGAGGAAACACAAACACAAACATCCAGACCATATCAGGATGCAAGTAGGAAAAGAGATGGATAGGTATGCTCCATGTAGCTCCAGAGCAGAGATACAGGACTGATGTGAGAGCATGACAAGATGGGGAAGTCTGGCTCACATGGGAGAATATATAGGGGGAAGTTCGGCTCATGCGGGGGAATATAGTTAAGAGACTAGGCTCAGAAATCTAACCTTGTGTGACCTTGGGTAAGTACATTGATTTCAGTGAGCTTCTATTTGCTTCTCTGTAAAGTGGAAATACTATTAGTGCCTTTCTCAGTGTACAAATAATTTACACAAAGCAAAATGCTTAGGGAATTGGTCTGACAGATGTTTTAAAAACCCACTCTATAAATGTTAGTTATTATTCTATTATTACTATAATCATTACTAGCAAAGACTAGCCCACACTATTCTCATTCAGAATGTTTTGAGACATAATGAGTTCTCATTATTGGTCATACTTAGCCAGAGCTGGGAAAATCACCATTTAAGAAAGCCATGCCTGGGCTAGAAGGTTGCTAAAACCCCAAGCATCTCATAATTTTCATCGTAACTGGAAGCCAAATTCGTACCTGCTGAAATATGCAGAACTTTCAGAAAGTCCCCCTGCTTTAAATTCTCAACAGAGCCAAGTCATAAAATTGCACTTATTTCTCTGGTCCATTTCTTGGCAGGCAGGCCCTTCAGCATCCTGTAGCAAACTCCCCAAACCTCAGCAATATCTTAGAGCATTTCCCATCACAGTGCCTCCTAATAAAGTGCAAGACAAATTGGTAGCCGGGGGAGAGAAGTGCCTTGTGTTACATTTTGTGTTCTTTTAACTACTCCATCTGTGATTTACAGCTCAACAGAGGGGTAGAGATATTATTCAGGGATGAGGGAGCTGGGTGAGTAAAATGTTGAGAATGAAAGGCAAAGTATCACGTAGTAGCTGCACACACGAAGACACTTGGCTATTTAGTTTGCAGGAAGCAGAAGCTAAGAGAACCAAGGTGATGGAACAGAGGACAGCATTTGAATGTGTGGCTGAATTTACATAAACAAACGGGAAAATTGCACAAGTGCATGACCAGTTTTGCCTGTTAGCTGTAAAATCATGATGAAGGTTATCTCAGGACCCCACACAAAGCTTAGCTTGTTCATCTGTGGACTTAATTCTGATGAAGAAGAAAGAACTCAATAGACATTTTTGTGGGTCTTTCATATACACATCCCCTCAGATGTCAAGTTTATATACTTCTTTTCAAAACTGGAATCTCCCAGATCTGAAACTTCAGGAATAAGGGAGTGATTTTAATGCCTTTAACCAACATTTTGTCAAATGTCTTGTTTATTAATCATTATTCTAAAGGTGCTCATGTATCTTCTTAGCTTTCTCTGTAAAGATTTAACTTTTTATATCAGAAGATCCAAGAACATAATTATGTCTTAGCTAAGAAGTTGATATATTTGTAAATTAAGCTACAAATTGTTTGTACACATACATGGAAGTAAAAACATTCTTTAGAACATCTGATTTTACCTAATTACACTGAGGCATGTTGCATTTCAGATTTTTTTGAAAAAAAGCCAGAGCCCCAACAATTTAACGTAAAATTCTAGTTCGATGATTAAATATCTGCTTGATTGGATACACATAGAACACAATGGGATGGTGAAAGATCAGGGCCTACCTTTCTATGACACAGAAAAAACATATTAAAAGGATCTCAGGGCTGGATATAATACACACCTAAGTCCATCTGTCATATGAGATCATTGTCAATTCACTCCTGGATGTATAGTTTCTGCCTCTGAACTCCATAAAGAACATTTTTGTGGTGGCCAAACTCCATTTATTGATGGATCACTTTCTGTAGACGGGAATCAGAAAACAAATTTAAATCTCCAAATATGACCCATAGCCATACATTATCATGTCAAACAGAAATACATCTGTTCTAAGAATAATGTGGCCAGCTATACTATGTTAAGAAAGTTGGTATTGCTTCTTCATTTTACTCAATCATGATTTGAATTCAGCAAAATACAAAATTACTCAAACATTACTAAGATGACTTGGGTTGATAAATTCATTACCAGGGATGGAAACACAGGATGAAAAGCTTCCTCTTTATGGAAATTGCTGGAGTTCTGAACCTTCACTACTAAGATTTCATCTACACTGTTGTTTCTTCATTGAGCAAATAATTTTCAAATACTATGTTCTAGTTACTAAACTTCTTCAAACTTCAACATGCATTTTTCATTAGATACAATCTAGGGCCAGGCATGGTGGCTCAAACGTGTAATCCCAACACTTTGGAGGCCAAGATGAAAGGATTGCTTGAGGCCAGGAGTTCAAAACCAGCCTGGGCAACATTTCAAGATTCCATCTCTACAAAAAATACAAAAATTAGCTGGATATGGTGGTGTATGCCTGTAGTCCCAGCTACTCAGGAGACTGAGGTAGGAAGATTGCTTGAGCCTGGGAAGTCAAGGCTGCAGTGAGCTGTGAGGGCACCACCTGCAACCCAGTCTTGGTGACAGAGCATGACCCTATATCAAGAAAAAAAGAAAAAGAAAAAAGACCAAAAAAAAAGACAAAATCCAGTTTCGAGGAATAGTGAAGAAAGTAATACAAATAACTAAGATAGAAACAAACAAATTATTCCTTTCACTCAAAAAGGAAAAGCAGGTGTGCTCAGCGAGGGTTAGTCTTGGCATTCCAGTTGGATCCCGCACTTGATGAAGATGACCATAGGTCTTACTTCCCACCCCAACTGACCCATATCCAAAGTGGAGCAGAATGACGGATAGCTCATCCAGAAGTGGGACTCTGAGAAGAGGAGCAAAGAGGCTGACTGGCCCAAGTAGCCATGAAGTAAAAGGAAGAGAGTAGTTAGGATATTTTGGAATAGTTTCTCTACTGACTATCGGGAAAAGACGGTCAGTGCTGAAATCCATGTCATGTGATGCATTTCCATTGAAGGGTGGGGTTGGGACCATTGAAGACAGTGCAGGAGCCATTCTTTCACCTGTCACAACAAAGATTCTGTAATAGAGGATAGGATCTGAACTTAAAATAAGGCCAGGCACTGTGGCTCAGGCTTGTAATTCCAGCACTTTGGGAGGCTGAGGCGGGCAGATCACATGAGGCCAGGAGTTCAAGACCAGCTTGGCAAACACAGAGAAAACATGTCTCTACTAAAAATACAAAAATAAATTAACTCAGTGTGGTGGCGGGCGTCTGTAATCCCAGCTACTTGGGAGTCGGAGGCATGAGAATCGCTTGAATCTGGGAGGCGGAGATAGCAGTGAACCAAGATTGCACCACTGCACTCTAGCCTGGGCAACAAAGTGAGACCCTGTCTCAAATAACAACAACAAAAACAAATGAACTTGAAATAAATGACTATATTATACACTCTTTAGATGCTATATATGCACTTAACCAGGTAATATAAGGTTGTTTAATAGTGGAACAAAGAGGTAATTAAGTCCCTTCTTAAAGGAAAAACCTGAGACCTATTTATTTATTCATTCAATGAATCATGACTAGTTATGAAAAGCAAGAGAAATACCGGGAGCTTTGACTCTGACCCTTCCTGATCTTTCTTAAGCATTAAAAGTCTTCAATACAAGGAGGTTGGGGAAAGGAAAGAGTCAAAGCCCAACCCTGAGCCTTATTCCCTTCCCCAAAGTAGGAAGAAACCAGTAGAATAGAGTATTGGATGAGCCTAGACAACCTCACCCCAGTGAAACGTGGAATGAGAGAAGTCAGGAATTGGAAACAAAGATGCAGCACTTCTTCTGCCTCATTTAGTCATCCTCACTCTACACATGACCACCAGGAATGTCAAATGACAGTTTCCCTGAATATTTTTCATGTGACAATTGGCCTTGTAACAATAAACAAAGTGGCAAAAATAAAATAATTGGTTTTAAACTACTGCTTAATTGCATTCATTTATTAGCTTTACTTGTCTTCTTTGTCTAGTCATCACACGGCCTCCAAATTTGTTAGAGTAATAATAACTTATGATTGAAAATGCTTACAATTTACAAAAGGCTTTTACAAAGAGACCATCCTCCCAATCCTCAGAACAACTCTGGAAATGAGGTATTACTGTTATTTTAACATGATAGATCTGGAAACCTGAGGTTCAGAGAGGTTAGGAGATTTGTCCAAGGAAATACAGTGTTATGCATACATCATGTTTTATCATTTTTTTTGTTTATTTGAGATGGAGTCTTGCTCTGTCACCAGACTGGAGTGCAGCAGTGCAATCTCAGCTCACTGCAACCTCCACCTCCCAGGTTCAAGCAATTCTGCTGCCTCAGCCTTCCAAGTAGCTGGGACTACAGGTGGTGCCACCACACCCAGATAATTTTTTTTATTTTTAGTAGAGACGGGGTTTCTCCTTGTTGGCCAGGATGGTCTCAATCTCCTGACTCTGTGATCTGTCTGCCTCGGCCTACCAAAGTGCTGGGATTACAGATGTGAGCCACTGCACATGACCCACATCATGCTTTTAAGCTGTGCGGTCTCCTTATTCCCATGTTGCTTTGTTAACTGACTATAAAATTTTATGGAATCACGTCACTAGCACCCATCTTAGTATACTCAGTCATCCTGTGTTACACTCATGCAGCCTGACCTTCTGCGAAGAAATGAAATATGGGAGGGAGTGTTCAAAAAGAACCATAGACAGTAGTAGGTAGGAGCTAAACATGGGTGTCAAGTAGATCTAAAATCAAATTATGATTGTGACTCTATTTTTTTTTTTTTTTGAGACAAGTCTCACTCTGTGGCCAGACTGGAGTGCAGTGGTACAATCTCAGCTCACTGGAACCACTGCCTCCTGGGTTCAAGTGATTCTCCTGCCTCAGCCTCCCAAGTAGCTGGGACTACAGGCATGTGCCACCATGCCCAGTTAATTTTTGTATTTTTAGTAGAGATGGAGTTTCCCCATGTTGGCCAGGATGGTCTCAATCTCCTGACCTTGTGATCCGCCTGCCTTGGCCTCCCAAAGTGCTAGGATTACAGTCATGAGCCACCGTGCATGGCCCACATCACACTTTTAAGCTGTGTGGTCTACTTATTCCCATGTTGCTTTGTTAACTGAGTTTAAAATTTTATGGAATCACATCACCAGCGTCCGTCTTAGTATACTCAGTCCTCCTGTGTCACACTCATGCAGCCTGACCTTCTGCAAAAAAATTAAACATGGGAGGGAGTGTTCAAAAAGAACCACAGAGGGTAGTAGGTAGGAGCTAAGCATGGGTGTCCAGCAGATCTAAAATCAAATTATAATTGTAACTCTTGGCAGTAGACGAGTTAGTTTACATCTCTCAGCCTTAGGATTTTACCTGTAAAATGGAGCAAAAACAGTGCCTGCTTCATGGCAGTGTCATGAAGATAAATATGCTAAGCACAGAAACAACTGCATATGCTATTTACAAGATCTCCCAGGCAGGCACTGTATTGACAACATTACAGCAACTGGAAGTGGTAGCAAAACTATCAGCAGTAGCATCACTAGTAGTAGTCCTAGTGACAACAGCAGCAACAATAATAGCAGTAGCATTAAGTAGTAATAATATAATAGTAGTAGTAGCCGTTTTGTAGCAGCAATAGTAATAGTAGTAATAGTAAAGTAGTAATAGGCATCATCGTCCTAGTCATTCTCACAGTATTTATTAGTATTGGTAGCAATAATAGTAGTAGTAATAGAAGGTATCTTTGGCTAAGAGTTCATGATCTCTTAAGTGACATAGAAACAAAGAAGACGAATGTCCATTAAGAAATAGTTGCAGGCCAAGTGTGGCAGCTCATGCCTGTAATCCCACCACTTTTGGAGGCCGAGGCAGGCAGATCACTTGAGACCAGGAGTTTGAGACCAGCCTGGCCAACATGGCAAAACCCCGTCTCTAGTAAATACACAAAAATTAGCTAGGCATGGTGGCATGCACCTGTAATTCCAGCTACTCGGGAGGCTGAGGCTGAAGAATCACTTGAACCCAGGAGGCAGAGGTTGCAGTGAGTGGAGACTGTGCCACTGCACTCCAGCACCTGGGTGACAGAGTGAGACTCCGTTTCAAAAAAAAAAAAGAAAAAAGAAAAAAAAGAGAGAGAGAAACATTTGCAAAGGCCAAACAGAGTTAACAGTTTCTCTAGCTTTGATGGGTATAAAGTTACCTTTGAGGACACCTGATTATAACAGATTTCAGTAGTAGAAAAACATATATTTTACTTCAATAATCAGAAGATACTAATGAACAAAGGAAGTCCCACACAATCACTGGCTTCTATTCCACGGCAGTTAGAACCAGTGGCAGTGAAAGACAATGGTACATTGCACGTCAGCTCCAGACACCTAGACGTCTTCTCTGTACTGCTGATGGGAGTAGCAACCATACAATCATAACCAAGGTAGGTAAAAATCATTGCTTCAAACTCCATTTTTTCCTTTAGTTTCCTCTCGACTAATTTCTGAAAGCAAGTGGGGCCAAATAAACTTTCTGTATAGAGAAGAAAATGCAAAATGAATTTCAATTTCCTGAGTGCCTACGAAACATCTTACCCCATGCTGCGTTTGGTAACCTCATTTGATCATTGCTTATGACTGCGGAAGGAATAAGGGAACCAGGGCCCAAAGAAGTCAAGCAAGACAGACACCATGAGAAACGGGAAACAAGCCTGTCTGAGTTCATATCTTAATGTCTTTCTCACTAATCTATGCTGCTTTCTGAAACTATACTTCGGAAAGCCGTTTGCCATTAAAAATAAGGACATGTCTATTAAGTCACATTGTCTTAGTCAGCTTGGACTACTATAACACCATAGACCAGGTGGCCTATAAGTGACAGAAACTTATTTTATACAATCCTGGAGGCTGAAAGCCCAAGATCAGAGTGCCAGCATTGGACAGGCTCTAGCGAAGGCCCTTTCCTGGGCTGCAGACCACTGACTTCTTGCTGTGTCCTCCCATGGTAGAAGCTGCAAACAAGCTCCCTTGAGCCTATTTTATAAGAAAGTTAATCTCATTCACAATAGTTCTGCCCTCATGACCTAATTATCTCCCAAAAGGCCCCACCTTCTATTACTATCACATTAGTGATTAGATTGCAACATATGAATTTTGAGGGCATGCAAATATTCAGACCAGCATACACATGTAACTTCGAATTTAAATTGCAATCAGCATTGTAGCTATGAGTGCCCAGTCATATATTCTCATCGCTAAAGTGCTCACTGGGTTCTGCCTTAGGATTTTTTTTGTTTTGTTTTTTTGTTTGTTTGTTTTGAGATGGGGTCCAGATCTGTCCCCCAGGCTGTAGTGCAGTGGCACGATCTTGGCTCACTGCAACCTTCGCCTTCCTGGGTTCAAGCAATTCTCCTGCCTCAGCCTCCTGAGTAGCTGTGATTACAGGTGTGCGCCACCGTGCCTGGCTAATTTTTGTATTTTTAGTAGAGAAGAGGTTTCACAATGTTGGCCAGGCTGGTCTTGAGCTCCTGATCTCCACTGATCCACCTGCCTCGGCCTCTCAAAGTGTTGGGATTACAGGCGTGAGCCACTGTGCCTGGTCTGCCTCAGGACCTCCTTCAGCTGCTGAAGCCCAATTTACCTGCCCATCTGTAAGTGCAGGAAGTCAGAAGTACAAGGAAACAAATCCCACTGGGAACATCCCCCAGCCAATGACTGAGGAGAGTTAGTGAATAAATACCCTGACTTCCTCATTCACGGGAGAGACACATGGAGGTGTTTGTTGTACATTGGCCGTCAGAGTTCCCAAGCAAGACTAACATCCAGTGGTCACAGGAGTTACTGCCTTGGAAACGTGTCTGTTATTAACTGCCTTCCTTTTTCTATCTCACCTGCCCACACTTCTACTGGTATTTCTTTCCTCTCCCTAGTAAATTTCTTCTACTTAAATTCTTGCTCAGTGTCTGCTTCGAGGGGAGCCCAAACTAAAGCAAGTATCAGAGCAGCTTTGGTCTATGTGTGAACTGTGTTCTTAAATTCCATCCTACAACTGTAGGATCCCACCCATTTTTCTAAACCCTTCTGTATTTTTTTTATTAGCCAGAATCATGCCCAAGAAATTGCTGCTTAAACTTAAATATAACACATTATTGTCACAATTTCATTATTTTGAGAGAACACTGTAGACTCTATTTGGGTTTTTGCAGCTTCTAAAATTTCTATCAATTTTTCCATTGTTTCAAGTACAGGATTAATTATTACCAGCTTTCTAAAGAAAAAGACTACCTGACTTCAAACTATACTACAAGGCTACAGTAACCAAAACAGCATGGTACTGGTACCAAAACAGAGATATGGATCAATGGAACAGAACAGAGCCCTCAGAAATAACGCCACATATCTACAACTATCTGATCTTTGACACACCTGAGAAAAACAAGCAATGGGGAAAAGATTCCCTATTTAATAAATGGTGCTGGGAAAACTGGCTAGCCATATGTAGAAAGCTGAAACTGGATCCCTTCCTTACACCTTATACAAAAATCAATTCAAGATAGATTAAAGACTTAAACGTTAGGCCTAAAACCATAAAAACCCTAGAAGAAAACCTAGGCATTACCATTCAGGACATAGGCATGGGCAAGGACTTCATGTCTAAAACACCAAAAGCAATGGCAACAAAAGCCAAAATTGACAAATGGGATCTAATTAAACTAAAGAGCTTCTGCACAGCGAAAGAAACTACCATCAGAGTGAACAGGCAACCTACAAAATGGGAGAAAATTTTCGCAACCTACTCATCTGACAAAGGGCTAATATCCAGAATCTACAATGAACTCAAACAAATTTACAAGAAAAAAACAAACAACCCCATCAAAAAGTGGGCAAAGGACATGAACAGACACTTCTCAAAAGAAGACATTTATGCAGCCAAAAAACACGTGAAAAAATGCTCACCATCACTGGCATCAGAGAAATGCAAATCAAAACCACAAAGAGATACCATCTCACGCCAGTTAGAAAGGCAATCATTAAAAAGCCAGGAAACAACAGGTGCTGGAGAGGATGTGGAGAAATAGGAACACTTTCACACTGTTGGTGGGACTGTCAACTAGTTCAACCATTGTGGAAGTCAGTGTGGCGATTCCTCAGGGATCTAGAACTAGAAATACCATTTGACCCAGCCATCCCATTACTGGGTATATACCCAAAACACTATAAATCATGCTGCTATAAAGACACATGCACACGTATGTTTATTGCGGCATTATTCACAATAGCAAAGACTTGGAACCAACCCAAATGTCCAACAATGATAGACTGGATTAAGAAAATGTGCCACATATGTACCATGGAATACTATGCAGCCATAAAAAATGATGAGTTCATGTCCTTTGTAGGGACATGGGTGAAATTGGAAATCATCATTCTCAGTAAACTATTGCAAGAACAAAAAACCAAACACCGCATATTCTCACTCATAGGTGGGAATTGAACAATGAGAACACATGGACACAGGAAGGGGAACATCACACTCTGGGGACTGTTGTGGGGTAGGGGGGAGCGGGGGGGGGGAGCGGGGAGGGATAGCATTGGGAGATATAACTAATGCTAGATGACGAGTTAGTGGGTGCAGCACACCAGCATGGCACATGTATACATATGTAACTAACCTGCACATTGTGCACATGTACCCTAAAACTTAAAGTATAATAATAATAAATAAATAAATTTTTTAAAAAAAGGAAAAAGAAAAAGAAAAAAATACGATCCAAAACATTTCATATGTAGCACAAATCTGAGTTAAGGGAAAAAAAAGATCTCAGCCTTCCAACTATGTATCAGAGTGAAAACCAGCCGTAAGAGCAAGACAGAGGGGAAGATGAATGGGGCTGGTGGTGGTGTGGACAGGAGAGCACATTCACTCAAATTTTTGGATGGGTGGGGGAGGTGTATTCATAGCCCTTCGGGTGCAGGTAGGGTCTTTATGGACAATGGTCTTTGAGGAGAATGTTCTTAACAAAACTGAGAAATAAAAGGATGGAAAGAGAACATATATTGTGTTTTTACTTTTTAGGGATTAAAGGATCTTCCAGGTACTTTATGTATCCTATTATAGGAATTATGTATGTACTCTATTATAGCAATATTCTATTATAGCAATATTACTATTATACATAAGGCTTCTATAAGGACCATGATCACCATTTACATGGGCTAGAATAGCCTGAGAGAATATAATGTAGTTAATAAGACATTTAACAAGTGGCAAAGCTGGAGTTCAAAACCCAAATGTAATAGATTCTAAAGCCCATTAACATCAACAATAAACTACTGCCCCAGCAAAACTGCATGGAAATTACGTCACATCACAGTTTGTGAAGAACTTCCATTAAGGCTGAGAAAGAGAAAGAGAGGTGTTGACAGCAAGGGACTGGTCTGCGTCTATTAGCCAAAGCTTGGCATTGGTAAGAAGTGCCCAGTATGCATAGCTAGGTTGTGATACTTTCCTGTAAAATGATTTCACAGAACACTAACATTAAGAAAGACCATGATGAGAAAATAACCATGAAAGAGCAAGACGAAGATAAGACCAGTCTACACTCATGCCTGAGAAAGATAAAAGTATATTCTCCAATAATAATAATAATTAATTTAAAAGACCAAACAACATCCTTTCCTGGCTAATACAAGTAATTACTAATGCTACCCTTTGTTCTACTTGCCTTCTAGATAGGAATTAATAAAATAACCAGTCATTCCAAGATGGCCAAGTAGGAATAGCTTTGGTCTGCAGCTCCTAGCGTGATTGACACAGAAGATGGGTGATTTCTGCATTTCCCACTGAGGTACCCGGTTCATCTCATCAGGACTGGTTGGACAGTGGGTGCAGCCCATGAAGGGCGAGCCAAAGCAGGGTGGGGCGTCACCTCAGTCAGGAAACACAAGTGGTCAGGGGATTTCCCTTTCCTACCCAAGGGAAGTCCTGACAGACTGCACCTGGAAAAACGGGACACTTCCACCCCAATACCGCACTTTTCCCAAGGTCTTAGCAACCAGCAGAGTAGGAGATCTTCCCCTGTACCTGGCTCGGCAGGTCCCATGCCCATGGAGCCTTGCTTACTGCTAGTGCAGCAGTCTGAGATGGACCTGCATGGCTGCAGCTGGTGGAGGGGAAGGGCGCCTGCTATTGCTGAGGCTTGAGTAGGTAAACAAAGCGGCCGGGAAGCTTGAACTGGGCAGAGTCCACCACAGCTCAGCAAGGCCTACTGCCTCTATAGACTCCACCTCTGTGAGCAGGGCATAACTGAACAAAAGGCAGCAGAAACTTCTGCAGACTTAAATGGCCCTGTCTGACAGCTCTGAAGAGAGCAGTGGTTCTCCCAGCACGGCATTTGAGCTCTGAGAATGGAGAGACTGCCTCCTCAAGTGGCCCTTGTAGCCTAACTGGGAGACACCTCCCAGTAGGGGCCGAGAAACACCTCATACAGCCAGGTACCCCTCTGGGACAAAGCTTCCAGAGGAAGGATCAGGCAGCAATATTGCCTGTTTTGCAATATTTGCTCTTCTGCAGCCTCCGCTGGTGATACCCAAAAAACAGGGTCTGGAGTGGACCTCCAGAAAACTCCAACAGACCTGCAGCTGAGGGACCTGACTGTTACAAGGAAAACTAACAAACAGAAAGGAATAGCATCAACATCAACAAAAAGGACATCCACACCAAAATCTCATTTGTAGGTCACCAACATCAAAGACCAAAGGTAGATAAAACCATAAAGATGGGGAGAAACTAGAGCAGAAAAGCTGAAAATTCTAAAAACCAGAGCACCTCTTCTCTTCCAAAGGATAGCAGCTCCTTGCCAGCAATGGAACAAAGCTGGATGGTGAATGACTTTGATGAGTTGACAGAAGTAGGCTTCCGAAGGTCGGTAATAAGAAACTTCTCTGAGCTAAAGGACATGTTCTAACCCATCACAAGGAAGCTAAAAACCTTGAAAAAAGATTAGACGAATGGCTAACTAGAATAAACAGTGTAAAGAAGTCCTTAAATGACCTGATGGAGCTGAAAACCATGGCACGAGAACTTCGTGATGCATGCACAAGCTTCAATAGCCAATTCAATCAAGTGGAAGAAAGGGTATCAGTGACTGAAGATCAAATTAATGAAATAAAGCAAGACAACAAGTTTAGAGAAAAAAGAGTAAACAGAAATGAACAAAGCCTCCAAGAAATATGGGACTATGTGAAAAGACCAAATCTACGTTTGATTGGTGTACCTGAAAGTGACAGAGAGAATGGAACCCAGTTGGAAAACACTCTGCAGGATATTATCCAGGAGAACTTCCCTAACCTAGTAAGGCAGGCCAACATTGGAATTCAGGAAACATAGAGAACACCACAAAGATACTACTCGAGAAGAACTACCCCGAGACACATAATTGTCAGATTCACCAAGGTTGAAATGAAGGAAAAAATGTTAAGGGCAGCCAGAGAGAAAGGTCAGGTTACCCACAAAGGGAAGCCCATCAGACTAACAGCAGATCTCTCAGCAGAAACATTGCAAGCCAGAAGACAGTGGGGGCCAATATTCAACATCCTTAAAGCAAAGAATTTTCTACCCAGAATTTCATATCCAGCCAAACTAGCTTCATAACTGAAGGAGAAATAAAATCCTTTACAGACAAGCAAATGCTGAGAAATTTTGTCACCACCAGGCCTGCCTTACAAGAGATCCTGAAGGAAGCACTAAACATGGAAAGGAACAACTGGAACCAGCCACTGCAAAAACATGCCAAATTGTAAAGACTACCAATGCTAGGAAGAAACTACATCAATTAATGGGCAAAATAACCAGCTAACATCATAATGACAGGATCAAATTCACACATAACAATATTAACCTTAAATGTAAATGGGCTAAATGTACCAATTAAAATACACAGACTGGCAAATCGGATAAAGAGTCAAGACCCATCAGTGTACTGTATTCAGGAAACCCATCTCACATGCAGAGACACACATAGGCTCAAAATAAAGGGATGGAGGAAGATCTACCAAGCAAATGGAAAACAAAAAAAAGGAGGGGTTGCAATCCCAGTCTCTGATAAAACAAACTTTAAACCAACAAAGATCCAAAGAGACAAAGAAGGCCATTACATAATGGTAAAGGGATCAATTCAACAAGAAAAGCTAACTATCCTAAATACATATGCACCCAATACAGGAGCACCCAGATTCATAAAGCAAGTCCTTAGAGACCTACAAAGAGACTTAGACTCCCACACAATAATGATGGGAGACTTTAACACCCCACTGTCAATATTAGACCAATCAATGAGGCAGAAGGTTAACAAGCATATCCAGGACTTGAACTCAGCTCTGCACCAAGCAGACCTAACAGACATCTACAGAACTCTCCACCCTAAATCAACAGAATATATATTCTTCTCAGCACCACATCACACTTATTCTAAAATTGACCACATAATTGGAAGTAAAGCACTCCTCAGTAAATGTAAAAGAACAGAAATCACAACAAACTGTCTCTCAGATCACAGGGCAATCAAACTGGAACTCAGGATTAAGAAACTCATTCAAAACCGCACAACTACATGGAAACTGAACAACCTGCTCCTGAATGACTACTGGGTAAGTAACGAAATGAAGGCAGAAATAAAGATGTTCTTTGAAATCAGTGAGAACAGAGACACAACATACCAGAATCTCTGGGACACATTTAAAGCAGTGTGTAGACGGAAATTTATAGCACTAAATGCCCATAAGAGAAAGCAGGAAAGATCTAAAATCAGCACCCTGACATCACAATTAAAAGAACTAGAGAAGCAAGAGCAAACACATTCAAAAGCTAGCAGAAGGCAAGAAATAACTAAGTTCAGAGCAGAACTGAAGGAGATAGAGACACAAAAAACCCTTCAAAAAAATCAGTGAATCCAGGAGCTAGTTTTTTGAAAAGTTGAAGAAAATCAATAGACCACGAGCAAGACTAATAAAGAAGAAAATAGAGACGAATCAAATAGACGCAATAAAAAAATGATAAAGGGGATATCATCACCGATCCCACAGAAATACAAACTACCATCAGAGAATACTATAAACACCTCTAGGCAAATAAACTAGAAAATCTAGAAGAAATGGATAAATTCCTGGACACATACACCCACCCAAGACTAAACCAAAAAGAAGTTGAATCTCTGAATAGACGAATAACAGGCTCTGAAATTGAGACAATAATTAATAGCCTACCAACCAAAAAAAAGTCCAGGACCAAATGGATTCACAACTGAATTCTACCAGAGGTATAAAGAGGAACTGGTACCAATCCTCCTGAAACTATTCCAATCAACAGAAAAAGAGGGAATCCTCCCTAACTCATTTTATGAGGCCAGCATCATCCTGATACCAAAGCCTGGCAGAGACACAACAAAAAAAGAGAATTTTAGACCAATATCCCTGATGAACATCGATGCGAAAATCCTCCATAAAATACTGGCAAACTGAATCCAGCAGCACATCAAAAAGCTTATCCACCATGATCAAGTTGGCTTCATCCCCAGCAAGGCTGGTTCAACATATGCAAATCAATAAATGTAATCCATCACATAAACAGAACCAACGACAAAAACCACATGATTATCTCAATAGATGCAGAAAAGGCCTTTGACAAAATTCAACAGCCTGTCATGCTAAAAACTTTCAACAAGCTAGGTATTGATGGAACATATCTCAAAATAATAAGAGCTACTTATGACAAACCCACAGCCAGTATCATACTGAATGGGCAAAAACTGGAAGCATTCCTTTTGAAAACTGACACAAGACAGGGATGCCCTCTCTCACCACTCCTATTCAACATAGTGTTGGAAGTTCTGCCTGGGGCAATCAGGAAAGGGAAAGAAATAAAAGATATTCAATTAGGAAAAGAGGAAGTCAAATTGTCCCTGTTTGCAGATGACATGATTGTATATTTAGAAAACCCCATCATCTCAGCCCAAAATCTCCTTAAGCTGATCCACAACTTCAGCAAAGTCTCAGGATACAAAATCAATGTGCAAAAATCACAAGCATTCCTATGCATCAATAATAGACAAACAGCCAAATCATGAGTGAACTCCCATTCACAATTGCTTCAAAGATAATAAATACCTAGGAATCCAACTTACTAGGGATGTGAAGGACCTCTTCAAGGAGAACTACAAACCACTGCTCCATGAAATAAAGGAGGTCACAAACAAATGGAAGAACATTCTATGTTCATGGATGCGAAGAATCAATATCGTGAAAACAGCCATACGACCCAAGGTAATTTATAGATTCAATGCCATCCCCATCAAGCTACCAATGACTTTCTTCAAAGAATTGGAAAAAACTACTTTAAAGATCATATGGAACCAAAAAAGAGCCCACATTGCCAAGACAATCCTAAGCAAAAAGAACAAAGCTGGAGGCGTCACGCTACCTGACTTCACACTATACTACAAGGCTACAGTAACCAAAACAGCATGGTACTGGTACCAAAACAGACATATAGACCAATGGAATAGAACAGAGGCCTCAGAAATAACACCGCACATCTACAACCATCTGATCTTTGACAAACCTGACAAAAACAAGAAATGGGGAAACGATTCCCTATTTAATAAATAGTGTTGGGAAAACTGGCTAGCTATATGTAGAAAGCTGAAATTGGATCCCTTCCTTACACCTTATACAAAAATTAATTCAAAATGGATTAAGGACTTAAGTGTTAGACCTAAAGCCATAAAAACCCTAGAAGAAAACCTAGGCAATACCATTCAGGACACAGGCATGGGCAAGGACTTCATGACTAAAAAACCAAAAGAAATGGCAACAAAAGCCAAAATTGACAAATGGGATCTAATTAAACTAAATAGTTTCTGCATGGCAAAACAAACTACCATCAGAGTGAACAGGCAGCCTACAGAATGGGAGACAATTTTTGCAATCTACCCATCTGACAAAGGCCTAATATCCAGAATCTACAAGGAACTTAAACAAATTTACAAGAAAAAAACAACCCCATCAAAAAGTGGGCAAAGGATATTAACAGACACTTCTCAAAAAAGACATTTATGCAGCCAACAGATACATGAAAAAATGCTCATCATCACTGATCATGAGAGAAATGCAAATCAAAACCACAATGAGATACCATCTCATGCCAGTTAGAATGCTGATCATTAAAAAGTCAGGAAACAACAGATATTGGAGAGGATGTGGAGAAATAGGAACGCTTTTACACCGTCAGTGGGAGTGTAAATTAGTTCAACCATTGTGGAAGTCAGTGTGGCGATTCCTCAAGAATCTAGAACTAGAAATACCATTTGACCCAGCAATCCCATTACTGGGTATATACCCAAAGGATTATAAATCATGCTGCTATAAAGATACATGCACACATATGTTTATTGCAGCACTAATCACAATAGCAAAGACTTGGAACCAACCAAATGTCCATCAATGACAGACTGGATTAAGAAAATGTGGCACATATACACTATGGAATACTATGCAGCCATAAAAAATGGATGAGTTCATGTCCTTTGCAGGGACATGGATGAAGTTGGAAACCATCATTCTCAGCAAACTATCACAACGACAGAAAACCAAACAGTGCATGTTCTCACTCACAGGTGGGAATTGAACAAACCTGCACGTTGTGCACATGTACCCTAGAACTTAAATTTTTTAAAAAAGGAAAAAAATCACTGAATAAAACCTTACTATGGATGAAAAAATTAAAAAATAAAATAAAATAAAAACCAATCGTAGAATTACCTTCCATCCTGAGAGCATCAAATCCAGGGTAAAGACCACTTCCTTGAAGCCTCCCCCAAATCACCTAATACAAGTCTGTAAGTCTTTTCAAGCAACTTCTGAGAAAACCCACAGTTTTGTATGAAGTGCATTCACCGTCATCACAACAACTTAGTAAACCCAACTTTGTCAATACAGCTATGTTTCCAACAGACTTTGGCTGAAAGACATTGAGAGTATATTGATTAATTCAACCAACATTTTCTGAGTCAAACAAAGTGAATTATGTATCTTCGTTTCCCCTACAGAAATGGACATAAATCCTGTATCTGTAATAGGTGAACAGTGACATATGTTCTAAACTCAAAAGCAATTTTTAAATGTACAAAGAAAATATTAATAGATTTAATAACATCTATATTCAAAACTCTTCTTGCTGAGTTTACAACAAAATCATAGTAAACATTGTTCCTAAATGTTTCCACAAAAAAAGAGAATGGGAGAGGAGTCCTCGGGAAAACATATGGAAACAAAGAAAAGAGAGGATAGAACAGTAATTATTGAGGTTTCCCCTGACAGTAAGGTTTGGGACAAGGACTTGAGGCAGTTGAAGTCTCAGGGAGCAGAAGTGAGCACCCAGGAAAAGTTGGGGGAAGAAGAAAGCCCATGTTAACAGTGTCATGAAAGTCATCAAGGTCGCCACTAAGGACACTTGAAACTCGATCTTACCCAGATCTTTTTTAGAATGGCATAGAATATATTGCCTACTCAAGGATTGGCCAAGAGAAGTATCATTCCATTTACTCTCATCCCCCATTTGGTTGAGTCTGTCTGTGGTGACATTAATACTCATGAATTCAAAACCTTCTTGCCCTTAATCAGTAGCACCTGTTGCATCTGCAAACAATGAGAAACTCTGGGAAAAAAAAAAAATGCAAGTCCCATTACTCATGCTAAAGATGAGTCACCGTCAGTGTGAACTGAGTCCAAAACTACACAAACTGTCCACAGCCAACATCACTGATGAGGCTGAATGGGTCTGAGTCTAGGGACCAGGGACATCTGCTGTGCAGGGTGAAAGAAGCTATAGCTCAGATATGTGAATGGGGCACCTGCCTAAGAGGAAAGCTTTAGCCTAACAGAACCTTGTGCAGTCTTGAGACCTATAAATACCAGGTATCATTAAGAGCTGGAGGAATAAATAGGTTGAAAATGGAGGGATGGGTGATGGAAAAAGACCTTAATTAAAATTCTATGTACAGATGTCATCCTTCCTTACAGAAAACCTTATTTTTCTTCACTTTATAGTATCTAGCACTCCCCAGTGTGATGGCTACTCACTGATTGATCACTTCACCCTGATACCCAGAACTTTAAATTGATATTAAATTTCAATCATTAGATAGTTGAGAAAAGGGTTCCATATTCTCAAAAACTAGAGAAGATAAATAAAATAAAAAAAGAAATGACCCTGGGGAAAACAGATAATGCAGAGAACAAAAGAGAATTTTAAAAGCAAATTCTTGTTAACGTTTCTGTGAGATTTGAAACTTAGAATATTAATAAAACATGCACAAAATTTGTTTAAGTTCCTAATATATGCTAGATATTAGACCTTTGTCAGAAGCAGTTTGCAAAAATGTTCTCCCATTCTGTATGTTGTCCATTTAATCTATTGGTAGTTTCTCTTGCTGTGCAGGTGCTCTTTATTTTAATTCGACCCCATTTGTCAATTTTTGCTTTTGTTTTAATTGCTTTTGTTGTCTTTGTCATGAAATTTTTGTATGTAACAGACCTGCACTTGTATCCCTGAATTTAAAAGTCAAAAGATAAGAATAAACATCGGTTAAAAATGCACAAAAAAAAAAAACAACAGAGAACAAAAAATGCCTTGAGAAATTAAAAAGTATGTCTGTCCATCCCCATCCCCAGAAGAGTCTACAGTAAGGTTAAGGAAGTCTTCAAGAAAATAAACTGAAAAGACAAACAGGCACAAGGAAGGGAGATATATCTATTTCCTCAGACAAGTGACAGTATCAACACAGAAGTTACGATATCTAACTTAGAGCATTTTCAAAAAGGTGACAAAGAGAGTATCTATTTCTAAATTTCACCAAGATGCTCTTTGGCATAGGTATTTTAAAATTCATTATGAAGGATCATTGGTCGATTTTCCTACCTGAAAACATGGTGAAATTAATGAATACAGCTATAGGTAAACTAGAAAATGTACTCATCAAAATTGATAACAAGAGCCTCAAAATCTCAAATTTTTTAGAAAATGAAAAATTGAAATGAGATTTTCTTTTTTACTTATCAAATAAACTAAGCTTTTAAAAGTTGAAATGGTCAGTTTGGGCAAAAGAAGACTGGAATAGATACGGTTATTCTCTTTTCATAAGAGTGCAAACTGATAGAAATTATCCAGAAAAAAAAATTTATAACGTGCATAAAATCCTTCAAAAAAAACTCATGTCCCTTGCTTTCCTCTAAATCTATCTATCCTAAGAAAGTTAAACTTAAATCTTTTTGTAACAAAAATATTTACACAGACAAAGAAAGGGGAAAAAACTCAGACAGAGATATATGTAGAAAAATGTTTATTATTTTGGCATAAACATGGGAAACAATCTAGACATCTAACAAGTAGAGCAATTGTTTAAACATTATGGTTCATCAGGTAGGCCATCCAAGAGGATATTTTAACAGACTATTTCATGAAATGGCAAACGGCTATTGATAAAAAGTTGGATGAAAAAATCAGGATTCAAACCAGCATACACAATAGGATACTGATTAAAATTGTATGATACACATGGAGAGAGAGAGAGAGTGTTGTGGGGGAGAGAGAGAGAGAAATTCTAGGGATTGGGAGAACACTTCACTCCCAACTGTTAGCAGTGAATGTTTCTGACTGGTTGGACTATGGTTAATTTTTGTTCTCTCTTTGAATTCTTTTTTTCCCCAAACACTTAAATGAGTTTTGGGGGGGGGAAAAAACGTATCATTTCTAAAATAAGAATAAATAAATGTTTTATAATTTTGTTTTATGTTTAATCATTTAATTCTAATAAATTTTATTTGGGAGATTTGAGAGTTTAATAAATGACCAACTAATGAAATTCACAGACAAAACTCATGAATCTGTTTGGCCGTGTCCATCCAGGCAGAGTAAAGGAGAAAGAGTAGAGAAATAGGCCAGGCGCGGTGGCTCACACCCGTAATCCCAGCACTTTGGGAGGCCGAGGTGGGTGGATCATCTGAGATCAGGAGTTCGAGACCAGCCTGGTCAACATGGTGAAAACCCGTCTCTACTAAAAGTACAAAAATTAGCCAGGTGTGTTGGCGGGCACCTGTAATCCCAGCTACTCAGGAGGCTGAGGCAGGAGAAGCTTGAACCTGGGAGGCGGAGGTTGCAGTAAGCCAAGATTGCGCCACTGCACTCTAGCCTGGGCAACAAGAGCTAGACTTCATCTAAAAAAAAAAAAAAGAGTAGAGAAATAAAGGACGTGGCAGTGGCGGTGGGTGTATGTTTTTGGGGAGGTGAGGGAATGAGGAAGGCAGGGAAACAGAGTTCTCTGCTTCCTTTGCAAGCCTGATGAATAGAAAGGTATCAACAGGGTAACAACTCAATGAAGTTATTGCTATGAGCTGCCTTGGTTTCCTCCCCCAGACACACGGAGCTAAATGGGACTTCAGTGGGAGTCTGCAAGTTCTAATTGCTCTCCTGGCAGAAGCTCTCAGATCTGGCTCAAACACATCAAGAAGGACAATTTCCTAGAAATGGAACAGTCAGGTCTCAATTTCATGCAAGTTTATTCTTTTCAATAAGGCAGTTAAATCACATTTTACATCTGGTACTAAATTAATGGGTTGTATGTTGTTACGGACTTTTCATAGAACCATCTTCACAAGGATTACATATGCATAGAGGTTAAAATCATAGACTTAGGAGTCAGTTCCAGTTTGAGCTGTGTTTCCTCAGGCAAGTTATTTCACCTCTCACATCTGTTTCCTCATCTGTAAAATGGAGACAATCAAAGAGCTTACTTCTTTGGCTTTCTTATGAAGATGACATGAGTTAAAATGCATCAGGTATTTAGAACAGTGCCTGAAAAAGAGAATATGCTACATTTTGCAATGTCTGTTCTATTAAATAAAAATAAGTTGGAAACATTTCTTGGTCAGACCATATCTGACCGTATCATGTTTGCATCAGGAGACATGATTTCTTCTCTGTTGTCTGTGGTCACTGTCATAAAACAAACAGGTTTGTTTGTTCATTCAAATGTGAATAAAAAGAAAAAACAAGCAATGGTCAGTATCTCTTTTGACTGCCCCAAGTCCCAAGAAAGGGGAGACAATGTGGTGTTTGTAGGAGCTCACCTAATAGAGTACATGAGGCTGCTACAAACAGGAAGCAGAGGGAGAGGGAAAGCTTGGAGAAGTAGTTGCTGACCTTGGGAGAGACAGGGTGCCCCAAACTTGGAAGGGGACAAAGGTTGGGAGGGCAGCGAGTCATGGAAAAAGAGCCTGCTTCTTGGAAGCATCTAGAGTCATTGATGGGACTTCAAATAGTATTGATGCAGTGAGGAAGAAATACATCATCCCTGGCCTTCAGGGCTGAGGTTCAGGCTGCAGGTGTGAAGAGGTGGGTGGAGAAACCTGTAAAGATGCCTCGTCATAATAAGGAGGTGGAGCAGAAGGAGACAGCCATTTATGGAGCATCTCCTTTGTCCTGGGTGCTCTCCCAACTTACAAAGTAGGATCATCTTTCCCATTTCAAAGATGAGCAAATTAAGATAACTTCCCAAGGGTCATGTAGACCTGGATTCAAATTGCAAGTATTCAAATCCTTGATTTTCTATCTGTCCAGACTCTGCACCTCTCCTGGCCACCCATTATCAGTAAATCTTGAAGCTGCAGGATAGTAAGTCAGTCAAGATGAGGCAAGGTTTGACCTGCCTACCTGGTCATTTGCAATCCTCCTGTGATTTAGCCAAAATCTCTACTTGGTCCTCCTGGGGGAGTATACAGAGGAATATACCATAGATTTCAGAATTTGCATGCTATTAGGGATCAAGGAAAGGAAAGGAAGGGTGAGAACAGGCTGGATAAAATCCTAATACATCAGCCTTCATCTCTGTAGAGGTCCTGTTGATTGCTGCAAAGAGTACAGGCTTTGGCATCAGAGAGCGTGCGGTTGAATCCCAGCTGGGATTATAAATTGTGTAATATAGGGTCAGTGAATCTCTCTATCTGAGCCTTATTCACTTTCTCTATAGTATAAATTACTATCATTTCCATTTCACATAATACCCTGTGCGGGATGAATAAGACAACAGAGTGAGAGGCTTAGCTTGGTGCTTAACTAATATTAAGGCCCTCCAGCTCTTCCCCAAATGTATATCCATCCAGGTTTTCTTCTCCCCACCAAGACAAGGAACCTGATCTTAAAGTGTGTGCCTCATGCCCCTGAGAACTACACTGTGCTCAACATCCACACAGACATGTCTAAACCAGGTGGGCTCTTTAAAAACCTCCCTAACCCCTCACTGAAATTCCCAGTAATTATTTTAAATGACACAAAGAGAAGAACAAGAGGACATGAAGACAAAGACTGTTAGTTTTTCTAATAGCTGAAAAAGAAAACAAAATGAAGAAAAATAGTCCCCACGAAATTCGTATGGTAAAAAATACAAACCATGTTGTCTTTAACTGGGTTCATATAGTAAGTTCAGACTGTACTCGGGACATATATACCTTGTAATTGTTCAATAGCTTCAGCCTGGACAGACAGTGTTAATCAGTTTCTGCTGCTTGCTCTCAGCTGTGGCTTTGGCGAGTGAGAAAAGATAAATTCCCAGAGTTGAAAACTGAAAAGCAACACTGTGCAATCATGAGAATTAAGGGAAAAAAGACAGTCTTGGTTTGAGTTATTGTATATTCCTGGGGAAGCTGTGCAAGGACTTTCCAGCTGTGAGCTGCTAGGAGAGTCTGGGCCAAAATGCTCACAGGGGAGCTACATGGACTGCTGCAGTAGAAGGAACAGAGGCAATGGATAGACAAATGGTTCTCAGCCAGGGTCAATTCTGTTCCCTGGGAACACTCGACAATGTCTGCAGACGGTATTGATTGTCACGGGGGTTGGGGGATGTACTGCCGGCATCTAATGGGCAGAGGCCAAGGATGTTGCTAAATATACTGTAATGCACAGGACAGCCTCCACCCCTGCAAACCCCTCCAAGAAAGAATTTATCCAGCCCCAAATACCCATAGTGCTGGACTTGAGAAACCTTGAGCAAAACATACAGACAAATGCAAGCTCATTACTGTGGGCAAGAGACAAGCTTTGACATTCAGACTTAGCATTTAAAACCAAATCTTGTTTCTTATAATGGCACTTCCCTCCTCAAAGCCACATATGAATTTGTAGCCTCCAGTCTATGTTTCTTTCTTTTCTGTCCATGAGAGTGGAAACACATTATTTGTCAAGTCCTTAACATGCCACATACTTTTCTAAGTGCTTTACAACATTGTCTACTAACTCTAATTCTCATAACTCTGTGCAGGATTTATGATGATCATACCCATTTTACACACCAGGAAACTGAAGCTCAGAGGGATTATGTAAATTGTCTAACTATGTAGTAGCAAAACCAGGATTTAAATGCAGCCCTGTCTGATTCCAAAGTATCAACTCCTAACTCCTCAGCTCTTCTTGCAAAACTTAACCTTACAGCTTAGCCAAACCCAACAGGTCACTGAACATCCCTGACCTTTGTCCTCCTATGAAATGGAGATAATCACAGCTTCATAATGTTGCCTTTTATAAAAGGGAAGAACCTAGCATGGTACCTGGCAATATCATCATCTAGGTTCCCTAAAAGGCTCAAGCAGACAATTCCCATATGATCACACCCAGGAATGTCCTACAGTTGCAAACAAATTGGACTAGAGGTCCCCAGACCTTCTTCTAGTTCAGAGATTCCAGATTCTAGCCAAAACTTAGCAAATCTTCAGCACTTGACTCAAACCCTCCTCTCCTCCCGTGGTTACCTGATACTTTGCTTGCCCTCTACAGCACAGGTGAACTCTTTCTATAAAACCAAAGTTTCTTCCTTTTTGCACTGAGCTCCAGACAGTATTTCTTTTTATGTAAGATTGTAGAATTTAACTTGAAAGCATTCCATCATAAGTGTCTTGAAATGTGAATTTCATCGCGTCCATTTTTGTTGTCACGCAGAACAGATTATATACCATTGTTGTAAGTGATTAATACATACATATGAATGATTTGGCTCAGGTAAGCAGCAGAAGTAATAAAGCTTGATTGTGTACTAAGTGATTTTGGACACTTGATCTCATTTGGTCCCCATGATAACCTGTACTGGGTCAAAACAGCATCACCTGTCCCTCCCATGCCTCTCTTCCCACCCCTTTGTGTTATTCTGAGGATACTTCAGTGGCTTTGTATTCCCTTCACCTACTGTATGGAGGGGAAATAATCTTTTTAGGATTCATTTTTTATCTCTGATAAATACAGAGGTTGAACTCAATCAATGGCTTCCAAATGTTGGTATTTATTTAAAGGATCCTTTCTTTAAAGTCTTATACAGCACCTTCAAATAATAAGCAGAAAGAAGCAGAGCTGCCCTGGTGGAAGAGGGGCAGGGTATAGGGGGTGCTAAGAAGACATGTTTAGAGCCTGCTCGTGATCCATTGTGATGGTTTCCAGCATCACTCCTGCTCCATCTGCTAGGTCACCCATGCTCCTGTTGGGCACTGCTCGTCTATAAGCAGTACAGCACAGCAAGACCCAACAGAAAGACTCCTCTCAGCAGACTTCTCTACTGACCTGAAGCCTAAAAGCAATCAAGGCTCCAAACGTAGTATCCAACCTCCAATGATGTAACAGTCTCCATGTACCATCCAAGATCCATTCTCTTCCAGGGGCAGCCTTGATGGGAGGCACAAGCCTACCTTGCCTGTTCATCTTATCTTTCCTCTGCTTCACTCCACCATTCTCTTTCCCACTTCTACCCCCCTCTGTTTCTTGAAGAACCTTCACATTCTTTCTTGCATTTAGGCATTCCCCTGTCCGCCAACCCTTGGATAACCTCACCTTCTTGGAAAAGCCAACTCTATAGCATTTATAAGCAAAGGCTTTCAAAAAAAAAAAAAAAGTCCTATTATGTCTCCCTATTAACTTTTCCAGATATGATGGTAAGGTTTGTGAGTAAGAACAGAAACATCATTCCCTTCTCACCTTCTCTGATGTGTAGTACGGGAAGGGGGGGAAAACACCCTTATCTTTTCATTCCATCATTGTTTTAGTGATTAACCACAAAAAGTCCAATTTTCTTGCAACATTCATTTTTTATCTTCCTGGTTTCTCCATCATTCTCCCAGACTCTGCATTTCCAAGCCAGCCACCAGGAAAATGACAAAAAACACATAGTACACACAAAGGCAACTGCATCCCATCCATTTTCCCAAAGTGCATGATCGGGTCACATGTGGAGAGATTAATGTGATTCAGAGCTTGGAAATATGCTGCTTTATGATTATTAACGAGGGTAGCTTGGAAGTGAGAGGACTTTGCAAACACATCAGTTGAAAAAATGTATTTTCTACCTTGTTTATGAGACACAAACATATATAATTCAGTTCAAGGGTTGAGATTTTCTGTTATTGTGTGCCAGGGATTATTTATCACAATTGTGAATAATTTCCCAGTACAAATTATCCTCATCTTATCATCCAAATGTACTTCCCTTCCACATCACTCATGTCATGCTGAAATCTAAGGCCATAAAGTCTAAACGATGAAATAAGTCTTCCTTCAGATGGCAGCATATGGTGTGTGTTGGTTGGGGTTTTTTAAAGCACAGTGAAATTTACCACTGTCAAAGACTGGCCTCCCAGCTTTTTTCTCAGTTGGTGACTCTGGTGTCTGAAGCTGATAGAAAATTATGCACTTAATAAAATATGAGATTGCAAGGGAGAGATAAAGCCAAAGTAAGCAGCAGTCCAGCAGAGGAGAACCCACTTTCAACAGCCGGTGCCTTCATGTCTATCATGCTGATTGAAGCCATCCAGAGGTAAAAACATAAGCTTGGAGCTATGCAAGACTTAAGGGCGAGAGCAAAGGCATCCTACTCGAAATATAAGATGAATGTCTACAAATGTGTGCTGGGCTGCTCTAAATATGTTGAAAACGTGGCATGTTGGAATATTTGTGTGAAAGGAATACGAACTCTGATTAGTGAATCTCTGCAAGGGGCATAGTGCATTTTTCTTTATTACCTAGGGTACTTTTTATTAACACCCATGAAGAACCAGCAGATACATAAGAAAATAAAATCAAAATATGAATTTTTGTGTTTTTATTGAGAAATAAAACCAGATTTCAGAAAACCTCAATTTTCAAAAAAACAAAAAATATTCCTCTTCAGCAAAGCCAACACACAAAAAAAATGGGTCCAAGTGAAGTCCCATGACACAATGCAACTTTAGAAAATAGTAAGAAAATGAAGCAACACAAAAGCAAATAAAAATCATTTCAATTCCTAAAAAGAGGGAGTTAAAAGAATGCCATGCATTTATCTTTAATAAGGATTCTATTTAGACTTAATCTGTCAAATATTTTGAGGTACATATCCATTGTTTTTGTTAAGGAAAGTGTTGAATGTTCTTTTTTTTTTTTCTACAATGGAACATATTTTTATGATCTCTCTAACTTGTTTTTCTGTTCCTTATCCACAAACAGGCTTTGGTTGCTAGGATGCATTGTCAAACTCCACCAGAGGCATGACCACAAGCTCGAGTATACAACCACCATATTTGTGGTCAGAGAGATGGAATAACTTGCTTGTGGTCACACAGCAGGTGATTAAAACAGAAAGCACTGGTCTGGAAGTAAACAGGACTCGAGATCCAGCCTGCAGTTGATAGGCTCAAGCTCTGCACCTTAAAATATAATCTCATTTTCTATCTTCATAGATTTTCCATCTTCAGAAACAAACTTCTCATATTGCTCTTTGTTCCTTTATGTGCCTGTCAATCCACGGAATCATCAGCTTTCCTGTGAACTCAGGCCACTCCTGTAGCATATTTACATCTGGAACCTCTTTCTTCCTGTCAACCACCAAGCCCCTTGTGTCTTTAAAGAGTCTTGCTAAATCTCTTCTCCTCCATTAAGGCCTCTGTGATGAGGTGTGAGCCAGGGCTCTGCTCTGCCGTCCCATTGCAAAGATTAGCACATGGGGTGCTGAACCAAAGAACACAAATGTAGAATCAGTTCATCTGGGACCTGACTGGATATGCTAAGGAGGATTCCAGCTGCTTAACGTCTGCTCAATTGTATCTTATTCTGCATATGTCCTCATTGTCATTGCCTCAGTCTTTGGGATTCATTTGCATCTCCCTAAACAGCAATTGGCAGCCATTGTGGGAGGTGGTACAAGGAGGAGGGCCCTCCATGATAAATCTCTTCATTCTATCTCAGCTAGAAATGTGGGACAACCAAGCAGATGGTTATCAACGTGGTGGGCTTTGGGGTATCAGTAAGCTTTCCCGATCCAAGATTAGACCCTCAGCAGTCACCTAATTTTTCCATCATTCACTCCACTCCTTATGGGCCTCTGAGAGATGTGCACATTTAAATGGTATTTTGTTACCTACTGAGGATAAGATAGTCTGGGAGAAAGACTTCTAGACTAAGAACACCTGGGTTTCAATCGCAGCGATAACATGTGCTGCAAATGTAAGCTTTGTGAAAGCATCTACTGTCCAAGTATCATTTTCTTCCTCTCTATAATGAAATAAAAAATACTTGCCTTGTCAAATCTCCCAGGGTTGAAGTAGAAATTACATAAAGTCACGTACAGAAAAGCAATTTACAAAGTTTTTATGGACGTAAAACATACATGTAGAGAGTGTGCCTTTAACAAGTGCACGGCTTGGTGAATTTCCCTGTACCGAATTTACACATGTAACCAGCAACTAGATCAAAAAGCAAAACATGACCCTGAAGCTCCCTGTGTCCCCTTCCAATCCCTCGCTCCAGCAAAGGCAACCACTATCCTGAGGTAACTATTGAAAATTAGTTGCACTTCTTTCTTTACAGGAAAGGGATCACGCAATATAATTTGTGTCCCCTTCCTTCACTCCCGTTTCTCAGATTCAACCAAATTGTTGTGAGTAGCTTTAATCAGTTGTTCTCATGGTTGTATAATATTCTATTGTATGAATATACCACATGTTTTAAATGCATCCTACGGTTGATGGAGATGTTAAATAGGGCTGCCAAACAATCTATACACTTTAAAGAAATATACAAATGTGAGATATTATTATTACTATAAGGCCAGACCAAATAGACATGGAGGCTTTGAGAGAAAATTATTGAGCAATGAAATTGTAGTGGAAAAAAAAAAGGATCATTCAGGATGAGATGTGTTTTGCATCAAGGAAAAATATAAAATATAAGGTATGTCACAAATCTGAGATGTTGCCAAATGTTTTCAAATTCATTCACTTATGTCAGCCAATATCTGAGTTCCTATAATATGCCAAATGTTGTGCACTATTTTATATAATTCTAATAAAAATCCTATAAGGTAGACAGTGTAGGTATTCTTATCCCCTTTTTATGAATAAAACTGGAGCCCAGAGAAGTGTGCATGAACCCTTTAATGTAGTGGCAGAGCTGGACTAGAGCAAATTCATTCATTATCCCATTCATTCATTCATTTGGCAAGTTTTCATTGAGCTTCAGGATATGCTGAACACTGGGAGAGAAGTTGGAGATAAGCTATGCAAGGAGACACAAGCTCTCATGTCAATTACTATGTAGTTGAAGTTACACCCATTGATCAGTAATCACCCAGATGAATGGAAAATTAGAACAACACTAAGTGCTTAAAAAGGAGAGGAATGGCCGGGTGCGGTGGCTCACAACTGTAATCACAGCACTTTGGGAGGCCGAGACGGGTGGGTCACGAGGTCAGGAGATGGAGACCATCTTGGCTAACACAGTGAAACCCCATCTCGACTAAAAATACAAAAAATTAGCCGGGCGTGGTGGCAGGCGCCAGTGGTCCCAGCTACTCAGGAGGCTGAGGCAGGAGAACGGCGAGAACCTGGGAGGCGGAGCTTGCAGTGAGCAGAGATCTCACCACTGCACTCCAGCCCGGGCGACAGAGCGAGACTCCGTCTCAAAAAAAAAAAGAAAAGGGAGAGGAACATGGTATTCCTGGAGCGCAGTGTATGGATTTGACAGGGAGGAGAGGAGAGACTCCTGCAGAATTGATAATTGAGCTTATATCTGAAGGATGCAAAGAGTTGACCAGGTGAAGAGAAAAAGAGGAGGATTCCAGGTAGAAGGAGCGGCATGTAGAGAAAGCCCTGTCTGTAGAAGGAGGAAGGCAGGTACAAGAGGTTAAAGGATGATCTGGAGAGGTGATGACTCAGAGGCCAGGGTAAGGAGATTTGCCTTTTTACACCACGAAGAGTAGAAAGTTATTTGCAGTTCTCCAGATGGCCCAGGATCATTTCCAAAATACCAGAAAGTTCAACAAGGAAACAGGATCCAACATATATTTATTGTATATCAGCTATGTGAAGGGCATTTAAATCCGCGAAACTACATTTTTTAACATAAAATTCTATTGTGAATATGCTTAATGCATCTCACTTACGTGGGTAAACTAGAGGAACCCTTGCTCACTTGGCAAAGCTATCACTTCGCAAACGGAGTGGAGAGGTGGATTCTCTGTCAGACATCTGCTAACTTCTTCTGGGAAGTGGACACTGGCTTACTTGTCCATGTGTACATTGACTGAGGCAGATTTTTTCTAAGGAGGCACTGAACAATGAAGGTGAAGAGGACGTTTCTTACTCCATAGCTTTGAAAGAGGTCTGCCCACAGTGGCCCTCGTGTCTGCTCTTCTGTGACCACCTGCATGATCTCAACATCACCTTGGGGACCATGATGTGAGGTTTGGGTCTTTCAACAGGATTTGAGGTTTTGCTGGCTGCCAAAGGACATTAAATGTGAGAGACGTCGCCTTGCATGGAGGTCCCCAGAGAAAAAAGGCAGTGCTTGGATTATACCCAGTTCATTGCCACGACGTGAAGTTTCTTCTCATTTGATAATAATGATATTTTTAAAGTCATACTAAGTATTGCAAAGGCCCTTTTCCAAGAGCATGAAAAAACCCTTATGTTTCCTATCAAAAGGAGAACAAAAATAAGGCTCTACAATTTCTCACATTAGAGCTGGTGTCATATACTTCTCTTTTGCAGTGTTTGGCAACCTTGGTGTATTTGCCTTTTTATTAGTTACATTCTCAAGCCCAGCAAAGATTTGGCTTCTCAGCGTGTTTTGAATTAGATTCATGTAAGCTATAAAAAATAACTGGCCAGAATTAAGCTAATAAAATTCTAAAAGACTGAAGAAGCTGTTGTTGTGAGGGTCAACTACCTTTTTTTTTTTTTTTGGTCCTGTCTGAGAATTCTGGTACCTGGATTATTTTCACAGGATCTTAGGAATGGAGGAAAGATTACAGGTCTACCTGGTCCAGTATCCCATCAGATGCTCTAATCCCTCTTACATTGCTCCAACTGAGTGTTTTTGTGTTCTCCCTGTTGATCAGACACCTCCAGTTACTTGTGGCCCATTTTGGATATCAACTCCTTGGCTCAATGTATGATAATCAAGGCATATTTTTCTGATTTTCCCAATGACTATCATATGCCTTTCTAAAACCCAGAGATAACTATAGTCTCAGAATTTCTCTCTCTCTCTCTCTCTCTCTCTTTCTCTCTCAGCCCTATTTTGAAAGAAGAAAGGCACAATTAATTAAACATGACTGACTCTGTGTGATGGTTAGTGATCACTGCTTCCTTTTCCCAGTTTCTTTTAAATAATTTACTAACAAATCTCTAAATATTAAGATAGTTAGTTGAATTTAAACTGCTAAACAGAAGGTAAAAATCTTCAAGTACTGTAGCATGGAAAGTAATATTTGAAGACAGGGGAGGAAGCAAAGTTAAGGACCTCCTCAAATTTTCCTGGATGGAATAGTTAGAAAATAAAAGATGATATTCATTTTTAATATTTGCATATTGAGACTTTAAAAGTATTTATATATCTAGTGGAAGAAACATTTTATAAAAGGGCTTTCAAGTCCAGTGTAAGTTTATGTAATGAAAAAAAATCCAACCAACCAAAATATTAGTATTTAATCTTTATAAGAAATTAGATGGAAATATGACAACAAATTTGTCTTAGCCTTTGGTTAAAGATATTTTAAAGCTGCTTCTGTGCTATGCCCTTGAGTCCAGACAGAAAGCATACTTCTAAAAGCAATAGAAATGATCAATTTTTGTTACTTCTGGAATAAGGCAAGAGAGAGAGACAGACAGAAGGGCACACAGATATAAAGCTAGACAGGTAGATATGAAAGTTTTCAACTGAAGAAGGATTCAAGTACATTTACCAGAAAAAAATTTCTCAGCCCTTTGTTCTGTTGAAAACAGATTTTAAATGTTTAAGTGTATTTTTCTAACCTGGTAAATAGAGTTAAGATAGATAAATCTCACCAGAATAGAACATTATCCAGAGGTTCCTTCTGATTTCTTGATATTTTAGAGTAATAGCAATTAGTAATGTGCAGAACGACATTAAGATAATGCGAAGATATTTGGGGGACAAACAACCTTACGTTAGCACTGTCACGCGAATGAAGAACAGCAGGCAACGAAGAGCTACGTGCTCAAGGCTGTTGTGCTGGGTTGAGATGACAACTCATTCACTCATTTCCACCTCCAATCCTGCAGCCCAGGAAACCTTACTAAAAGGATGAAGCCCATTCTAGTTTGTGACCCAAGTAAGATTCACTAAGGAGACAGTCACACAAATGCTCAATGCACACAACTGGTGTTCTGAGGTCAAGCACGTGAGAAAACCAACATTGTTTGAGGGTCTACTATATGCCGAGCATGGTATACATTTTTTCTTATTTAACCTGACAACAACATTCTTTCCCCTGTTTTACACAGGAAAGTTGTTTAATCTTCCTGGGCCGCAGTTCCTCAAAGACGCTTGCATGATCATTGGAGGAGCCAGAAATGAAATGAAGCTTTACCTAGCCTAGAAATATGTTCAAGTTAATATTTGCTAAGGCTTTGTCATGACACAGAGAAGTACAGTTTCTGGAAATGAATTTGAGTTCTGTCCTCAGGACTCTGCCCAGAGCCACCTTTGTGAGGTCCTATAATTAGAAGGGCTGTCAGAGGGTCTCTACTCTAACTTCCACTCAGATAGCCATTTCCTCTACCTCTGCCTGGAGACACCCAGTAATGGGTAGCCATCATCCTCCCATAGCAAAAATCCATTCCTTATGAGGACCTGGAATCCACTTTCCTCTAACTAACTCCCACTGGACCCGTTCTGTCTTCTGGGGTCACACCCTGCACATCTGCTCTCTCCCCTAAGTGTCAGCAATGAACTGTCTGGACCCAGAGTACTTGTGTCCCCACCCTCTGGGGGTGCTCCAAGTTTCACATCTCAATTCCTTCCATAGTTCCACACCACTGTGGTATGGAAACCACAATGTGAGAAGGACCATCCCAGCCATTTTGCACGTGCCAGACTCATTCCTCATTGCAGTCTACATTTCAGATTCTGTGATACCTCTGAACAACAGGAATAGGAGGTTTTAATTTGTCAATAGCATCCTGGAACCTTAGAATGAAATACTATTAATGAAAATCAATGTTTCCTAATCTTTGCTTCCTCAAATTCTCCTCTGATCTTTTCTATCCCTTGCAGACTCTTTTCCCAATTCTTCTCTCCAAGACCCTTACTTATCCTCTCTATACATTGGACTTCATCTTCTGGAGGAGATCTAATGAATGAAGTGTCACATTAAGGTATTACGACTGGTTATCATTTCCTGCCATACCTTCAAAGGATATTTGTGTATCATCTAAGGGAAAAGACTGGAAATGATCGAATATCTGCCTTTTCTGCGAAGTTCAGCATCTGGGAAAGAATGAAAGAGGTGCTATCAATTCACGTAGGAAAGACATGAAATCAACCCAGGTGCCCTTCAACAGTGGACTGAATAAAGAAAATGTGGTATGTACGCATACACCATGGAATACTATGCAGCCATAAAAACGAACAAAGTCATGTCTTTTGCAGCAACACGGATGCAGCTCGAGGCCATTGTCCTAAGCTAATTAACACAGAAACAGAAAGCCAAATATTACATGTTCTCACTTATAAGTGGGAGCTAAACATTGGGTACACATGGACATAAAGATGGGAACAATAGCCACCGGGAATAAAAGAAAGGGGAGAGAGAAAGAGTGATGGATGGAGGGATGGAGGGATGGAGGGATGGATGGAGGGAGACAGGGAGGGAGACAAGGCCTGAAAAACGAACTACTGGGTCTTATGTTCACTACCTGGGTGACGGGATCATTTGTACCCCAAACCTCAGCAACACGCAACATATCCATGTAACAAACCTGCACATGTACCCCCTCCGAAATGAAAATGAAAGTTGAAATTATTTTTTTAAAAAAAGAAAGAGGTGCTATGAGATAAGAAGCCGCGCCCCCCACCCTCAGGGACAGGCCCACCTGCTCATTTAGAGAGTTATGTCTTATATCCCACTGACTCTTTACAAGTGGGGTTTCCCCCTTTGTCAGAATCTGCCAACTTCTTGAATTATTCTAGGGCATTATATTCTCACAGTTTGCCCCTAATCACTCACTACAAAGAGGGAACTGGCATGTCTTTATTATATATTCGTGTATTTATACCATATTCAAGAAGAATTTGATAATCTTACAGTTGCAAATGCAATTCATAAAAATAAAAAGGAAACTGAGAAAGCCCAGTGCTAGTGAGGAAAGCTGTGAATATTAATTTAAATACTAAGCCTAACACATTTACCATACATACTTTTTGAAATACCCATATTAATGTTTTCAAGACTCGTGAAAGTTGGAGAATGTCTTGGTTTAGAACAGAACTCAGTACTTTTCACCTCAGTACTGGAAGAGAAGACAATCTGACACAGATACAACTGGAATAAGGAAAGAAATGTGAGGGAAATAATTACAGAAGAGAATTGGACATTTGGGAGAGAAAGAGAGGAAAGTTTTGGCAAAGCTGGACCAGACACTGCAAAATACTTGCAGGTCTTTAAACCTCAATCATTTGGCCAATAAATATGTGCTGAGCCCTGCCGGGGGTGTGTGTGAGAGAGGAACCATGTTAAAACTTAGGAATGCAGAAATGCAGGCCATGCGTAGCCCCCCAGGGACTCACAGCCCAATAGGTCACATGAATAAGTGTTGACAATGACAGGGCAGCAGGGATTAGTGCCAGGGTTGAGGTTAGTTCAGGGGGTATTGGGGATAATAGATATAGCACACAGCACAGGCGAGGTGGTAGAAGAGAGAAAGACAGAAAAATCTTCATAAGAAGAAGGAGTTGGCCGGGCTCAGTGGCTCATGCCTATAATCCCGGCACTTTGGGAGGCCGAGGTGGGTGGATTGCTTGAGGTCAGGAGTTCGAGACCAGCCTAGGCAAAATGGCAAAACCCCATCTTTACTAAAAATACAAAAAAAAGGAGGAAGGAAGAGTTGGGGGAGGGGAGGAGGAGTTGCTCAGAGAGGCAAGAGAATTGGGAAGAGAATTTCCTTTTAGGGTAGTCTTTGCAAAGCATAGCCTACATAGAAAAATTGCAGATAGACCGGTGGTCTTTAAAAATTTTTGTAGGCTTCGTTTTTTAAAAGCACTTTCAGATTCACAGCAAAATGGAACAGGAAGTAGAGATTTCCCATATACATTCCCACACACACAACCTTCCTCACTATAAACATCCCCTACCACAGTGATACATCAGTTACAATTGATGAGTCTGCACTGACACATCATGATCACCCAAAGCCCACAGTTTACATCAGGTTTCCCTCTTGGTGTTGTAGTCTATGTGTTTGGACAAATGGACAATACCATGTATTTGCTACTGTAGTATCATACAGAAGAGTTTTACTGCCTTTAAAATCCTTTGTGCTCCACCTAGTCATCCCTTCTCTCTAACTCCTGGCATCCACTGATTTTTTTTTTTTTTTTTTTTTGATGGAGTCTTGCTCTGTCACCAGGCTGGAGTGCAGTGGTGCAATCTCGGCTAACTGCAACCTCTGCCTCCTGGGTTCAAGTGACTCTCCTGCCTCAGCCGCCCGAGTAGCTGGGACTAGAGGTGCATGCCACTACGCCCGGCTAATTTCTGTATTTTTAGTAGAGACAGAGTTTCACCATGTTGGCCAGGATGGTTTCGATCTCTTGACCTCGTGATACACCCGCCTTGGCCTCCCAAAGTGCTGGGATTACAGGTGTGAGCCACCGCACCCGGCAATATTTTTACTAACTCCACGGTTTTGGTTTTTCCAGAATAGTTGAAATCATACAGTATATGGCCTTTTCCAGTTGGTTTGTTTCATTTAGTATATGTATTTAAGGTTTTCACTTATATTCTCATGGCTCGATAGCTGATTTCCTTTTAGTGCTGAATATTATTCCATTGTCTAGATGTACCAAAGCTTACGTATCCATTCATCTACTGAAGGACCTCTTGGTTGCTTCCAAGTTTGGGCAATTACAAATAAAGCTATTACAAACATTGGTTGTGTGCATGTACGTTTTCAACTCAGTTAGGTAAATACCAAGGAGCTGGATAGCTGGAGTGCATGGTGAGACAGTGTGTAGTTTTGTTAGAATCTGCCAAACTGTCTTCCACAGTGGCCATACCATTTTCATTTCTACCAGAGCCAGTGGCACTTTACTCATTTATTGATCCTTATTCCAAGAATAGTTACTGAGCATCTACAATAGGACCAGCCTATAGTGAACAAAAAAGAGTGGCCCTGCTCCCCTGGAGCTTGCAGTCTCATGGAGAGCTTGCTAGATGTGATGGAGGAGGATGTGACAAAGCAGGTTTGACTATTGGAGAATGTCGTGCCATTCCCCACGAAGGCTGCAAGCATTCACATTCTTTGTCCCCTGAGCTGTCTTTTGATATTAAGAAGATCACAGTCATTTCCTTTTTTTGTTGTTGAGACGGAGTCTCACTCTTGTCGCCCAGGCTGGAATGCAGTGGCGCAATCTCGGCTCACTGCAACCTCTGCCTCCCAGGTTCAAGTGATTCTCCTGCCTCAGCCACCCGAGTAGCTGAGATTACAGGACCTGCCACCATGCCTGGCTAATTTTTTTTGTATTTCTAGTAGAGACAGGGTTTCACCTTGTTGGCCAGGCTGGTCTCAAACTCCTGACCTCAGGTGATCCATCTGCCTCAGCTCCCAAAGTGCTGGGATTATAGGCATGAGCCACTGTGCCTGGCTGATCACAGTCATTTCAAACTGAAATGAACTTAGGGATCTGTTCTCAAACATTTTCTACCACTGAAATCCTTCCTCAGATGAAATCTTACTTAAAAAAAAAATACAAACAAACTCAATCTGTAAATCAAATACAGGCAAGTATACTTGCTTCCTATGGTAACAAATACTACAAACTTAGTGGCTGACAACAACACAAGTGTATTATTTGGAGGTCAGAAGTCCTAAAATCAAGGTGTCAGCAGGTCTGCGTTCCTTCTGGAGTCTCTAGAGAAGAATTCGTTTTCTTGCCTTTCCCAGCATCTAGAGGTCACTTGTATTCCTGGGCTCATGACCCTTTTTCCCACTTTCAAATATTTCACCCTGCTTCCTCAATCATGTCTCCTTCTCTCACCCTGACTCTCCTTCTCTATTATAAGGAACAATTACACCAAAAGCACCTGGATAACCTAGGCTTATCTCCCCATGTCAAAATTCTTAGCTGCATTTGCAAAGTCTCCTTTGCCACATAAAGTCTCATATTCAGCAGGTGCCAGGGGTTAGATGTGGATATCTGTTCACCATCTGATCATGGTGGAGTAGATCTGGGTGGGGTGCAGCTTGAGGGTAAAGAGCCCCCATATTTAGAAACCTCCCAATGTTGCACAGACCACAATTTTAAGCAACTCACCTGAGGCCTTCCTCCGATCACAGATGAAGAAAGGAAGGTTCAGAAGCACTAAGTGATTTAAGACCCATAATAAGTTTATGGATAATCCAGACCTAGAATCAACTCCCAATCCAATATCCTTTCTTCTAACCCTCATACTTTAAAAGGTCTTTCCATGAATAAAACCAAGTACAAAAAAAAAGAAGTATCATTTGGATATGATACAAATCATGGTCAAAATTGCTAAGTACTTTTGCAAAATGAAGACATAGATGGTTTTCTTGGGCCCTGAAAAGCTGACATTCTGTTATGACTTAGAAACATCTTAGTGAAGACAATTCCTGTTGCTGCACAGCTAACCACTCATGATAACGCAGAAGTCTAGGCTGTCCTAATCAGAACTCAAAACCCCTGGCAGAGTCCTCAGAGACCAGAAGGCTTGTACATGGTCCAGCCGTGTGGTAGAGATTGGCCCCAAACCACTTGTCCTCACATTCTTGGCCTAGTGAGTAACCCATCTGCTCCTATAACACCCCCCTCTTTATTTCATGTCATTTACCACTTTTTTCCTTAGTCTCAAGTATGAGCCACAAGTTAAAGACTTTGCAAAAGACTAGACTCTCTGACATTTGGGGGATCTGGTGTTTATTAAGTTGGGAGATTTAAACTGATTTTGATTTGTTCCTAATTTAGGATAGTGACAGACAAATCTGAGAGGGAGCGAGCGGGAGGAAGAGAGGGAGAGGGTGGGAGGAAGGGAGAGAGAGAGGGGAGAGAGAGGTTGCATTTGTATGATATCCAACATCCAGGCACATTTGGGGGAATAAAAAGTTTAAAAATCCAGGCAGCCACAAGTTGGAGGGAAAGAAAAATAAACGCACATTTGAAATCAATTATGCTACAAACTACATGGGGGCCATTGATCAACGCACAAGGGTCTCCTGTATCGATGCCACCTCATTGTGGATGCTCTTCTGGAGACACCTGATACACTAAAGTGGCTTCCAAGAACAAATTAACAGGTCATTTCATTTTGCTCACCTCTGGAAAGACACAGAGGCAGGCTTGGAGGAGACAGACAGATGAACCGTACCCCTACCCCTTGTCTTTTCTGGCCACGCTAGTAAGAATCATCTGGTCTTCTCAATGCAATTGAAATCATATTTGTTGATCACCTACTATGTGCCAGGCACTGCTAAGTACTTTAGAAAAATCTTTTAATCTTCACAACATGTGAATTGGGTACTGTGCTATAGTTACATTTATTTTACAGATTAAAGCAATTACAACTCAGAAATACTAATTACGTAAGGCCGTTGCAAGTGGAATAGGTGGGATTTTTAAACACAGGTCTGACCTCAAATCTCTGTGTTCTTTCTACCACATCATAATATTAACTCTGTCTTAGCCCCCACGCTAAATGCTGGGGGTAAAATAGACATAAATTCTGCCTACCAGGAGATCTGGCTCAGAAAGTAAACTATTTCATTCACTTATTCATCTTTTGGTTCAGCTCACATTCAAGGAGAACAACAGAAGATCCAAATGCACAGCACATCAAGAAGTTCTCTGTCTTCATGGAGCTTACAACTATTGCAGGGAGGGGGAGCCCAGATCATCAACGAATGAACTAATAAATAGTTGCGGATGCTGATACCTGTTAGAAAGGACACCACCGGGCTGCCACAGCAGAGAACAGCAGTTGATGCTGTCCCCCAAGGGAACGGAACACATCACCTTATAAGGTAGTGAGCTTCCCATGTTTGGAAGTACTTAATCAAAGGGTAGGTGACTGGCAGATAGTCCTGCCACTGTGAGAAGGCACTCAAGTTTGAGGGAAGCAGGCATTCATCAACCCGATTTCTTATAACATTCATTCCCACTGCAGGCAAGATGCAACATTCCCTGAACAAAGAAGAGAGATTCTGAAAGAAAGGATTTGGGTGAATGATTAGTATTCATGAAAACTGGGCCTATGCCAGGAAAGTATCAAGTCATATATTATGGTTATTGTTGAAGGAGAAATAATAAAAGAGAAAGTATTGAAATGCTTGGTAGTGCGGAGGCTGGAGAAGGGGACACCAAAGTCATCCCAAGTAAGGGCGAGGAAGGCGGAAAGTGCCGGGTTCAGGCCAAGTTCAGGCTCCACTGAGATTGTTATCATCGACTTGTCACTCAGCTCTGCAGAGCCCGGCCCACAGGAGAACCACCACGTCTCATTATTCTGTTCACACATTGGGTTCCAGTGCCCCTTCAGAGCAGACAGGGGAGGAGACACATCCAGGCTGGGCTGGAAATCGTATAGGCACTTAAGGAACACTTCATCTTAAGAGGGGAACTGTTTTGCTTTTGTCATACTGGTTAATTTGTCCCAAATGTTAAAAACCTCCCATGCTCTTGAAAGACCAGCCATCTACAGATTGCGTTCAAGCAGCCAGACCAGGGGAGAACTAAACCAAACACCTCCTCAGTCTCAACCCTGACTATGGGTCCAACCAGCAAGTTCACATTGAGAAGAAATGAATGATTTTCACTGCAGTCTGAAAAAAAGCTGAGACATGAGTGGTGTCTGCGCAGGTGGGTCACTAAAGCTGCCGTAGAGAGACTTTCACGAGCACCCCATAAGAGATGCTTTGGGAGCTGAAACCCAGTCTCAGCCTATTTTGATTTTCTTTCAGAGTCTGATTGAATTTAATTCATTTAAATTTCTGTAGCTGTGTTCTATAGAACATCAGGTGTCAACAGTTAGCTGGTTCTAGGGTAAAATATATCTGATTCAGCTCAATTTCAGTGTCCACAACTTAGTAATAACATTCTCAGTTCACTTCTGACCTGAAGAATTGTCACATTTTGAATAACCCTTTCTGCAAAAAGGAAGAAAAGGAGGAGTGTGTTTTTCAAAGCTTTAAAGTCTGACAAATCTTCAAGATTTATTAAACCACACACACATACAGACACGCACACACTTGCTCCCATGAGCAAGCGTGCGTGCACACACACACACACAGCAGAGAGCCAAGAATTTTGCTACACTTTTGAGGTGTGCTTTCTCACGTGATCCTAATGACAACTCAGTAGGGTAGGGACTTAGAATATTATCCTTCTCCATTTTATAGCTAAGAAAACCAAGGCTTTGGGGGTTAAACATGTTTCCCAAGTTCACACTGACAATCAGTAGTGGAGCCAGGAACTGAACCCATTCATCTTCCTTAAGAACAGCAGTTCTTAACCAGGACCAATTCTTCCACCAGGGAACATCTGGCAATGCCTAGACACATTTTTGGTTTTCACAACTGGGAAGGAGGTGTCCCTGTCATCTAGTGGATGGAGGCCAGGGATGCTGCTACACAACCTGCCATACTCAGGACAGCCCCCACCATAACACAGAATTATTGGACTCTGAATATCAATAGTGCAGAGGCCGAGAAACCCTGATTTAGATCCTATGCTGTTAACCATCACCACTCCTCCTAGCTTTTCCGTTTTCATCTAAATTTTGTTTTTCTTAGCACAAAAGCCTCAAGGATATATTTCAATTCCATGGTACTATGTGTGGTTGTATAAAGTCACATCAAAAGCTTGCTGTCACCTGATGAGAAAAGTGCAACATGACAGTATTATGATATTCTTTATCAGACAAGGTCTCACTCTGTTGCCCAGGCTGCAGTGCAGTGTCGTGATTATGGCTCACTGCAGCTTCGATGTCCTGGGTTCAAGCAATCCTCCCACTTCAGCCTCCCAGGTAGCTAGGACTACAGGCGTGCACTACCATGCATAGCTAATTTTTTTGTTTTGTGTAGACGGGTCTGCCTAGCTATTTTTTTTTTATTTTGTGTAGAGATGGGTCTCACTATGTTGCCCGGGCTGCTCTCAAACTCCGGGGCTCAAGCAGTCCTTCCATCTCAGCCACCATTCCCAGCCTCATGATACTCTGACATGGACTTCTTTCTCCTATAAGTTTAGAACTGTGAGATGCTCGATTTCTCAGGGATAGCAGGCTCCTCGCTGTATTTTCTCTTGTTATCCTAACAGCAACCATGTGAAGTGAGAAGCTACCCATTTTACAGCTGAGGCTTTGATTTGCTGAAGATTAACCAGCTAGAACATCCCAGAACTGACACTAGACAAGCCCTCTGATTCCAAGTCCTGCATACTTCCCTACAGCAGAAGTTCTCAAAGTTCAGTAAGAATTTGCATCAACCACAGAGCTTGTTTTTAAAGCTCTGGCCCCACCCCCAGAGTTGTTTCAGAAGATCTGGAGTCTAGGAATTGACATTTTTGACAAGCTCCTCATGGAGTTTCGATGTAGTTGTCTCATGGACCACACTTTGAGGAATCCTGCACTAAATAATGCTAGATATGAAATATATTTAATAACAAAAATATTTATAATATAAAAAAGTGTTTATTTAATAGTAAAAATGATCAATGAGAGATAAATGCATGCATGCCTATATACATAGAAAGGCAGCTTTTGAGGTCTCTAAAGAGTGCTGGAAAAAGTGGTGGCTTGAGCAGCATAGAAATGCAAGTTCCACCCCCAGCTTTGTCACCTTGAGCCTTGTGATCCCTCTTGAGCATCCTCCGTGGCCTCTCAAGCCGCTATCCTTTCATCGTTTGCTATTCATTATTCAAGCAGAACCAAAATTATCTGCTTTTTAGAATAGTGTCAGCATTAGCTATTCATGTATGGAATGTACTTAATACAGCACAAAGAACCACTAGACCATACTCAAAAAACACTCTGTTGTTGCTGTTTTCGGTTAATGTTTGAATCGAATCCTTTCCGCAGTGCAGCCGTGTTTCCCCTCTGGCAGAGTGAAGTGCCCCCGTAATCCTGCAGTCCCATGAGATGGAAGGCCGTCCCCCCTCACGCATTCCCCCTGAGCACTGAACCAGAATAAGCAGTATCGCAAAAGCATCTGAAATATTTTTAAATTTATAAACACGCCCAGAGCAAGAGCCTGTCTTCCCGGCTCTGGTGAGAACACCAGCAGCCTCCTTTGTCTTTGTTTCATTTTATCTGACTGGGCAACACATCTATGAAAGAACGGAAAGAGAGATGTCAAAAAGTGGTCAGATGATCGCAATTAGAGTTCTTGTTGTAATTATGTGATGATTTCTGTCTGTAATTCCTACTTGAGTCGAACGCATTCAGCCCCATTGGAGGATGAGAGTTCTTGTCACAGACTTTGCACAGGTCAGGCAGGCGCAGTGTGGAATGCAGGGATGCACCAGGCCTGGCTCCTGCTGCAGGGCCACTCAGTTTAGCAAGACAGGAATCACGTTTATCCCAGCACGTGTTCACTGAGGTCCTGTTCTGGGCCAGGCATGCGCGGAATGTGTGGTATGTAGTGGTGACAATGCAGATGTGGCCTTGTCCTCAAGAGGCAAAAGTCGAGTGTGGTGTCAAAATCACTTGGGGAGATGAGGACATCCTACAGGGTACCCAGTGTGTACTCCTTAAGACTGTCAAGGTCATAAAAAACAAGGAAAGACTGAGCAACTGTCACAGATCAAAGGAGACTAGAAAGGCATGATGACTTAACGCAATATGGCACTCTGGATTGTTTCCTGGAATGGAAAGACAACATTAACAGGAAAACTAGTTAAGTCTGAAATTTAGTTAACAGTACGGTACCAATGCCAGTTTCTTCATTTTGACAAATGTACCACTGTGAGTGTTTTAGTTTGCAGGAACTGATAGACACATTCAATGTTAGCTATGGGGGGAACAATGTGGAGTGTAAGGACACTCTCTGGCATCTTTGTAACTCTTCTGTAAATCTAAAACCATTCCAATAAAAAGTGTATTTTTAAAGTGGGCAAAGAATAGAAACAGACATTTCTCAAAAGACAACATACAAGCAGCCAACAAACATATGAAAAACTGTTCAACATCAGTCATCATCAGATAAATGCACACTAAAACCACAATGAGAAACCATCTCACCTCAGTCAAAATGGTGAATATAAAAAGTCAAAAAAACAACAGATGTTGGTAAGGATGCCGAGGAGTAATTACCAAAAATAGGGAAGTAGGAGGAATTGCTGGTTTGGAGAATACGTCTTGAATCGGTTACTGGACAAGGGAAGGAGTGAAATCTGCGACCTGGTTTGCTTCTGCCAGCTGCAGCCATTCCTTCAAGAAATATTTTATCAAGAGCCTCTTTTAGAAATTGGGAGACAAAGTCTTTGCTCTTTTGGAGCATAGACTCATGTAGGGAATCAAACATTATGCAAATAAATGAATATCTACTATAATGCCGGGCTGTTTCTAGAAAGAAAAAGAATAAATGTTGAATTGCAGAAGAGCAAGTTGGTAGCCATGCAGAGAGATTTGCTGTCACAATGAACTTTTTCCTTTTGATTCAGGTCATCAAACTTTGCAAAATATAGGAGAAAGAAAATCTAATTACTTTGAAGATGCTCTGTGAATTAACTAGGGAGGGTTTGGACCATGAGAGGTTCATCTTCTGATGAGCAAGAACCATGGAGAGCAGCCTGGATGGCCGACTGGACAAAGAAAGACCCAGATTAGAGTCTCAGCAACTGTGCTGTGTGACCCTGTGCAAGTTACTAAACTTCTCTGAGCCACAAGGGCTTTATCTGTAGAAAAGATATATTAATACTTCTTTGAAAGTTTGTGCTGGAGATTGGAATACGTCAACAAACTGTTAGCACAGGTCTTCATGTAGGTCATCATACAAATGTTCAAAAAAGGTAGAAATTTTTCTCCTGGGTAATGCATCTGAAAATTCAGACAGCATTGTCTACTCTTTCTCCTGACAATCTAGGTTGAATTGCATGGATGGAGATGATTCACATCAATATTGTCATCCCAAAGAAGCTATTTCTTCTTGCTATCTCATCCCATAAAAAGCCCTGATTCCTGTCTTTGCTACTGTCTGATTGTCCCATTCTTCCTTCGATCCTACAAGCAAGACTACATGTTTCTACTAAATTTCTTTTTGCTAATTACTCAGAGAAGTAGCTTGCATCTAAAAATCTTTAACAGATTCAGTTAATATTGTTAACATTATGAGCAGTGTTTGTATCCCTAATTGCTATTATTAACATTATTATGTATTCTTTTTATACTTAGTGGTAGTAGTGTTAACATCTTTCTTAGTGCTGTGAAAGTCTTAACTGGGCCCTAAGTTTGGGGTTGATAGAGAATGGGATTGGGGCAGGCATGGTGGCTCACGTGTGTAATCCCAGTACTTTGGGAGGCCAAGGCAGGCGAATCACTTGAGGTCAGGAGTTCAAGATCAGCCTTACACAGCAAATCCCCATCTCTACTAAAAATACAAAAATTAGCTGGGTGAGGTGATGCACGCCTGTAGTTCCAGCTATCTGGGAGAGTGAGCCATAAGAATCACTTGAACCCAGGAGGGGGAGGTTGCAGTGAGCCGAGATCATGCCACTGCACTCCAGCCTGGGCAACAAAGCAAGATTCTGTCTCAGAAAGATAATGGGATTGTACATGTATTAATAGATACTAGATTTTCTCACAAATTCTTGATAGTTGAGAAAATACCATATGCTTTGTGTGAAATGCACAAGACACTTCACCAAGATCTTGGCCTAGAGAAGGAGAGAAGCTTCAACTATTTTCTTAGCATGAACAACAGTTGCTGAGGTATTTCTGGACTTTGGATGCCCATCTTAGAAGGATATAAACGGGAACTCAAACCCCAGAGATGCAAGGGTGCTAAGCCTGGAAGGGGCTGTGGAGATCAATTAAATATCCCGTTTTCTGAAACAGGAGTTGCCACAGTCTCCACTCCATGCCAACATTTGATTACATTGCATCCTACTGCTGTGCAAAGTTTCTTGGAAGTTATTATAGTAGAATAAACACAAACATACATGGATTTTTGTGGTCTCTTGTTTATCCTTAAGAAATTTCCTTCTTAAAAACAGCTGGCTTGGGTCCCATCTCCTGTTGTTCAGAGTTGACTCCAATACATTTTACAGATGGGAACACTGAGGCCCAGATAGTGGAGATTTTTGACCAGGCTCACATAGTGAGCAAGTGTCAGGGACAACCCTGGAATCACGTCTCCCTCCTACTTTCTCAACACAGAGAAAGTAGAAAGAAAAGAAAAAGTTATGGTGGCTTTGGTTTTCTTTTGTTTTAAATGCAGTGTTATTTTTCCCCCACGGATATACTCTTGGGGTTTTTTGTTGTTGTTATTGTTGTTGTTCTTTTGGAGATGGAGTCTTGCTCTGTCGTCCAGGCTGGAGTGCACTGGTGCAATCTCAGATCACTGCAACCTCCACCTCCCAGGTTCAAATGATTCTCCTGCCTCAGCCTCCTGCGTAGCTGAGATTATAGGTGCACACCACCACGCCTCGCTAATTTTTAAAATATTTTTAGTAGAGACAGAGTTTCACCACATTGGCCAGGATGGTCTCTAACTCCTTACCTCAGGCGATCTGCGTGCCTCAGCCTCGCAAAGTGCTGGGATTACAGATGTGAGCCACCGCACTCAGCTTATTCTTGGGTTTTGGGATCTGCAATTCTGAGAAGGTAGATTCATACTGTGAGTTTTGTTTTTCTCCAGAATGTGGCTCTCTCCAATCAAATCCCCACCCATGAATGAGGAAGGCATGGATGGGACAGCCCAAGCTTAATGCAAACTGAAACTACCTCCTGTTTATCTAGCCCTGATGGTTTGTTAGGCATATTTGAAGATTCTGTCACTTATAAAAGTCGTGAAATGAATTTTGGTAGTAGAAATCTACATATTTTTCTTTTAATTGTTAAATATTGAGAATAACTCCTGGTAGCACACTGATCTATTTCCTTTATGCTTTTTTATATTTTTATTTTCCTCACACCCCACCCCACCATGATAAAGAGTCTTGCCCTGTAGCCCAGGCTGAAGTGCAGTGGTGCAATCCCGGCTCACTGCAACCTCTACCTCCCAGGTTCAAGCAATTCTCCTGCCTAGGCCTCCTAAGTAGCTGGGATTACAGGGGCGTGCGCCACCACACTCCGCTGATTTTGTATGTTTTAGTAGAGATGGGTTTTTGCCATGTTGGCCAGGCTGGTCTCCAACTCCTGACCCCAGGTGATCCGCATGCCTTGGCCTCCCAAAGTGCTGGGATTACAGGCATGAGCCACCGCACCCGACCCTTTATGCTTTATTATGTGCATTTGAAATCACTTTCATTGTATGCAAACATTTTCTCTTAAATTTTGCATTTAATAATTCCTAAGAACTTAGTAATGTTGTTATGAACTCTTCATATATGTCACTCAGGAGAGCTATGTAATTTTTGTCCACCAACAATCATTTAACTATCCCCTTGTTTTGGGTAATTTGGAACGTTTTCCCATGTTTTGCTGGTTAATAATAATATATCAATATGAGCATCTTTTTTGGTAACCCTTTAGCTAGCAGATGGATGAGATGGCATATCAGACTCCCCATTATGTTTGAATGTGACTAGTTTATTCTTGTCAGGCTTTAGGGAATTTCATTGAAGGAAAAAATCTTTGTCAATATTATAAAACATATAGCTTACTTATGTTTACTTATGAAGTTGAATTTGGGTCCACGTTTTTCAACCAGTTATATTTCTTCTTTGGTGAAATACCTTTATATTCCTTATGCCCTTCCATTTTCCAAGGTCCTTCTTTAATCCTCCTTCTCCTATTAGGGATTTAACATTGTTTACTCCACATAAAGTAATCCCTCTCCTTTCCTACAGCCTTGAATTCTGTGAAGATCAAAGACACATGGCAATGATTTATGTATGGCTATACTAAAGCACTTGGGTATGAAAATTCTCTCTCCAGCTAGAGAGGAAGCACCATGCTTTTCTCCTCATACACCGTACAGGTTCCATCATTGTTGAAGGGACAGGAGGAGAGATGGACAGGCCCAGTTCCCTCTGTCATCTCACCATAACGTGGTTGGGAATCACAGCAGAAAACAGTGACAGGAGACCTTGGCCTTTCATCTGAGTACCTGCTCCCCACTCTATAATTCTGCCTCAATTGACTCAGCTCCTTGTTTTCTCTCTACCTCACAAGCCATCATGGCACCTACACCATTTCTCTACAAACTATAGACAGGACAAAGCCAACCTTTGCACAGTACAGCGAAGGCTTTGTGGAGGTAGGATTAAGTCATTGATAAAAATCTAAGATGTACTTTTTAGATTAGCTAACTTTTAAATGATGCCAGATTTCCAACATAAAGGGCTATCCCGTGGTAAACCGCAGTTAAGAAAATATCACACTTAAAACAAAGCCGGAAGCTCATAAACTGATAACTCCAGCTGCCAGTATTTCCAACGACCTTGGGAGGTCTCAGGTACTGAAGAAATCCATGACTGAGGCTTTCTGCCACCATTTCTTTATGATACCTGACCAATAAGGAGAGGGTAATCTTATTTCCAGATTATGTTAATGAAAAAATGAGGATTAATACGCTAAGCTGCTCCTAGATGTGGAAAGAGTAATGATTCCAGCCAGTTGTTTTTAATTAATCTCTTGTGTTCTTGGCTTATCTGGTCCCAGAAAATGAAAGCCATGAATTTTACAATACGTGTGCCAGATCACATGTGTAATTCAGTGGAAAACCCCTACACAATAAAGAAGGAAGCTTTACAATGAATAGTAGTTCCCTGGGTCCTAGGAAAACTTGAACAACATTTTGCAAGCTAAAGAATTCCTCCTTCTATAACCCACTTCACTCTGAAACATCAGAGTTTTTTGTTTTTTGTTTTTTTTGAAATGGAGTCTCACTCGGTCTCCCAGGCTGGGGTGCAGTGGCACAGTCTTGGCTCGCCGCAACCTCCACCTCCTGGGTTCAGGCGATTCTCCTGCCTCAGGCTCCCGAGTATCTGGGGTAACAGGCTCCCACCACCAGGCCTGGCTGATTTTTGTATTTTTATTAGAGACAGAGCTTCACCATTTTGGCCAGGCTGGTCTTGAACTCTCGACCTCAGGTAAACCGCCTGCCTCAGCTTCCCAAAGTGCTGAGATTACAGGCATGAGCCATCACACCCAGCCAGAGTGTATCTCACTGTTACCTGAAATTATCCAAAGTTGTAGATGATCAAAGGACTGGGGATACAGGGTATGCTGAACCCGTTTGCTTTCAGAAGAGGTGTGTACATTAAGGAGAGTAAAACTTTATGTTTGCGAGCCATCACTCCAAAGACCAGCACGTCGGGATTTATATCGAGTGTGTGTGCATGTGTGTGTGTGTGTGTGTGTGTGTCTCTGTTGGAGGTGAGGGAAATCAAGGACAGGAGCTTTGACTTACTTGGGTTCAATGTTAAACACAGTGGGAGAGACAATCACTATTCCACCATCTATTTCAATATGATCACAAAATTTACTCTAATGTGCTCTATGCAAGTCATTCTTTGTTTTTACTTTTTAAGATGGAGATATGTGTTTTGCCTTTATGTACAGAAAGATTAGAGCAGATGGGTGATATGTATGTGTGCATGCACATATGTGTGTGTATGTAGAACTTAACATTCATTAAACACTAGTGCCCCCAAATCACACACTATAAACATCTCTTCATCAGAGGCTTATGCATTAGATGTAATCCTCATCTGTGAAGTGGAAATGATGATGTCAGCAATTAAAAATTAAGCAACTTTCCCAAGGAGTGGGAATACTAGGATGTGAACTCAACTTTTCCAGGATACCAGGATACATGAGTCCACACCCTGCATCCAAAATTAATAATGATCCCTCTAATGTGTAGACAGTTTTAAGGGTTTATAATATGCTTTTCCATGTATTATCTCATATAGCATTCTCAGCAAAATTATGAACTTATTACCCTGTTTTAGAGAGGAAGAGATTGAGGCTCAGAAAAGTGACATTTTATTCAGGGAGGTAACTGTGGGTAACATAGAAGCAAACTTAGCAAAAGAGTAATCTGTAAGTATGGAAATCTAATCAAATCATGCTTCTCTTTAACACCTATGGTTCTTAGGATAACACTTCAACTTTTAGCCAGGTTCAGTGGCAAGTGTCTGCAATTCCAGCTACATGGGAGGAGGCAGGAGGATAGCTTGAGTCCAGGAGTTCAAGACTAGCCTGGGTAACAGAGCAAGACACCATCTTAAAAGCAAACAAAACAAAACAACTCAACTTCTTAATGTAGCAGCTAAAGCCTGGGATAACCCAGACTCCCCACACACTCTTCCATCTTCTCAGCCTCAAGACTCCATTCCAGCTCCTGGAGAACTCTTTAGTTTCTCTATATCATGATGATAGCTCTAAGCATTGGCCTTCCTACTTGCACTCTTTCTTTCTGGAACAATCCTATTCCTACCACACCTCTTCCTATTTCCATTTGGATGACATCCATACTTCTTGGTTCTCTCAATGTATATGTCATTCCTTTCTCTGAAACACAACTGTGGGCTAGACGCCCCTCCTCTGTGCCCCTTTAGCCCTTGCTCTTCCCCAACCCAGCACTTTATGTGCTGTGTTATGATGAACTCAGCTTCTTTCAATACAAATTTTTATTTTTCAGGAAGACAGGAGCTATGATATCCCTCTAGCCATACAGGGTTGGTCCACAAGGAACATGCCACATTCATTTGACTACCTTGGAGTTTCTATTTCTTTCTCAGATAGGAAGATGGAAAGAAGGCCTGAGAAAGTTAAGCAGGACTTTTGCGGTGAGGTAAGGCTAGACTCTGATCATAAGTGGTGGGTTGAATTTGCAGAGGGGAGGGGAGAGGAAGACACCCCGAATTTGGGAAACAGCATCAGATCCTATTGAGCATGACACTTTAACGGAACAAAGAAGAACTTGGACAGGCTGAAGAGGAAGCTGTGCATTAGTAAGGAAGGACAGCAATAGCAAGACCTGGCATTTATTGAGCACTTACTGTTTGCCAGTCACTATTTCTAGAACTGTGCATGTATTAACATCCCACAGCAACTCAATGGAAAGTAAACAACTCAAGATCCAACAGCTAGCTATATAGAGGCAGAGCTATGATTCCAACTCATTTCTTCCGTGGTTAAAACCCATGATGTTTCTGGCCAGGTGTGGTGGTTCATGCCTGTAATCCTAGCAGTTTGGTGACTGAGGTGGGCAGATTACCTGAGGTCAGGAGTTTGAGACCAGCCTGGCCGAAGTGGGGAAACCCCATTTCTACTAAAAATAGAAAAAAAAATTAGTCGGGCATGGTAGCACACGCCTGAAATCCCAGCTACTTGGGAGGCTGAGGCAGGAGAATTGCTTGAACCCAGGAGGTGGAGGCTGCAGTGAACCGAGATTGCACCACTGTACTCCAGCCTGGGTGACAGAGCGAGATTCTGTCTCCAAAAAACAAACAAACAAACAAAAGAAAAACCATGTTTCTTCCATGTAAATTCCCATATAATAAACACATTGGGTCTCTCAAGCAGGGAGAGGAGAGCAAGGGTATTTAAAATCCCACTTCTAGTGAGAAATCAAAGACATGCCATCAACACAAGTACAATGCTATGGAAAAATTCTGAGCAGGAATCAGTAGGTATGATTGAAATTAATGCTTTTGGGATATTTCTCTGGTACCATGATGAAGGAAAGAAATAGACAGGAAGAGAATGGCAAGCTGGGGGTGGGGGAAATAATGAGCTTTTGAAGTGGTTCATAATGGAAAATAAAAGAAAAGCAATGGTTAAAGAGGAATTTGGAAGGAAAAAAAAAAAAAATAGCAAAACAGTCGAGTAATTCAGTTTGCTTTCCTGAAGAAACATCCTGGGAAGAGACGTGCTGGTAAATTTTTCATAACTGGCTCTAAATGGGAGACCTGCTCGGTAGGGTCATGGTGTAAATACTTTGCCTATGGCTGCTTGCCATGGTGTAAATATTCTCAGCATGACTGATTTCAAGTTAGTAACATGGCATCTTTGAGCTCAGAGCTGAGAAAAGAGTACAATGAATTCCTGAAAGCTAGTAGGAGCTGGTGCCAGGACACCAGTGGCCCTGAAACACAGAGGGCCCAAGTTGAAAGTTAAAATGTCCTGGGGACTGGAAATGCCCTGCTCAACCCTGATATGCAGCAATCTTTATCAGGTCCACAGGAAGTGATGGACGGAGCTAAGATAGAGGATGACTAATCCATGTGGCAGCTTCCACTTAATCAAGTGACTCCCGTGACTGGGCACTGTGCTGGGCAGTGCAGACACAAGTATAGTCTCATTTAATCCTCAAACCACTCTGGGAGGTAGGTATTAGCTTTTCAAAGATGAGAAAACAGAGGCTTTGAGAGGTTAGTTTATGTGCTCAAGATCCCACAGCAAGTAGGTAAAATGGAGAAGAGATTAAACATAGGCGTACCTAACACCAAAACGCTACACTCTACTTCTTCTCAGTGACTCTTCCCATCAAACAAGAGACAAGGGCTGTGAGAGCCAAGTGGGAGGAGAAAATCAAAGATTGCCTCCCACAATATAAACCAAACCCACATGTACCGTATATGCTGAAAATTCCTAATTCATGCCAAACAGCAATGCTAGAGACCCTATCTCCACCTCCACACCAGATTTTTAATGTGATTTTCTTACAAACTTTTCCCTAGATTCCTGAAGAAAATGATAAAGCAATGTGAAAATGAACTATATCTATTTTGCAATAAATTAGCAGCATTCTGTATCTGTACATTGGACACATATCTAAGACAGAAATACAACTCCTGGCCCAAGTTCCCCACTTCTCAATCCTGCACGACTTATCCCTTAGTCACTTAATATTGCCTACACTGAATGTTCCTGGACCTAACAGCCTGAGGAGAGAATAAGGTTTCATGTTTAATATGGATAGCACCATCATTCTCAGCCAGCACACAAGCCATGATAAGATGACATTTACAGTGATGATAAATTTGCAGAACCATCAAAAGACAGTGCCTTGTCCATGCCATTACTTCTTTTAGTAGTGAGGGAGAAAGCTATTTTCTGGTAAAGACCAACAGTTTCAGATTAACGTAGGCTAGGAGTTGAGATGTCTAATTTGGAAAGAGAAGAAAAGAACACCAAACTTACTATTGAAAAAATATTAATAGAAAGCCAAAATAAGGGGCAAACAGTTCAAAATCATAGGAACTCTTACAATTCAAACTGAGTCTTCCTTGGATAGTATGGAAGACACCAAGATACCCCGAAGCATCCCCAGCTCCTAGATTCATGCCTTGCTGTAGTTCCCTCCAACCATGAATAGGGCTGATCTGTGTGATCAATAGGACATTGCAGAAGTGACAGTATACACCTTCCAAGGTGAGGTCATACAAAGTGTCATAGCCTCTCTCCTGTCCTCTGTTAGGTCACTCCTTCTGGGGGGATGCAACTACCACTCCATGAAGAGACTCAAACCACCCAAGGGAAAGGTGCCCCTAGGGCAGGGAATCACAGTCTCTAGCCAACAGCCAGCACCAACTTACCAGACAAGAGTGAACCAATTTGGAAGCAGATCAACTAACCTCAGTCACACCCTTAGAGGACTGCAGCCCTGGCCGAGGTCTTGAATGCAATGTTATGAGATTCTAAGCTGCGTCCAAAGTCCTGACTCCCCCCCCAAAAAAGTGAGATAATAAATGTCTATCCTTTTTCATCTGCTAAGTTTCAGGGCGATTTGATACACCACAACCTAACTGACACAGATGGTGACTTACATTGGGTTCCCTTTAAACAGACCCGGAGAGTGGTATTCAAGCACATATCATTTGAGGGAGTCTATTTCTGGAAGGATCTCTAAAAGGAGGAGTAAAGCAGGAAAGGGGAAGGGGCTGAACATGGATGCAGTCCCAGACAAGTTCTAGCCTTGCCCGGGGCCTTGGGAGCCTCTGCAGCATAAATTGCCCTGCTGAGTCATCCCCTGAGGAGATCAGGCATTGGTACTTCTGCATCCATCAGCATCGGAGGTGGGCTTTCCCCTTTGAGCATAACTTCCTGGGTGAGGCAGCTCTTACAAGTGGAAGGAAATTCTCCAGAGAAGGGGACAGAGAGAGCAATGAATGACAAACTATCACCAAGCTATGGGAAGGGTCCACTTATTTGATAAAGAGGCTTGTGCTGGGCTCTATGGCACTCCTGCCCATGGGAAACCTCCAGCGTCATCTCCATCCTATTGGGCTCACTGTTCTGCTTCCCAGCAGGCCGGCTCCATGGGATCTCATCTTCCAGGCAGCTTCCTCTGTTCTAGCAGGTTCTTCCTTCCTCTTGGAACTGGAGATGGATTAGGATTCCTGCGAGTTCAGGCGGGGTGAATATACATTTATATCCCAGGAAGAAAATAGAAGAATAGAAACAAAATGGCAAAGGCTTCATGCAATTTAACACTTGTAAGTCCAAGGCAACCCAGAAGCACTACAAGTTGAGAAATTTCCACCCTTGGGATGCTTTCCCAAGTGAACTTAGACACACATACACCATTTTTTATTTTTGCCTTTTTTTTTTTTCTTTTGAGACAGAGCCTCACTTCATCCCTAAGGCTGGAGTGCAGTGGTGTGATCTCGGCTCACTGCAACCTCTGCCTCCCAGGTTCAAGCAATTCTCATGCTTCAGCCTCCCAAGTAGCTGGGATTATATGCACACACCAGCACAGCTGGCTAATTTTTTGTATTTTTAGTAGAGACGGAGTTTTACTGAGTTGGCCAGGCTGGTCTTGAACTCCTGACCTCACGTGATCCACCCATCTCAGCCTCCCAAAGTGCTAGCATTACAGGCATAAGGTGAAAAATATTTTTCTCTTTTTCATTCACTGTTATATCCCTATTTTAGTCTTTAGTTTATCAAGTTTTACTGTTTATTTGTACTTAGCAGTCCTTTTTAACTAACTCCCTTACTGTACACACCCTGAATATTGTAAGTGGCAGAGATAATATAGCTTGTTAAAGGAGAAAGAAGAAAACAGACCAAGTCATAGTGTTGGTTAATCCATCCCACACAGAGAGTCCGCGAGGCGTTGCAAAGAGTTCAGGCTGAAGGGGTTGATCACAGTGCTCAGGGAGTCACCTTCAGTGGAATATCGTGATGGGAGCCTCCACACTCTTGAACTCAGCCAACAGGCTGACACGGCACGGGATTCTCACTTAGCAGGTATGCGCTGGATGCAGCCCTAACTCATCTCAGTGTCAAATGTCTATAAAACCACCAGACATTGCTGATAGAGTAGATCTTTGCATAACTCTAAGTCCAGCTAAGCTCAACACATCCATCTCTAATTTCTGCTTTGGTCACCTCTTCTCATTCACTACTTTTGTCCTTGCCCAGACCCTGAAGTGGGGAAGGGGTACATGCTATAGCCCAGGAGGGAGACAAGGGAAAAGAGCAAAGACCAAAATATCCTGTCACACTTTTATTTATGGGTCACTGGCTCACGCATTTGTACATTACATCTGTACACATGTACTGTTGTCTCCAATTCAACCGGAAGCTTCTTTGAGTGTAGGGAGGTGGGTGCCTTGTTTCTTTTCTATCTTTGCCTCCAGAATATCTATATCAGCTGTACCAAGGTTCACATTTGTATATACCAACATCTGTATTTTCTGATACCGTGTCTACTGTGGCAGGTTCCCAGTAACTACTGGTTACATCATTCATAATCTTCCCAATCTGATATTTTCCCCAATTGTTTCATGACATGTAAGATTCTTAACATCCTCCATCCACAGCATCAGGCACAGAGCAGATATTGTTGAGCGAATCGACAACCTATCAATAGCTTTCTTTTTGATGTGGCATTTTAGGAAGGCAGCCTGCCCCTGCCCCACTGGACTCACCAGGCATGGTCCCAGCTCAGGGCTTGTACACTTGAGGTCCCTTCTACCAGATAAGCCATTCCCATGAAGAGCCACACTCTGCTCACTTACTACAAGGCTTCATGTCACCCTGGCAATGAGATCATGTCTCAAATTGCAACAATGCTTCCCCCTTCCCTGTCTGCTCTGGTTTTATTCCTTAACACTTGAAAACATCAAAGCTATCAAGTATTTATCTTAACTGTATATCTTGTGTATTGTCTTTCCTTACTAAGTTCCACAAACAGGAGATTTTTCTCTTTTTTATTCACTGTTATATCTCTAGTACCTAAAATAGGTTGGCACAGAGTGTACACTCACTAAATATTTCTTGAATTAATAAAGGAGTGAATGGCTTAAATATGCATTCAAATCTAGCTTCAGCTATTTATTGGCAATCTGAGTCCCATTTCGGAGGAGTTTTCTACTATGTGATGTGGCACGTCATTTGATTTTTACGAGCCTCAATTAACTCAAATGTTAGTAGGCTGCCTATTTTCTTTACTTGTCACTTTTGAGAATCAACATCTCAGCTTTTCCCGAGAGAGGCAGAGCACCTCTGTTCAAAAGACAGCTTTTAACCAAGAAGCCTGGAGAGACAGCCTTGCTGAGTCTTTCTGTGGGAACCAAGTTGAATCTGAAATGCCCCTGGTAGCCTCAGCTGTCCCAAGAACGTCTGCTTAAGTGCTAATGAATTATTTCCATCTTTTTCATGCATTGGGGTCACCAGGGAGAATATTGTTCTTGGACAAGAACGCATACATCCTCAGGAAACTCACACTTCGGGTAACCTCACCAGTAGGTCAGACTGTCTGTGTCTCTCTGGGACAGACAGAACAAGAGCTTCAATTACAGTCTTTCGAAGTCCCTTTCTTTGTGAGCTTGAATTTAGACTTCCCTTAACCTCCAAAAGGGAGGGCAACTCAAGGTGTCAGTGAAAGAACTCAGGTACAAAAAATGTTACAGGATTCAACAACTACCAGGATTTAAATTAGAAATGTCTGCATGTATGAGTGTGTGTGTGTGTGTGTGTGTGTGTGTGTGTGTGTGTGTGTGTGTGTTGGGAGAGCAAGTAGCAAAAAACATTGGGGAAACAGACTGAACAACTTCTTGAATAAGACTTGAATCTCGGCCGGGCACAGTGGCTCATGCCTGTAATCCCAGCACTTTGGGAGACCAAGGCAGGCGGATCACATCAGGAGATCGAGACCGTCCTGGCTAACATGCTGAAACCCCGTCTCTACTAAAAAATACAAAAAATTAGCCAGGCGTCGTGGTGGGCACCTGTCGTCCCAGCTACTCGAGAGGCTGAGGCAGGAGAATGGTGTGAACCTGCGAGGCCAGAAGTTGCACTCAAGCCTGGGCAACAGAGCGAGACTCCTTCTCAAAAAGCAAAAAAAAGAGACTTGAATCTCTAATTGAAACGGTATTGTGCCCTTGCCTATAGAGGAAGAGAACAGAACTTACCATTATCTGCTATGTGCCATGACACGCTGCAACATCCAGTCACCATGAAAACAGTGTGATCAAATTGTAATTTTACAGGTTTTTAAGAATGCAATAAAATAAAAACAGTTTCTACTTGCTGAGGGTCCTTTTGTGTTAAAAGCTGGTCTTTTCATGTTATACCTTTTTCATCTTAATGTTGTGGCATAGGAAATACTTATATTCTTTTATTAAAGATGAAGTCCTCAGGGCTGAAAGAGCTCAAGTGACATGTCAAAGAGCTCAAGTGTCAAGAGACTCAAATTGGAGTCTGCCTAACTCCAAAGACTGCAGTAGTTTCTATTTGCTTGTATTAGCTGGGGGATGACAGGAAGGCTTAGCTGTTCTTTCCTACCTGGTCATTCACCTTTTTTCTCTTATATCCATTCTCCATTTTCTGCCTGCCTCTGTATTTCAGGAAGCTACATTTCCCATGTTCCATTGTTTTCTGGCTTTTGGATGGACTTGACAATGGGAGGCACTGGCAGAAGATTAAAACAGTAAAGTGAGAAGCCAAAGTATTAATATTCTCTCTCTCTCTCTCTCTCTCTCTCTCTGTCTCTCTCTCTCTGTCTCTCTCTCTCTCTCTATCTCTCTCCCCCTACCCCGGCTTCCACACTCTGACACGACTACATCTATTCCTATTATTTCTCCCGACGTAGGGATGGTAGAGCTGCTACTCAGCTCTGGGTTACCTCATCTCCTTTTTAGGTTCTCAGCTCTCCCATCATCCATGTGGCCATTTCCCAATATTGCATTGTCTCTGTTTGAAAGACCCAGATCGGTATATATTTTCCCAGCTATGCTCTGGCTAATACATATATCGTCTTTCAGAAGACAAACATTATTCAGAGCATTTAAAACTGATATTAAAACTGCAGTTGGAATCAAAGCATAAGGAAGAGAGGGAGTAATCATCTCAATGATTTAAATTATGTGCATTTGGTATTATGCTAAGAACCACTGTGCAACAACCACAGGCTTTGTCATCAGAGCTAAAGCCTGTCACTGGTGTTTACTAGCTCTAGTGACTTAAGGAAAATTATTTCAGCCCCTCTGAGTCTCATTTTTATTAATAAAAAAACCCTGTTTTGCAGCATTGTTTCACAAATCAGAAATTGTGCATGTAAAATAGAAACACACAATTCCTGACACATAGAAGACAATCCATGAATGCTACTCATTGTTACTTCGTTCCAATTAGCTTCAGGAATCTGAAAGATTTCAAAAGGGCTGTAAGTAAACATTTTTCAGTAATGGCAATAGAAATACATTGGTTTCATTTCAGGAAAAAATGATGAGTATGACATTTAAAATGAGGAGCTAAGAATGAAATATCATTACCTGAAATAACATTAAAACTGAAAGATTGGAATAGGAGGGGCAAAAAGAAGACAAACACTATAAAAATGTTTTTAACAATTTTTTTTTAATCACTCAGCCGGGAAGTATTTATTTAGCTTCTCCTAAATCCAGAGCTAGGTGAGAGACACCAAAATTAAGTGGCCTCACACTGGAAATGGAGATCTGGAATGACTATCAGGAAACCTGGGTACTGGTCCCAGCTCACTTCTCTCAGAGCCTCAGTTTCCCCATCTGCTAATTGCTAGGTCAGGGTCATGTGCTTCAGGATCACTCATACAACTTTTTCGTTTAACTTTTACTTTAAGTTCAGAAGTGCATGGACAGGTTTGTTACCTAGGTAAACTTGTGTCTTGGGGGTTTGTTGTACAGATTATTTCATCACCCATGTATTAAGCCTAGTACCCATTAGTTATTTTTCCCGATTCTCTCCCTCCTGTCACCCTCCACCCAGCCCCAGTGTGTGTTGTTCCCTATTTATCCATGTGTTCTTATCATTTATTTCCCACTTGTACAACCTTTTTTGGGGGGAGGGGAGGGGGCCAATCTTGCTCACTGCAACCTCTGCCTCCCGGGTTCAAACCTCCGCCTCCCAGATTCTCCCACCTCAGCCTCCCACGTAGCTGGGACTACAGGCGTGAGCCACCAAGCCCGGCTAATTTTCGTGTTTTTAGTAGAGTGGGGTTTTGCCATGTTGGCCAGGCTGGTCTTGAACTCTTGAGCTCAAGTGCTCTACCCCCCTCAGCCTCCCCAAGTGCTGGGATTACAGACATCAGCCACCACACCCGGCCCTCATACAACTTTTAAAGCACACACTTACCCAGGCCCTGCTGTCAGAATCTGATTCAGTACATTCCCTGGAGGGGCCCCAGGGAAATTTATTCCCAAAGGCTGAAGACTCGGACATGCACTCCTGCGTAATCTCCTTGCCGATGACGATGAAGTCCCCTCTGGCTTTAAGACTCTCAAGCCACAACTGTACATCCACTGGAGGGGAACAGAGAAAGAGTAAGCAGTGAAGACTGCAGGAGATGGAGGAGGCTCCAGGAGAAGAAATGCCTCCAACTTTGAAGGCTGATCAAGATTGAGATAGAACTAGGAGTGACATCTTTCTAGGTAAGAGTAAACAAGGTGGAAAACGTCAATTTGTTAGTTAAAAATAATAATAACAATAAAATTAAAAAGGCTGGGCTTGGTGGCTCATGCCTGTAATCCCAACACTTTGGGAGGCCGAGGTGGGAGGACTGCTTGAGCCCGAGAGTTTGAGGCCAGCCTGGGCAACATAGTGAAACCTCATCTCTACAAAAAACACAATAATTAGCCAGACATGGTGGTGTGCCCCTATAGTCCCAGCTACTCGGGAGGCGGAAGCAGGGGAATTGCTTGAGTCTGGGAGGTGGAGGTTGCAGGGAGCCAGAATCTCGCCACTGCATTCCAGCCTGGGTGACAGAGCAAGACTCTTTCTCAAAAACAAAATAAGAAAGAACAAGAGGTAGGCACAGTCAGCAGGAGAACAAACTACTTACTGATTTACACCTAGTAGAGGGGCACACATTCATAACGAAAACTACTATCCTTTTTTGGTATTCCAAAGACTTTTCACTAATTCAAACTGCCCTTACAAGTCATGCAAATAATTGAGATTCACAGCATCTTAAAAAGTCCTAATGTACAACAGAACATGCTGAGAAGTTTGACTAAGCATGGATTTAAAATCCAGCTCCACGTCTCCATAACCTTGACTAAGCAAGTTTTACTTTCTCCAAGCTTTAGTTTCTTTGGTAAAAAGGGTACAATGATAGACTGTATAAAGAAAATGTGGCACATACACACCATGGAATACTGTACAGCAATAAAAAAGAACAAGTTTATGTCTTTTGCAGGGACACCGATGAAGCTGGAAGCCATCATTCTCAGCAAACTAACACAGGAACAGAAAACCAAACACCGCATGTTCTCATTCATAAGTGTGAGCTGAACAATGAGAATACGTGGACACGGGGAAGGTAACATCACATACTGGGACCTGTGGGGGGCTGCGGGGCAAGGGGAGGGAGAGCATTAGGACAAATACTTAATGCATGCAGGGCTTAAAACCTAAATGACGGGTTGATAGGTGCAGCAAACCACCATGGCCCATGTATACCTATGCAACAAACACGCATGTTCTGCACAGGTATTCCAGAACTTAAAGTAAAATTTAAAAAAAAGAGAAGGAAAAACTTGTCAGAGACACTGGAACTACTTCCTAAAGGGCATAGAAAATGTCTTATTTCAGCTTAAGGTTTATCCAAATTGAGTCAGTAAATGATTTGTCAACTCAATGTGTTCCATGTGGAGGCAGGGAACTAGTTAAAAAAAGAAAAAGGTACAGTAATGGTACTGGTGTCATAGATTTGAGGGTTAACTAGAATAATGCATTATGTACTTCCAATAAAAAAGAGCTAATACCATGGCCATTATCATCACTATTGTTTCTACCATTTTCTATTAATTTCCCCTTGGATGGCTCACCCTGTCTTTAAACTCAATATGCCAATGCCTCACACCACCATGGTAAACTGCCAGAATCAAGCAGGAATAAAATGCAATCTGGGGTCTTGAAGAGAAACTAGGATAAATGGAGATAGAAATGGAGGGGATCAGGAAGGGTGATGTGGAAATTAGCAAGATTTAGAGCAGGGCCTCTCAAACTCCGCACTATCTGTTTATGGGCTGGACAGTTCTTTGTTATGGGAGCCTACTAGTGTATCGTGGGAAGTTTACCATCCTCCCTGCCTCCACCCACTCAATGCCAGTTACACTCCCCAGTTTTAAGAACCAAAAATGAATCCAGACATGGCCAAATTTCCCCTGGGGGGTCAAAACCATTCCAGTGAAGGACTTTTAATTTAAAGTAATGAAAATGGAGAGTCCTCAGGAGGAAGAGGTAGAAAGTGAAGACTAGAGGATTTAAAAGGCAAGTCCATTTTAATATGTGGAAAAAAACAAAGAGGGCAGGTGTTTTTGTTTTTGGGGTTTTGTTTGTTTGTTTGTTTTTTGGCAGGGGCTGAGGGGGTTGCTTGTCTGTTTGCCCATTTCAAAACCTTAGACCAGCCTAACAAAGAATTCCTGGATTTCCAAGGTGCTCAGGAGATGCAAGATGAAGAAATGAGCTAGTGAGGCTCCTTGACAATAACACAGTTTTCCCCAGATGGAAAGAGTGTCTAAGTCCAGATGACTAATGAAGAGTAAAGATCTTGGCTAATCACCAGAGGACTTTTTTCTCCCTTCAGTGGCCCTGGTTGCTGTGGAGATTTTAGAGTTTTCCACACAGCCCACGCCTGACCTCTCATCTCCCCACGGTGCTCAGACGGCCCAGGGAAATCCTGGAGGGGACCTGCCAAGGGCTGTGGCCGAGGAAGCAGATCTCCCTCCTTATCGGCGGAGTAGGTCAACTTCCCCCCATTCTTTCCAAGAGGAAAACGTACCAGGCAGCCAGGCTCATCAGAGCTGCCTGACAAAGGCCAACTGGTGAAGAGGTGAAGCAGAAATGGCCCAGCGGCCTGAGTATCAGCTACCCCTGACTCAGCTGCAGGGTTTTGCAGGCCAGGGCCAGAGAGGGGCAGGGAACAGCTGCTGGTTGTCCTCTAAGGCAACCTGCCTTTCCCCTACCACACAAGCCGTCATTACCCCCTTCCTTCCTCTCCCCGTCACTCTGAAGTGCCCTCTGTTTTCCCAATGTCACTTTGCTCTGGCAAAGTCAGGCAGGCCACACGAAAGGGGTTTCCTTAAGTTGAATATTAATTCAAATACTCCAAGTGAGCACTTAAAGGAGCTGGTACAGTGAAGTACTGTACGTAACCCCTAGAACGTTCTTTGTCACCCTAACTTTATCATTGTTCCTTTTGCTCTTATTCTGAGGCTTTCATCCACATCATCTCCTGTGTGAAAGATGTTTTCTACTTGCATTTTAAGCCACCCTTGAAGACAGGTAACAGAATGTACACATAGCACAGTATACATTCACTTATTTTTTAAATCCCCAACAACACATAACTTCATGTCAGGTACTGTGTAGGTGCTTGGTGAGGGCTTGTATAAATCGATAAATTGATCAAAAGTATCCGGCAATCAACAACTCCACTTCTTAGTTTTGTCTTGAATCTGAACATTCACTCACTCGCTAGCCCAGTGTCATTTGATCACTCAGTCTCTCATTTAACCACTGTGCAGTTATTTTCAGGGCACCTCCCAGGTGTCAGGCACCACACCAGGTGCTGGAGCCATAATGGTGGAAGAAAGACATTGTCCCCAAACTCATGAATATATGCCTAGCAGTGGGGTACACATTCATAAAGAAAAAAAAAATTTTTTTTTTGGTATTCCCAAGACTTTTCACTAATTCAAAGTGCCCTTTCAAGTCATGCAAATAATTTGAGATTCACAGTGTCTTAAAAAGCCCTAGAGCTCAACCATGTGCACCTTAAATAGAAAAATAAGTTTATGTTACATCACACTCAATTTAACTTACTTTCCTTCTTGGTCCATGCAAGATCTTTAGCTTCCCCCCACCGCTTCCTTTTATCTCTAATTTCTGCTCCCATTTTCTACCCCATAAACCGTACTATACAATTTTCAGTATGTATCCTTAAATATGCTTGTAATATTATAAATTTTGTGCTTTATGTATATGTATGCGCATGTGTGTTAAATTTACATTGAAGGTTTTGTGTTCAAAATCATATCCTGTTTCTTTTCTTTTTTCTATTTATTTTATTTATTTATTTATTTATTTATTTATTTATTTATTTATTTGAGATGGTGTCTCGCTCTATTGCCCAGGCTGGAGTGCAGTGGCATGATCTTGGCTCATGGCAACCTCTGCCTCCTGGGCTCAAGCAATTTTCCTTGCCTCAGCCTCCCGAATAGCTGGGACTACAGGCGCCCGCCACCCGGCCCAACTAATTTTTGTATTTCTTAGTAGAGATGGGGTTTCACCATGTTAGCCAGGCTGGTCTTCAACTCCTGACCTCAGGGTATCACCTGTCTCGGTCTCCCAAAGTGCTGGGATTACAGGCGTGAGCCACCATGCCCAGCCTCTTAATTAGAATTTTTATACAATCTGTACAGCCTGCTGTATCTTATGTGTTTAACGAATTAATACAGAATGCTGTATAGTATTTGTATCCATTTCTGGTTGCTGCTGTAACAAATTGCCACAAACTTAGTAGCTTGCACAATACAAATGAATCATCTTCCAACTCTCCAGGTCAGAAGTCTGAAATGCATCTCACTAAATCAAAAGTTTCACTAAATGCATCTCACTAAGGGCTAAAGTCAAGACATTGGCAGAGCTTCATTCCTTCCTAGGAGAAAATCTTCTGTTTTGTAAACTCTATGGCTCTAGGGAAAAATCTATTTCTTTGCCCTTTCTTGCTTCTAGAGGCCTCCCACATTTCTTGGCTTGTGGCCCCTTCCTCCATCTTCAAAGCTAGGAATGGCAGGCCAAGTCTTTCTCATGCCACATCACTCTGACACTAATTTTTCTGTCTCCTTCTTCCACATTTAAGGACCCTGGTTACATGGGCCTACAAGAATAATCCAGAATAATCTATTTTAAAATCAGCTTATTAGCAGCCTTACTTCCATCTAATCATCACCCTTTTTCCATGTAAGGTAACACATCCATAGGCTCCAGGAATTAGAATGTGGAGAGTGTGTGTGTGTGTATAATGGTGGGAAGAGACAAAGAATTATTCTGCCTATCACAGTATTCCATACTGTGTGTCCATTGTGTGTCTAATGAGTTAATAGAGAATAATGCATTGCACTGGTGCCCATTTCCTATTGCTGCTATAACAAACTGCCACAAATTTAGTGACTTACACCATCCAAGTATATTATCTTCCAGTTCCAGAGGTCAGAACAAAAAAAACATATACATAGGGTTTTTTGAGGTAGAGTCTTGTTATGTTGCTCAGGTTGGTCTCGAACTCTTGGGCCCAGCTGATCCTCCTGACTCAGCCTAGTTTTCTGTCTCCAGGGAAATAAGAGACACCAATTCCTTGCTAAAACAAACAGGGTCTTGTTGTTCATTCTAGCAGATCTGTGAGAGAATTTCTCTGGGATATATATATATACATATACATATACATATACATATACATATACATATACATATACACCTGGGGATGGGATTATTGAGTTTTAAATAGGATTTATAGTTATGATACTGCATGATTTCACAAAAGGAAATGTTCACTTTGACTCTCTAGCAGGCAGGCAGTATTTCTATGGAAAATACAAGAAGAAGATATTAGACCAGGCACAATGGCTCATGCCTGTAATCCCAACACTTTGGGAAGCTGAGGCTGGCAGGTCACTTGAGGTCAGGAGTTCAAGACCAGCCTGGCCAACATGGTAAAACTTCATCTCTACTAAAAATATAAAAATTATCCAGGTGTGGCGGCATGCACTGGTAATCCCAGCTACTCTGGAGGCCGAAGCAGGAGAATCGCTTGAACCTGGGAGGTGGAGGTTGCAGTGAGCTGAGATTGTGCCACTGCACTCCAGCCTGAGTGACAGAGTAAAGACTCCATCTCAAACAAAAAAAAAAGAAAGAAAAAGAATTCCACGACATTGCAGCTGTACACAAATTTTTCATCTTTTTCCACTTTCCAGGCATATGATGGGATCACCCCACTCTGACCTTTTTGAAGATAGGCATGCAACTTGTTTTGGCCAATGAAATGTGATGGGAAGTGATAATGTGCCCTCCAGAGAGAAGCTGTAAGAGCCAGTGCACAGCTTTACTACCTGCCACGGAGATCATAGACACCTATGCTGATATGAAACCTTCATCAAACGCTGGGTCTCTAAATGACTGCAATGGACAGAGACCCCTGCCCCATCACCAATAATCTTGCCAACCAACTGGACGTTTAGAATCAGGAAAAAGAAAATCAAGTTTTTATTAGGTAAAGCCACTGAATTGTGTGGCACTTGTTATTGTACCATTACATAGTCTATCCTGACCAACATGTCCTTAAAAACAGGAATAATCCAAATTTAAACATTTAGATGTCGAGAAATGTTATAAAGCACTTTCTTACCTATTATTTCTATGTTTATCACTTGATTCTGCCTTTATCCCTCAGGGTCATGGGCCGGTTTTCCTTTCCTTTCTATTCACCCTGTTGATGAAGATATATTCAAACTATCTCTTCATTATCTTGCTCACTGATTGGTGATACCTAGTGGTACCTCCAACTGACAGCGTGTTCCTTGAGTGCATGGGCCGCATTTTCTCATCAAGTCCAGGCACAATAGTTGCTATCTGTCATGCTTGTAGTGGTCAAGTAGTGCTGACTTAGGAAATTATTCTCCTAATTTTATATATACTAAAGGAGGCTCAGAGAGGACAGAAAACTGGCTAAGGTCACACAGCCAGGAAGAAGAGGTCAGGATGAGAACACCCAGGCCCCCCATGTAACATAATTCATTCTCGGCCAAATCCAGTCAGAAGAGTTCCACGGTACTATCCAGGACCTAACCCATCACTGCCTTGCCCACCCCACACAGACACAGACACTGAAGTTTAAACACAAGAGGGGCTGCATGGATTCCTTAGGGACTGGATGGATTCCCTTCTTTGTTTTCAAAGAATGTGCAAATAATGGCTCTGAAATCTATTTCTGATGAAATTCACATTAGGGCTAATTGCTTCACAGCATCTTGGTTACACATTTACTAATCCTTCCTCTTTGCTCATTTGCAAAGGATGCCTCACAAACATGCCTCATCAGATGGGACATCATACAGCATGATGTAAGCCCAGTGTCTCCAGAGATGTAAACAACTCAAATTGGCAAGTATCCTGGGAAGTAAATATAGACTGAAGGTATGGGGACATACATGGAACATCCAGTCCAGAAAAGAGGGCCCATGTTTGGTTTAAAATATAAATATAGAGCTTGAATGGGAGAAAAACCAAAATGTTCCATTTCCTCGTATATTGTCATAAATGTGGTTAACGGTGAACCCAAATGTACTGAGAGGCTTGGCTGTGAGCAGATGGTGCAGCTTCCTTATCAGTTCATCAGCTGGGCTAACATGACCCTGTAGAAATATATTTTTCTCCACTGCATCTGTGCAAATAAACACTGCCAATTTCTAATACCGAGCTGCTTGCCTGTAAAGTGATCTAAGTGATGTAAACTTAATAATTCACAAATGATGGCTTGCCTCCAGTTGGACCTAAAACATCAATTTGCTAATTCCTCTGATTTTCCCTTTTCTTCTTGCTCTTGACCCTGACAGATTATCACCTTGAATGTAGGTGAAAAGTTCCAACCTGGAGATCCCATTGTTTCTAGGACTCAAACTTCCAGTTCTTTGAAAGGAAATGATAGTTGTGACCCCAGAGAGCAGGAGGTGATTGTTAACAGTGCTATCCTCATGGTACTCTGAACCCGGAGCTCTGGCAACAGGGAGGCTGAAGGATTTGACCCCTGTGGAGTTAGGAACGGCCCTGAGGGTGCTAATTGTGCATGATGTAAGGAAGCTTGAGCCTTGGCATCAATCTCTGGATGAGATGATCCAGCCGGCTGCTCAAGAGCTTAGGATTTGGACCTGGATTCGAATCCTGCTCTGCCACGTAGTAGTTCCAGGCCCTTGCACTTAAAAAGTGTATTTAGGCCGGGCACGGTGGCTCACTCCTGTAATCCCAGCACTTTGGGAGGCCGAGGTGGGCAGATCACGAGATCAGGGGATTGAGACCATCCTGGCTAACGCAGTGAAACCCCATCTCTACTAAAACTACAAAATATTAGCTGGGCTTGGTGGCGGGCGCATGTAGTCCCAGCTACTCGGGAGGCTGAGGCAGGAAAATGGCGTGAACCCGGGAGGCGGAGCTTGCAGTGAGCCGAGATCATGCCACTGTACTCCAGCCTGGGCAACAGAGCAAGACTCCATCTCAAAAAAAAAAAAAAAAAAAAAGAAGTGTATTTAAACTTTCCCAGCATGTTCAACTGGAAAAGGAGTATAATACGCGACTCAGATAGTGTCATTGTGAGACTTGAGTAAAATTATTTATATAAATGCTTTACACAGTTCCTGTGTGAACTATTACATTAACAAAGAGAAGGATAGTAAGCATAGACATTCCACTGCGGAATAATGAGATATTTCTGCAGGAACAATACTCAGCCTGAAATAAGACTTCACGAACTAAGAAGGTCACCCAGGACACACAAATCTCTGGAGCCCGGAGGAGCAGGCTCTCCTAGAGGAGAAAAAAAGAGTTATCTAGATGGGCCAGAAGCATCCTCTTGGGATATGCTAACAGTGGTGAGGCTATGAGCATCATGGCCCATGGATCTGTCCAAGGAGAAGATGGCTGGGGAGGAAAGGTCACCCCACTGGAGCATATGGGAGTCAAGAGCACCCTCGCTTGAAGAGCCAGTTAGCTGCTGCCTGTGACAAAGAACCAACCCTCAAGGCAGACCCTCAAGGAGTGGTCAGTGCAGTGGCTTCTGCCATTGGAGGGCAACACCATGTGAGATCAGCAAAGGAAGGTTATTACTCTCTTGCTTAAAACCTTTCAATGGCTTCTCACTGCCATGGGAGGAAAACAAAACTCCTGTTCCATCGTAACAGGGCTACTCCTTTCTCGCTCTCCAGCATCGACTCCCCCCAAACTCTAAGCTCTGCTCTGCCACCCAACACAGCAAACTCTTTCTAAGTTCTCAGCCCTTGCAACATCACTCTCCCTTAGGTTCACCTACCTCCTCTGTGCCCAGTTCACTCCCATGAAGCTACACATTTCAGTTGCAGCATCATTTCTTCTTAGAAGCCTTTCAGAGGTATTCATAAGCACCCTCCCTATTGTGGCTGCAGCCCTCAAGGATCCTACAGGTCTAGGAGTGAATGGCTTTCCACCATGAATGGTCCCTGAGTGTTTCAAGCCCTCTGTTAATTCCCCTAGCCTCTATTTAGTACTGCCTCCTTTAAAGACTCTTCAAAATCTCAAGTTTTACTAGAATCTTGGCTATCTCTTTCCCAAATCAGAAAAAAATGTCAGAGACCTCAAGTTTACATACCACACTTGACTCTCTAATCATTCCATGAAGTTTACTGCTGCCTCCTCAGCTACCACAGCATCAGCTTATAAATTGGGGCAATCAGCATGTTTTAAGGCAGCCGAGTGAGAGCTGCTGAGTGGCCAGTCCAAGACAGGCTCAGAAAAAAGGACCAGGATGTTCCAGCACATGATTCTTCCCCAACTGTCTGCACATGTGCAGAGCTAACATCACACAGTGGGAGGTTCCTTGGAGCTTTAAACAATTTAAGACAAGTATAAGCCCTGAGCTGAGGGAGATGCTGAAATGAGAGCAAACGGGTGAAATCATCCTTCCTCAAGTGATGGTGCCAAGGGCATCAACGCCTCTGTGGTATCCCAGGTAATGTGAGTGCTTCCTACAGGGAATGCAGAGCTGATTGGGAAATTGGAAGAGCTGCGTCTGCATGGCATGTAAATACACTAAGGTCTGCTCTTCCCGGGTGTTTTGGGATCCCAACATCACCAGCAGCTGCCTTGGGAAGTTTTCACTCTGGAAATTTATTTAAAATTATTTAAAGCCCATCCCGCCTCCATGATCTTCCTATCATTTTCTGAATGTATGCTTTTCAACACTATGATTGTGGTCTGTCTCCCCAGAAATGTGCTGCCAAACCTCAACCTGGCCAACACTGAAACACCCAAAGGGGTTTCTGAAAGGTAGAGATTGAAGCTTCTAATCCTAGAGGCCACTAGTGACTTGGAAAGTTGACATCCAGCTAGTGTCTCAGATCAAACTCCCCAGCTCATGCACCACCCCACAATGAGGTCTGGATTTGGCTCAAAGTGGGCCAGAGGGTCTTGCTTGCTTCGTATCTATGAACTTTAGTGGGAGTTTGTCATTATTGGCAGCTCACCACCCATTCTCCTTCCTTTTGGGCTTGATTGCTCTTGCATAGGGCAGGCATTGTCTGATGGCAAATCCAGATAACTCCAATCGTAGTTGGGCAGCTGAAGCCAGACAGGGAGAAAGCAGGCTAACTTAAGCAAATTAAGCAGTCCCTCCCGGGATTTTGAATCTTTAGCAAATCACTGCAGGTCAGAAAAGAAATGGGTTAGAATTCATTATATCAGGTATGATTGAGTGACTTGCTAAGTTACTCTAATAGCTGAAGTCTAGCTGCAAAATACTACAAATCACAGGTGTTAGTAAGGATTTAAAACCATCAACATAAAAGTTTCAATGCCAAGAACCTACTACGTGTGGGGGCAGTGTTGATACCCCACCCAGATCCTCCGGAGTATCTTTGTGCTGCATGTGTACAGCCCTGGCTTCTGTGTGTTTTTACTTAAAACAGCCAGCAACAGGAGCTCTTAACAGATTCTGATCTCGGGCAAATGAAGCCAGCCTTGCTCACAAGCATGAGAGGCCACAAGTTCCTTGGAATGTATGTCCCTATGTCCTTCCCCTCCTCCTGGCTCTTAACAAATGACTGCAAGGTGCAGCAGGAGGAAATCCTCATCTCCCCTGCCCCAGATTCTAAGGTGTAGCTTGCCCTCCTAAGTCTTCCTTATGGAATCAGGCTGAAGATCCCCCTGGAGGACTTTGCCCAAACTTGCTATCTCCCTTGGCATCTTCCCCTGTCCTGCCCTGCCTCCCCACTTCTTGCTCTTCCCTGGGAGTCTCTTCTTGTACCTGTATCCTCATTCCAGGGTCTGTTCCTGGGGTCATCTCAGTTTCATTAACTCCAATATTTCATTCACCGCTACAGCAGCATTTTCAAATGTGAAAGCGAGAAAGTGTAGATGGGATGTGTGTGTGTGTGTGTGTGTGTGTGTGTGCCAATATCTATATTGAATATATAGATATAGGCACATATATATACATGTGCCAATATCTCATCCTGTCACCCAGGCTGGACAGGCTGGAGTACAGTGCTGTGAGCCTGACAATATGACCTTGCTATATGCCAATATCTATACTGAATATAGATATATTCTACATATATATGCCAATATAGACTCATTCCTAAAGAGTCAAGGAATAGCTCAAAAAATTAGAGTCTTCCTTCACAAGCATTCCTTAGGGATATGACATCAATGCAAATATCTAAAGGATTTTGTGGCTATTTCTTCTTTTGGACCACTTCTTGGGAATAATGTATTCCACAAGTTTTCTGCAGTGAGACAGTGACCAGTGGAAAGACTGTAGGGGCAGATAACTATGGCTTTGTAATTTGCCTCTGCCATTGACTAGCTCTGTGGTATTAGAATTCCAATATTAAAATGTCTATCCAACTTCCTTTCTGTAACATGGGACAGTCATCACGCCCCTGACAGTTCCTAGTGAGGACCACACATGCAAAGTGCCTATTCAATACCTGGCACACAGTAGGACTCAATGAAATTTATTTTCTGTTCTACATCTTACTCTCTTTTAAAGATACAGACCCAGGATTTACAGTGACTGACGGACACAGGAGGCTGAGAAATAGTCTAATTCAAGAGACTGTTGAAACTCGTTACTTGGTAATCCCCTCGAAGGCAGAAGCTAAATCTTTTAAGTATTCAGTACAGTGCCAAGCGTGCTGGAGTTGCCCAATAAGCATTTAAATAATAATAGTTGCTTAAAGACTAGATTTTGGTCTCAGTTTCCTTGGAGAGGTTGCCACCTTGTGGACAGTGGTTGAAACAGCACACCTCTGACGCCCATGTTATTCCTAGAGTCTATTAAATGATAATAATTTTATTTGCTACCATGTATAGTCCCTGAGAGTCTGCACAAGCAATAATATATTTCCAAGAAGAACAAAGAGCAATTTAGAAGGAAACAATGCAACTTATTTGGTTACTAAAAAAGTCAGTCCTTTTCTTCTTTTTTCCTAAGAGACAGGGTCTCACCCTGTTTCACAGGCTGGAGTGCAGTGGCGCCATCATAGCTCACTGTCACCTACTCAGGCAATCCTCCTGCCTAGGCCACCCAAAGAACTTGGATTACAGGTGCGCCCCACCATGCCTGGCACTAGTGAGTACATTTTCTTTGTCCTAATTCTTAGATTAGAGGCTTCATCTTGTCCATTTTCTGGCCCTGAGAAATAAGGGTAAACATTAGCATTATTTCAAAGCACATTAACCATCTACAAGAATTGTACTCTAAGCTAAGCCAAGCGACAAGACCATACTGAGTTGTTCTCAGTCCACTGGTAGCTGGCGTGGTCAGTAGAAAACCCTATAGAAATGTCTAGTCTCTGCCACTCTGAAACATCAAGCACCCTCCAAGCTTCTGAGATCTAAGACATAAAGTCACCCTTTGGGGAAACACACATGCAACATACAACTGATTTTCCAAATGTTGGATATATTGACAAAACAGAGCAGAAAGGAAATTCTACACGAGAGTGGTGGGAGGGGGTAAACTCCTAGGATCGCATTCAATGATTGATGATAAAATGGAAAGAACACCGCTTTAAAGATCAGATGACTATATGTATGAATCTCTACTGTGTAATCTCGGACACATTTCCAGACTTCCTAAGGCTGAATTTCCTCACCTGTAAAATGGGTTGACAGAGTTTCCTGCATATAACCACCAAACAGCCACTTCTAGTTATGGTTCCCGGGCGTAACCCCCGGACCTGCCCATCATGAGGTGGAGACTTTGAAGCACTCCCAGCATTCGAGAAACCGCCACTGTGCAATGTGCAAGAGCTTGGGCCTCTGTGATTCACGTCATGGTGTCCTGTATTACTCAGCTCATCCTCCCATCTCACCAATCAGCTGTTTTCACAGTGAGTCCATGGAAGTCAGGGGTCAAAGCAGCACTTTAACGAATGCCCACAATTTCCTGAACAGAGTTTTCAAGTAAAGCCAATAACGTAAGAAAAGCGCTACCCACTTCCATCAATTCATTTCTGCCCCTGCTTCCTGAAAGATCCCAATGAGTGATTGTGATCAGCTCCCCGAACCCTTTCAGCTAATTGGCCCCAAAAAAAAAAGAGGTTCGGGAGTGGAATTCGTGTGACGTGGTCCAGTCTTGGCTTTCGCCGTTACTAGCAGTTATTTCCTGCATCGAAAGGGGAAGCTGAAAGGATATTTATGTTGGTGACAAAAGGCCTCAGACTGGTGCTAGGTAAAAGTAAATTGGGGTGGAAGTGAGGATCATCAGGAGAGTTACTGTAAGGGACCTGCACTCATCCCAGAGCAGAACACGTGCCAAGATCCCTTCACTTGTGGATCAGTCTAAGTGTCTTTGTTTCTAGAGAAGGCAAAAGATTCTAGCTGACTCATTTCCCACCTACTGTGCTGTCCTGACTCATTTCCCACCTGGCATCGGTTTCTCAGATGAGATCCTCTTGTTGACATCTGATTGGATTTTCCTTGGCATTACTCTAGGAAAGAATCCTACACATTAATACTGAGTAAGTGCCCAGGTTGGGGGTAGAAATCAAGTGTGGCAATTTACTGGTGAGGAGAGATCAGAGGTGAAAAGGCTCAATGCAGAGCGAAAAAACCTGGGGTGAGCCATGGAAGAGGGAGCTATAGGCCTGTATCACCCTTGAGCAAGGGACTTAACAAGCGTCAGTTTCTTAATCTATAGAATGGGCTTAATATTCACACAGCAGAGCCCTGTGATGAAAAGTAAAATTATTCTCTTCCTTTGGAATTTTATAAGAATGCACATTGAAATCACCTATGAAAAGTACTTTCCACATACTTGACACTTAATGGCTACTCAGAAAATGGTATTTTATCTCTGTAATGATCCAGGGTGGCAAACATTGTTGAACCTGTTTTAGGAAGGCAGCTCAGTAAAACTTTTTAAAGATCACACATCTAGTAAGTGTTTGGGTTTGAGGGGGCATGAAATTCAGTTCCAGATCTAAAGCTTATAGCCTTCCCAATGAGGGCAGAGATCCTAAAGCTTCTGTGGGTATCACAATCTCTTGTGAGGCTGCTTAAAAGTGAACATTTTGGCCAGGAACAGTGGGGCTCATGCCTGTAATCCCTACACTTTGGGAGGCTGAGGCTGGCAGATTGCTTGAGTCCAGGAGTTCGAGACCAACCTGAGGAACATGGTGAAACCTCGTTTCTACAAAACATACAAAAAATTAGACAGGCATAGTGGCATGTGCCTGTAGTTTCAGCTACTGGGGCTGGACTGCTTGAACCAGGAGATTGAACCAGCATCCGACCTGGATGTCTGAGTTTTAGGAATGGTGTCTTCCTCCCATGTAGGGAGACACCTCTATAGGGGCCAGTGACCCTGGGTCTGCACAGCTGTCATGTCTGGGGTCCTGGTTACCTAATTTGGCAAGTGCCCTCAGGTGGCCCTGACACAAAGCGCCTGTTAACCATGACAAACCTCGAGTCTGATAGTCTTGTTTCTCTGCCTTCTCCAGGCGTTGGGACCACAGTACAGCCTGTTCTCCTTCAGCACTTGGATCCTAAGGGATGCACTTCCCTTGCAAAGGAGGAAAGAAATCACTTCTGGGAGCCACTCCCATCACCAGCTCATCTGCCTCCCACACCCTGCAAGGAGCTCTTTAGTCATTTGTCCATAGTAATCCTCTGTGGAAGACAACTGTGCCCCCCGGCCCGCCACCCCAGGGGATCTGGCAATATGTGCAGACATTTTTGGCTATCACAAGTAAGAGGTGAGTGCTACTGATGGTGATCTACAGATCACAGCGAAGAACACTGCTAAACATCTTACGCTGCACTGGGTGAGCCCTCCCCACTGCCCAACAAAGAATTATCCGATGTCAATTATCAGCAGTGACCAAGGTTATGAAACCCAGAATGAGAGATTCATCCAATCTTTAGTTCTTCTGCTAGAAAGCCAATGTCTCCAAAAGTATTTCCTCAAGAGGCAAGATAAGGAAGCATTCAAATATTTGTAAAACAAGGCAGAGGAAAGGAAAATGGCAGGTGTTCATTGATTCTCTATACATACGTTGTTGCATTTTACATGTGCATTTGGTTGCTTTTTTGGCTTTGTTTTCATTTACATCAGCCCCTGTGAGATGGGGACTTTTATTACCTCCATACTACAGAAGGGGAAATGGATACCCCTCTGGATAAAGCAACCTTTCAAAATCACGGGCTGGGATTCAAACCCTGGGCTTCCTGACTCTGAACCTGGTGCCCCTTTCTGAATTCCACAAACCATCTTAGATCAGCCGGGGAGGAAATGGAACAGTCAAGTCTGATAATAGGAGGAGGCAGGGTCCTTCTATGCTTCCCCTTTCAGTGTCTTGCCTGGGAAATGTAAATAATTTAGAGCACAGGGGCCGGAGGGATAATTACCCTGTCTGGTTTCAGAGGCCACCCAGATGGGTGTTAAGGACGAGCTGGAACTCACAACCCCCTCCCCACCACCCATGCCCTACGCTCACCTCTCTCCCTCTAACCCGCGTGCTTTCAGACTCTTGCCGTTCCAGGGCTTAGAGCCCCCTCTCATTCACAAGTCCTGCCCTTTCACCAGGGAAAAGGCAAAAGGTCAAGATATTTGGCAACCAAGTCCCTCAAGTAAAGAAACAGCATTACAGGCTGAGTAAAATGGTATGAAGGCAACACTCAATCAACATGTGTGTTTTTGATGCCTACTGTATGCAAGTCTCTATGCCAAGAACACTGAGGACAGGGAGGTTGAGATAGAGTATTCATCCCCCTCCCATTCATCACAAAAAGCTTTACCGAGCATATAGATTATGCTCATCCCAGTGCTAGGCTCTGATGTACCAGGAGAAATAAAACAGGATCCCTGACCTCAAAAGGCCTGTGGTCTCATAAAAGTGCTAGTTAAGACACACACTGATAGCAGGATGGAGAATGCATAGTCAATGACCTGTGTGTTTGATGGATGGATGGATGAATGAATAAACGAAGTGGTATTAAACAAGGGATGAGTACCATTCCAAAAGTGCAGTTAAAGTGTTGGGGAAGGGTGCAGAAGTGAGTGAAATATGACCTGCAACCAGGAAAAATTTATGGGATGGATTGGCCTTTAGGCTTAACAAGATTTACACACGGGCATGAGAAGAGCTACATCCTGGAAGAGGAGAATTAGTCAAAATTTTGGGGGGTAAATACCTTTTCAGACTGGAGGGAGAAATTTTTCCAGAGGTCAAAGCTGTCTGGGAAGACAGATGGGACAGGTACTCTAACCCTTGTCCAGGTACTCAACACAGAGGAGATTGTATCTGGAGGCCTTCTTATATTATCTCACTAAGACTCATGAGAACCAGCAGGTATGTGCTCTTAAGAAACGCATTTAACAGAGGAAGAAGCTGAAACTACCCACCTACAACTCCAGAAGGTAAGTGGTAGAGCCCAGGTAGGATCCCAGGGGCCCTTTGATTCAGTTTCTGGGGCAGGAGTCTGCACACTATGGCATGTGGGTCAAATCTGACGTGTCACCTCTTTATGTAAATACAGTTTTACTGGAGCACAGACATACTCATTTGCACATTGTCTATTGCTCCTTCCATGCTACAACAGCAGAGTTGAGTAGTTACAACAGAGACCACAAGGTTTGCAAAACCTGAAGTATTTACAATCTGGCCCTTTACAGAAAAAGTCTGCAGACTGCTACCCTAGAGCTCACTCTCTCGGCTTGCGTGGCCCAGCGAGCTTTGGGCTGGCAGCACCAGCTGGAGCCGTCAACCTAGCAGACATTCCCTGCCCTTGGACACTGCCAGCCCTTCCTTCTTTGATGGGGCAGAGCCGGTGGGGAGGCAGAACTCAATGGTCTTCCCAGAACGTATTAAGTCCTGTAAGAAAGCACATCCCTTGAGAATTTGAATTCCTGTGGCATCTCTACTATTTATATTAAAAACACCACAAAAACTCATTTTTCATGCTATTTCAGCTGAAAACAGCCATGGCAGGACCACAATCCGGAGATCAAGACGGAGTGGGGAGAGCATGTTTGTGGAGTCAGGGCTTAGCGTGCCCCAGGTTGCCTGTCCCAGGTGCACTGGGCCCAGGCCAGGTTTCTTTCTGGGATAGGGGGCTTGAGGAAGAGGGTAAATCAAGAGGGGAAAAGGTACCTCGCTGGAAACCTTGCCTCCTCTCATCTAGAAAAGCATGAAAACACAAGCTGGCGTTCACACGTCCACCTTGTTCGACAACCTAACATGGGTCATTAATTGAAATAAAATGAAACCAAATGGAACCCAGATGTTCGCATATATTCACTTGCACACAATTCATAGGCAAATCACCAAATGAAAATGTGCAAAGATATTCACAGTAGTTACTTGAAGGGTATGCGGCTACCTTGTTGTCTCTACCTCAACTCTTAGTTTTGTTTTGTTTTATGGCACTTAAGCAAAGAACAGGAGAAAAAAAAGGCATAGATGTACAACTCAGAATTATTCTGTGTTTCACCGCCATAAGAATGTCAACCCCACAACTCCACAACAGACTCTGTCTGTTGTTCATGGTTGTATCCCTGATGCCCAGAACACAGCCTGGAACACAGTAAGTATCCAATGAATCGTTGTTTATTTAATAAACACATATTTTATATATGCCAGGTGATTCACAAGCAACATACATTAGTGTTACAGTAAAGAAAACACATTATTTAAAAGTATGTATCAATCAATTAAAAAAAGAATGTCTTAGCTAATAAACATTCATTGACTACCTACTATGCGTTCACATTACTGTTTTTCTTTGCCTTCAGGAGACCTTGCACAGTCAATATTCATAAGAAATATTCAATTAATGCCTCACAAACATTCCTGACCATACAAACTGTACAAACGCCACCACAATTACCACATACTTTGAGGATGATATATAAAAACAATAGAATAACTACTCATCTTTAAGAAATCAATTATTCCAATGAGCCTATCATACAATCCCCAAGAGTCTGGAGTGTATTTCCCGGGGAGACAATGAAACTGAATTGCAACCGTGGTGCAGAGGAGAACCCAAAGTTGTTTTGCATAAGTTGTCATGGGCCATTATGATGCTGGCAACTTCTATGAATAAACAAGTCAGCATTTGTGAAAGTTTCCAACACAATGCATGGCACCCAATATGCCCCATTTCGCTAACCTCCACTGAGCCCCAAGCTCTGAAGATCAAAGTCAAAGCACGAAATGAACGTGAGAGAGCTGGAAAGCTAACTACAAAGCCTCTAAAAGTTACGTAAGTCAATATGGGCTTTGTCCTAAGCATGCGACGCTGAGGCAGACTTTTAACTCATTTTTGTTTTCCTTTTTACAAACTTGTCAATGAAACCTTTATTTGAAAAACCACTCCTTAATGTCGAGTAGGAAAAGACACCAGAGAATAGCCAAGATTGCAAAATAATGGCCGGCCTGGCTGCACCGCCCAAGACTGGCTCTCTGGTGGCCGGGCACAGGGGCTCACACCTGTAATCCCAGCATTTTGGGAGGCCGAGGCAGGCTGATCACCTGTGAAGTTCAAGACCAGCCTGGCCAACATGGAGAAACCGTGTCTCTACTAAAAGTACAAAAATTAGCCAGGTATGGTGGCAGGCACCTATAACCCCAGCTACTCACAAGGCTGAGGCAGGAAAATTGCTTGAACCCAGGAGGTGGAAGTTGCAGTGAGCTGAGATTGCACCACTGCACTCCAGCCTGGGCAACAAGAGAGACACTCCGTCTCAAAAAAAAAAAAAAAAAAAAAAGACTGGCTCTCTGGTAAAACCATACTGGAGCTTGGATGTAATAATAAACCCCACAACGCTGAGTGTTAACCTGCTCCCTGTGACCCTTCATTGTTAAAGATGCTGGTGACTGCTACAAGGTTATCCACTTCACATCTGCCAGCTGGGAAGTTGTGCAAACGGCATGTAGGGGGAAGTGAAGGGCAGCTGGGAAAATGAAAAACACCTTCAGAAAGTGAAATAAACTTTCTTAAGAAGATACCACCCTCCGCTAGCCATATACCAAACCGTAAAAAGAAAGAAAAATATTAGGCCTACGCCACATGGAACAACAAGACAATCCTTGTATCTCAAGGAGGTAAAAAAACCCACACCAAAATAGCAGCCAGATGTCCCCAGTGCCACTCTCTTTAAGAAAGATTACCAAATGACGGACAATCAGACATTATTCATTCTGCAAATAAATATTAATGACCGGCTCTACGGCGGCCTAGGTGCTGGGAAAAAAAAAGACCAAATAGTCTCTACACTTAACAAGTATGATTAGCTCCTTAACAACATGCTCAAATTCGCTAATGGCCTCCTATGAGCAAAGTTCATTGTGCTTTACAGATGTTATTGTCTATTCAATATATGTCTATTAAGCCCCAAGCATGCACACGGCACTGTGGCACTGTTGCAGGCACTAGGGTTACCAAAAACAGACAAAAGTCCCCTGTTATGCATCTCATTTTAAGCTCAATTTATCACCATGTAGCAGATATCATTATTCCCATTTTAGAGAGAGGAAAAGTGTGGTTAGCCCTAACCCACCCAGGTCAAACACTAGTGAAGGCCAGAGCCAGGACTTCGGCCCAGCCCACCTTTAGGTCCTTGACCTTTCCCTGATCCAAGGGTCAAAAGCAAACACAAATGTCTGCAAGGGCTAGGATGACAAAAATTACAATGGGCCAGGTTTATCCCATCATAGCCACTTATGTTTTGTTTTGTTTTCTTATTAAACAAACTATTAACTCACAGTTCTATTTTCCACTTCAGTCCCCAAACAATAATAATGCTTCCTCTCATTTTTCTTGAAAACCAGCCCTTTCATGCTAACTTTTTGTTCCCTGAGACAAAGCCATAGGTAACAGGAAATACATCACTTTCTTATCTTTTCTTTCCTTTTTTTTTTTTTTTTTTTTTTTTTGGAGACAGGTCTCACTCTGTCACCCAAGCTGGAGTGCAGTGGTGCGATTTCAGCTCACTGCAACCTCCGTCTCCTGGGTTCAAGTGAAACTTCTGCCTCAGCCTCCTGAGTAGCTGGGATTACAGGCATGCACCCCCATGCCTGGCTAGTTTTTATTTTTAGTAGAGATAGGGTTTCACCATGTTGGCCAGGCTGGTCTTGAACTCCTGGCCTCAAGTGACCTGCTCACCTCAGCCTCCCAAAGTGCTGGGACTACAGGTGTGAGCCACCATGCCCAGCCTTCACTTTCCTTTTAACACTGTTGTGAGAAATAATTAGAATGAGAATGGTGATAAATGGGAAACTGACTCTCATCCACCCAAACATTGAGGAGGCAATGGCAGTTGCTTCTTGGCCTCAGCTTACAGTTACCATGCAAAAAGTAGGCCAAACATTGCCTCTGAGTTTTCAAATGAAGCCAGAAATTTAGAATGCTATGTCAGATCTTCCAGTACTTAGATACTGACAATCAATTAAAACTTTTGAAAAACTATGTATGCCAGTATTTTACTAGCTCAACAATACATATTTTGGTATTAAATCTGGCAGCGATCTCCAATTTACAAGCTCCACATTATTCCTAGTATTCTTTTTAGCAAATATCATGCATATTGCACAGTACTTTTATTTATTTAGAATACCTATCGATGATCTTTCTGTATTTATAGATAGGCCATGAGACCAATTACATACAGAAGAAAAATGTGTTTATATCAAAGTACACTATATTCCAAGTATCAAATGTAAGATGGTGACAATAACTGAAGTGAAAATTGAAAGAGGGGAGAGGTTGCCTGATTCCTGAATAGCTGTCAAGGAGGAGAGGAGACTCTACCTTGGTTTATGGATGGGTCCAATATGGACATACAGAAAAGTAGGTCAAGAAGAGATGAAGCATGAGAAAAACCTTGGAGATGAATGTGAGAATGTTTAGTTGCTCATTAATATTTAAGGAGGAGTAAATATAAGAATATTGGAAGATCACTTGAGGCCAGGAGTTTCAGACCAGCTGGGACAATACAGCATTTCTACAAAAGATAGTTTTAAAATTACCTGAGCGTGATGGCATGCACCTGTAGTCCCAGCTACTCAGGAGGATTGCTTGAGCCCAGGAGTTGGAGGCCGCAGTAGGCTATGATTGCACCCCTGCACAATAGCCTGGGCAACAGAGCAAGACTATCTGTTTAAAAACAAATAAACAAACAAACCAACCTGAAAAAAATAACACTGATAGAGTAAAAAATATGACAAGGAACTTGTAGAAGGTGAGGACAGAAGGTTATGCTGTGGAAAATAATAGTGTATAAAATGGGGAAGGTATCTGGTCTACTTCATGACATCAGGTTAGAGTTCAGACTCAACTCTTGAGGAAGAAGTTGTGCTATACATCTTTTGATATCTCCTGCATCTAACACAGTGCTTAACATGTAGAAAGCTTCCAATAAAATATTAAAGATGGAATGAGGTCACATGCACAATGGCATTTTGACGAACACAAAGCATGCACGACATCATGCGATTATTAATATTGATGAGGAAAGAGTATTCAAAGGAAATTTCCATAGGATTCCTGAGAGATGAATAATAAATTGAGGGTCTCTGGCAATCGTTAACATTGTTGTCAAAGTTCAACAGGCATTTCCTTCTCAAAAACAATGAAGGGAAACCCATTCTACTGGTTCCTGCTACAACTGGGGATATTATGCCAAAAGGGCAAGAGGAATAGAGATTCCTATGTGGCCCTTTTTGAATTTCGGAATTGAGACACACTCTACCCTTCCCCCCACCCAGTCTCCCCTAATTAAAAAAAAAATAGCAATAGCCTTTAATATAAGCAAACAGGAAGTTTTACATTCACCAAATGCTACAGTTCACCTTCCATTGCATGACAGCTCAAGCTATGGAATCAGACAGACCTGGGTTCAGGTCCCAGCTCAGCAATTTATTAGCTCTGCCACTTTAGACAAGTTACTGAGCTTCTTTGAGCCTTTGTAAGAAGATGAGGCAGCAAAAGCAACACCTATCTCATACAACTTATGAGGATGATGGAAGTGATGAATAGGAAACCTAATTACCCACATGTAAATACCAGCTTGGAGACAAAATGATCTCATTTCAAGGAGACATCAAAAGCCAATGAGACAATTTCTGTTGAGTTGAAAATCCCACAAAGATTTCATCCACGTTGTAAATTGGTACTTGATATTAATCTATTTTTTGACTCCTCCTAAGTGCAGTGTTGCCTTCACACGTAGCTGCGTCTCTCAGCAGGGTGATCCATATCCACAGATTGCCCACAGCTGTCTCAACCACATGAAAGACCCAGACACTCCCAAATGACCCACTGGCACAAGGTAGCCATTCATCAAATGCTAGAAGCTCAGCACCAGACACAATGAAAGGTTAGCGCTCGGTTTTTATTGCGTCGGTATTAGCTTTCCCTGTCTGCAGCCATTTGATTGGTACAAAGCTTTACACTGTTTACAAATGTTTTAGAGTCCTGGCCTTTTCTTCTTATTGACTTTTACATACTCACATCATTAATCTTTAATTTTCATTGGAAACTACATCCAGCAATCAAAATGAAATGCTGCCTTCTGCCATGTGCCTCAAAAGTCCTGATGAATTGCACACCACTAAAGAGTCTAGGTAGAGTACAGTGTGTTGGGAGGAGAATTGCCATTACTCATTCTATGCAAAAGTTGAAACTGTTATTTTTGTGACACCGCATGTGCACTTGATACCAGCCACGTATTTTCTAGCATACAGTGAGCATTTCATACAGAGCAGTGGTTTTTATTGGCTATGGTTATCTCCATAACTGATATCCTTGAGAAAAACAATTGATATTTATCAAAGATAGGAAGTAACTTCTGAAGTAAATAACATTCTTTGTCAGTGATAACTGTTACAGAAATAGCAGAGCAATGAAAGAAGTAGCAGTGTCACTATATAATCCAAGCTTGAGAGTGCTGAACAAGGGTGTAATGCAATTTGCCATTTTGCTTACTGATGTCACATATAAATGGGGAAGACACAGTGGCATACTTTTGAGAAAAAGGAATTGTTTTCAGATTTCTTTCAAATAATTTCCAAGATCAGCATTGTCAAGTGCAACAATCTGTAATGATGGAAAAGTTGCACAACAGCAAAAAGCTGGCATGCATCTGTGTCATTAAAAACTCAGTATGATTTAACAAATTTTAGCTAAGATTTAAAAATACCGTGTTATGTGATGTGGATATGCCAGACATTACTTAGTTACTCCCCTACTTTTTCTTATTATAGTTATTTTTCATTTTTTTATTGTAAATATTTTCATAATGTCAATCAAAGAGTACTTTTGAGATCCAATGATATATACTGAAACTTTGAGAAGCTAGTTATGCCATTAGGAATCCCAGTCTCTTAAGAGTTTTGCTTACCATTTAAGACGAATCTGAAAGAAACAGTCAATCAACATTGCATTAATCCATTAATGAATATAATTATATGGATGTAACTGAGACAGGATTTTCAATACACAAAACGTGTGCTGTTAAGAAATAGATAAAAAGGAAGCCTATAAAGATTTTACCCCAAGTTGCAATAGTTCCTTGCTATCAAATTTTTGGATTGGTTTATAAAACTTTATGTTCAATACTTCCTGTTTAATTCATGAAGCATATTCTGGCCAATATGGGTGAAACCACAGAGAAAGAAAAGTAAACAAGTATACTTAGGATAATTCATGGTAATTGCTCTTATGAAAGAGATTATGAATCATTTTATCTCTACAAATTTGATGCATTTCCAAGCATTCTGGTGTGGCACAAGAATATTACAGATTCAATTCCTCAATTCCCAAGCATTTCCTGTTTCCCAAGCCTTCTGATGTGGTACAAGAATATTAAAGACTCATTTCCTGATTTTGATAAAGTTACAGTGTGGCTGGGAGGCAAGACATGCACAAAGATACTAAACATAAGTTTACATAAGTTATGTCAAAGTAAATGCTTTGAAAGAAAAGGTAAAATCTCCATGACTGGGATGTCAGGATAATGCCATAAGGGAGTGGATGAAAATTTGTCTTTGAGGAATGCAGTAAGCCTCATAAAATCATCATAAAGAAGAATGGAAAATAAAGACTCCTGGTGTGTCTGCGAAATAATTAGAGGACTAATCTGTGTAGAGGAAATACATTTATTGGAGGCAGGTGAGGTAAGGTAAAAGAAGGCAAAGACACTGGCTGCAGTCTGAATCTTCAGGGCTTTATTCTACACCCAATAGAGATGTCATTTAACAACGTAATGACTTACAAAGATTCTTGCTTTCAGATATTGGTCCGAGCATGATGTGATCAGGGGAAAGAACGGTGGGGACAGGAAGATCACTTTAGGGAGCCATCTTGCACATTTGGAATAAGAGGAGAATACAGGAGAATAAAATATGAACTCAATGACATCAGCAGAAATAAAAATTCTTTCAGAGGGATACTGAAGAAGCATGATTAACAGACTTTTGAGGTTATATGGATATTGTCAAAGAGGCAATGCATCATAAAAAACCACCCTAAAATTGTAAACTCAGTTGTTGGAAGAACTTATGATATGACCACTGAGAAAAAGAGAAGTTAAAGAAAAGTATTAATTTAGGAATGGCAGAGACCAGATGATATATGAGTCTGGTTTAAGACATGCTGAATTGAATCTATTGATATATTACTAGATGGAGGGACTTAGAGGATGGTTAAAAATATTTGGCTGAAGCTCAGGAAAGAGATTGGACACTGGGAGTCCCCTGTTGGACAGCTGAAGCTATAACATTAGATGAGCTCACCAAGGGAGAGGTGTTATGCAAAGAAGATTGCAATCCTGGGACCAAGACTTAAGGAATGTCCACACATAAAGACAGGAGACAAAGAAGTTGGTGTTAAAGAGAAAGAAACAACCAGAAAGACAGGATGGGAATTGATGTCTTGGAAAAGTATGGGATCCCGAGATAGTTACCTTTGAGGACTACTCAGAGTTCTGAAACATATTTTAGCCACAGGACCTTTTTGTCAAGTGAAAAATCTGTGAGAAACCTGAGAATAGCAGAACTGCTCCAGTACGAGATGGGTTGGAGACTTGAAGAACTGATGTTTCAGTAGGGCATGGTGGCTCACACCTGTAATCGCAGCACTCTGGGAGGCTGACACAGGAGGATCATTTGAGTCCAGGAGTTCAAGACCAGCCTGGGTGACATGGCAAAACCCCATCTCTACAAAAAAATACAAAAATTAGCTGGGTATGGTAGCACATGCCTGTTGTCCTAGCTACTCGGGAGGCTGAGGTAGAAGGACTGATTTAGCCCTGGGAGGTTGAAGCTGCAGTGAGCCATGATCAGGCTGACAGAGCAAGACCCTGTCTCGAAAGCAGATGAAAATCAAACTGTCATCTCAGCCCTCCCATCTCCAACCTGACCCCCACCCCAAGCATTCACCGCTACTAAGGGAGTGCTGGTTGACAAAGACTCCATAAAACAGAGCTTGAAAATCGTTGACTTTTGATTCTTTTTATTTTAAAGATGAGGAAACTGGAACACCGTGAGGAAAAGTGAAGAGATTATCAGTGACAGAATCATGAGTTTCATCCCCTGATTTCTGGTCTGTTAGTCTTTAATTAGCAACAATGCTTCTTACAGTGCCCAGAAACCTGAGAGAGAAGAGAGGTTCAGGGAGGAAGGATGGTGGCCTGTGTACAGAGTACACGGGGGATGAGGGAGTCCTAGAGGTGCTCCCAGCCCAACACAGACAGACAGCTGCTCGATCCTCCATCCCTATTCCAGGAATACACCTATCAATCACTTTCTGCAGGTCGCAGGAGATAATTTATTTTCTATATACCACTTTATACTTTTTTTTTTTTGAGATGAATCTCATTCTGTTGCCCAGGTTGGAGTGCAGTGGCTTGATCTCATCTCACTGCAACATCTGCCTCCCAGGTTGAAGCGATTCTCCTGCCTCAGCCTCCTGAGTACCTGGGATTACAGGCACCTGTTACCACACCCAACACATTTTTGTATTTTTAGTAGAGATGGGGTTTCACCATGCTGACCAGGCTGGTCACAAACTCCTGGCCTCAAATGATAGGCCCACCTCGGCCTCCCAAAGTGCTGGGATTACAGGTGTAAGCCACTCCACCCAGCCCACTTTATACTTTTCAAAGTATTGTCACATCCAACATCTTTTTTTATCATCACAATAATCATGGGAAGGGGACAAGTTGGGCAGGTAATACTACAGTATTCACAATGTACACAACGCCTCAGAGACATTAACTAACTTGACCAACTCACTCCAGCACCAGGATTAGAACTCCAGTGGCTCCCCACGAATAAAACAAGGCAGCTATTTGGGTTACAGAATCAGCACAAATAGCAGAAGGTTTTGTGTCTCACCTAAATCAATAACTAAGGATTTCTGTTTCCAGGTAACATGAAGAAACACACTCGATTCTGCCTCTCCCATTGAATAGAGCAATAAAACATGGACACAACACACAAAGCAGCTATTTGAGGACTCTGAGAAGGAAATGGCAGCACACAGATTGGGGGAGAAGACCAGAATTTGAAATGCTGCTGAACCACAGGTGGGTTTTTCAATCTTCTTTCCTCTAGTATATCTTGGCCTGAACTTAAACACCAGACCTGGTAGTGGGCAACAGTGCAGAGACAGATGAGAAAACTGTAGGAGAAGCCATGAGGACCTGAGAAGGGAACTCCTACCTCCAAAAGAAACTATAGAAATCCCCATTTGGTTTTCTCTTTTTTCTATTTTTTAGCTGACACATAAAAAGCTGTACATTTCAGTGTAAACATCTTAATGAGTTTGGGGAAAGTAAACACCCATGAAACCATCACCACCATCAAGGCCATCAACATATTTATGACCTCCTCAAATTTTCTACTCTCCTTTGTTATTATTACTAAGATTGTTTTTTCATAAAAATCAATTTTGCGAGGGTGGCAGAAGAGCTCCAATAACAGGCACTCACAGAAGCCAAAACTCTATGGGAGAGAAATTTCTGTTTTCTGGACTTGTGATCCCAAGAGATTGAGGGAAAACCTCCATTTTTCTCTCTGTATCCCCACCACTGGCAACCAACCCACCAGAGTGGGATAATCGATTTCTAGTTTTGTAATCAGAAGGCCAAAAAGAGGAACTTCCAGGAAACAGAAAATATTAAAGGCATGAAATAAAGTAGAACTCAAGAAAACAAACCCATAAATGTGTTTATGAACATTTGGGCTCATTCTCTTACAGTGCATGTACAGATCTGATCCTACTCAGCCTACTACATAGATACATTGTTCAATGAACAAACTACCTTCCAGGATCCAGACTGGCCACTAGATGGAGCACATGCAGGGCAGATCCAAATAGCACTGAAAAGTGTTTGAAAACTGGACAAATGTTGGAATCATAACCCATAGAATGTCAGGTAGAACTTGGGGCCTGGCCTCAGACAGCCCAACTGACTGCTAAAAGAAAAATATCAACATCCTTCACAGGATTTTAGAAAGACCCAGAGTCTATTATCACTACATTTAAAATGTTCAGGATACAATCTAAAATTACTCCAACAAATGAAAAATCAAGAAAGGCTAAACTCAAATGGTAAGAGATAATCAATGGACATCAACACAAATATAATACAAATGTTGAAATTATCTGAGAAAGCCTTTAAAATATAGTATAAAAATACAGTTGGTTGAGCAAGCAACTCTAAATGCTTTTGAAACCAAAGGAAAGAGAGAAAGTCTCAGCAAAGACATAGAGGATATACAGAAGAATCAAGTCAGTATCTTAGAACTGAAAAGCACAACTGCGATTTAAAAAAAAAAAAAACCCTCACTGAATGGGCTTAATAGAATGAAGATAACAGAAGAAAGAGTCAGTGAACTTGAAGATAGAGCAAAAAAACTTACCCAATCTAAAAAGAAAGAAAAAGATTGAAAAACTTTAATAGAGCCTCATGGATCTACGTGATAATAAATGTTTTAACATTCATGTGACTGAAATCCCGGAAATAGAAAGAATACAGTACTGAAAAAATATTTGAAGATTACAAGTTGAAAACTTCCCAAATTTGGTGAAAGACATAAACCTACAGATTCAAGAAGCTGAGTAATTCCCAAACAGGACAAACCAAAATAAATCCACACCAAGACACATCTTACTCAGTTAAAAACTAAGGAAAAAGAATAAAGTCATTATCCATAGAGACACAGCAATTGAAATTACTGCAGATTTGTCACTAGAAACTGATAGTTACAGGAGGCAGCTCAATGCCTAGGCAGAAAGGGGCAGATCCCTGTTGAAACCCCACCTCCAAGGCAAAGACAATTTAAAGCCTGAAAGCCAAGCTACAGGTTAAATCCTCAGACCAGATTGAGAACTTGTCTTCCCATTTGGCATACTTTCCTCTGGTCGATCCCCACCCTTTACCTATTTTACGTTTTCCTACCCTTTCCTAATTGGTTTTCTACACTGTTGTGCCCACCTTTGAGTGGTGTCTTCATTTTAATCTTTTGCATACAAACCACTCAGCATGCACTCCCCATTCTGAGTCCATAAAAAGCCCTTGACCCAGCACTTTGGCAGGCCAAGGTGGGTGGATCACTTGAGGTCAGGAATTCAAGACCAGGTTGGCCAACATGGCAAAACCCCATCTCTACTAAAAATATAAAAATATTAGTCGGGCGTGATGGTACACACCTGTAGTCCCAGCTGCTCCAGAGGCTGAGGCAGGAGAATTGCTTAAACCTGGGAAGCAGAGGTTGCTGTGAGCCAAGATGGCACCACTGTACTCCAGCCTGGATGACAGAGCAAGGCCCTGTCGAAAAATAATAATAATAATAATAAGCCTCTGACCCAGAAACACAGAGAGGGAGGAATCACCTGACTGCAGGGGTGGGGAACAACCACCCCCCTCCCCCACAAACTCCTCTCTCTCATGAGAGCCATTTCATTGCTCAATAAAATCTTACATTCTCATCACCTTTTAATCATCAACATGACCTCATTCTTCTTGGACTCTGGACTAGAGCTTGGGACACACTGAGCTCAGGTACTCTGAAAGGCTGTAGCACTGGCCCTTTGGCCTCGCTGGTGGAGGGCAGCACCTCATATAACAGGGCAAGGGGCTGACCGAGCTGTTAACACACTGCTGTCCATCAGGCTGTGGACAGTGGAACTAAAAGAGCTAAAGAGCACACTAACGCTGCTGCTTTGGGGTCACCGGCACCTCTGCCTGGGCACCGCCATGTTCCCCTGGAGGTAACACATCTGATCTGGCCGTGGGCTGACAAGGAATTTGCTCCTGTGTTGGCACTCAGAGTGGCTGGATGAATCCTGTACTCATGAGCTCATGTGCTCCCTCCCGCAAGGGGCTGAGCGTGATGGGTCGAGTTGATGGGATGTCCCTGCTGTGAGCCCAACAAAGGGGCCGAGAAAAATCCTGTTTCAAAACTATGGGCCCAGAGGGTAGTTGCACACTATTCTTAAAGTGTTGAAATGAAAGAACTGTCAACACAAACTCTACATCCAGAAAAAATATCCTTCAGAAATAAAGTTGAAATAAGGACATGCTCAGATGAAGAAAAACTAAGAAAAATCGTTTACAACAGATCTGCCCTCACCAAATTGCTAAAGCAAGCTCCTCAAGAGGAAGGAAAATGATACCAGATAGAAATTTTAAACATCAGCAATAAAGAGCAAATGAAAGAGTAAATAGACCATTCTTCGCTTGAGAAAAAAGATGGAAAGCAAAAATTAAACACCGTTTACTGGGGTTTTCAATATACATAGATGTACTGGATGAAAAATTATAACCTAAAGGGAAGTAAAGAGATGCTTATAGGAGTGTTGATATTCCACTGGAAATGGTAAAATGTTGAATTTCAGTAGACAGTTAAAAAGCTAAATATGTAATTATAAACCTCAGGGCAACTACTTAAAAACCAGACAAAAATATATGGTTAAAACACAGTAGATTTTTTTAAAATGTTTAAATAACCCAAAAGTAAACAGCAGAGAAGGAAATAGAGGATGGAAACAAGACGGGCATGGCCCCTACTTCCAAGACAATTTAAAAAGCTGATCAATATTTACATTTTAGGATAAAACTCCTGAAGGAAAATATGAAGCAGAGCAAGCACTGTTGTAACTGCCTGGCAGAGTCTTCCTGTCTGCTGCACAAATAAAGACCACAGCATTGCAGTAAAGAGTTTAATTGACGCAAGGCCAACCATGCCACATGGGAGATGGAGTTATTACTCAAATCAGTTTCACGTCAGGCTCATAGTTTAGGGGTTTTACAAAGCAGTTTGTACGAAGGGGTGGGGGTGTTCAGGTAATGGGTGCTTGCTGATGATCAGGTGGGGTAAAAATAAAATCACAGGGGGTTGAAGGTGTCTCCCTCAGAGAGTTGCTTCTGAGTGGGGCCACAAGAGGAGTGAGGGAAGGGTAGTTGGGTCCACTTAGAGCCATGTGTATCAGACATGTAAAAAACACCTGAAAAGATATCTTAAAAGGCCAATCATGTGTTTTACAATAGTGACATTATCTGCAGGACCTCCAGAATAATGGGTGGCAATTGTTTATGTCTACACCTTAGCAGAATTCAGGTTCCTGTCCTTCCTCTAGCCTGGTGGCATTTCATTAGCTTTACAAAGGTGGTTGTATTTTGGGGGAAGCCTATTATCATTTAACTATAACCTAAATGTCTTCCAAAGTTAGCTTCATCTAAGCCCGGGAATAATTAAGACAGCTTGAAAGATAAAGGCAAGAGGGGTGTGAGTTAGATCAGATCTCTTTAACCATCATAATTTTCTCACTGATATAATTTTTGCAAAGGCAGTTTCACTGTGACATAGACTAACACTGCTGACCCAGAGTGATCAGGAATGCCTCGAGGAGGAGATGAGCTTTCAGTTGAGACAAAAAGCAAGTCCGGGGAAGGATATCTCAAGAAGATGGAAGATCTTGAGCAAAATCCCTACAACTGGAAGACTTGGAAGAACTGAAAGATCATTGCAGCTGGAGTAATGAGCAAGGAGCCTGCTAGGAAGGCAAAAGAGGAGGAAAAAGACTGCATAAGCCCTTGCAGACCATAGTTACAAGTCTGGAATTTGTTCTAAGTGCAGCGAGAAGCTGCTGAAGTTTTGCATTTGAAAAGAGTTACCCAGAAGAACCCTACCTACCTCCACCCAAAGTGGGAGATTCCTAGGCAGAGCATGTAAGTTGCTCCCTCAGGGTTTGGTTGAGAATTACACAGCAGAACAAACAAGGAGGTCCCAGGCAAGAGCCAGCTTTCTCATTTCTTTGACAACTGAATGGTTGGCTTCCCCGGGCAGAAATGTGTATAAATCTGGACTACATCTAACAGTCAGATTCCTTATCTAATAGACGACAACCAAAGTTTGATCTTTGGCCTAAGGGGAGAATTGAAAGGTGTTTATGTCTTAGAAATAATCAGAGTCAGACATCTCAAAATTAAAATTCTTTGTCAGCCTGTCAATATTTACGAATGTGTAAAATTTCCAACAGCCCCATGCCACAATTTCCATGCATTGAAGGTTGAGAGACGTTTGACCTTGAAGATAGCATCTCTTAGCCTGCACATTTTTCATTTTACAAAGTTTATTTAAAACACTGACCCATCTTCTAGTTAAGTTACCTAAGTTCATCTTTCTCCTTGAAATCAGAGTGAGATTTTCTTACAATAGACCTTGCAGGATTAAAAAAGTAAGCTACAGCTTCCCCACACCACCCCAAACAACATGAATTAGTAAACCACGAATACTGTATGCTACAGCGAAGCTAGTTTGGAACAAAGGTAAGATTTGATTTCAGAACAAAAGGTTTTTATTCATAGCTTTGACATTAACTTATTATGTGAACTTGGTCAAGTATTTTATTTAGCTTCAGAGGCTTCTATTTTATTACCTGCAAAATAAAGAGATATTTAAAATAATTTTGTGAAATGCTAACACCACAAACAAGATTGACTGGAGGCTTACCATAAGCCAGGTTCTTTTGCAGAAGTCCTCTATGTTCTATTTGCTTTGATCCTCACAACCCCCATATGATGTAGCATGGCAGAGATGCCACCTTTCCTGTTCTCTCTGAGATGTATGGTAAAATGTGGCCCAAAATACCTTTCCATGAAGGGCTTGTTAGCTCAGTTACTGGTAGTACAGTCAGCAGAAGGCATCTGGCTGTCAGTCTCTTCAGGGGTCACCTCCACATCCAAAAGCAGCCTCACCCAAGGTCATGCCCCTTCCCAGGAGGCCTGTACCTAATGACTGATCAATGTAAGAACATAAAGGCCCGGCCTTCTTAGCTCCAGAGCAGCTTTAGGGGCCTGTTGAGGCTGCCATGGTCCCTGCATCATAGTTTTTCTCCCTCTGCCATCCCCTGCATCACTACTGATCCAATAAACATCACTTCCAGCTGAAAATTAAAAAGTCATTGTAAGTACATACATATGTACATGTATGTATGCATGTTCATGCATATGTACATACGTAAGGGTCAGGTTCCCTAGAAGCAGAACCTAAGACAAGGATTTAGAAGCATGTGATTAACTGAGGGAGCACTCTTTGAAACAAAGATTAGGGAGGGCAAAGTGTTGAACACGGATGCAGCATCTGGTGAAGTCTAGCCTTGGCCTAGCTCATGAGAGCAAACCACCATTGCAAAATGTAACTGAGGCAGTGAAAGAGATCTGACCTAACCAACTCCATCTTTACTCTAACTTCCAAGCTGTCCTTGTTCACTCCTGGGTGTAGGCTGAACTAACTTTGGGAGGAAATTAGTTTATAGTTTGTTTTTTGAGATGGAGTCTTACTCTGTTGTCCAGGCTGGAGTGCTGTGACACAATCTCGGTTTTTTCTGCACAAAGGAGCACATTCAAGGAGACCAAATGTCCAGTTCTCATGAAGGTCCCAATTTGTGTCACTGTCATCCTTTTTCATTGGGATTACCAGAGAAACACTGGCTCCTATCAAGGTCTGTACACTCTGTGAAAGCAGGAATATTGTTCCATCCACAGAGATTTTCCTCGAGCCTAAGCAAAATAGTCTAGAAGTGATGGAATAAATATATGTTGATGAATGTGGTGGATTGAATGGTGTCCCCCACCCCCAAAGATACATTCATTTCCTGACCCCTGGAACTAGTGAATATATGACCTTATGAGAAAAAGGTCTTTTCAGATATCATTAAGGATCTCTCAGTAAGATTGGCCTGGATTTAGGGTGGTGTCTAAATTCAATAACAGGCATATTTACAAGAAAAAGGCAGGGAAAGACTTATGACACAAAGGAAGAAAGGTGACTTGAAGACAGAGACAGAGATTGGAGTGGTGAGTCTACAAGCCAAGGAACATGGAGAAGAGCCTGCAGTCACCAGTAGCCAGGAGAGAGGCATGGGACAGATTCTCCCTCAGGGTTTGCAGAGGAGCAAACCCTGGCAACACCTCGATTTTGGGCCTCTGGCCTCCAGAACTGTTAGTTTTAAGCCACCAAGTTTGTGGTAGTTTGTTTTGGCTGCCCTAAGAAATCAATACAAAGAATGAATGAATTAGCAAATAAATCTGAATGTCTGGGAATGAGTAAGAAGAACCCAAGGTGAGAAAGGAAGTGTAGGGAGGAGTTGTTGAAAAGAAGTTTTGCGATCTGTCTGCACAACTCAACTCAAATAGAATCTCTGCTCCCGGGTTGGGCCCTGAGCCTGGGACTAATAAGGAGATGACTGCAGCTCTACGACAAAGGCAAGCATTGGGCTGCCTTCAAGTATCCGGGCTGTAAGGAGCCCAGGATGAGGTTTTGGTGAGTATGTGAGAGAGAGACAGATGGGTATAAAATGGAAAAGCTGACTTGGGTTTCTGTACCTCAGGTCTGGAAGACACTCAGGTTGGGCTGTCTCATGGAATATGATGGGGGAATCCATATCCAGGCAGAGAACTCTAAGAAACTCCAATCTAGACGTGGGAATCTCTTGAATCTTCAGAAGGAACTCTTGAATGGAATGTAATTTTGGCTAAATTTGAGTAACAATATCCACATGGAGGGGAAAATACTACAGGATAAGGAAAGGGGAGGAAAAGGAAAGACATGAATACCTGCATCTCAGTTTGTTAAAAAATGAGAACACCACAAGAGCCCTGGAGAGCATCGGGGACCTGCATCACTGGCCTTTGCTCCGTACTCTGCACCACTTCTTTTCCCATGACCTCATCAGCTGAGGTTATGGGGTAAAAAATGGGCTGGGAAGGACAAGAATCAGTGAGCTAACACTCATGTACAACCTCAAACACTTGCTTAAAAGATAAATGCACACTCATGGGCATACAGACACACCCTACCACAGTGGGGCTGAAGGAACAAGTTTATGGAGATACGTTCACAAGCATTGCAGTTTTGATGTGAAATTCTCGGTACTTTCTGAGGTTCATAGCGTTTCTGATAAGAACCTCTGCTGCTCTGCAGAGTGTCTCTTATCGCTTTCCAGTCCTGAAAAAGGTCTTGGAATTCTCTGACTCCAGTTACCTTTCCCAAAAGGAACACTAAAAGGGATAAAGTAATAAAAAATGATTACGTGTTTCTACATCTTCAGTGATAAGGTGGCTGAAATGTGATAAGACGACCATGGATTTTCTCTCTGAAAATGACATTTCTAGATGTAGTGCCTTTCCTACCTGCCCTGTTTGAAACAGCAAGCTAATCACACTTCACCCAGATTTAATTTTCTCTCTGTGTTCATTAACTACCTAATATTATGTCTATTTGTTTATGGTCTGTCTCCCGACAAAATATAAACTCTACAAAAGCAAGGACCTTATCTATCTTGTTCATATCTCTTAAATAGTACCTGGTACATAGTAGGTATTCGTTAAATATCTGTTTAATGAAGAAGTTAACATTAAGTTAGTTCCAGTTAACTAGATGACACTGATGTCATCCCTTGGTATCCTAGGGGGATTGGTTCCAGGATGCCCTCCCCAGCTACCAAAATCAGCAGATGCTCAAGTCCCTAATATAAAATGGCACAGTGTTATCATATAACCTACGCTCATTTTCCTTTATTTATTTATTTAGAGACAGTCTCACTCTATCGCCCAGGCTGGAGTGCAGTGGCCTGATCTCAGCTCACTGCAACCTCTGCCTCCTGGGCTCAAGCAATTCTCCTGCTTCAGCATCCTAAGTAGCAGGGATTACAGGCGCCCACCAACACACCTGGCTAATTTTTGTATTTTCAGTAAAGACACTGTTTTGCCATATTGGCCAGGCTGGTCTCAAACTCCTGGCCTCAAATGATCCATCTGCCTTGGCCTCCCAGGAGGCTGGGATTACAGGAATGAGCCACTGCATCCAGCTCGCCAATAGTCTTTAAATCATCTCTAGATTACTTATAATACCTAATACAATGTAAATGGTATGTAAATAGTTGTTACACTGTATTATTTTATTTGTATTATTTTTTATTGTTGTATTGTTATTTTTTTATTGGGTTTGTCCCCAAGTATGTTTGATCAGTGTTGGCTGAATCCATGGATGCAGAACCCACAGGTACAGAGGGCCAACTTTATTTGCTTTGTGAAATTGTACTATGTAAAGGTGAGAAGTTACCCTCCGCAAGATTGCAATGTACATAAATAATGATAGTGCTCAGGGAAACTACAAGGCCACGTCGAGTTATAAACAAAGGACTATTGAGAGAGCACAGAAAAAAAATCATGAAGGCTTTATGAATTTGAGCACTACCCATTAATAGAGACGAGACTCAGACAAAAAACTCCAGCACACAGTGGGCTTGCAGTGGCATGGGCCCTGTTTGAAACGCCCATCATCTGAGAAGCAGACTTCCTGACACCATGGCCTTGGATTAGTAAGTTGTATTTTGTGGAACTTGGCTTCTTCATCTGTAAATTAAACAACTTCTGCCTAGATGATCATGAAATCTTCTGTCCATGACAACACTGGGTGGGGAGAACTGTAAAAAATGGAGCAGGGTTTGGGTATGAATTCCTTCCAAAGTCTGAGGCATGAACAACAAGAGGACATTAAATCAGTAAGAGTTATATGACCCATAACCAAGCCGTCTGCTCTCAAGATCTGGCTACCAGGATGTTCTTCATAGAGTTAATTACAATAAAGAGAAAATGGAAAAACAAACTGGAAACTGTTAAGAGTTTATTTTGAACTAACTCCAGACTAGCAGTGGGTTTTTCTTTCACCTGCTTTGTACCTGGTATCTTAACTCGGCACTGAAAACTGTCCTCTATTATCTGATTATTTTCTCATTCCCATTGTCTCTTTTCTCTTGGAAGGACTCCTAGGAGTTGGAGATTGGGCCCAAGTACGTATATTAATACTCTGTCTTTCAAATGTTCTCCCATGTTTTCTCTACATCTTTGGCTTTCCATACTGAGAGACGTAATGTATCTCTTCTAAATGTTAAAGAACAGTTCTTTCATTATGGAAATAATAGTTTTAATTTAGAGCAGGAGTTCTCAATCTTGGCAATATTGACATTTTAGGACACATAATTCTTTGTTTTGGGGGCTGTCCTGTGCATTGTAGGATGTTGAGCAGCATCCCCGGCGTCTGCCCACTATGCCATTTGCACCCCCAACCCCACTGGTCACAGCCAAAAGTGTCTTCTAGACATTGTTAAAAGTCCACTGGGGAACACAACTGCCTCCTGTTTAGAAACATTAATTAAAAAAACTCTATTTTTGAGTTCTTCTCTTTCATTGCAGCTTGTCCTTTTAAAAAATGGCCAGAATCACTAATACAATTAGGCTTTGCTAAAATCCTCTTTTGTTCCTTGATTAATTTCTGTCTTCCAGAGTCAATGTTCTGTTTGTTCATCTTGGTCCTCCTTTAGAATTGATTTCCCTCACATGTCTGGTGGTCTGGACTGTCTGTATATATTCATAAATACAGGTTTTAACAATTAACATAGGTCACTGAGGTAAGCTTCTGTTTCCTTTGAGTGGGCTCCATGCCCCCAACAAACTTCTTCCTTGAATAAGGGGATAGACCAGGAACTGAGTTTCTAGCTGGGGCCTATGAACAAGCTGGCTTCACTTTAGGATGGACCAGTCCAGAGCAAGTGAACAGACTGACTGCTCCCCTCCCCAAATGTCTGATTATAGTGTGCTTCACCATGGGCTCCTGGCACCCCATACCATATCACACCCACACACAAAAAAGTCCTAGAGAGGTCTCCCAATACTCACCCTGATTCCTGCATCTCTTCCAACCCTCACCCTTTGTAATCTTCTGAACCAAAGGCAGATACATTCTGAGACTCTGGGAAAGAGTAATTCTCAAATTTAATCTTGTCATTGCTGCCTTGCCCTCAGGGTGTTCCCAGCCCCTTCCTCCAAAGGTCTTTCAATAGGTGATTGATTAAACAAAACATTTTACATTTATGCCAAGGAATACTACACAGCAATAAAAAAGAGCAAATATTGATGTGCTTAACAACTTGGATGGATTTCAAGGGAAATGTGTTGACTGAAAAAAGCTAATGGCAAAAGTTTACACACTGGATGATCCCATTGACATAACGTTCTTGAAATGACAAAATCATAGGTGGAGAACAGATAAGTGGTTGCCAGGAGTTAGGGATGGGGGGTGACATAGGGTGTGTGTGACTGTAATGGGTAGCACAAGGGAGATCTTCATGGTGACGAAATATTAATAGTCCTGTGTCTCGACTGTGGTGGTGGTTATACAAATACACACGTACATGTAATAAAACCAAATGTCTACACACACATACCCAAGTGCACATAAATCAGGTAAAACTGATGGCTGAAGTTCTGTGATGGTACCAACGTCAATTTCTTGCCTTTGATATTGTAGTAGAGTGATACAAGATGTGACCGTTGAAGAATGCTGGATGAAAGGCGACTGCCTTCATGGAACCCGTATGGACTCCGTGTATATTTTTTGGGTAATTTCCTATGACTCAGTAATTATTTCAAAATAAAAATGTTTAAAAAGTGAAGTCACTATGACTCCATCTTCATTTTCACCTCCAGATATTCATGACCTCCACTGGCCCACTGGAAGTTCCCTCTCTCATTCTTAGACAAGTAAGCCTTCATTTCATCTATAGCATTTCAATGGGATTTTTGGAGGTAGAGGAAGCAAATTCTTACATTCATGTGTGTACACTCAGCAGTCAACGCATACTTTTTTTTTTTTTTTTTGAGATGGAGTCTCACTCTGTCATTCAGGCTGGAGTACAGTGGTGTGATCTTGGCTCACTGCAACCTCTGCCTCCCGGGTTCAAGCAATTCTCCTGCCTCAGCCTCCCAAGTAGCTGGGATTACAGGTGCCCACTACCACACCTGGCTAATTTTTGTATTTTTAGTAGAGATGGAATTTCACCATGTTGGCCGGGCTGGTCTCAAACTCCTGACCTCAAGTGATCCGCCTGCCTCGGCCTCCCAAGGTACGGGATTACAGGCATGAACCACCCCACCCGGCCCATACATTTCTTTCGAATTAAGAGAAGCATGAGGTCTTAAATCACAGTTTCAATTAAAAGCCCAATTTATAAAGAACAAGATTTCTTTAAAAGTAATCTACATTTAGTGATATGTTATTCAAATATTACCTATTCCCTTATGAATTCTAAATACTTTCCTTGAAATAAAGTAGGAAGCATTAAACATGTATAGGCTTCTTGTATGTCAGTCTTACCTCAAAAAAGCAGTTAAAATATTAAATAATACCACCATTGAGTAAACATACACACACATACAAAGAGGGTATTATATCAGAAGTCTACATAGTAGGATCATGCTGACTAATTATACTGCAAAATTTTCCCATATTACTAAGCATGTCAGCACAAGTCGGATCTGTGCCCTTGACTTTTGCTAATAATGTTCTGAAGAAGCATTCACATTGCAATAGTTGCTGCATATGCTATGGACGTCTTTTAAAGGAATTTTCCCATAGATTACTCAATATCTCCTCTGTGATATCACTTCATAAATTTCCTTTAGAGCAGTGGTTCTCAAATCATGGTCCATAGACCAGCAGCATCAGTATCACCAGGGAATGTGCCAGAAATACAAATTCCCAGGCTACAATGATTCAGACACTCTACGGATAGGACCTAGAAATCTGTTTTAATAGGTCCTCTAGGAGACTACCAGGCAAACTGGAGTTTGAAAACTACAACTTTAAGACATAGTCATGGGTTCTCTATTTTGGAAGTGGCTACAATAGAGAAACTTTTTTTTTAATGACTTAAAATACAAGAAAAGAATGTGGTGGCTCACACCTGTAATCCCAGCACTTTGGAAGGCTGAAGAGGGTGGACATTTGAGCTCAGAGACCAGCCTGGGAGTTCGAGACCAGCCTGGGAACCATGACAAAACCATGTCTCTAGAAAAAAAATACAAAAATTAGCCAGGCATGGTGGCATGCATCTGTAGTCCCAGTTACTCAGCAGGCTGAGGTGGGAGGCTTGAGTCCAAGAAGTGGAGGCTGCAGTGAGCCAAGATCTTGCCACTGTACTCCAGCCTGGGTGACAGAGCGAGACTCTGTCTCAATTAAAAATAAGAAGAAAAAATATGTAGTGATGGGGGAAAATCCCTGATAAAAGTATTTTTATTCTAATTTTCTGCTACTGGGAGCTTTGTGAATTTTAAATTCTTTTTTGGGTCAGGGGAGGTAGGATGCTCAGAGCCAAATTGGAAGCTCAGTCACAGTAAATATATTAACCCAGAGAGTTAGCATATGGATTTCCTCCTCCTTTCCTTGCCCCCATTTCTTATTTTTATTTTATTGGATTTTGTTCCTTTGGGAAAAGTATAAAGTTATAAATATAGTCAATAAATTTTGAAACTGCTTAACAGTGGCAATGTGCTTTTGTATGCTGCCACATGTTCTGAGTATGAAATACAGATCATGATGACCATGCAGATGTTACCAGATATTAAATTGTTTCGCAAATAGATTACAGAGCATGAAAATCCAAATACTGCCTAGAGAAAATATTTTCACGTGTAATTCCCAGGGATATTCTTACAAAATAGAATTGTTATTGCCTTTTTGTTTAAATGTAAGAGGAAGGATTTGGGCTTAGATTTATTATATTAGTATATTAACCACCACTATTGTTCTTTTGGCTTCTTGCCTTTGGGTGATGTTTTCTTGTGGAGAATTATTTTCTGTTTCCATCATCTTGAAATAATGTGTATTTCAATTGTCTTTTTCTTTTCCCTGAGCCAACAGACCAATAAAATTCCCATTTGAAAAGATTCTTCTAAAATATTATACATAACGAACAAAACACTAGGACTGCTGTTAAGTTTCACTATTCCCATGAATGTGTCAGATCTGGGGGTGTTTTTTCTGTGATACATTCTCATGTACCATTTAAAACAATATGGTCAAAAAATACTCTCTTAAAAATTAAATGAATAACCACAACCATCATCAATAATCAATAAATGTTTCTTGAGCAACGTTTCAGTTGTTTCTTTTTTTAAGTCTGAACTTTGGAGGACAGAAAAAGTGTGTATCACATCCACTGAAGACTGACTAGCATAGACTGATTATGTTTCCATTGGAACCTACTGTTGCAGACTCCTTCCAATCTGCCTGACTCATTCCTGGAGGCCTGATCTAATCATGCTCTAGGGCCTGGTCGCAACCAGGCCTTTGACAACTTCTGGGTCCTGTTCTGAAACAGGCAACCACATCAAACCTTCAAGCTGTTGTCCACCTACTTCCAAGCATGATCACCTCTTAGAATTTGCTGCTGCTCCAACCCCCAATAAGACAGAGCCCCTGGGCATCACTACAGGAACACTCCAGAGTTCTTACCCTTGGAACCCACGCTGTGTATTAGTTTCTCAGGGCTGCCATAACAAATCACCACAAACATAGTGGCTTAAAATAACACAAATTTATTGCAGTTCTGGAGTTCTAACATCAGACTCGCTGGACAAAAATCAAGGTACTGGCAGGGCTGCAATTCTTTTTGGAGGCCCTAAGGGAGGATCTGTTTCCTTACCTACTCTAGATTTACAGGCTGCCCACATTCCTTAGCTCTTGACCTCCTGGCATCTCCGAGGCCAGCAATGGCTAGGGGAGAACTTCTAACATCACCTCACCTGGACACTGACTCTTCTCCTGCTTCCACTTTTAAAGATTCTTGTGATTATATTGGCCCACTTGTATCATCCATTTATATTAAGTGTTACTGATTAGCAACCTTAATTCCATCTGCAGCCTTAATTTCTCCTTGCCATGTCACATGTTGATGGAGTAAAATATTAATATCTTTGGGAGGTAGACATTGTTATGTCTACCGTAACCAGTCAGCCAGTCAGTGGATAAATGAGTAACTAACAAACTAGTGGACTGATGTGGTTTGGATGTTTGTCTGCTCCAAATCTTATGTTGAAATGTGATTCCCAGCGTTGGAGGTGGGGCCTGGTGGGAGGTGATTGGATCATGGGGTCAGATCCCTCATGAATGGTTTAGCACCACCCGCTTGGTAATAATTGAGTTCTTGCTCAGTTAGTTTACCTGCGATCTGGTTGTTTAAAAGTCTGAGACCTTTCCCCACATGCTCTCTTGCTCCTCCTCTTACCATGTGACACGCTGGTTCCCCGTTGCCTTCTATCATGATTGTAAGCTTCCTGAGGGCTCACAGAAGCAGATGCTGGTGCCATGCTTCTTGTGCAGCCTGCAGAATTGTGAGCCAATTAAACCGCTTTTCTTCATAAATTACTCGGTCTCAGGTATTTCTTTATAGTAACTCAAGAATGACCTAATACATGGACTGACCAATGAGTGACTAGCTCTCGGTGATGAACGTTCAGTTCCTCTGAAACAGCCTGTTTACGGGACAGCCATGGCTAGGCAGAGTCAAAGCTCAGTCCTACCACTTACTCCTTCAACCCTCTGAGCTTCACCTGTCTTGTCTCTGGCATGACCATAGTAATTCATATTTCACTGGGTGACTATAAACCTTACAAGAGAAAACATGCCAGTGTCTGGAAAACGACAAGTTAATCAAAAGTGTCAAAAGAATAAAAATATGAACCTATATGCCAAGGTACTAAGGACAGCGTCCTAGAGCTGAAAATATCTTAACAGTCATTAAATGGAAAATAAGGAGCTGAGGTTCAGAGAGGGTGTCTTAGTCCATTTATGTTACTACAAAGCAATACTTGAGGTTGGGTAATTTTTTTATAAAAGAGGTTTTATTTGGCTCACGGTTATGTAGACTATACAAGAAGCATGAGACCACCATCTGCTTCTGGTGAAGCCTCAAGCTACTTCCACTTATGGTGGAAGGCAAGGGGAGCCAGCATCCCATGATGAGAGAGAAAGGAGGAGGAGGAGGAAGGTGCCAGGCTTGTTTTAATCATTGGTTATCACGGGAACTAACGGAACAAGAAATCACTCATCTTGAGGACAGCACAATACAACGTCATTCATGAGGGATCTGCCTTCATCACACAAATACTTCCCATTAGGACCCACCTTCAACATTGGAGGTCACATTTCAACATAAGATTTGGGTGATGCAAACATCCAAATATAGCAGAGGCGAAACAGTGTCATTCAGCGTATGGCAGAAATAAGATTCAACATCAATGCTAGATGAGAAGCCATGAGACCTCTCTCCTTAATACCTACCACTCGGCCATTTATCAGGACAGGGATGCCAACCAACAGTGTCCAGTGTCTAGCAGATGACAGGTGTGTGCCGAATCCCAGAGCACCTCCTTAAGGACCTTTCTGTTTCTGGCACGTGGGAGCTACTTTCCTTATGCAGACTTCCAACTATTTTTTAAAAATAGTATTTCAGCAAAGTTTTAGTGATATTGGAATTATATTCACCATGGATATGAGGCAAGATACAAAATTGTATATTCATCCTAGCAATAATTACATAGAAATAAACATTTCTGTTTGACTTGACATAAATGTAAACAATGTTAACAGTTCTTATTTTTATGTAATATATGAGTGCCTTTTATTTCCTTTTATATTTTCTAGATTTTCTAAGTGAGCAAAACTTCTATAATAAGGTAAAGTAAAAATGATTATTTTTAAAAATAACGATCATGAGAAAGATGGCATTTTAATCAATTATTTTTTATGACCCCAGATTTCTAGAATCTGGATATTCAAAACTAGTATTTCCTTTGTAGTCTCAAAAATATTATTCCCAGCTATGCTTTTCCTATTTCTAGTGGATTGCTGCCTTATCCTACAAACTCTAGCATTAACTACCTCAGTAAGCATGTGTATGGACCACTTAAAACTGAAATGTCACCATCCGCGAAAACAGTAAGTCAAGATGTGTGACTACGTACACATCTCATAGCAATTATCATCAGCATTATCTAACTAATGCTTGCCAGCTTTATATACTAATGTTTGCCAGCTTTATATACTACATTCATTATTCAGGCAATCTCCTTTGTAACATCATTTCATATCCAATGAAGAAATATGTTCAGAGGCTGTAACTCTAAGTAGGGACACAAGTCAAGTCTCTCCTAATCCATTTTTCCCCTCATTGCAATTAGTTTAACCTCTTTCTGAGCATGTTCTTAATATAGGCTTTTACCATAAGCCATTTTTCATGTGTCCTAGTTTTTCATCACTGAATTCTTGAGTAACACCACAGACATTAAAATGATAACATATCATGTTTAAATTATGGTTAAGTTCAAGGGGGAAATAACATGCTCCGTCTCGAGTTAGAATGAAGGAAAATGATTGCAGATCACGACTATCATTTTCATAATATTTGGACTTGTTTCTGACTGTCACACATGGACTAATGGAGTTACATTTTGAAAGTCAGTCTTGAGCCTTCACAGGTCATGGTGCGCACACTCAGGGAAGGGGGAGAGCAAATTTTCTCAAAGCCAAGGCCTTAACAATTCACTAAGATGGCAAATCATGTCCCTGTTACAAAAAGATCTCAAAGCCCCTGAATAAAAATGGGAAGAAACAGTTTTACTTTAAAGTGACTATGAACTAAAAATCCATCTCATAAAAATAAAATTCATCCCTACCTGATTTCCAAAGGGATACTCCCAACAAATTAGACTTATGAGATGGTCAGGGTTTATTATTAATAATAGAACACTTCTAGGAGTCTCATAATTGATTCACCTGACCTTCTACATTATGTCTCTGAGATTCAGCAATTTCCCAGTACTGCCCCTGTCAGCCCAGCTTGTTTTCCTGAATCCTACATCAGTTGACTCTCTCAACTATACCGCACTGACCACTACCTCTTTATGTAGCTGCAGTGCCTAAAACATCCTGACACATAGAAAGATCATCAGCTGTCAGGACTTAGAATTTGCTGATGTTACCAGTGCACTCATGACTTCTAAAATCTCTTGTCTCCACTTTGATAATAATTGTTTTATTAACAGATAACACTCATTGAGTGCTTTCTATGTACCAGGTGTTTTTACTTGAATGATCTCGTTTAACTCCCATAACAACCATATGAGGTAGGTTTCAGTTATTAAACTCTGCGAGCCTCAGTATTCTCAACTGTAAAATGAGCATGTGCAAAATTGCAAAGTTCACACAGCAGGTAAATACAAGGTCTAGGAATCACACCTAGGAATTTTTAACCCCAGAGTGTATGCTCCTTAACACGGCCCTGTTTGCCTAACCTTGCTATCAAAATTTCCAAGGTCAACCTCATCCATTCATGCCATTCTTCAAGTTCATTGAAGAAGAACTTGTCTTCTTCAATAGTTCATCTTATTGCAAAGAAAGTGTGTGAGTGTGTGTGTGTGTGTGTAATGTATGCGAATTATTTTAGAATTACTGAACATTTACAAAAGTAGTAATAGAGATTCAATAGATCCTTCATCCAACTTCCCTAAGGACCACGCATTTTTTAAAATACTGTCTTCATTCTTCAGATCATCACTGTTGAGCTGAAATCAGTGAAACCACGGCATAACAAGGATACAGCCACAAAAACCAACTAATATTTTAACAGTGCCTTGCATGGATGACATGACCACTCCCTCAGTGGAGGAGGCTCTCAGCTGGCCATTTCACACATTATCTGTTATTATTCATGAGTCCCTCTGTGCATAGCACAGACACTGACTTTGTAGATCTGCACGTGTTTACATAATGGATCAGAGACTCTTAACTTTGTTGGGTCCTTGACCAATTTAAAGAAGTATCCTACTTCCTAGAAAATGCAGAGAAAAATAATCCTATATATTTTAGGTAGTTTGCAGACCTCAGGGTACCTCTTTAAGTTCAGCCTCATCTGTTTTATTTTTTTAAAGCTAACAATTACAGTCTGACCTGCTAACCTCCCTATCTTTTCCCTCAATCTTCATAAAGCTCCTCCATATCACTAACTCTGGGGAGGCTGCCAAAGAATTGCAGAATCACTCCTTCTAAGACATGGCTTCAACCATTGAACTGTTGTTGGTTTGGGGCTGCGGAAATGGCCATTTGCCAAAGAATACATGTAACTGCCACCAGGACAATCTCAGCATGCAGTAAGGACAGTGAGTCTACTTCTCCCACCACGTGGAATGCATGACTTCAGGGATTTCCTGACAACATGGGCAGCCCACCTGGCTACTAAGCCACAGACTTGCCGAAGGTCAATCCACTTATCCATGCAGACCCCGGTGACTACTCACAAATTCGCATTTATGAGACTAATGTTCTGTCCAAGCTAAACATTCTAAATTAAATATTGCTGTCTTCTTTCTTGATAAACTGGAAGTCTGAACTTCTCAGGTCAATATTCTACTAGAGGATCAGGTGGTGATTATGGAAATTGCAACACCTAAAAACGGTCTTAAAAGAGAATCAAGGGACAGTTGGACTCTGAGTGCTGCCAGACCAAGCAAGTGAGCACTTTTTCAAAGAACACAAAACCAAAATGTTTATTGCATTTTCAAATATCAATGGGTTCAAAAATATATTGGGCAATTTCCAATAATACCCACATTTGAAAACAAAATTAGTCTATCCTCAGCATGATGAGGAGAACCCAGGTTTTAAAATTCAAAAAATAAACCTGAGTTTGGATGTGCCACTTACCCAGCTATATGACTTTGTTTAGCTAAATGGGGAAATAATACATACGAAAAAGGACTATTATGAGGATAAAATGTGGCAGTGTGCATAAAGTTATTTGCACCAAGGACTAACTCAATAAATCTTAGTTCTCTCTCCATTAAAATTCTTTCCAGAACTTCCAGGTACCTACAGCAGAAAGAAGGTAGACGTTTCTACAACTTGAGAGACCTGAATCATATCAAACAGTAAGGAACCACTTTGGGAGGCCCAGGCAGCCAGATCACTTGAGGTCAGGAGTTCAAAACCCGCCTGGCCAAGATAGTGAAATGCTGTCTCTACTAAAAATCCAAAAATTAGCCAGGCGTGGTGCCCACATGCCTATAATCACAGCTATTCCGGAGGCTGAGGTATAAGAATCACTTGAGCCTGGGAGGTGGAGGTTGCAGTGAGCCAAGATCACACCACTGCACTCCAGCCAGGGCGATGGAGTGAAAACCTCTCTCTCTCAAAAAAAAAAAAAAAAAAAAAAAGTAAGGGACTTAAGTAATTAAGGGTACAGATCCCTGTATGCCTGCCAGGGAATCATAAGCCAAGAATGAATATTTAAACTGATTGGGACCAATCTGGGGCAAGACAGAGTCAGTTTCTTTCACCCTGTCTCTCTCACTGAATGCAAATAAAAACCCTAGACAGAAAGCATGGAGCAGTTATCTGAGGACTCCAAAAATAATGATAGTGGGTAGACTGGGAAAAGCAGAATTTGAAGAACCACCAAACTGGTGTTGTTTTCCACTTTTTCCTCTTCAATATCACTTAGCTTGGATTCATATTCAGCCCAAAACCCAGAAGTATACACTAGTGTAGCCAGAAAGGGCTTCAGAAGACGACTTGACTTTTCAGGCCCAAAGACCAGGAAAGGGGGCTCAAAAGATCAGAGACAGTTTAGGAAGTCTCAATTTAAAAAAAAAAAAAAAAAAAAAAAGTTTCTGTCCCAGCCCCCAGGCAATCCTGCCTCATTGCAGCAGAGGCTAGGCAGGTGTTAAAACTGGGGCAAGTGAATCCTCTGACCTGAGGGCATGGTTGCCACAATCGAAGGCAAACGGCCACCACACTTTCCGTTCTGTCCTCGGCAAACACTAAACATAATAACCTCAAAGAAATTAATCCCCAGATTTCTCATAATACAATTTGAAAACTAAAGATGAAGGAAAAATCTTGAAAGCAGCCAGAAGAAAAAGACACATAACATAAAGGGGAACAACAATTCCAATCACTGTGGATTTCTCCACAGAAACTAAGGCTACCAGAAGGAACAAGAGCATTTTTAAATTTCTGCAAAAGAATCATCAACCCTAAATTCTATTATTCATAAAAATGTCCTTCAGAAATTAAGGTGAAATAAGGGGCAGGGGAGGAGACGAGGAACATCAAGAATTAAGGAAGAGCACAAGAAGTGATAAATATTGGGGTAAACATCATATTCTTCTCATTATTTTGCCAAATATGTATGATGGTTTAAAGCAATCATTTTAACACTGACTCATGGGATTTTCAATGTATATAGATATAATACATATAGTAATTATAACATAAAGGAGGAAAGGTAAAAGTACCTATATTGTAGTTAGATTTCTCCAGTCTACTCAAAGTTGAAAATATTGAGTAGAAAGTAACAAGTATGTATATTATAATCCCTAGAGCAGTAACTACTTAAAAACACACAAACAAACAAACAAAAAACAACGATATGGGCCAGGAGAGGTGGTTCACACCTGTAACCCTAGTAGTTTGAGAAGCTGAGGTGGGAGGATCACTGGAGCCCAGGAGTTCAAGCCTGTGATGAGCCATGATGGCTACTATACTCCAACTTGGGCAACTGACTGAGACCTCATCTCTTAAAACATAAAAAAAAAACTATATAAAGCAATAGAGTAAAAAATCTCAACAGATAATTTACAGCATTAAAATCAAATAATCCAAAAATAAGTAGAAGAGTAAAACCAAAAAAAATGAAAAACAGAACAAATTGAAAATGATAAAATGGTACACCTAAGCCCAAAATAATCCACCACATAAACATGCAGTCTAATCACACTATTTAACAGATATTGTCAGAGAAAGTTTTTAAAAATAAAACCTAAGGATGTATTCTCTACAAGATATCTACCCACTTTAAATATAATGATATTTCTAGGTTATGGTAAAAGGATGAGAAAAATATCATGCAAATGCTAGTCAAAAAATACCTGAAGAGACTCTATTAAAATCAGAAAAAGATTTCAGAAAAAAATTACCAGAAATAAAAGGCAACATTATATGATTATAAAAAGGGTAAGTGTACAGAATGTCTATACTGAAAATGTCAAAATATTGATGAAATAATCAAAGAACACCTATATAGAGAAATGTACCCTATTCATAGACTGGAAGTTTTTGTATTGTTAAAATGTCAGTTCTATCCCCCTCCACAAAATGGATACGTAGATTTAATGCACTTCTAACAAGAATATCAAAAAGAGATTTAGTAGCTATGCACAAACTTAATTTAAATTGTATATGATAAACAAAAACAAAGGGAACAGAACCATCAAAACTATTGTGAAGAATAAAGTTGGTGGAGTCATACTTTCTGATTTTAAGACATTATAAAATTTTAATGATCAAGACAATGTCAGAAATCAGACACTAATCAGAAAAGAGTTGGACATATAGAACAATGGAATTGTTTCTAAAGTCCAGAAACAGACCCACACAAATATGGCCAACTGATTTTTGACAAAGGTAAAAAACACATTGGAGAAAAAATTTTTTCCAACAAATAGTATTGGAACAAACGGACATCCATATGCACAAAGTAAACCTTGACCTAAACTTCACATCTTATGCAAAAATTAACTCAAAATAGATCAGAGATCTCCTTTGCAAAACATAAAACTCTAAAACTTTTAGAAAAAAAAGAAGAAAAACTTTGTTACATGGGGTTACACAAAAAGTTCTTAAACACAGTCGTTTCTGAAAAATTTAAACATACATTTATCATACGATCCAGCAATCCTACTTCTAGGTATTTATCTTTGCAAACTGAAAACTTGAAGTTCCCTCAATAAAGCTGTACACAAATGTTTATAGAAGCTTTATCTGTGATAGCCAAAAACCTCAAACAACTTAAATATACTTAAATGGATAAAGAGATCCATAGATTCATACCGTGGAATACTATTCAGCAACAAAAAAGAACAAACTATTGATACAGTGTAACAACTTGAGTGAATCTCAAAGGCATTATGCTGATTGGAAAAAAAAAACAGTTTCCAAAAGGTTGCATAATGTAGGATTCTTTTATATAACATTCTGGAGCAAAGCAAAACTACAGTAATGGAGGACAGATCAGTGGTTTCCAGGGGTTAAGGATGGAGGAGGAGATATTACTACAAAGCAGCAGCATTAGATAATTTAAGGGGAACAAAGAACTGTTTCAGATCCTGATTGTGGTCATGGTTACATGCATCTACACATGTGTTAAAACTCACAGAAGTTTACACCAAAAAAAAGTCAATTTTAATGTTGATGTAAAAAATAAAATTTAAAAAAACTAGATTGGGGTAAAGGGAGATACTGTCACTCCCCCAAGAAATAAAACCCATAAGTTGGCAATAACAGCAAAAGAGATACTCAGAAACTCAAATCAGGACTTAAGACACTGGGTATATTTCCTTTCAAAGCAAAGTCATCCCTCTTTATTTTTTATGATTGATTCATTTCTAATTATTTCACTACCTTTAGGGGTACAAGGCATTTTTGGTTACACAGACGAATTGTATACCGGTGCTGGGCTTTTAGTGTACCTGTCACCTGAACAGTGCACATTGTACTCAATAGGTGGTTTTTCATCCTTTATTTCCCTCCCAACCTTCCCCTTTCTCAGTCTCCAATGTTCATTATACCCCTCTATATGCCGCTTAGCTCCCGCTTGTAAGTGAGAATATGTGGTATTTGGTTTTCTATTCCTCAGTTACTTCACTTAGGATAATGACCTCCCAACCAAGTTGCTGCACAAGACATTATTTCATTCTTTTTCTATGGCTGAGTAGTATTCCATGGTATATGCCACATTTTCTTTATCCACTCATTGGCTGATGGGCACTTAGGTTGATTCCACATCTTTGCAATTGTGAATTGGCCTGTGATAAACATGCATGCACAGGTGTCTTTTTTTATATAATGACTTATTTTCTTTTGAGTAGACTCCCAGTAGTATGATCGCTGGATCAAATGGTAGATCTCCTTTTAGTTCTTTGTGAAATCTCTATACTGTTTTCTATGGTGGTTGTATTAATTTACATTCCCACCAGCAATATATAAGGATTCCCTTTTTACCACATGTACACCAACATCTACTGTTTGTTTGGTTTTGTTTTTTTTTTTTACTTTTTAATAATGGCCATTCTGGCTGGGGTAAAGTTGGCATCATATTGCGGTTTTAATTTGCGTTTCCCTGATTAGTGATGCTGAACATTTTTAATATGTTTATTGGCCATTTGTGTATCTTCTTTTGAGAAATGTCTGTAAATGTCACTTGTCCCCTTTTTAATGGGATTTTTTTTTTCTTGCTGATTTGAGTTTCCTGTAGATTCTGGATATGAGCACTTTACTGGAGATACAGTCTGCAAATATTTTCTTATTCTTTAGGTTGGCTGTTTACTCTATTTCTTTTCGTGTGCAGAAGCTTTTTAGTTAGCTCTCATTTATTTTTGCCTTTTTTTTTTCTTCCCCCTGAGACAGAGCCTCGCTCTGTCGCCCAGGCTGGAGTGCAGTGGCGTGATCTCGGCTCACTGCAACCTACGCCTCCCAGGTTCAAGCGATTCTCCTGCCTCAGCCTCCCAAGTACCTGGGACTACAGGGCACCTGCCACCACGCCCGGCTAATTTTTACAGTTTTAGGAGAGACGGGGTTTCACCATATTGACCAGGATGGTCGCAAATTCCTGACCTTGTGATCTGCCCGCCTCGGCCTCCCAAAGTGCTGGGATTACAGGCATGAGCCACCGCACCCAGCTCTATTTTTGCTTCTGTTACATTTGCTTTGCCATACATTCTTTACCTAGGCCAATGTCCAGAAGAGTGTTTTCTAGGTTTTATTCTAGAATTTTTATGGTTTCTTAGATTTAAGCTTTAATCTACGTTGAATTAATTTTTCTATGTGGTGAGAGATAAAGATCGTTTCATTCTTCTGCATGTGGCCAACCAATTTTCCCAGCACCATTTATCAAATAGGGTGTCCTCCCCCAGTGTATATTTTTGTCTGCCTTGTTGAAGATCAGTTAGTTGTAAGTAGGGTCAGCTCCCATTATATTTCACAGTTTTGTCAATGGTTTCATCACCAAAATGAAGACACTACAGGGAAGAGCCCTAGTGGCAGAGAAACTGTATTAGACAAAATGCTAAAGTCGTGAGGCGATGGACAGCAGGTGTCTTAAATCCAGGATTAACGTGTGGTAGAGATAAGAAAGCAAAGAGCCTTCTCTGGGCTTCTTTCTTCTTACCTGTATCACAGGCAGCTGCCGTACAAAGCCGGGAAGTGGTTAAGAAACTGAAAACAGTGTGGGTTAAAATTTCAGCTCTGCTTCTTACCAGTTGAAAGACTAGTCAAATGCTTTGACATCTGTATTATTATTTTGTCAGGATCTCACTGTCACCCAGTCTGGAGAGCAATGGCGCGACCTCGGCTCACGGCAACCTCGGCCTCCTGGGTTCAAGCGATACTCCTGCCTCAGCCTTCCAAGTAGCTGGGATTACAGGCCAGCATGCCTGGCTTATTTTTGTATTTTTAGTAGAGACGAGGTTTCAACCATGTTGGCCAGGCTGGTTTCGAGCTCCTGACCTCAGGTGATCTGCCCACCTCAACCTCCCAGAGTGCTGAGATTACAGGCATGAGCCACCGCAACCAGCCCAAATGCTTTGACTTCTTTATGTCTCTCTTTGCCTCTATGCTGCATTGTCTCATCCAAATGTAAAATTACACAAAAGCACCTATCCTTCAGGGTCGTCAGGGGAATTGAGACAATCTTACTACTATACTTGAAAAGCAGTACCTGGTACAGGAGAGACATACAACAAATGTTACTGATTTTTAAAACGATTATCTCTAAAACTGGAGAGACAGAGCAGTATCTCTCAAACTTATTGTCTTCCAAGTGAGTTTTTCTTTTACATTTTTTGCTAAGCATTCCTCCTCTCCATGAAATTTTAATGCCACAGATATGCTGTAGATCTTTTTATGTGCCATAGCCCTTCGGAGAGCCACAAACCATTGTAATAGTTAATATTTATTTTTTTTAGCCACTCCCAAGAACCAATTTTTACCCCCTTGCTAGCAGTATTATCCATGTTGAGAATGTCTATGATAAATCAATTGATCTCTAATATTCTAAATCTGTATAGATCATATGGCCTTTAAGATTTCCTATTTAACTATATTACATAAGATACGAACTAAAATTACCAGTGGAACCAGGGCGTGATGGCTCACACCTATAATCCCAGTACTTTGGGAGGCCGAGGTGGGAGGATCACTTGAGGCCAGGAGTTCAAGACCAGCCTGGGCAACACAGTAAGACCCCACCCCCTATCCCCTGCAACCTATATCTGCAAAAAAAAAAAAAAAACTAGCCAGGGCATTGGAAGCTATAATGACTTCCTTTTGGTAAATATAGCAGGACACTGAGAACTCTAGGAGGCCTGTATAACAGGCCAGGGAAAATGGGGCTGGAACTTGAGTAAAAAGCCATTCCCTTAGGCTGGGGGTGGTGCTTCAGCCTGTAATCTCAGCACTTCGGAAGGCCAAGGCAGGAGGTTAAAGCCAGGAGTTTGAGACCAGCCTGAGCAACATATTAAGACCCCATTTCAAAAAAAAAAAAATTAGTTGGGCATGATGGCATGCACCTGTAATCTCAGCTGCTCAGGAGGCAGGGCAGGAAGATTACTTGAACCCAGGAGTTCACCACTGCACTGAACTGCGATCATGCTGCCGTACTTTAGCTTGGGCAACAGATTGAGACCTTGTCTAGAACAATAATAAATTGTGAGTGGAACTGCTTATCTTTTATAAATTATGCTGTTCACCATTTAGGAGAAAAATGGGTTAAATCTAAGGATTTGGAAAAGGCTTCCCTGTCTAGTACACACAGGCAGCTGGCCAGAGACTCAGTCCCATTAGATAAATATCATTACACCCTAGAAATATGTTTATGTCAAAGTTACTGGTATACACTCTGGCCTTGAAGATTTATGGGATTATAAAAATTATTTCTAGTCATGAAGAATATGAAAAGGTGAAATAGTTTTTTTATAGTCCTGAAGGCATATTGAAATGTTCTAATTTCTCGACGTGCATCCCATCTCTCAACAGCATATAAGAGTGTCTGTAACTGCAACACCTGTCTAGTACTTATTTTCAATGATCAATGATCACATTACAAAAAAGATCTCAGCCTCATCTTATCTTTAAAAGTGGAGAAAGAAGCCTGAACGTCTACACTGGAGCCAAGAAGGCATGTATTTTCTCAGTCCCTAAATAATACACTGATGGTAAAAAAGAAAAAAAAAAAAATCAAGCAGCTCTTTGGAATACTCCAGGCTTCCATTCTTTATTCACCTTAGAGATACTCCGCTCACTCTTGATGAATTAGCAGAGTATCACTTATCTTAACATTGGCTTTTATTTTCCCTCGAAGTTTTCATGTGTTTCTTCTTTTATTCTGGACACATGAGTTATTCCACATTGGTTCCATCTCTGATGCCATCCAGTTGATAATTATTGAAATCAGAAAGAACGAGTATAGTGATGTCAGACGGGAAAGCTGACCAGTTTTCCAACAGAGAGCGTCTTCTGGGAAGATCACACTCAAGTTCAGATTTTAACATTAAGTCGTTTACATTATTAGTAAGTTGACCATGATCTCTGGGACTGACTCAATTTAATCAGATTCCTAAAAAGTTGATATAAATTAAAATGTCTAGCTTTTGGTTTTAGGTTTAATTTATTCTAGAGGAATAAATGAGTAACTGAAACAATGGAGCCCTGTCTCTCAAGTCACACCTACACAAATAGCAAGGAATCTATGAAGAAAAAGTAGTAATCAGATTGTTAGATTAGAATGTAATGCCCTAAAAGGGAGAGGTGGGGTAGAAGTGACTAGAATAAGACAGACAAACATGTGGCTTGTGTTCCACCATTACCCCAAATCTCACCATGAATTTCAATAATCCCCACGTGTCAAGGGCAGGGCCAGGTGGAGATAATTGAGTCACCAGAGCAGCTTCCCCCATACTGTTCTCATGGTCGTAAGTTTCACAAGATCTGATGGTTTTATAAATGAGAGTTCCCCTGCACAAGCTCTCTTGCCTGCTGCCATGTAAGACATGTCTTCCTTCCCCTTTGCCTTCCACCATGATTGTGAGACCTCCCCAACCATGTGCAACTGTGAGTCCATTAAACCTCTTTTATAAATTACCCAGTCTCAGCTATGTCTTTATGAGCAGCATTAGAAAAGTCTAATACACCCCTCTTGCACCCATGGCAGACAGTGTTAATCACTGCACATGTTTGATACTGAACCCTAATGCAGCCTCAGCACCCATTCCATACAGTGCTCTAAGCAACCCCATCCAATCAGTATTATTATATAAGATGAACTCTTATATGCCATATCTGGCCAAGAGGGATGATTCATCCGAGCCATGGATTCTCTTTTTCTGCCATAAAACAAAACCCTTCACTAGTTATCAGAATTTCTATTTGTAGCAGATTTAGTAGCGCTCTTGTACTAGCTTAACCAGACAATTATTGCAAGATTCTTCTCCTTTTGTCCTGGGGGAGCTTATCTTACAGATACAGTTAGAGATAGAGAGCAAAGTTGAACTTTGGGGAAAAAAACTCTAGAGATGGTACTTGAGCAACTGTATTTTTAGAGATCTCCATGGAGCTTTTGGGGGTTTTCATTTGTTTGTTTTTTTTTGAGACAGAGTCTCACTCTGTAACCCAGGTTGGAGTGCAGTGGTGTGCTCCCAGCTCGCCGCAATTTCCGCCCCCCGGGTTCAAATGATTCTCGTGCCTCAGCCTCCCAAGTAGGTGGGATTACAGGCACCCGCCACCATGCCGACTAATTTTTGTACTTTTTGTAGAAGACGGGGTTTCACCATGCTGGCCAGGCTGGTCTTGAACTCCTGACCTCAAGTGATCCACCCGTCTCAGCCTCCCAAAGTGCTGGGATTACAGGCATAGCCACTACGCCTGGTTGAGACTGTTTAAAGTAGCGAAGTTGTGAACTGCTGGCCACTCTGGCAAAGAAACAACCTGGCCCCTACAGTTCAACTGTCTTGTCTCTACCACTACAAATAACACTGAGCTATCACAGTCTTCTTTGATTAGTTGAGGACAGACCCAACACCTCCCAAGAAGATGCCCTAGAAGGCACCTCCCAACCAATTAAATGTAGTATATTGTGGAATCATTAGAGTTGTTCAATTCTCTCTTCCTCCAAGCATAGTAGAATGACACTGAATTGACATTTGCCCAGCCACCTTAAGGCAAGTATGACTAGGTGACTTGATTTGGCCACAGTGTTGGAGTTGAAGGTATATGCCAAGCTTTAGGATACAGTATGTGATTCAACATACTCTCTTTCCTTCTGCCACAGTGACCTTCATCATTCTTCATGGTAGGTGAATGAATGCTCTGGACTCAGAATAATGTGAGACAGAACCCCCAACCTACCCATTATAGGCATGTGGAGTGAGCAAGAAATAAACCTTTGCTCTTTGGTTCCATCAGGATGTGGCGGTTGTTTGTTCCTGCAGCACGACCTGGTCTATTCTAACTGATACATCATTTAAGGGAAAGTCTTTATGCAATCCTTGTAAAATATTTGCGGAAGCTGTCAAGAGAAGAAACAAAACTGCTTTTGGTCTCATCAAGGTCCATTCAATTTTGGCAAATTATAAACATATAAGCAGATAAAAAATAAACTATATTGGTATGGCGAGATTTTTTTAACATGAGGCGTCTAAAAAGGACCAAAGAGCAGGTCTGAATACAATAGGGAAGTGGAGGAAGAAGAAATGGAGAAATGTATAGGGGAACAATTCACTGGTGTTCATGCAATCCTGTGCTGATCCCTGACTTTTGACTTCCCCAGCATGACCAGACAGGGACCCAAGCCAACCTGTTGGAATAAGACATATTGAACCACAGTGAGTGTATTGGTCCCAGGACTATCATCGAAAAAGCAAGACTGGAGCAGGATTAGTTAAATGTTACCAACCCTCACTTTCCAGGCAAACATTTAATTTTTTTACTGCTTATATGTCTCTTCTATGACAGGAAAAAATTCAAGTAACTGATTGAAAGAGCGTTTGGTGCCAGAAAAGACAGTATTTTTTTTTCCTGTCTAGTTTTCACAATACATGGTATTTTTAAGCTACGAAATATTTTTCAACAATTTCAAAATTTAAGAGGTGCCATTCAAGAACCATAAGCTACAAATCCAATTTCTAAAAGTTCATACAATGTCAAATAATAAAATTGTTTATATAATAGAAAACATATGTTTTCTTGGGTAAAGTAAGCTGTTATTTTTAATAATGCCAAATATGATTAATTGCCAATCAGCTCCACCAAAAGTACTTTCTTACTGCCTGTTTTTTTCAAGGATACATTTGGGAAAAAGTTGAAAATAACATGTCAACTCACATAAAAATATTGTCCTTTCACAGTAAAATTTCCTTCAAAATTACATGTTCAGTTATGGTTTTATAAAGTTATAAAGTCCTAGAAATATATTTTATAACCGCATGTGGCACTTAAAAGATTGACTTTTACAGGACATTCCAAATGAGACATTCAATTATAGGACAGAGATTATTAACAGTGCATTTCCCCTTCAAATAAGATATTTAGTGTTGTTAGGACTGCTGTAGTTAATTCATTCATTTATTTTATCAGAAAATATTTGTAAGCACTTACCACCTGCCAGGCTCAGATCTGGATGATGATGCTACCACTGTCAACATGGCAAACAACAACCATTGACTCACAGAACTCACATGTACGTAGCACTAATATACATATATACACACATTAATATACACTAATACGTGCATATATACATTAATATAAGCACTAATATATAATGTATGCAAACACACATTTATGTCTGTTTCAGTTTGTGATCCTAACTGGACCACAGGCTCTGTGAGTCAATGGTTGTTGTCTGCTATATTCACAGTGGTAGCTTCATCATCCAGAACTCAGTATGGCAGGTGACAAGTGCTTACAAATATTTTCTGATAAAATAAACAAATGAATTAACTACACCAGTTTTTATTATACTGTGTATAAGTTCCACAGTCAGAGGATAGACAATGATGGTCAGAGATGAACTTAGATAAAAGGATCGGCAAAAGCATTTTTGAGAAAGATGCATTTGGGAAAAATCCTTAATCAAGTGAGGAAGAGTATTCCAGATAAAGGGCTAAGTGAAAAGGCCCTGAGGTACCAAGAAACTTGAAAGATTTAATAAACAGATTTTGGAAATCACAAGAGCTAAGATACAACAGTGGGTGAAGATAGCAGATGTAGGTGAAGAAATTACATCACTGGAGACAAGGAGGTCAAAGACAGGGAAGCTGAAGTACCGGATGGCTCATGCAAGTGAATAATCTCATATCCTTCGGTTATTAATTTTGAATCTATTAATAAGATCAGTTTCAGTCAACACGCTGTTTTAGCCGATTCAAGTTTTTAACATGTAGTGTTTGTATTGTTATTTGGAATTCTGAGTATTTTCCAAATGCCATTAAAATTTTTTAGGTGAGTAAGGGGCTGCTTGAATTAGTAAAATCATCAAACATGGTTTCTGGGGGGGGTTGATTACTGA